>NC_000010.11:28760000-29385000 GCF_000001405.40 Homo sapiens
CTGTCTATTTTACTACACGTTTTTCTTATTTGAAGAAGCATTGAGTTGAACTTGCTGTAGTTACTGCAAACTCGCTACCAGGTGAAGGTTCTGACTGGGTCTTTTCCAGGCCATGGAAATAGCACAAGGGGATAATTTCAATGAATCTGATTACTACAAATTAATGTTTTGGTTTCTTGATGATTGAAGTCTGTTGAAGAATAGGGGCTTTCCATTTGGGTGGGATCATTTGAATTACAGATTGATATGTTGAGTAGATTTATTTTTAGTTTTCATTGTAGAGAGACACAGCATAGCAACATGAATGCCATGTAGACCTCCAGGAACACAAGTGGAATTGAACAAACTGGTGTTATTCACTGTGATGAGAGAGAACACACACAATTGGAAACTGTGGAGTGTCTCTGTAGGAGAGTGTCAAAAAGGACTTACAGGATTTAAGCTGTGTGTGGTGATTTGGGAAAGGATTCAAGGAAGCGGGACTTTGGTCTGAATTGGATGCTGTCAGGAAGTGGAATTAATTCTATAATTGGGCATCTTATCTAGAAAGTGAGAGGAAGGAAGCCAGGTTAGAGCTTTAATTGCTAAATCAGCAGTCACTCGTATTAGCTAGGATGGGTGGGGAGTTGGTATTCTGTGGCTTGGACAATGTTTATATTTTGTCTGTGTTCACACATGATATGGAATAATATTATTTTTTTAAAAAGAAACGTTTCATGAATTTGTGTCATCCTTGCACAGAGGCCATGCTAACCTTCTCTGTATCATTCCAATTTTAGTATATGTATTGCTGAAGCGAGCACGGAGTGATCTTATTTTTGTCAGGAACTCTCATGGTCACAAAGTGGCCTTGTCTGATGCTGATGTTTTGTGCAGTTGTTTATGTTCAACTGGACAACATCAAGACCTAATTGTGAAGACCAGAACAGCTTTTAACAATGCCGTTGTGCATTGCTGATTGTACCAGGACAGCTCCTGGTTGCCAGTACTGGTTTTCTCTTTCTCAGCTACCTATAGCTATAAGGAGAGCCCTCAAAATGAGGGCACATGTTAGGACTAGATTTTGTCACATTAAGCAAACCAACATCCCAAAATAACAGTGGCTCAAACAATAAAGATGTTTCTCTCTCTTTCATATAGAAAATAATTCTGGAAGTGAGTCTGCCATTGCTGGGCAGGAACCCAGACTCCTGCTAGCTCAGTGCTCTGTCTTCCTTAGCTTTTTGTTCCTTGGACTTAAGGTCCAAGATGGCTGCTGAGGTTCCAGCCATCACACTAAAATTGCATCCGACTGAAAGAGGAAAGGAAGAAGAAAGTGCCCTGGCTCACCTTTTTGGAGACTTCCTGAAGGTACTTTTCAACGTATCTGCTTGTATTTCATTTGCCAGCACTCGATCACAGAACAAAGATGTTTGTGAAATGCTTGAATAACTGGGGTTCTGTTATTAAAAGAAAGGTAATAATTGCTCTTGAGGGGCTACAACCATCTGGAGTTGGGATAATACAACTGCCACACTGAATTCTATGAAAGCCAATTCTATTGGCTATTGTTGTATGCAAATATCCCTCTCTTTGGTGAAACAGCAAGCAGCTAATTATGTTAAGGGATGCCTTCTTTTTGGTCTCTTTCTTTTGTAACAATCTCAAGAGTTCAAGTTTCCAAAGTGAACTCTCTTTTTCAGTCGTTTGGAGCTTTGTAGCTTGATTGAAAAGAATGCTGTGATTCAGCTGGCCACGTTGCTAGGCTGCCTGACAATTTACCTCTAGCAGTGGGGAGGAAACAGTTGTGTTGTTGGAAATATTTAACTTAAAAATGGATGAAAATCATTCTTCAAGTTTATTTTTTAATAGCTAAATTATTTTGCTTAGAAGGGCTAAAACATTTCTGTGTGTTCCTCTTTCGTTTTTTTTTTTTTTAAAGGAGGTAATAAATAAGGTGAATAAAATTGTAAACAAAAAGTTCATGTTGTCCCTATAACTACGTGCAGGCATCTGGGCTGGAAATGTGAGAAAATTGTAAAGAATTTGAAAAGGTTCAAAGGCTCAGGTTATTAAAGTTTTAATAATCTTCTTTTCTGCAGCGCTAACCCCCTGCTATCCTTTCAATGCAGTAGGAAAACAAAATATGGACAAAATTGTAGTTAATTAGAACTGAATCTTCGTTGGAAAACCTATAGCAATCACTTAGGATTTTTACAGAGGCTGAGAGTTGGGATCCACTAGTCTGAAAAGATACAACATAATTTTCACTTAAGGAGTTTGGAGGATATTTGTTAGATTTTAACAAAATAGGATATATTTTTCTTTTTAAAAAACCTGTCAGTTAATTCATATAGTTGATTGCAAAACGCTATTTTGCAAGAATTGCCTATGAAGATAATCTCACTTAGCATTTTAACCTTTTCCCATTGCTCAATCAGAGCAAAACAAAATATTTATATGAACAAAATGCCTATAGTGATGATGATGGACAAATGACACGTCTTTAATCAATTGCCAAATTTTTTGATTAAAGGAACAGCATTCCCTTATACCTGAAATAAGGTGAAAAATGATAAAAGTGATTTTTCTTCAGAGTAAAATGCAATTTATTTTTGCCACAGACTTGTAATGCCAGTGTTGTAATTTTTCTTTTTGGAATTGGTTTTTCTTTTAAAGGCATCTTAAAAGTATATACCATACCAACACAAAATACAGTATGCATTTTAGTATATGCTGGAGAAGACCATACTTAATGTATGAAATTTTTGTGATCGTGATGGACATATGCATGAAGATATTGATGCATGAAGTCATATTTGTATATTTGAAATATGCAGACACAAAGAATACTTTAAATTGTGTTGTATTGAGGAGGGGAAAGAATTTTACTCAGTAAGCTGCAGCCATGAGCACTGAAATATGGTTTCAGAGAGAAGATGTTTGGAATTGTTCTAATAGGCTAAGTGATTCCAAATGCAAGTCCATATCGCAGACTCCTAGGCTCTTTGTGAGACTAATTGACTTTGCTGTAGAGTTTTGGCAAAGCTCTTATTATTTTTACTACATTTTCCTTTTTAATAATGTAAAATTGAACTGACTTCTAAAATTCAAGTTCCCCTTTATGAGTTTGTTAGCCCTTCCTTCACCAAATTAATGACCAACTGGGCAAGACAGCCAAAAATGTTTTACCACTCTGGGCGTTTGTTAATTGGTTGTTCGTTGGACTGTATATGAGGGAAAATTATTGCTACTATAAACCAAAGAGTGTAAAGGAAAAGTAGTGATATAAATATGGAACTGAATTGGGCAGGGAAAGCAAGTGATGTAAAAGTTCTGTTTTTCTGTTAGATGGTTCCCCTAGGAAGACTGCAGATACCAAAAATAAAATGCAGCAGACCAAATCATAATGTAGAAGTTCATTTGGTGACTCTTGGCCAAGAAGATTCATTGTTTTGGTTTGCTTTTAAAGCCCTTATGATAACTGTCCTTTTTTTTTTTTAGTGTGGGCTCACCGAACAAATCATAAGTAGTAAAATCTAGTTCACCTTGAAAGTTGCTGCAAAAGTAGTTTGATCCTCTGGACTGGGAGAGTGATTAGGAAGAAATAAAAATTCCAAGACTGGAATTTCTGACCCTTCAAGAATGTGAGGTGTACATTAATTCCACTTCTCTGGGTCTGACATTCCTTGGAAATTTCCCTTGGATTATCCTGGGGAAAAACCACAGACACAGAGACAGAACCCCCAGCTTACTCTCTCTTTGTCCACCTTTGTCCCCATGCAGTGTTCTCTACTAATTCTCTTTATAAATGCCAATCAGACACTGTTTTAACTCATGTTTTAAGCTAGGGAAGAAATCCAGGGGTCTGGCTCATGTTGCAAAGGTTTCCAACAGTATCAGGTAATTCACTATTAGTTGGGCTCCATTCAGAATGGTAACCGAGACCTGAAAGGCTGCACGACTCATTACCAATTACCAATTCCCAGGGCCATCCGGTTCCCTGGCAGAAAAGCTTCCGATGAATTTGCGTTGCAAATTGAAAACATACTGTCAATAGCAACAAGTCCAAAAGATGTTTACCTTAATTTTTCCAAGGCAGGCTTTTATATGTGGATGTTTTTGTTTAAGGACCAGCATTCTCGATTTCCTGCTGTTTCTGGGGTTGGTGCTGTTGTTACAAAAGGGCTGTCACAATCTCATGATGGAGAGGAGAAATGAAGTGGCTACGTGAAGACTCTCTGGCACTGGAGCCTGAGACATAACTTTGCATGGGGCACGGGTTGGCAAATGTCACGGCTGACACACAGCCATTCAATTTTCCTAAGGGTTTAGGCACCTGGGACATGATCCTGTTGAAGGGCTCCCTTTGCAGATAAGTAAAGTGAGGTCCAGATTGATAATGTCACTTTTCCAAGGAAACCCCCATAGTTAGCATCATGGTTGAGTCTAGAAGTTCGTATTTTCTTGGAAGCCCCATGCTTTTCCATAGGTTATGTGCTCAGGTTAAATACTTGATGCGTATAAAATAAAGTATTATAAATTAATTTATATGGCTGGGTGCAGTGGCTCACACCAGTAATCCCAGCACTTTGGGAGGCCAAGGCGGGTGGATCACTTGAGGTCAGGAGCTTGAGACCAGCCTGGCCAACGTGGAGAAACCCTGTCTCTACTAAAAATACAAAAATTAGCTGGTGTGGTGGTGCATCCCCGTAGTCCCAGCTACTCAGGAGGCTGAGGCATGAGAATCATTTGAATCCAGGAGGCAGAGGTTGCAGTGAGCTGAGATCACACAACTGCACTCCAGCCTGAGTGACAAAGCAAGACTCTGTCTCCAAAGAAGAAAAAAAAAGAAAATAATTTATAAGTTTCTCTTGAATCTGAGAGCATTGGGATATAGGGCTTCGAAGGCAAAATATTTAACCCTTTGACCTTGTTTGCCAAGCGATACCACCTACTTCTAAAAGTATTTACTTTTGGACCCTGGGCAACATGATGAAACCTCATCTCTAGAAAAAAATCCAAATTAGCTGGACATAGTGGTGCATGCCTGTGGTCCCAGCTACTTGGGAGGCTGAGGCTGGAGGGTCCTTTGAGCCTGGGAGGTTGAGGCTGCAGTGAGCTGTGATGGTGCCACTGCCTTCCAGCCTGGGTGATGGAGCAGCACCCTATCAATCAATCAATCAATAACAGTACTGTTGGGAGTAGCCTATGATTTGGCCAGTGTGGAGGTGTGTTTTAATCTTAGATTAATGTCCTGATGCTTCTGTTCCACGGGAGGTCTATTCAGGGCCAGCAGGAGTTGGCCTGTAGAAACATGGAAAACAGAGGCAGTCGGAGCAAAACCCTGGGAAATGCATATTGGGAAGCCTCTATTTTTTTTAATGCCTTGTTTTAAATTCTGAGTCTCCCTCTCCACCCATAAATTAGAGTTGAATGTATTTACTTAAATTACATGTCATCAAATCACAAGTCCTGCCCAGAGACCAGACAAGTATTTGGAGCAAGTCTGAAAAAGAAAGTTAACCCATTGTAAACTTTGGGTGAAAAAAACACCCATGTTTCTATGGCTGCCAAGAGGAAGGGAGCTTGATTTTGGCCAGGGCAGAAAGTAGGATTCCCACTCATGGTAGGTTGGTTTCACAGAGGGCTTTCCAGATCCATAAACCAAGGGAGTTTTGCTAAATGGGTCGCTCAGCCGGGTACATATGTGATGAAACTCAACACGCTGAGAGTATCCAGTGAAGTCTGCAAGAAATAAGCAACACGGAGAATGTTCCCAAGACACAGGAAATGAAAACGGTTGTTCAGAAGCCCAGACTTGACTAGAGGCAGACTCCCAGAGGTAATGGAATGAGAGTGGAGATGGGACTTCAAGGCATAAAGTGGGAGGGCTAGAGCTGTGGGCTTCTCTTGTTGCATCAGAGGGGGATGCTCTCATCATCCTTTCTGTCCTGTCTTCAGCCTCTCTAAAGAGCTCCATGTGATCATGACTTTACAGAACAAAGAACACATGGCTATAGCTGTTTCACGTTCACTTTTTGACTCTAGTAAGTTGTTTAAAACTTTTGGATCCTTGCTTTTGTCCCTGTGTATGGGAAGCAGTAAAATCCTCCTAATCACCAGGCAAGTATCTTTCAAAAGGATTTCCCACAACAGGTAATTAACTGAGAGGCAGCGAGAGAAGATCTTGGATATTGGACTTGTCTTACTTAGTCCATTCCGGCTGCTATAACAAATGACCGTGGACTCATGGCTTACACACAACAGAAATTTATTTCTCATGGTTCTGGTGGCTGGGAATCCCAGATCACAGCACTCAGATATGTGGTGTCTAGTGATGGGCTGCATCCTGTTTCATGGATGTTCATCTCTTTGCTTTGTCCTCACATAGTGGAAGGGGTGAAGAGCTTCTCTGGGGTCCCTTTTATAAGGGTGCACATCCCATTTATGATGGCTCCACCCTCATGACCCAATGACCTCCAAAGACCCCACGTCCAAATAGCATCACATTGGGGGTTAGGTTCTAACATAGGAGTTTTGGGGGGACACATTCAGTCTATTGCAAGAGTCAAACAGATTTGGGACTGTCACAAAGAAAACATCCTATTTGCTGCTATTATTGGCATTTCATTTTCTGGGTTAAAAAAACTCAAAGTTTTTTTTTTTTTTGAGACAGAGTCTTGCTCTGTCACCCAGGCTGGAGTGTAGTGGCGTGATCTCAGCTTACCGCAACCTCTGGCTCCCGGGTTCAGGCGATTCTCCTGCCTCAGCCTCCTGAGTAGCTGGAACTATAGGCGCGTGGCACCACACCTGGCTAATTTTTTGTATTTTTAGTAGAGACAAGATTTCACCATGTTAGCCAGGATGGTCTCAATCTGCTGACCTCATGATCTGCCCACCTCGGCCTCCCAAAGTGCTGGGATTAGAGGTGTGAGCCACCACACCTAGCCAAAATTCAAAGTTTTTGCTAGGAAAAAAAGAATAAAAATGGGACAGAAATATACCCAAGAGATGAGAAAAAGACCAGAAAGCAAGACCTTAGGGCTAACTTACAGTCATCAAAGAACTGATTTCTATTCTTCTTGTACGAAAGTGACCCAAGACATTTTTTACTGAAGGTAACAAAATTGCATGAGTAGGAAGTGTGCTGACTTCTAGGTAATGTCTATTCTCTAGCTAGTTTGCACATTGTAAAATTTGACCTGGGCTGCTTGATGAAGTGTGGCTCTTGGGAAAGAGAGGTTCACTGGTTCTACCCTCAAGAAGATATTTGTCATCTAGAGCAAGAACTAGAGGAAAGTATGTCACCTTGGAGAGCTTGAGACTAGGTTTGACTTCTATTTCACCCAATCAACTACAAAACATCAGTATTAGGTGGCTCAGAACTTATCATGATTGGAAAGCTTGAAAAGTTTTTTCCTTTTGGAAACGGATGGGTTTGAAAGTCAGGATGTCAGCATTGGCTAGAGTTGAGCTCAGGGTTTCTAGAATGCTGCATCTTAGCTTTCATCAGCCTGGCTTGAGTCAGGGCCATTGGGCCTTAGGAATGTATTGCTGGGGTGCTACTTGGATCCTGTCAAAAGATGTTAGAAGGAGTGAGTGTCAGATCCCGGGATAAGTCATTTAGGATAGTGACCTTCTCAGAAGGGCCAATAGGAAGTAGAAAGTGGAAAGGAGAGTCATGTCAAGGATGCTTTGAACAAAGGAATGAGAGAACGCGTAGATCGTAAGGCTGTACAGCAACTTCCACTTTGTCCTGGCTTTGCTGTTCTTGTGGATATACGTGGCATAAATCAAGCAGCTAACTTACTTTCAGTGATTCTCCGAAGGTACCTAGTGGTGAAACTCTCAAGCCTTATACTCAGCAGTTCATTTCCTACCAGCCTAATTACAAGTGTTTTATTATAAAGTTTATGGAAATGAGATATAAGTCACTCTGGAGTTTTTGAGAATAGTTATACTGGTAGTTACCATCTAATGTGGTCTTTGGAAGGTTCTACATCAAAGCCCAGGGTATCCTGGGGTTGTTCTAGCTCTCTGCAAGACAAAGCTTGGAGACTTGTATTTTAAGTAGCTTTTCATTTTTACTGAGCCACAAGGGCAGTAGCTCACAGGGACTTTATTGAATATTTACATCTAGCTTCTTCTAAACAGCATTGAAAATGGGAGTAAGATGCCATAAAAGGGGTCACCTTGAGGCCTGCTCTGATTTTTGAGAACACGGAATTGGTGATCTACGGAGGTGAGAAAGCGGACACCAAAACAAACAAGACTCCAGGCTCCTTCCTCATGCCTTGGTTGTGTCTATTGTGGAGCCGCTGGCATCTTTTATTTCGGGGACAAAGGACAGCTCTGTTTAATCCTCCTGTTCCATTGCCAAACTCCAAAGGGGATAATTACATTCTGACTTCTAAAATTCCCTTTGCAATTTTATGTGGATGAAGTACTTGTAACAGCCTGGGATGCCCTGCGTGCTGGAAGACAGCTGCCCTGTTTCATTTCCAGGGGGGAGTACTTCGGGCAGAGCTAGTGTTGGTACTGCACAGTTTGTCTCGGTCCCAGCATAGAAACCGGACTAGCGTCTCTTGCTGTAAAACGCATTGAACAGGGCATCAAACACCACCTCACGGGAGAATTAAGTTGACTGTCCTCTGTACATAGCTGGTCTAACTGGAGTGTCTAAAACAGCCAGTCATTTAGCTAATCCTGTTTTTTTTTTTCCAAAAAGAACTAATTTAGAGCACTTTTTTGATAGGTAAATATAGTACAAAATAATGGTTTTGTGTTCAGGTGAAACATTGAGTTCAGACAAAATGTCTTGACCCCACTAAAATTATTAAAACTAATTGGAATTCTACGTGCCAGTCCCAAAATAAGACAGTTTGATTCCCTGACATATAATTATTCTTTTCTAAATAGCACTGATAGCAACATCATTGTAAACGGGATAAAAAATTCTTATGTTTGTTTAAATTCCTGGAACTGATCTTTATAATATAAGGAAAATGAACCAAGCTTCCTAAAATGAAATCCAGGTGAAAATGTAATTGTTATATTACTCTTCTGAATTTTTGGAAACATAGATACAAAAATTATTGTTTCAGTTCCCCAAGGGAACTAGTAAAACCTGGACAAGCTGTTGGTTTTTATATTGGTACTGCAAGCTGTTCCTAACCTTAATTGTAGTAGAAAATGAAACTATCGCCATGGAGTGGTGTGTTTAAAACCCACCAAGAGGTTTCAGCAGGAGAGCGGAACCGAAAAAGGAGGGAATCATTAACCACAGAAGTGACTGAAGTGGTTTAATAATTATGTTATTTCAAGAGGAAAAAGGATGTGCCTAAAGTAGAAGGGGAAGGGAAGGATTGATAAATAGAACTTATTTCTATCCTAGGTAGTCAGCTGGTAGAGCTACTAGTGGGAATGGCCTATTAACTAATTGATCTGCTAGACTCAATAGAGAACTCCAGCTGGAGATCAAAGAAAATTCTCTGCTACAAAGGCAAACAGCAACCTTGGACCAGATGTTTTTCTTCCAGCTCTGTCATGCTTGATAACTGTAGGGCATGGCTGAATCTGGCCATAGGCCTCATCCATCCAACCGTTGAGATGAAAAGCAAGGGCTATGTGTGTACACGCGTGTGCACCTATATATATAAACACATGCACACATGTACACACACATGCTTGAAAAAGAGAGACAAGCAGCTTCAAAGTCAAAAGGATTTGGAGTACAAGCTAACTTTGGGAACTGAGAAATTTTTTTATGTCTACTTATTTGCAAAGCGAAGAGCACCAAATGCCAACTTTTATTTTATTTTATTTTATTTTATTTATTTATTTTTGAGATGGAGTCTCGCTCTGTCGCCCAGGCTGCAGTGCAGTGGTGCGATCTCGGCTCACTGAAAACTCTACCTCCCGGGTTCAAGCGATTCTCCTGCCTGCCTCAGCCTCCTGAGAAGCTGGGACTACAGGCGCCCGCCACCACGCCTGGCTAATTTTTTTGTATTTTTAGTAGGGACGGAGTTTCACCGTGTGTTAGCCAGGATGGTCTCAATCTCCTGACCTCATGATCCGCCCACCTCAGCCTCCCAGAGTGCTGGGATTACAGGTGTAAGCCACCATGCCCAGCCTTATTTTTATTTTCTTAAAGACAGAGTCTCGCTCTCTCAGGCTGGAGTGCAGTGGTAAGACCATAGTTCACTGTAGTATTCAACTCCTGGGCTCAAGTGATCCTCTTGCCTCAGCCTCTTGAGTAGCTGGAACTACAGGCACATACCATGGCACCTGGCTAATTTAAAAAATTTTGTAGATATGGAGGTCTTGCTATGTTGCCCAGGCTGGTGTTGAACTCCTGGCCTCAAGCAATCCTCCTGCCTCTGCCTTCCAAAGCACTGGGATGACAGGTGTAAGCTACCATGCCCAGCCCAAATGTCAGCTTTTAAAAAGATTCCTATACCATAATCATTCTACAATTGCCATTTATAATAATGTATACTCATGCATTCTAATACACATCTGTTATGATAAAATGAATTGGATATTTTGAGTAAAGAATGACTTTATAGAAATTCAACTGATTAGTGTTAGCCTATCTGTTTTTTAAATTTTTTTTTTTTTTTTTTTTTTTGAGATGGAGTTTCACTCTTGTTGCCCAGGCTGGAGTGCAATGGTGTGATCTTGGTTCACCGCAACCTCCGCCTCCTGCATTCAAGCGATTCTCCTGCCTCAGCCTCCCGAGTAGCTGGGATTACAGGTGCCCACCACCAGACCCAGATAATTTTTGTATTTTTAGTAGAGATGGGGTTTCACCATGTTGGCCAGGCTGGTCTTAAACTCCTGACCTCAGGTGATCCACCCGCCTCGGCCTCCCAAAATGCTAGGATTACAGGCATAAGCCACCACGCCCGGTCTTAAATGTTTATAATAATAGTGAGAGTTGAAAATCTAAACATGATGTTTCTTTTAGTCATTACCCTAGATTGTTTGTTTACATGTGTTACCCACCTTTGTCTTTTCCAATTTTAACTATGTGTTCCCGTTCTGGTTTTTTTTTTTTTCTTTTTTACATCTGGACAAAGTATTATTTATGACGAGGCAAAATATTTGATTTAGAAGTTTCTGCTCTCCCTCTCCCTCTCCCTCGTCTCCTCTTTCCACGGTCTCCCTGTCCCTCGTCTCCCCTTTCCACGGTCTCTTCCTCGTCTCCCCTTTCCACGGTCTCCCTCTGATGCTGAGCAGAGGCTGGACTGTACTGCCGCCATCTCGGCTCACTGCAACCTCCCTGCCTGATTCTCCTGCCTCAGCCTCCCGAGTGCCTGGGATTGCAGGCGCGTTCCGCCACGCCTGACTGGTTTTCGTATTTTTTGGCAGAGACGGGTTTCGCCGTGTTGGCCGAGCTGGTCTCCAGCTCCCGACCGCGAGTGATCTGCCCGCTTCGGCCTCCCGAGGTGCCGGGAGTGCAGACGGAGTCTCGCTCACTCAGTGCTCAGTCTTGCCGGGGCTGGAGTGCAGTGGCGTGATCTCGGCTCGCTACAACCTCCACCTCCCAGCTGCCTGCCTTGGCCTCCCAAAGTGCTGAGATTGCAGCCTCTGCCCAGCCGCCACCCCGTCTGGGAAGTGAGGAGCGTCTCTGCCTGGCCGTCCATCATCTGAGATGTGAGGAGCCCCTCTGCCTGGCAGCCCAGTCGGGGAAGTGAGGAGCACCTCTTCCCGGCCGCCATCCCATCTAGGAAGTGAGGAGCGTCTCTGCCCTGCCGCCCATCGTCTGAGATGTGGGGAGCGCCGCTGCCCCGCCGCCCCGCCGCCCCGTCTGGGATATGAGGAGCACCTCTGTCTGGCCGCGACCCCGTCTGGGAACTGAGGAGTGTCTCTGCCCGACCGCCACCCCGTCTGGGAGGTGAGGAGCGTCTCTGCCCGGCCACCCCGTCTGAGAAGTGAGGAGCCCCTCCGCCCGGCAGCTGCCCCGTCTGGGAAGTGAGGAGCCCCTCTGCCCTGCAGCCGCCCAGTCTGGGAAGTGAGGAGCGTCTCCGCCCAGCAGCCGCCCCGTCTGGGAGGGAGGTGGGGGGCAGCCCCCGCCCGGCCAGCTGCCCCATCTGGGAGGTGAGGGGCGCCTCTGCCCGGCCGCCCCGTCTGGGAAGTGAAGAGCCCCTCTGCCCGGCTGCCACCCCGTCTGGGAGGTGTACCCAACAGCTCATTGAGAACGGGCCATGATGACGATGGCGGTTTTGTCGAATAGAAAAGGGGGAAATGTGGGGAAAAGAGAGATCAGATTGTTACTGTGTCTGTGTGGAAAGAAGTAGACATGGGAGACTCCATTTTGTTCTGTACTAAGAAAATTCTTCTGCCTTGGGATGCTGTTAATCTATAACCTTACCCCCAACCCCGTGCTCTCTGAAACATGTGCTGTGTCCACTCAGGGTTAAATGGATTAAGGGCGGTGCAAGATGTGCTTTGTTAAACAGATGCTTGAAGGCAGCATGCTCGTCAAGAGTCATCACCACTCCCTAATCTCAAGTACCCAGGGACGCAAACACTGCGGAAGGCCGCAGGGTCCTCTGCCTAGGAAAACCAGAGACCCTTGTTCACATGTTTATCTGCTGACCTTCCCTCCACTATTGTCCTATGACCCTGCCAAATCCCCCTCTCCGAGAAACACCCAGGAATGATCAATAAATACTATATAAAAAAAATAAATAAATAAAAATTAAAATTAAAAAAAAGTTTCTTTGAAATACACATAGATTTATCAATACTTCCTTTCTATAAACTTTCAAAGGTTCCTGCAGTCATAGACATTTTGAAAAATGAGATGTATAGAATTACCTTGATGTGGTTAGTTTGGTTTGGTCTATCGCCTTTCTTAAAATACCACATTGCTTTCTCAGCTGGCCACCAAATATCACCAGAAAGTTATTAGTTCATCTGATTGGTAGACGTATTAGGGTTCAGAGATGTTCAGATTCAACCTTAATTGACCTCATGCAATTAAATTCCCCATAAAAGGAAAATGTCCACAAAATATTTGAATGTTTGTACTTTCATGATACCTGAAATTCTCAAATGGTAATTTTTTTTAAGCTAGGCTTTTGTTTCTACTACAATTTGGCTTCTAACATTTCCCATTATGTTCATGTGTGTCTGTGTGTATATACTTAAAGAAGTGCTAAGGCCAGGCATGGTGGCTTATGTCTGTAATCCCAGCAATTTGGGAGGCTGAGATAGGAGGAACACTTGAGGCCAGAAGTTCAAGACCAGCCTGGTCAACATAGTGAGACCCTTGTTTCTAAAAAAATTTTTAAATATTACCCAGGTGATATGGTTTGACTGTGCCCCGACCCAAATCTTGAATTGTAGCTACCATAATTTCCATGTGTCATGGGAGGGACCTGGTGGGAGGTAATTGAATCATGGGGGCAGGTCTTTCCCAGGTTGCTTTCATGATAGTGAATAGGTCTCACGAGATCTGATGGTTTTATAAAGGGGAGTTCCCCTACACATGCTCCCTGTCTTGCCTGCCGCTATGTAAGACGTGACTTTGCTCCTCCTTTGCCTTCTGCCATGACTATGAGACCTCCCCAGCCGCATGGAACTGTGAGCCCATTAAACCTCTTCTTCATTATAAATTACCCAGTCTCAGGCATGTCTTTATTAGCAGTGTGAGAACAGACAAATACACCAGGCATGGTGGTGTGTGCCTGTAGTGCTACTCAGGAGGATGAGGTGGGACGATTATTTGAACCTAGGAGTTAGAGGCTGCAGTGAGCTAGGATCATGCCACTGCACCCCAGCCTGGGTGACAGAGTGAGATCCTATCTCAAAATAAATAAATATTAATAAATAAAATAAAATAAAGTAAGTATTTACTAGGTGATGTATTTATTAGATATGTATTTATCTGATAATTTTCTGAAGATATAATTTGATAGGGTGGGAGGAGGAAAAGGTAAATATGACTTCTAAAACAAAAAATTCTATATGCTGAAATCTTTGCTGAGTATCTTCTTGTTCAAGAAGAGAGAGTGAGCATACTTATCAACCTTCATGCTTTCTCAAGGTCCCACTGAAATGACTGAAACTATTACCCATCTGTTGTCTGTCTGTCTATTAATCTATCCAATGAAACCACAGTGCTGGACATCAATAAAGGAATCACAGAGCGTGAAATACATGCTGGTAGAAAGAAAGCAGATGGACAAATATGAAAAGCAAACAAAAGTAAAAACAGAGGAGGAGATTCTAGAGATAAGAGAGGGCTGGAGAAGCTCCAAGCTCAGAGTCATCCAACACAAAGGACAGGGATGGGTCAGAGGGCACCCATCAGAGTGTTTATTTAAAGTTCTGAATTCAGGACTTTGGAACCCCCTTCTTCAACTAGAGCTTTTCCTTCTCCTCTCTTTCTTCTCTAGTCCACCGTGCAATTTCAAAGCAAACATGGGCAAATTATGGCAAGTGGATAAAACCAAATCATCTCTAAAGAACCCTAACCCTTTAGAGTAAGGGGATATAGGTGCTGGGCCTAAAGAAAAAAGCTGGAGGTAACCCTGGGCCTGAGGAACAAAGGCTAAGTAAGACAGCTTTGCTCAGGTGTGAACTACACCAAAGTTCTTTATTCCCTAACAATCTTGGGGATCTCTAGGTTGCCTGGTCTATACAATAGGGAAGGCTGCCTGACAGCACTCCCACTCACTTACCCAGTGTATGCACAGAACTCCCTCACTTAAGAAAGAGTCCCGAGAAACCCATGCTATCTGTGCTAATCAGCTTTGTCCTTGAGCCATAGGTATTGACATGGTTTGGCTCTGTTTGGCTCTCCCAAATCTCATGTTGAATTGTAATCCCTGGGGATTATAGGGGAGGGACCTGGTGGGAGGTGACTGGATCATGGAGGCAGATTTCCCCCTTGCTGTTCTTGTGATAGTTAATGAGTTCTCATGAGATCTGGTGGTTTTAAAAGTGTGTGGCACTTTCCCCTTCACGCTGTCTCTCTTCTGCTGTGTGTGAAGAAGGTGCTGGCTTCCCCTTTGCCGTCTGCCACGACTGTAAGTTTCCTGAGGCCTCCCAGTCATGCTTCCTGTACAGACCGCAGAACTGTGAGTCAAACCTCTTTTCTTCATAAATTACCCAGTCTCAGGTAGCTCTTTATAGCAGTGTGAGAATGGACTGATACAGATATAACACTAGATATTTGATTATGCCAATTTCAGAAAAGGGAAGGATTAATATGAACAAACAGAACAACAGATTCTGAAGAAAATAGATATAACTCAGGGAACTAAAAATAACTAAAAAAAAAAAAAACCCCTTTTTTTAGTGTTCTCGGAACAATTTAGGATGATATGGATGACATTACATTCCTAAAATAAGAACAAGTTGTTGTGACCCAAGAACAGTCAGAGAACAAGAAGAGCTCCTGATAATTAAAACATGAACTTTTTCTTTGAGACAGGGTCTCGCTTTGTCACCCAGGCTGGAGTGCAGTAGCATGATCACGGCTTACTGCACCCTTGACCTCCCAGCCACCAGGCCTGGCTAATTTTTTTATTTCTATTTTTTATAGAGATGGTGTATTAGTTGTTATTTCACTGTTATAAAGAAATACTGAAGACTGGGTAGTTTATAAAGAAAAGAGGTTTAACTGGTTCACAGCTGCACAGGCTCTGTAGCAAGCATGGCTGGGGAGGCCTCAGGAAACTTATGATCATGACAGAAGGCGAAGGGAAGCAAGCACATCTTACAAGGCTGGAGCAGGAGGAAGAGAGAGAGGCAGGTGCTGCACACTTTTAAACAACCAGATCCCAGGATAACTCACTCACTGTCATGAGAAGGGCACAGAGGGGATGGTGCTATAGCATTCATGAGAACCCTACTCCCATGATCCAAACACCTCCCACGAGGTCCCACCTCCAACACTGGGGATTACAATTTGACATGAGATTTGGGTGGCAACACAGAGCCAAACCATTTAAGATGGGGTCTTGCTATGTTGCCCAGGCTGGTCTCAAACTCCTGGCCTCAAGCAATCCACCTGCCTCAGCCTCCCGAAGTGTTGTAATTACAGGCATCAGACACTGTGCCCAGCCTCTGAAGACCTTTTTAAACTACAGATTGCCGGGCCCCAATTTCAAGGATTCTGATTCAGTAAATCTGGGGTGGGACTGGGGATTTTGCATTTTTAACAAGTCCCCAGGTGGTGCCAATGCTGCTGGTCTAGGGACCACACTTTGAGTAGCAAGAGGTAAACAAAGCTGATTTGAATTTTGGCTTTACCCACTACAGGCTGTATGAGCTTGGGCAAGTTACTCAATTTTTATGCCCTGTGGTTTGTTCAACCTATGACATGAGAGTTATTGTAGTTCCTGTCTTTTTCAATTATTGTGAAGATTAGACGAGATAAGGTATGCAATTAATACACTTAATACAGTGTCTAGCACATACCAAGAAGTCAATGAGTGTTTGCTGTAATTATGATGAAACCATACTTTTCTAATGGCTGATCAGGTCTGAGAGGCCGGGATAGAATGTCAGCTGCGGGAAAATAAGATTCTAATCATTTCTTCTAGATCTCATTCTTGCATGAAAATCTCCTTTAATACTGGACCAGCAGAGAAAAATAACTAGCTAGCTAGCTTTAAATCATGTTTCTCACCTGGTGCAGTGGCTCATGCCTATAATAGCAGCACTTTTGGAGGCCAGGCGGGTGGATCACTTGAGCCCAGGAGTTCAAGACAAGCCTGGGTGATGTGGCCAATCTCTACAAAAAGTACAAACATTAGCTGGGTGTGGTGGCCTGCACCTGAAGTCCCAGCTACTCCAGAGGCTGAGGTGGGAGGATCACCTGAGCCCAGGGAGGGTTCAGGCTGCAATGAGCCTCGATCATGCCACTCCACTCCAGCCTGGACAACTCTGTTGAAAAAAAAAAAAATGTTCCTAGAAATGAAGTACAAATTGAAACGGATGCAAAGAGAGGGTTATAGGAGCACTTTTATGTTTATTGCTCTCATTTGGAGTAATTTCAAGTTTAAAAAGGAATGTGGAAATTTTCACAGATGACATCTGGGTTTGCCTCTCTTTTTCAAGGCCTCGGCCTATCAGTTGAATTCAGCACATTTTCACTTTGTGCTGTTATCCCTCAGCACAGAGGGAACATGATAATTGATAGGAGGCAGTTATGGATGAGCAGGGACACGTGCATGTGAAAGAGGTGAAAAATGAATATTTTGTTCTCAAGAAATGTATAATCTAATTTCAGATAACAGCCCTTCATGAAATAGTGACATGAAATGCCAGGCAGGGTGTAGTTACACTGAATAGGAAATTTGTATTAGATTATTCACAAATAGTCTAGAAGATTCAAGGATCACTTGACGATCAGGTGGGATTGCTTGGGAATGGATGGAAAGTGCCCCCCACTTTCCTGCTACCCTCACATAGTAGAAAACATGCTTTAAAAAGGTATGAGGATGAGGCCAGTCACAGTGGCTCACTTTGGGAGTAATCCTAACACTTTGGGAGGCCAAGATGGAAGGATCCATTGAACCCAGGAGTTGGAGAGCAGCCTGAGCCACACAGTAAAACCCTGTCTGTACAAAAAATACAAAAATTAGCCAGGTGTGGTGGTGCATACCTGTAGTCTTAGCTACTCCAGAGACTGAGGTGGGAGGATCACTTGAGCACGAGAGGTCAAGGCTGCAGTGAACTGTGATCATGTCACTGCACCTCCAGCCTGGGTGACAAAGTAAGACTCTTTAAAAAAAAAAAAAAGGTATGAAGATGAAATTAACACAGCATGAGTTAAATTTAACTAGAAGTTGAGGAATAAGTCACTGTTGAAAACAATGCAGGCAAGTAACTCTTTGAAGAGCAAACTCTGTTTTTCAAGTATGCATGTTGTAATGCTTTTGATTTTGCAAATGGCACTGAAAATGCTAAAGTGAAGTTCAATAATTGTGACTGATGGGGAGACTGCTCAAAAAAAAACCCTGCTAACTTTGACAACTCGGTCAACAGATTCAATGCACTCTGTATGCAGGATGGAAAACCTTCTGACCTTGAAGTCATCAGAGGGGATGAGCTGGACAGAACAGGAATTTTCCTCATCTTTTCCTCTCAAGGCAACAAGGCTGAGACAGACCACATTTGTGGCCAGGGAGTGAGATGTGCAGGGAAACTTGGCTTCGGGTCCTGGATCTTGGGGAGGGCAGGTATTCATCACTTAGACTGTGGTTAAACAGGAGTTTTTCCTGAGGGTCAGCAGGGAACAAGTGAGAAGAGCAGTCTTTGTTTTTTTTGTTTTTTTTTTTTGAGACAGGGTCTCACTCTGTTACCAAGGCTGGAGTACAGTGGCATGATCACGGCTCACTGCAGCCTCGAACTCTTAGGCTCAAGCCATCCTCCTGCTTCAGGCTTCCAAGTAGCTAGGACTAAAGGAGTGTCCCACTGCGCCCAGTGAGAACATGATGATGGATCCATCTACCTCCTTGTGACTGGGTGCACAATGAAGAAAACTGTTTCCTGTACCATGGGATGGAGGGGCTCCTGCCCATCTGAAAGCTGAAATTTGGAGTTGAGTTCAAGCATGTTCACCCCGAAAAGCACTGGTGGTTGTATATTTGATGCAAAGTGAGACCCTGCCACACCCAATCTCTGCCTGAAACAGAATCATAATGACATCAGATGATAATACTGGAGTGACTAATGATTGTGACCTCATTAAAAGAAAAAGGAGACTACTTCCTGCTGATTAGAGGGATGGTAGCCATGGATTAGTCATGGCAAAGACAGGCATGGTTGGATCTGTCACTCATTTATCTCTTTCTGGTTTTTAAATTGCCAGAAGAGAAGATTTATGAAAAATGTCTGTGACTTCTCGTTCTCCCTTGGAGATAATCTGGTTTTCAGCCTGCCTCCCCAGCACCCCACTCCTAGTTAATTGCCTTAACAGCCAGACAGGATTACTGGAGACCTTGTTTCTTGGAGTGGTCTTCATAAAATAATACTGTAAAGTTTGGGTTCATTTTGTCTTCTCTGTGCTGTGCAAATTAACTTTGATTTTAGACATTTTTGTAGATGGAGGACTGGGGTGATTAGAATAAAAACCACAAAAGCACTTCAGTGTCAACTTCTTAATTGTACGTAATTTTCACAAGCAATGACTGCAGGTGAGCCCCACCTGTTTCTAGCTAGGTCTGCATGGTTCCTCCCTGAGCCTGAGATTGGCCATCTTCCCTCATGTCCAACCAAAGTGATTGCCTGTCCTTTGAAACATTTGCTCTTAGTTATTCTCACTGACATCTCCACCAACAGAATGGATAACCAGGGATGTCGATATTTCATGAGTTTATCAAAAAGCGTCACTCATTTAAATCGTTCATGTTTCATTTAAATTAAGATCCTCAGAGAGAGAGACCTAATACCTTAGTAAAGTTTTACCAATAGGCATATTAGAGAAAACTCATCCATAGCTCCTCCTGAAAGGCAGCCTGGTATGGCTTAGGAATCATTTGAGCATATATATACATACACACACACACACACACACACACACATATACGATTGAAGTAAAAAGAAGACAAACATATGTATGTATATATACACATATACATAGTGTATATATGCATATATACGTATAAGTATATATATGTATGTGTGTATATATATACACATACATACACACACACAGTTGATCGTTAAACAATGCAGGGACTAGGGGTGCTAAACTCCTGTGCACATGAAAATCTGCATATAACTTTTTTTTTTTTGAGACCAAGTCTTGCTCTGGCACCCAGGCTGGAGTGCAGTGGTGTGATCTTGGCTCACTGCAACCTCTGCCTCCTGGGTTCAAGGAATTCGCGGTTCTTGTGCCTCAGCCTCCTGAGTAGCTGGGATTTCAGGCTTGAGCCACCATGCCCGCCAAACTTCTGTACTTTTAGTAGAGACGGGGTTTCACCATGTTGGCCAGGCTGGTGTTGAACTCCTGACCTAAAGCGATTTTCCCACCTTGGCCTCCCAAAGTGCTGGGATTACAGGTGTGAGCCACTGCACTCGGCCTACATGTAACTTTTTTTTTTTTTTGAGATGGAGGCTCACTTTTGTTGCCCAGGCTGGAATGCAGTGGTGCCACCTCGGCTCACTGCAACCTCCGCCTCCCATGTTCAAGCGATTTTCCCGCCTCAGCCTCCCGTGTAGCTGGGATTACAGGTGCCTGCCACCACGCCCGGCTAATTTTTGTATTTTTAGTAGATACGGGGTTTCGCCATGTTTGCCAGGCTGGTCTCAAACTCCTGACCTCAGGTGATCCACCAGCCTTAGCCTCCCAAAGTGCTGGGATTACAGGCGTGAGCCACTGCACCTGGCACATGTAACTTTTGACTGCCCCAAAACTTAATGACTAATAGCCTCCTGTTGGCTGGAAGCCTTAACCAGTAACACAGATGGTCAATTAACACATATTTTGTATGTTATATGTATTCTATACTGTATTTGTATAATAAAGTAAGCTAGAGATAAGAAAATAGTATTGAGAAAATCATGAGGAAGAGAATATATGTTTAGTATTCATTAAATGGAGGTGGATGATCATAAAGGTCTTTATCGTTATCAACTTCATGATGAGTAGGCTGAGGAGGAAGAGGAGGGATTGGTTTTGTTGTCTCAGGGGTGGTGGAGGTGGAAGAAAATCCTCATATAAGAGGACTCTTGCAGGTCAAACCTGTGGTGGTTACGAGGAAACTCTGTATCTGTATACGATATCATTTCTATTCTTAAATAAGTATATTACCTTCAATGAATCACTTGACCTCCCCAAACTTTAGTTTTGTAATCATCATGCAAGAAGTGAATTAGTTGACTTATTTTTTTAGACTTCAAAGTCACCTCTATAAGTATCAAACCCAGAAATGCTTTCTAAAAAGCATCCAGCATGGGACAAAGATGTAGGCCAGAAGACTAAATCAGTCTAGTCTTTCCACGTTCTTCTGTCTGCTTTTATTCTGGCTGAGCTGGCAGCTGATTACATGGTGCCCACCCAGATTGAGGGTGGGTCTGCCTCTCCCAGTCCATTGACTCAAACGTTAATCTCCTTTGACAACACTCTCACAGACACACCCAGGAACAATACTTTGCATCCTTCAGTCCAATCAAGTTGACACTCAGTATTAACCATCACAGGGAAACATCCATTTCTTAGTCTTTTCTTGCTTCTAAAGGCTGCCTCCTCATAGTTCCTTCCTCTGTCTTCAAAGCCAGCAGCAAAGATTTGTTCTCTGACTTCTGCTTCCATCATCATATCTCATTCTCCACCTTCCTTTTGTAAGGACCCTTGTGATTACATTGGGCCACTAGATAATCCGGGATAACCTCTCCTTCTCATGATCCTTCACTCAATCACAACTGCAAAGTCCCTCTTCCCATGTAAGATTTATAGGATCCAGGAATTAGGATGTGAACACCTTTAGGGGGCCACCCTTCAGTGTATCACTCTAGAATATAGTTTTAGGCAAACACAGCAAGGTATGAGGTTGGTGCAAAAGTAATTGCGGTTTTGCCATTACTTTCAATGGAGAAAACCACAATTTTGCCATTACTTTCAATGGCGAAAATCGCAATTACTTTTACACTAGCATAATACATTACAGCATGAATAGAATGCTACCATTCGTGTAAAAAAGGCAGGGGGGAGGATAGATATCTAATATATGTTCTTATATGCATAAAATATCTCTGGAAAGAGACACAGGAACTCGGTAACAGTGATTTTGGTCAAGCCTGGTGGCTCATGCCTGTAATCCCAGCATTTTGGGAGACGAGGCAGGTGGATCTCCTGAGCCCAGGAGTTCAAGACCAGCCTGGGAAACATGGCAAAACCCTGTCTCTACCAAAAAAAAAAAAAAAAAAAAAAATTAGCCAGGAGTGATCGTGTGCATCTGTAATCCCAGCTACTCGGGAGGTTGAGGAATGAGACCCGCTTGAGCCCAGGAGGTGGAGGTTGCAGTGAGCTAAGATTGCGCCACTGCACTCCAGCCTGGGTGATAGAATGAGACCCCATCTCAAACAAAACAAAACAAAACACCAAAAACAGTGATTCTGAGGTGGACTGGGTTTATGAATGGGAAAAGAATTTATATGTTGGTTTTTACTTTTATGTCATTTATTTTTTATGTTTTTGAGACAGGGTCTGGTTCTGTCACACAGGCTGGAATGCAGTGGCACGATCATAGCTCATTGCAGCTTCCAACTTCCGGGCTCAAGTGATCCTTCTGCCTCAGCCTCCTGAGTAGCTGGGACTACAGGTGCATTCCACCACACCTGACAAATTTTTTAATTTTTTTTTTCCTGGAAACAGGGTCTTGCTATGTTGTTCCAGCTGGTCTCAAACTTCTGGCCTCAAGCCATCCTCCCTTCTCAGCTTTCCAGAGCACTCGGTTTACAGGTGTGACCTGCTGCTCCTGGCCTTTTTCCTTTTAAAATAGAATAAATATCTACCATAAAAAAAGCTAAGCCATGCTACCAGCTTCCTTCTTACCAAACCTTCACAAGAGTTTTGATTGGCAGACTCTTGCCTATGGTGTGAAAAAGAGAGAATGCAAATGACAAGAGAGAAACCAGGTTTAATGCTCATCCCCAGATTAGCTTTTCAGCACCAGGCCAGTTGAACATTGGCTTGCCCTTCACAGCCAGGCCTCTGTAGGAGATTCTGCTAACTTATCCCTGCTCCCTAGCTTAGGCTCTCAAAAAAAGCTCTTGGCAAAGACTCACCGGAAATCAAAGACAACTATCTCCTGAGCTCTGAGACAGTACTGCTTCTTGAAATTCTTTGAGGAGATATAGGCAAGAAATTTTCTGCTAGCATTCCATCTTAAACTCTGCTTCTCATAGAATAATATACCTTCAGGGCTTAAAAATCACTGGGTTAAAATTTGTCCTAAAGATGAGCAAACTGAGACCTAAAGAGATTGATATAGATGATTGTTACAGATTGATATGGATGATTGTTACAGATGCACAGATGATACAGAGACTTAGAGACTGATACAGATGATTAATACAGAAGTCACCTTTGGCAACAAATGCAATATATGTTTACTTATTATTAAATAATTATTTCTTTGTAGTTTGGTAATGATTGCTTTATTTATTGTTGCACGTTGACAATGTTTCAGGCCACATGCTGGGCTACAGGGAGGATAAGATGCTGCAGCCTGCTCCTAGGAAGTTTCCAGTTGAGCTGGCATTTGCAGACCAAGTGACACTTGCCATTGAGACGGGTGGATGCAGTGTCCTGGCTCGAGAGGCCAGACTCTTAAGTAAATAAATGACAAGACTCACGCAGTATGCAGTCTGTGAGCTGAAGCTTGACTAAAGAGTTCACGTTTGTGAGGAGCCTGGCATTCCAGGATAAAGGAAGAGGACAGCAGGAGAAATGAGAATGCCTGGCATATTTTGGGAGCCATGTATGGTTCCATAGCTGTGGAGGGTAAAGTTCCAGCAGGAAGGATGAGGACAGGAAGCTGAGAGGCAGGCGGTTCAGATCACAAAAGGTCTCATATATCTTCTTATATTTAGATTTTGTTTTTGTTCCCTACCCAAATCATAGGGGTGACAAACTTTCTAAAGAGGGCCAAATAGTAAACATTTTAAGCTTTGCAGGTGACCTACTTCTCTGTCACATACAGTTATTTACTTATTTATTTAGAGACAGGGTCTCTTCTGTGGCCCAGGCTGGAGTGCAGTAGTGGGATCACAGCTCACTGCAGCCTTGAACTCCTGGGCTCTAGTGATCCTCCTGCCTCAGCCTCCCAAATAGCTGGGACCACAGGTCCGTACCCCCTTGCCAGGCTAATTTTATTTATTCTTTTATAGAGATGAGGTCTTGCTATGTTGCTCAGGCTGGCCTTGAACTCCTGGTCTCAAGTGATCCTCCTGCTTTAGCCTCCCAAAGTGCTGAGATGATAGTTGTGAGTCACTGTGCCTGGTCACATATTTCTTTTTAAATTAAATTAAATTTTTTTTTTTTGAGACGGAGTCTCACTCTGTTGCCCAGGCTGGAGTGCAGTGGCGCCATCTCAGCTCACTGCAAGCTCCGCCTCCTGGGTTCACGCCATTCTCCTGCCTCAGCCTCCCGAGTAGCTGGGACTACAGGCGCCCGCCACCATGCCTGGCTAATTTTTTGTAATTAAATTTAATTTTTTACAACCCTTTATACATGTAAAAACCATTCTTAGTTCACAGCCAGATTTGGCCCATAGGTCATAGTTTGCTGACAGCCACAGGTGATGGGAAACCACTGGAGATTTTTAAGAGGGAAATAGACATGATTAGATTTGGGCTTTGGAAAGATCATTCTGGTGGCAGCTGTGCAGCAGAGAGACTGGGGGTGTAGGATGAGTCGAGGGGCTAGGCATATGTAGAAGAAGACCTCTAAGGAAGTTATTGCAACAGTCCAGGGAAAAATAATGAGGACCAGGACCAGGTGGTAGTGGCTGTGGCCTAACTTCTTGATAGCTGGGCTGAAGGGAGGTTGCAGCAAAGAATGAGAACGCCTTTGCACATATAATGGTGTTACCTCTCTCTCCTCCTCCTTCCCCCCAATCCCATGGGACATTCTTCTTGTCCATTTGGGGTGGGGCTGACAAGTGGTGGAAAGGCACCATTAGCTGAGGCCCCCTCTTTCCAGGCATGGCTCTACCCCATTGAGCCCCCCAAGATCTTGAAGCAGGACTCCCCTTTCCCATGGGCCCACTCTGCCCAGCTTCTCTGCAGCCAGCCCCCCGGGTAAGACCTGGCGTCCTGCCTCCTTCTCAGTCTGCATGCTAATATACGCTGACTCTCCCATCTTTGGGGACAAACAGTCTCATTTTCTCTCTCAAATAAGCATCTGCACAGAGCATTTGACTGCATCTGCCAGCCCCAGGTCTTAGCCCCAGCTAACTTTATTCTAATTGCCCAGAGTGAAAACTGCTATACTTTCCACCCCATTTCTTTTGTTCGCCACCAAGAACAGTCTCCTTTTTCAGGTGTAAAAGGCAGGCAAAGCAAAAGTGATTCTGGGTAGGGGTGAAGTCATTTCTTATCCTTAGCCCATGCTGATTACATCTTCCCTTCTTGTGGGAAAAGGGCTGCCTCCCAGCAATGTGTGTACATCCCTTTGAATGTTTCTTGTCACTTAGATTTCTTACGCTATTTACTGACCTGGCTCCGTGGGCCCATCTCCCTTGCCTTATCTGTGAGTCTCGTTTCTCTGTAAGAGTCTCTTTCATCTCCTCGGGGGTTATCTTTTCCCCACCAGGACATGAATACCTTTTTTTGTTTGTTTGTTTTTCTTGCAGTTCCCATGGTAGAATTCATGCCCTCTTAACTTTGGTTTCCTTCTCAAATACTTAATTGCAATTTCTTGAATTACTTCCTTCATAATGCGTTTCTCAGTCTAATAAACATGCATGCATTCAAATGCTCCAAATACATGACGGCAAACTCAGTTTTCTACTTTCCTCTTTTGCTATTTTGCTTGATCAAAATTTGTTGCTGAGTTTTGGGGATATAAGTGGTTTCTCTTCAGCTGTGCTTGGCAGAGGTGAAGGTCCCACATGATATTGTGTCTAGTTCTTGTTTAGACAACTCTGTTTTGGGGGCGTGATCACCCCCATTTGAATAATACTCAGCAGTGTTTTCCACAGAGAATACTTTCTGTTTTTCCCATAGCTGCTTTAGAGAGTAGCTCTGTTGCCTGGGTTTTTCTTTACGTTCTTTATTGTTTGCATACATTGTGTTATTCTTTGTATCATCAGCCTATTGTCTTATGAATCTATCCAAACATAAGAGTCAGATAATTATAGTTGGATCTTGAACTCTTCATCTGAGATGATGTGAATGTGGCAAGAGACCTCTTGGATTATCCACGTTGGTTCTAAATTAGACCATTTTGCTCTGTTGTCTTCATGGGTGGCAGCGATGATAGTGATGATGGCGGTCTGAACAATTTTTAGCTAATGTTTGTTTACCCGGTGTTTACCATATCCCAGCTATGGGGCTAAGTTCTTTATTTATATTACTCCATTTAGTCCTCATAAGAGCCCTCTGGATTACAGATGTTCATCATCTCATTTTACAAATGAGGAAACAGACAGAGACTTTAATGAACTTACCCAGGACTGGATGATAGCACCGGGCTTCGACTGTGCGTATCAGCTCGTGTGTCACTAACTGGAGTAATCGTACATACAGGTACATTTTATTTAGGCATCACCAAAGGATGTGTTGAAGCATGCGAATATGAGTTACAATACTTGGGTTTGTGTTGTTTTATGGTCTCACCCCTCAGTGCTCCCTAAAAGTATAGATGAGGAGTTTCACTGTTGCTGGGATTAGGCTTTCCTTAATGTATAGGAGACAACATCCCCTCCCCTCCCACCAACCACCAAATGGAGCCTTCGCACAACCAGAAGTCAGAGCCCAGAGCCCGCATCTCCTTTAGGAGGCACAGTGCCCAAGGCCCCAGGGGTTTTTAGGGACCTGCAATAATGTTTTAATTTCTTTCAAAATTAGAAGAAGAAAGCCAGGTGCAGTGCTCATACCTGTAAGCCTGATTAGACTCTCAAGCCATTTCCTCCCGTGTTTATCTATGGATTCCCTGCTTTCTCCATCGGACATTTACCCATCACGTTGGAGACACCAGCTTTTGCCCACTCTGCCACTGCCAACTCCTGGAACAGGGAGTGTAAGACGCAGCTCTGGGAGATCAGGTCAGAAGACCAGGACAAAGGTTTCTTTGAGCGTTGTAGCTTCACAGGTCTTTGAAATGCTACAGGGATTTTCCTGAGATTTATACTTAAAATCCAGTGTTTCTCAGGACAATATAAATTTTGAGCAGAACGGGGATTTTAGAGATGATCAAATCTAAAGTTCATTTCATAGATGTGGAAATAAAAATAAACACAGGGGGCTTGAATTACTTGTTCAAAGTCATACATTGAATGACTTCCAGAGCAAGACTTGAAACCTACATCCCTGACTCCTAATGGCATGCTTTTTACCTGAAGGCATTAATAAAATGAAGTCTAGATTGTCCCTCTTCTTTTCGTTCCTTGGATAATTCGTTTGTCTCCAAACTTTATTTCCGAACACGCCTTTGTGCCTGTGGATGTTCCAGACTTCAGATGACCTGTTCTCCTTGAGATGTCACATCTTTTATTGACCGTATTTAGTGGCATTTCTGATTTTATTAGTACACTGAAACACTAGAACCATCATCTTTCCTAACTGGAACTTTTAAAAATGAAAACAAGGATAATAATAGTCTGTGTTTGCAGTTCTGGTTTTGGACACTTTTAGATGTGTTTCCTGGGGAGTTTCTTTCTCCATTTATTGAGCTCTATGTAAGTTCTTTTATTTTATTTTTTAAATTTATTTGAATTTTGATATATAAACAAATACTTTGCTTTTAATAATTTCCACTTTTGTTTTAGGTTCAGGGGCACATGTACAGGCTTATTACCTGGGTAGACTGCGTGATGCTGAGGTTTGGTGTACAATTGATTCCGTCACTCAGGTACTGAGCACAATGCCCAATAGTTCACTTTGCCTCCCGTTCTTCCTCCTCCTGTAGGAGTCCTCAGTGCCTGTTGTTCCTATCCTTCTGTCCATGTGTACCCAGTGTTCAGGTCCCACTTATAAGAACATGTGTTATTTGGTTTCCTTTTCCTGCATTAGTTTGCTTAAGATAATGGCCTCCGGTCTTGGTGGCTCACGCCTGTAATCCCAGCACGTTGGGAGGCTAAGGCAGGCAGATTGCTTGAGCTCAGGAGTTTGAGACCAGTGTTGGTAACATGGGGAAATCCTCTATAAAAAAATACAAAAAATTTGCCGGGCATGGCGGTGTGTGCCTGTAGTCCCAGCTACTTGGGGGGCTGAGGTGGGAGGATCGCTTGAACCCAGGAGGTTGAGGCTGCAGTGAGCTGACACTGTGCCACTGCACTCCAGCCTGGGTGACAAAGTGAGACCCTGTCTCAATAATAATAATAATAATAATGGCCTCTAGCTGCAACCATGTTGCTGCAAAGGACAAGATTTCATTTCCTTTTATGGCTTTGTAGCATACCACGGTGTATATGTACCACATTTTCTTTATCCAGTCTACCATTGACAGGCACTGGGTTGATTCTATGTCTTTGCTATTATGAATAGTGCTGCAATACACATGCAAGCACAGGTGGCTTTTTGGCAGAACCATTTATTTTCTTTTGGCTATATACCTAGTAATGGGATTGATGGGTAGAATGGTAATTTGGCTCTTTCTTTTAAAAATAGAATGTGCTGGGTGCAATGTGGCACTTGAGCTGTTGTGGTCTTTACTGTGGTCTTTACTCTGAATGTCACACTGTCTCAAGGGTGTCGTGAGATGATTCAGCTTCAGGCTGTCAACTAGTAACTCCTTGGTACTGAAGCTTTGCCCAAACACCTGCCTACTTTCAGGGGCTGTCCCAGATCACAAGATTATATCAGCCTCATGCTGGTTAAATCTTCCGTTCTGAATTCAGCAAAATAGAAAGCAGAAGCATAAGGCCCTAGACTAGGGCAGTAATTTGGGTGGTGTCATAGACAGGGGACTGTTTTACTGACAGTCAAAGGTGATGTGTAGGGCTAGCTGATTTCTTAAAACCAAGCAGACTTGGCTTAAAGGTCTTTTTCTGGTCTGGCTGCTGTATCCTAAGGCATTGGATTGTGGAACTGATGGGAGACTTGGGTTTATTGAGGTTGGCTCCTGGGATGTGGAAGTGCATGAGAGATTAGCTAAAAGCCTAATGAATAGATTTCAGGTGATTTCCAGGAATACATATTCAATGTGCCACTTTTTGTTGAAAAATGAATAAATAGAGCATCTGGGAATGAATAAAGCACTGAGCAGAGTGTTTCCCCATTGGCAGAGAGTGAGGAGCCTATGTGTGCTTGGAGCCTCTGGGAGATGCGGGAACAAGGAGCGTTTTGTTGGGATTGAAGAACACTGGGATGCTTTCTGTGCATCACACAAGCCTCTGCACCATCACTCTGAATTCAGCACCGAGATCGTTTCATTTCCAGGGCTTTTTTTTTTTCTTTTCTAAACTCGACACAGCCCTTTGACTTGATTTTGGACCTCACTTTCATGGCCAAAGCATATATCCAGGAGGAATAGTTACCTTTTCTTTTCTTAAAACAGGGACAACAACAGTGTACTGGCTGAATCTTGTATTTATAAAGCGACATTTCCACATCTGCCTTGTGAATTTCTTTCTTAGTCAAGTGGTCATAAAAAAGAGGAAGATAAAAACAAATGAAAAGAAATGGGAGTAATTTAAGTCAAGAATAACTTCCTTTTTATTAGATTTAACTTGAAACCAAGTATCATATTTATATAAATACTGTGGAAAATATTTAACCTATTCATAAAGGTTAAGTAACTAACTGATAAGCTTTGTAGGAAAAGTATGTTTAAATGCTCCCATTAAACTATAACTGGGCCAGGCAATTTTTCAAGTTTTCAAATACATACCTTTAGGAAAATGAATAGAAATGTGAGGAACAGGAAGAATTTCTCGTGAACAAATACAATGGCTCATTGTACAAATTATTGCTACTTTATGTATCAGAGGGCACAGAGTGAGTCAAAAAGTCAAAATAACAGGACTTAGAAGAAAGTCTTAATGATACAATTCAGTCTTCAGTAAAGACTAAGACAAATTACTTCAGCAGCTGGCTGAAGAAATCCAAGGGCAAGATATTTTAGCTGGTGCTCTTTTCCTATAAATAATACACAAAATGATTAGAAGATTGAGGGGTTTGGAGAGGTACACAGAACCGTGAGACTGGAAAATGTTTATATGAATACAGGTTAGATGATGACACCTTTTTGTAGATTTCCTCTTTGAATAGAATGAAATTATCCTCCAAACCAGGAGAGTCTGAGAGTGAAAGGGGACAGGATTAATAACTATGCCAGGATAACAGGCACAACCCAGGACTGTTATGAGAAAATTGGAACATGTGTCCACCCTTTCTCTGAATCTATTTTTAGAGCTAACAATTTAAATATGTAGAGAATTACATAGGCCATTATCTTTGTTTTTGTGGGAGCTGAGAGATCCTACATCTTTAAGGACTTGTGCTAGTTCTGTTGCATTAGAGAGAAAAATGCTCACAAAATGATCAATTAAAAAAAAAGTACAACTAAAAATGGAATCCTAAAGTGGCCTCAGCTGCCTGGTGGGAGCGGGTGAAGGGAAGCCTAGAAGCAGGTCTGGGGAAAGAGCCTGCAGTGCTCCATGGGGAAGGAGAGACAAGGTCGGGTCACTCTGCTCATCACCGGAGGCTGGCATGCTGCCTTTCTAACAGGACCATCCAGCTCTCAGCGCTCACCGTCACCAGACAGCGGCTGCCGAGCAGATGGAGCCCGCACCTGTGCATACTCTCTGTCAAAAAGACTTCCCAGAAGCTGTTGTGTCAATAACAAGGTCTCAAAAAATATATGCCCCACAAAACCACCCACACTAAAGATCATTCTTGAGTCTGATTTGAAAACTAGGGTCCAGCTCTGCAGAGCCATTCAAGTGGCCAGATGCCACCCTCATAGCCAGATCCATAGGTCCCCTCCATCATGCCAGGGAAAATGCTCCACTCACCACACTCAGCTTCTGCTTCCGGTTTCAGTGTACTCTCTGTATTGGAGGGGTTTTAAAGCTAGAGGGGCCTTCACCCACTTACTGTCATTCACAGATCTGAATATGGAGATCTAGAGGGGAAAGCGATGTGCCCTAAGTCAGAGTAGAGTCAACAAGAAAACAAGACAAGCAATGACCATGTCCCTAGTGTATAAGGGTCTCTGGAGAGCTTCTGGGGTTACAGAGATGAAGAAAACATAGTCCTATAGTTCAATCTAGCAAGGTAGACAGTCTCTTTGTAGGCGGGACCAGGCTTCCCTGCAGCAGAAGGAAACTTGAAATCAGGGTAATGAGCCCCACCAGGGACGGGCCATCACGCTGCCCTGAGAGGATCATGCGTGGACACGGGGCTTTGACTGGCTTTGACCCTCTAGCTATGCTGTAAGGCCAGGTGGGACCTGCAGTGGCCTGAGCTGGGGGCTGCCGTGAACTCTTTCCCCTCTTCCAAGGCACTGTGTTAAGTAATGTCACTTTATATTTGCACAGCAAAATCAGGGACACAGTTTTCTAGAATTTGCGGTGCCTTTCCTCCCCCAGCATAATGGATGGTTTGCCCTGGTTGGCGAGCCCTTGTTTGTGTTAGAGGTGGAACACTCTGCAGGGTTCTGAGTGGTCAGTTGTGACCCACATACCAGTAGAGAAAAGAGGAAGAGCTGTGGAGCCCTCAAGAGCCATGAAGGACCTGCTGCTCACCACGAAATGCCTCCTCAACTGCTGCTGGCCCACCTGTGGGCAGCAGTAAGTAGTGATGTACAGAATCCTGGGACCAGTGCCAGTGACCCTAGGGATACTATGGGTGAGCTGGGCGTGCACCGCTGTGATGGCCTCTCTGGTCAGGAGACGACACGCAGTGAGAAGGAGGGAAGGGCTGGCCCAAAGGGCTTCAGTCTAAGGTGAGGCCCACAGAAAGGCCTGCGCCAAGATGCAGCCAGCAGCCCACACCAGTGGTAGCTACCTGTTATCCATGCTGGGGCCAGTCCTTGATTGCTCCAAACACTCTGCTTGAAGGTTCTAATGGAAATGAGCAGGTCTTCCGATCAGGACCTAACCTAGGCGAGCTTCTGAAAAAAGCATGAAAAAGCAGCCTCCTGAACTTCCCCAAGTGACTGATGTGAAGCACATCCTGCACGCTTCACAGCATGGAGATCTTCCAGTGCACACCACGGACGATGTGAATGACAGCATGGACCATCAGCAACCCACAGAGCTGCCCGACCAAGAAGTTGTAAATCAGACGCCACACACACACAAAAAAGACAAGATGGCCTCAAGTCCCCAATATTCGAACTGGAGTAGGCGAGTGGCTTCCCTGGTGGCTCACGCTCTGCTGAGCACCCTTCATCTGCACCAGGAAAGACGACATGGAAAATGAGGACTTGGCAGTGGAGGGGAACAGGGAAGCAGAACAGGGTGGTCCCCCAGCATCGTGGCCGCAAGTCCCTCTGAAAGCATGGATGACAATGGTAATTTAGGTGCTTCCTTCGAATGTCCCGAGGGAAAGACTGGTAAAGCAGACATACGATTGTGAGAAGAAACCCAAAGGAGTACAGAACTCACAGCACAAGCCCAAGGTCTGCTCAGCGAGCAGGTCTCTCTGCAGGGTTCAAGGGCACAGCTGGAGAGGGACATCCCGAAGCTGCAGCCAGTGGTTTCCGATCTGCCTGAACTGCCCTGAAAACACATGAAGCAGCCTCAGGGGGAGTCCATGGAGAAGGATGTCTACTGCTTGCACCTCAGAGACTTCGTAAAGTGCAGGAAAATGGGAACTGCTCGTCATACCAGCAAGCTTTAAGAAAAGATGTGTCCCCAGACTTGGCCCAGGAATTGAAGGATGACACAGTTTTCAGAGGGAGATCCTCTTCTATGAGAAAACAGCCCAGGACGGCTGGATGACAGCCACGTCCACTGAGATAGCAAGACCTCTGGAAAGAAGATGACCATAATAGGCAGAAGCCAGCTGATTGCGAGGCCAAGTTCCACCCTTTCCTGAGCGGCCCTTTGGCTCCTGGGGATCCACCTGCAGCCCACAGGGGCCTGGAAGTGCCGGGGGACCATGGTCCTGAACACCCAGAGACTTGGCAGAACATCAGCTGATGCTGCTCCCTTTAAAACACTTTTGACTGCTCTCTGGTTTGGCTACTGTTCGTTAGTTGATGCTGAAACTGTTCTTACTGAAGTTTGATTGATAGCCTTAGACGGTAAGGTACAAATAAAGATGGTGTAATATAAAAAAAAATTTTTTTAAGTGAAAGGAACCTTGTGGTGCAGGAAACCTGAAAAACAAAACAAACAAAAAAACTGAATCTTTAGCGGGTTCACCAAGAAGTGAAAATCACATACAAACCTATCGCCCAGAGGCAACCATGATTGCCTTTTGTTTTTTACCAATTTAAAAATTTCTATTCTTATTAGATGTATACAGTTTTATATTGATGTGATTCTACCATATGGGTTGCTTAATAGCCTGCTTTTGGTCACTTTAATTAATGTTAATTTGTTATTATTAATGCTGTGAATATCTTTGCATTCAATGAGTATGTTATTTTCAGAGGCTGTACAGTATTCCATCTAGTTCAAAAAGTCCTATAATTTATTTAACCGATCCCCAATTTATGGACATTTGTTTCCAGTGAAATATAAACAACACTCCATTAAAAGTGTAGAGCACTTTTTAGTATATTCATTTGGTTATTTCTGTAGAATTTATTCCTAGAAGTGAAATTGCTGAATTACAGAGCATACATATCTAAATACGTATATATGTTTTATATCGATTACAAATATATGTATTACTATTTTAATGTAAATGATTTTATATGTATTTAAAATGCCAATGTGAATGTATTACTATTTTAATGCAAATGATTTTATATGTATTTAAAATGCCAATGTGATTGTTAGTTTTATGGGTCAACTTAACTGGGTTAAAGGATACCCAGACAGCTGGTAAAAGATTATTTCTGGGTGTGTCCGCAGGGCGTTTCAGGAAGAGATTAGCATTTGAATCAGGAGACTGAGTGAGGAAGATTTGCCTTCCCCAGTGTAGATGGCCATCATCCAACCACTTTAGGGCCCTGATACAACAAAAAGGCCGAGGAAGGGCAAATTTGCTCTCTCTTCTGCAGCTGGAACATCCATCTTTTTCCCCCATCTTCAGACATCAGAACTCTAGATTTTCTGGCCTTCAGACTCCAGACTTGCTCCAGCACCCTCTGAGCCCCATTCTCCTCTCATTCCCAGGCCTTCTGCTTCAAATTGAGGCTGACAACATTGACTCTCCTGGTTCTCAGACCTCTGGATATGAGACCTCTGGCGCAACTCACCCCTGGCTTGCACCAAACATTCTTAAAATGTTTATTGGGGTCAGGTGCAATGGCTCGCACCTGCAATCCCAGCGCTTTGGGAGGCCAAGGCAGGAGGACTGCTTGAGGCCAGGAGTTCAAGACCAGCCTGTACAACAAGGTGAGACCCCATCTCTACAAAAAAAAAAATATGTATATATATATTCAATATATATATTCATTTATTTTTGAAACAGAGTCTTGCTCTGTCACCCAGGCTGGAGTGCAATGGCACGATCTTGGCTCACTGCAACCTCCACCTCCCGGGTTGAAACAATTCTCCTGCCTCGGCCTCCCAAGCAGATGGATTACAGGTGCCCACCACTATGCCCGGTTAATTTTTGTATTTTTAGTAGAGACAGGGTTTCACCATGTTGGCCAGGCTGGTCTCGAACTCCTGACCTCAGGTGATCTGCTCGCTTCAGCCTCCCAGAGTGCTGGGATTACAGATGTGAGCCATCATGCCCGGCCTGCAAAATATTTAAAAAATTAGTCTGGCGTGGTGGCATGCACCTGTAGTCCTACCTACCTGGGAGGCTGAGGCCAGAAGATCGCTTGAGCCTGGGAGGTCAAGTTTGCCCTGAGTTATGATCTTGCTGCTGCACTCCAGCCTGGGCAACAGAGTGAGACTCTGTCTCAAAAAAAAAAAAAAAAAAAGAAACAGTTTTTTGGCTGTTGGCAATTTTTATGTGAGTTGCTTGTACCTGTCCTATAGGAATTTGATATTTACTCTCTCTCAGAAAGAAAACCCTGCAAGACAGTCCTCTAAGTCTGTTGCTTCTCCTGCATTTTCCTATTAGCAGCACTATCTGTGTAGTTGCCCAGGATAAAGACCTCAGTTTTGGTTTTCACTGCTCTCAACTTCTACTTCCACTCCAAAACTCAGCCTGGTTCATTTCATTTCTGAGATGTTTCTCAAGTAGGTTCTCTTTTCCATGTCCTCAACCCCTGCTCTAGTTCAGGCCCTTCTCTTGTTTTAATTAAGAGGTTCATGGGGATGAAGACCCGAGGCCAGAGTTTGAGTCTCCCCAAGTCCCATAAAGGTACTTATTATTTCCCTTGCTGGACTCTTATTCATCTTTGAATCTGTAGTGCCTGATGCATGATCAAGTACACATAATAGGTCCTTGATAAACAAAGGATGAAATTGTTTTTCTCATCTCCTCTCTCTCTTCAATGAATCCTCTATGTTGTTATAATTATCTAACACACAAATATGATTATGTGATTTTCCTTTTAAGAACTGCTGTGGCTGGGCTTGATGGCTCACATCTGTAATTCCAGTACTTTGGGAGGCCAGGGCGGGAGGATTGCTTGAGCCCAGGAGTTCAAGACCAGCCTGGGCAACAGCACGAGACCCTGACTCCAGCTTAAAAAAAAAAAAAAAAAAAAGAAGAATTGTTGCTAGTGTCTCACTGCCTACAGCAGGGTTTCTCAATTTCAGTACTACTATTTGGCCCAGGTAATTCCTTGGTGGGGGAGGCCGTCCTGTGCATTACAGGATGTTCAGCAGCATCCTTTGCTTCAACCCATGGATGTCAGTAGCACTTCCCTCCCTCCTCCCCTTGGTGAAGACAACCAAATATGTCTCTAGACTTTGACAAATGTTCCCTGGAAGGCAAAATTGCCGCTGGTTGAGAACCACTGACCTACGAGAAAAAGTCAAAACTTAGTTATCATGTCATTCACGACCTGGTCCTAGGCCACCTTTCCCGTCTCATTTCTTGCCTCTCCTGTACCTTCGTGAACGTGCCATGTACCTTAGCGCTGTGTCTTTTCATGTCCTGTGCTCTCGGCACTTCCTTGATTAGGTGGACCAACTGCTACAACCCATAGACAAACGGGTGTTGGCTCAGACACAACTGGTTTGTTTTTGCTCACCTAACAGCGCTCTTTGGTTGAACGCGCTAATGAAACGGACCCCTTCCTACTCTTTCAGCAGTTAAGCGGGCCCGAGACTCTACCAACTTCAAAAACTGTTTCCAAGATGGCCCTGGGGATCATCTCCATTTTACCTAATGAAAGGAGAAAGGACATTGAGAAGAGCATGAAGAAGAATGTTATGGCCAGGATTGAAAAAGCTACACATCCCTTGCCGTCTCATTCTAATTGGTTAGAACTCAGTCATATGACCACACTTAACGGCAAAAACGGATGGAAAACGGTTTAACTGCGTGCTTAGAAGGAGAGCAGAGGTTTTCCTAATCAGCTAGCACTCTCTTCCACAACCTACTTATTAGTTCAGCAAAATTATGGTTATTCTTTCAAGCCCAGCTTACATGTCACTCCTAGGATTATAAATTCGAATGTCCCCATGATATACTATTTTACGTTCTTTGCTTTTTCTAGTGCATATTACGGTATGATTAGTTATGGCATAAAAATCATTTTTTCCTCATCAATTTCTGGGACAGTTCCTGGTAGGTGGTGGGTATATATTTGTGAGAAAAAACAATGAGTAGTATTTAATTATATATTTAATATCATCTCATGAAAATGCCTCAAGGACACACTGAATTTTATTGTCGTTGTTGTTGCTCTTCTAGACTCTGGTCTACGCACCTGCACTAATACAAAAGTGAGCCAGAATTATTTGCAATTTCTGGCAGGACTCTAGCATCATCTGAGGCCTAGGAGAAAAAGGATGAAGTTCCTTTTAGAGACCTGCTTTCCCAGTCTCCCCAAGCCTCAGGCATCTGCCCTACAGGCTATCCACAGATTTGTTTTCCACCGGCTTTCCACACCCTCCACTTCCCCTCCCAGCACAGTTCCCTGTGGGCTCAGTGACTTAATCCTCCCACAGAAGATCTGCATTTAAAAGGGAGTGGGCTGGGCGCGGTGGCTCATGCCTGTAATCCCAACACTTTGGGAGGCTGAGGTGGGTGGATACTGAGGTCAGGAGTTCGAGACCAGCCTGGCCAATACGGCGAAACCCCATTTCTACTAAACATACAAAAATTAGCCGGGCGTGGTGACGGGTACTTATAGTCCCAGCTACTCGGGAGGCTGAGGCAGAAGAATCGCTTGAACCCGGGAGGCGGAGGTTGCATCGAGCCAAGATCGCGCCACTGCGCTCCAGCCTGGGTGACAGAGTGCGACTCCGTATCAAAAAAAAAAAAAAAAAAAAAAAAAAAAAAAGGTAGATGAGTGAGGAATCACTGGCTAGTTAGTTATATTGGGAAAGACCTAGGGGTCCTGATTTTAAAAAGGGCTAAAATGTTGCAGTTGTTTTTTCAAAAATCTACATTTGCAGGGTCTGATGTGGTGACTCATGCGTATAATCTGAACACTTTGTGGGGCTGACGTGGGCGGATGGCTTGAGTCCAGTGGGCGGATGGCTTGAGTCCAGGAGATGAAGTTTGCAGTGAGCTGTGATGGTGTCACTGCACTCCAGCCTGGGTGACAGAGTGAGACCTTGTCTCAAAATAAAAATAAATAAATAAATAAATAAATAAATAAAACCCTACATTTGCACTTTAGCATTTCCCTAGGAAACAAAAGTAATAATTAGATAGAAAAAAAGTCTGCCATGTAAAAATTCTGTAAAATTTGTAAAAAAAAAAATGGGGCTGGGTGCCATGGATTATAGCTGTAATCCCAGCACTTTTGGAGGCTGAGATCGGAGGATCAGTTGAAGCCAGGAGTTCAAGACCTGCCTGAGCAATATAGTGTGACCTTCATCACTACAATAAAAAGAAAAAAAAAAAAAAATCAGTCAGGCATGGTGGGATATGTCTGTAGTCCCAGCTACTCAGGAGGTTGAGTTGAGAGGATCACTTGCCCCCAAGAGTTAGAGACTGCAGTGAGCTATGATTCAGCCACTGCACTCCAGCCTAGGGGACAGAGTGAGACCCTGTCTCTGGAAAAAAAAAAAAAAAAAGGCAGAGGGGAGAGGGGAATTTTGTACCTTAGAAATGAATAATCTTTGGAACTCTGGCTATATCTATCACTGCCAAGGTAAACAGGGATAAGGCCAGGATGTGACTTTGATGCCTGGTGTTCTTATTAACCAAAATGGAGTAAGAATGAAAGTACTTTTGCAGCAAATGTTCAGGGGATTTGAGCACCCATTTAAGGCTGTAACCAAGCCAGAATTTCCTTTTTGAGGCTGGGCAGAATCTGGTCCAAAAACCATGAACAACAGGAATGTTTCTGGTAATTTTTCTCAAATCCACCAGAGGGTTCCCACTGAATTTTCTGACAAACTTAGCCTATACACTGCATCTACAAGACAAGGGAGCATTTATGTAAAGTGTTTCCCCCCGACCTTAGTTACTTTGACAATTCCAACCCTCACTTTCTCCTCTGCTCAGATTGACATCTGAGAAGCAAGACCACAACCGCATACCATTTTATAGATCAGCCTGATTAAAACCAGTTCTCCCTATAGGTCACATCATGTACAAGACACACGGTTTTTGTCAAGAGACCAGCTACCAGCAGAGAAGGTTTTGATGCTATTGCTAGTAAGAAATTAGTAACTAGATCCCTGGTCTCCTTTACGCCAACTTTATAATTATACTGTTTGAGTGGTAAACCAGATCTTTGCGCCAAGGGTAATTTAGAAATTCTAGATCTGTATTCTCTCCCCCCTCCTCCTTTAATGTTCATCCTTGCTGCCTCTCCATCTTCTTCCTTCAAACATATAATTTTCCTCCACTCCCTCCTCACCCTGGCTCCTTGTTTCTGTGACCCTCTGTCACAAAAGGACAAATGCTTCTTGTTCTCCCTCATCCTGGGACATCATGGGTAACAATCAAGTAAGTGTATGCAAAAATCTAATTCAGGAGTGTGTCCTGGCTCTGCAAGGGCATCACCCATGTGGGCTCACCGCTTGCCTCTGGGACTGAAGGTTAACATATGGCCTTATAGTGAGCTTGGGCTGCCCATGTGTCTGCATCCAGGATTTAGCCTCTCTTTTCTAAGACTAGCTCCACACGGGAGACTACTTTCTAGAACTCTTGAACTCTTCTTGATTCTGTAAACTTTTCGTACTCAGAGCTCTTTTGATATAGAAACATTTGTTGGCCCAGGTGCAGTGGCTCATGCCTGTAATCATAGGGAGGTGGGAGGGTCACTTGAGTCCAGCCTGGGCAATATAGCAAGACCCCATCTCTACAAAAACATTTAAAAATTAGCGGGTGTGGTGGTATGCATCTGTAGTCCCAGCTACTTGGGAGGTTTAAGTGGGAGAATTGCTTGAGCCCAGGTGGTTGAGGCTGCAGTGAGCCATGATTGCACAACTGCACTCCAGCCTGGGCAACAGAGAGAGATCCTGTCTCTTAAAAAAAAAAAAAAAAAAAGATTTGTTATATATTAAAACTGGCTGGGTATGGTGGCTCATGCCTGTAATCCCAGCACTTTGGGAGGCCAAGGCAGGCAGATCACCTGACGTCAGGAGTTCGAGACAAGCCTGGCCAACCTGGTGAAACCCCGTCTCTACTAAAAATACAAAAATTAGCCGGGCATGGTGGTGCGCACCTGTAATCCCAGCTACTAGGGAAGCTGAGGCACGAGAATCTCTTGGACTCTGGAGGCAGAGGTTGCAGTGAGCCGAGATCGCGCCACTGCACTCCAGCCTGGGCAACAGAGTGAGACTCTGTCTCAAAAAAAATATAGATTAAAAACTAAAACCAGGGCTTTCCCGGTAAAAATGTTCTGGTCTCACTTGAGTTTTGCATCATGTTCTTCCTTCCCTGTTTTCTTCCTTACCCGCACCCCTACTGGTACAATTGGTTTCCTCTCACCCCCTCTCCTTTTAACCTATCTTTTGAGATGGGTTTTTTTAAAAAAACAAACCTCTTAAGTATACCTTGAAATCCTAAATTTTCATTTTAGCTGAAAGTCATCCAAACCATATGCATTTCAGTTGAATACTCCTGCAATTGGCCTCACTCTGCCAAAGACTTTTTTTTTTTCTTTTTTTGTTAACTGACCAAGTTTCTTTAGAATAAGGCTGGAATCATATTCGATTCCTCCAAGATCTTTTGAGGGATCACCATCACCAAGTTCCAGATTGTTATTTCATGCAGTGCGCTGTGGTTGTTTCATTCTGCTAACTTGGGAGTATTTCTCCTGCAGAATTGCTCACTCTTCTTTCTTTGTGCTTTTTCCTTTTACTCTCCCTCCCCTTTGCTCTTCTCTCAGGTAGACTTTGCCTGGTTTGTCACTCGGTTTGTCTGGTTTGTCTCGTGTTTCCTTCTCTCTCATGAACACTAATCCTCTGCTGAGAAGTCAGGCGGGTGGGTGGCTGCCATACAGCCTCTGTGCTACAGAGGAATAGCCAACATTTCCCTCAGAGACAGCTGTTTTCCATTTCAGGAGTATCAACATTGTGGCTTTGTTGATTGTCTTTTCACCTCCAGGTTTGGCCTTGTTTGTAGCTGAAACATAACTATTTTCCCTAAGCCTTTCAGGGCCACTGCTCCAGCTCTGTCGGCTGCAAGCCCTGTGTGTGTGTGCATCCTGCCATGCAGACACCACCGGAGTCCCCATCAGTCACACACCCCTCCAACCCAGGGGAGAAATTAAGGCAATTGTGCTAAGGCCCACTGGTGAGGAAAATTGGCTGATCAAATTATTACTAAATGGCTTTTCCAATCTTCTCATTATTCTGTGAGAAAGGGGTGATTTCTGCAGCTTGTCAGAGCCTGGTCCCTTGTCCAGAGATAAAACCAAATCCACAAAAATCCTGTGAATGGAGAGGTTTGGTGGCTATACCTTGGAAACAAACCACAGGACCTAATTCAGCAGGGCTGCCCCTTGGTACAGAATGCAACCAATTTTTGCCTGTTTTAAGTGAAAGCATCCCAAGATGGGAAAGTATATTCTGAGAGTGGAATGCTTTGTAGTTACTGGTACTTAAGGGATGGTGGGCGTGTTAATAAATGATTGTGCTTCTCAAAAGTTATCCCTTTCTGCTCCCGGGTTACTTCTCCTGAGGGAGTCCAGTGATAAAGATCATTAATATGTTTCCTGTAACTGAATCAAAGGGAAGCTTTGCTATCTGCATTGTGTGTGCCAGATTACGGTGTCCACTTATTAACTCTTTGATAGTCATAATGACCACAGAGCTTTTATATATATACATATATATTTACATACATAGCCACAAAGACATATGTATATATTGCACATACATCACATATATATAAAGTCTTCGTGTATATTTCTATTTGTCTGTATTTTCTTCTTTAAGAGTCAGGATGTTGTTTTGTTGCTCAGGCTGGAGTGCAGTGGTGTGATCATAGCTCACTGTAGCCTACTGCTGGGCTCAAGCAATCCTTCCTCCTCAGCCTCCTGAGTAGCTGGGACTATAGGCATGTACCACCACAACTGGCTAATTGTATTTTACTTTTTGTAGAGATGGGATCTTGCTGTGTTGCCCAGGCTGATCTTGAATTCCTGTGCTCAGGTGACCCTCCTGCCTTGGCCTCTCCAAATGCTGGGTTTATAGGCGTGAGCCACCGCGCCTGGTCTGTCTGCGTATTTAACCTGGATCCGCAAATACCTGTGTGAATGTGGATATGTCACTTGATGTGTCTGTTTCTCAGTTTGCCCATCTGTAAAATGAAGGAGTTGGACAAGCTGGGGTGCTTGGTGATGAGGTGCTTCTGCCTCCTGTGAGACTACTGTGTTCCATTTCCCTCCTCCAGCACAGTTCCGGTCACATGATCGGCTCTCAGTGCAAAATGATGTACCAGTGCATGATAGGAACCACAGGATTGCTGAGATTATGTCCAGTGCTAAGACTCTGTGATTCTTTTGTTTTTAGACAATTTGGCCAGGAAGTGACCAGCAATGGAAAAAGGGAAATAATCAGCACATCTGCATGTGTGCCCATCTCAGAGACACAAACTGTGAATAACAACTCACTTGGCTTCATAACCAAGACCTACTCTGAGGAATTGCATCTCTTCCTTGGAGACCTTGATTGGCCTGCTAGGTTAAAGGCAAGGGACAGATTTAATCTAGATTGACTTTAGCAAGACTTTTGACTCAGTCTTGGGCAACATACTTATCAATAAACCTTGGTCGAGGCCCTTTTGCCTCTCACCCAGTTTGCTTATTTACCTCATTCTGACACATCTTGCATATGGCTGCCAACTTAAACCTCTTAAATGTCACTCTCTTTAAAAGTTAGGAGTGGCTCTCAGAGGCCTTTCTTCTGATGATTTCCAAGTCCCTCACCTTGGCATTCAGGCTTTATTGGGTTTTCTGCCACCTTTTCCTTCCAACTTCATTTCTAGGAGTCTCCCACAGACCTGTCTCTCAAATAAGAACAATCTTCTAGTTGCTTTTTCCCTCCCAGGGGTGCCCCCCACCACACCCTGTGCTTGTTCTTGCTCCAGGTAAACCCTGAATACTTTCTGATACAAAGCCAATGATTCCTCCCTGCATCCTGATCCATCCTTTAAAGCCCAGATCAAGACCTGTCTCCCTTGGCCAGGCACAGTGGCGCATGTCTATAATCTCAGCACTTTGGGAGGCCAAGGTGGGAGAATGGCTTAAGCCCAGGAGTTCAAGACCAGCCTGGGCAGCATAGCAAGATCTCATCTCCCAAAAAATAAAAAAAAAAAAAAAGAAAATTAGCTGGGCATGGTGGTATATGCCTGTAGTCCCAGCTACCTGGGAGGCTGACGAGGGAGGATCACTTGAGCCAAGGAGTTGGAGGTTGCAGTGAGCTATGATTGCCCCACTGCACTGCAGCCTGGGTGACAGACTGACTGAGAGAATGAGAACTTATTTCAACAACGTCAATAACAACAAAGAACCTGTCTCAGCCATTAAGGTTTCCTGATGAGCCTGTTTTGGAGGGATCTCTCCTTCCTCTGGTTTTCTGAGTCGCTGTAGACTATAGACACTATCTTGCCCTTGTTCCTACTAGGCATTTCACTAAATTCTTGGAGGAGTCTGAGAGAACTTGGGGGTGCTTGAGGAACCCAAAGGTGTGAAGTAAAAGCTGGAAACCAAGATTGCTGGGAAAGTTCAGAGAAAGTAGAGATTACTTCGTTTGTTGGAGATCACATGCAAGGTAATGATATAGGAGGTAGAAAGAAATTAGGCAGAGAGTGAGGGCAACAGAGTCCTTGGCAGAGCTTCCCTTTTAGCAAAAAAGCAGCCCAAGAAATTATTTTTTTTCTAACAAAGAGCACCCTGAAAAATCCAGCTGCAAAAATAGATACTGGAAACTTGCATGGGGGAATGCTGGCAGCTGTGCCAACAGAAAAGGGCTACCTCGGGACCAGGAATGTCCAACATGGAAGCTCCATCTTTTCTTTTTTTTTTTTGTTACCACGTGTACTGTTACTACGTGTACAGTAAAGCAATGGGCAACATGGCGCAGGCCAGGCATAATAAAAGATTAGGGTGGGGGTGGCCAGAAATTCGTACCCTATGCAAATGGCACACCGGGTCCAACCAGTCTTTCTTGCCCTGTGTAAATCAGACACTACCTCCTCACCAGCTCAGCTATAAAACCCCCTGCATTTCACTGTTGAACTGGCAAACCATTTCTCCAGGACCCCTCTCTGCATCAGAGAGCTATTCTCTTTCTTTTGCTTATTAAACTTCTGCTCTTAACCTCACTCTTTTGTGCGCCTGCGTCCTTGTTCTCCTTGGCTGTGAGACCACGAACCTCGGGTGATACTCCAGACAACGAAGCCATTTCAGTAATTTCATAAGAATCTAAGTGTATAATTAGGTATCAAGTCTACATTGTCACTGACAGTGCGTCAAGGAAAATAGAAATGGTTTACCAGGGGAGGCACTAAAACGTCCTTTACTTTGTCATATCTTTAAGGTTGATGAGGTTCTCATTTACTTGTGGTTTAGGAAAAGCACTGATCAAAGACAGAAATTTGAAAACATGCCCTACTTCAGTGGTCCAACTTAGGCCAAAGTCTTAATGCTTTTAAAGTAACGCTGACAGATATTTGATTTGATAAAATAAAAATTAAGTTAAAAATAAATTATAAACATACTGGTGATATTTCACTTGATAAGTTAAAAAATAAATTGTAAAGATACTGGGTATTTAGAAACCAATTTCATAATCCCGTGAAAATTTTCCTATATTTCTCTTAAGCTAGGGAATGACAACAATATTAAAATTTGCTGGGTTAATAGTTGTTGTTGTTTTTTTTTTTTTTTTTTTTTTTAAGACGGAGTCTCGCTCTGTAGCCCAGGCTGGAGTGCAGTGGTGCGATCTCCGCTCACTGCAAGCTCCACCTCCTGGGTTCATGCCATTCTCCTGCCTCAGCCTCCCGAGTAGCTGGGACTATAGGCACCCACCACCACGCCCAGCTAATTTTTTTGTATTTTTAGTAGAGACAGGGTTTCACTGTGTTCGCCAGGATGGTCTCGATCTTCTGACCTCGTGATCCGCCCACCTCAGCCTCCCAAAGTGCTGGGATTACAGGCTGGTTAATAGATCTTATATACAAATATCACCGGATGCGGCGGCTCACGCCTGTAATCAGCACTTTGGGAGGCTGAGGCAGGTGGATCACTTGAGGCCAGGAGTTCGAGACCAGCCTGGGCAACATGGTGAGACCCCATCTCTACCAAAAATAGAAAAAGTAGGCCAGCATGGTGGCCTGCACCTGTAATCCCAGTTATTCATCAGGCTGGGGCATGAGAATTGCTTGAGCCCAGGAGGCGGAGGTTGCAGGGAGCCGAGATCGCACCACTGCACTCCAGCCCAGGAGACAGAGTGAGACTCTGTCTCAAAAGAAAACAAAACAAACAAATATGTAGTTACTTACGGGATTAGTTATAAAAACAGACAATAGATGTGGAAGCACTCTGACAAAGTTAAGAAGACCCCAGAAAGAGAGATATTTTTATTCTTAGAAACCATCTTTTTTTTGGACTTGTTTTTGTTCTAATGTAACCCTCAGGTAAATGACAGCCAGCCTTCCTAACTAGGGGGTAAGTTTGACTCAAACAAGTGATTAACCATTACCCTGCCTCTGTCTTAAGACTTAGTGAATGAAATCTCCTATCTCTGGCAGCAACCCTCTCCACTCATCTTTTATTGGATTCTTGGGCAAAGTTTGTTTTTCATCTCAGTTACTTTGCCTCCTTTTTATAGGGAGTCTACTCCGAGATCAAAGGCAACCTATAGCAATTTATGAGAAATGAAGGAAGTGGGAGAGATGCTAAGTTACTTTAAGGGATGTTCTGAAATCATGAATCTAGCTGGAATAGCTGGTGTTGGCTGTGTCCAGAAGAGCTGGGACAAGGTACTGCTTTTTGGTGTGGGGAGAGGGACATGAGAGCTTGCTCTTTGGAACATCGGCCTTCATGCCAAGTCTGATGGGTGCTTCCTAATGCTGAATAAGCCTCGGAGTCACCTGGGTTCCTTTTAATTTAAAAATGTATTTTAAAATTTTTGTGGGCACATAGTAGGTGTACATATTTGCAGGGTACATGAGATGTTTTGATACAGGCAGGCAATTTATGAAGAATGGGGTATCCATCCTCTCAAACATCTATCCTATGTGTTACAAACAACCCAATTATACTCTTTTAGTTATTTAGAAATGTATATTAAATTGCTATTGACTATAGTTGCCCTGTTGTGCAATCAAATAGTATGTCTTACTCATTTTTTTTTTTTTGGTACCCATTAACCATCGCCACCTCCCTCCAAGCTCCCTACTCCTTTTTCTTGCCCTGTTGCCCAGGCTAGAGTGCAGTGGCATGATCATGGCTCACTGCAGCCTTGGATTCCTGGCCTTTTAAGTGATCCTCCTGCCTCAGCCTCCTGAGTAGCTAGGACTACAGGTGCATGCCACCATGCCCAGCTAACTTCTTTTATTTTTTTTTTATTTTTGAGATGAAGTCTCACTCTGTCGCCCAGACTGGAGTGCAGTGGTGCAAAATCTTGGCTCACTGCAACCTCTGCCTCCCTGCAACTTCTGCCTCCCGGGTTCAAGCAATTCTCCTGCCTCAGCCTCTTGAGTAGCTGAGATTATAGGCACTTGCCACCATGGCTGGCTAATTTTTTTTTTTTTTTTCGTATTTTTAGTATAGACAGGATTTCCACATGTCGCCCAGGCTGATCTCAGACTCCTGACCTGGATCTTCCCACCTCAGCCACTGAACGTGCTGGGATTACAGGTATGAGCCCCCACACATGGCTACCTTGGGTTTCTTTTGAATGATGCAGATGGTTGGGCCTTACTTAAATGATTCTTCAGGTCCCTAGTGAGTCCAAAGCTTTCGTATCTCAAAGTGTTACAAGTGTCTGGAGGCTCAAACAGCCTCGAGAATCACTGATCTATGTCCCTGATGTCTAGCAGTCTCTTTAAGTCGGTCCTCTTCCCTACAAATATGCTTATATTTTTCAGAGGACTCCTAAATAAGTCCTTGGTTAATCCTGAGTCTGGTTCATTCACTGGCAAAGAACAAAGAGAAAATTTACAAACACGAGAAGGCCTCAGAAGTCAGACTACATAAATTATTTTGGAAAAGGCTTTTCCTTCTTGTATGATTTTCAGAGGGACTTTGGGAAACACACACACACACACACACACACACACACAGAGTCTGGGAGACAAAGTAAACAGGAAAGAAAAGATAGTCTTTTATTGCTTGACGGTTTAAGTGAAAAAAAGTTTATTTCAAAAAATATTTTGACTCCCCCTTTTTTCCCTTTAAAAGTGCATCAAGCTATTTTTAGGAGGGCAGGGTGGCTGGTTTTGGGGGACGAATGAAAGCATGACATCACCATGCTATTTTGGTAGCGCAAGAAGAGAAACATGCCAGGCTAGGTTGGCTTGGGCTTGGTTCTGTGTGTTTGGGAGCTGAATCGCGTCTTTTTCTAATTTGGTTTCTCTCAGAGCTGTGGCTCTTCACTGGAGACTGGAAGCATAATATTTATTCAAAGCTAATTTGTAAACTTCATTTTCAGTTGAAGGTCTGGAATGGAAACTCCTATTGTGATCTTAAGGGCTGTAACCCAGAGAATCTGGTTCTTCCTGGAGTATTTCAGCAGGGATCAGGTTTGCAGACTTTTTCTCAAGGGCCCCAACGAGAAACCTGACTGCCTGCTCTATTTTAGGTCAACTGTGGGGTATCGGTTTGGAAAGCAAATTCTTAACCTGAACTTTTTGTTGCTGATAAGGCTTTGCGGCTAGCAAAGAGGTAGCTTTCTCACTCATTTAGATTTTGCAGTGGAATCGCTCCCTGCATGTGTATTATTGTCAGCAACTCCTATTTTCCCCAGAGAGGTTTTGAAATGTTCTTTCTGAATGTTCATGTTTATAACTTTTCTCAAGTGGAGCTCCTGCTTCCTAAAACACATTCAGCTTGTTCAAGAACTTGCCCCCACCTCCCACCCCTGGAGACAAAAGTATACCTTTGTGTGCATCTGTTAAGCCTAAGATGTCTGAGATGGTTGTTTTCTAAACTAACTCACCAATCGCTTTATCATTAAAAGCAGCATTTTACTCTCATGTTCCTAACCTATTTATGGGTCTGTGATAGATGGTTATTTTTTTGGCAGGCTTGAGATAAGCCTGGGTCAAGGAAACAGCTTGTGTTCGTCTCTTTAAGCCTCACTCATCCTTGCCATATCATTTCATGATTTCCTTTCCTGTTATCTTCAAACATTCCCTCAAAGCAGAAATTGACAAGAGCGAGGAGGTTGGGAAAGGGCTGGCAAAGCAGTTGTTTTTCTTCGTGTTCTAAAATGGATGTTTTCCTTTCCCCCACAACCCCCACTCCCACCCCACTTGCAACCTTTCTTTTTTATTACCCACCCCTGGGTCTCTAAAGATGATGGAAAAAAATAACTCCTTTCCCTCTTTAAAGAAGGGTCCCTAAGAGGTTTCTAATCAGCTCACTGTCAGCCTGTTTCCTCTGATCAGCTTAAATAGGTCTACTTGAAGTTCACAACTGCCAAAACCGCGTGTTCAGACTGAAAGGCTGGGAGCATTTCAGACGCATTTATGAACTTCCACCAAGATGATCCGGCAGGCTGAAATCGCAGGGAGAGCGTCTGTTCAACAAACCCTTTCTTCTTGATTGAATTAGTGTTACCCACTAACAGGATGAGGAATTCCCACTCCACAAGCTGACTTTTTTTCCTCTTTCCACCTCCCGCCTCCCTCCATTAAAATGTAAACTTGATTCCTGTGTCCTTTGCCGGAGCCTGGCTTCCCTGTAAGCCCATCATAAACATCTTGGTAGAAATGCAACTTTTAACCTCTCCTTGATGGTTTTCCGTCTAACTTTATACATGGGGAAAAAATGGTGAAAGACGTTATCTCTGGCGGGTGCAGGCGTGTAGGGGCAGGAAGTTTCTGCACTGTGGCTGCTCTGGTCCTTTCGTAACTGAGGTTTTCCTGCCCTGTCCTTTAGCAAAGAATGGCTTTGTTAACCATTAGCCACTGACAAGAGTGTGTCCATTTCAGCAAAATTAATAAGAGATAGCATTTTTCTTCCTTCTAAATGGCCCATGTCAGTAATTAACATCGCCTTTCATTACTCAACTTGAAAGCGCCTTCTCGGCCTCCCTCTGACCTTGCCCTGGCTTTGTTAAACTGTGGCCTCCAGCCTGTGAGAGACCTAAATGCAGAAAAAGTTTTGTGACCGAGATGCCTTGAAAGAATCATTCGACAAATATTTATTGAGTGCCTACTGTGTGGGGCTACCAAGTTGAATCAGACATAAACTCTAATGGAGGAAAAAAGAAAAAAACTGGGAGAAAAGATAAAAGGGGTTTGTTTAAAATAGCCCTAAGATAACAGATAATGATGGTTACCCCAGGACAGGAGCAGATCCGGTGTTGTGGGGGCCTGGGCTAATCGAGATGGCCGAGGGGAAAGTGGGTGAAAGTTTTATGGAAAAAGGGACAATTGAGAGAAACATTATAACGGAGTTCAGAGCAAAAAAGGAATATAAAAGTTCAAAAGAGCTTTCCTTACTCTTAGGGAATGAGGGAAGGCGTAACTTCATAGAGAATATATGTTTAAAGCTCAAGAGAGAACTTTCCCCCTTCTTGGTTGGCTGCTTGAACGTATACCTAGCCAATGAGGAGTTCACCATTGAAATGTTAATCATTGCACTAAAGTCTAGTTTAGCCAACCCTCACCCAAAAGTGTGTGAAATATTTTCCTGTTATGTTTTCCCCGCCAGGAGAATTCTTGGTCACAGGGGTAGAAGTGTCACATTAGGGTGAGTTGAATTAGACTCTATGTTCTTCATGACTATAACCATGAACTCCATTGTTCATGGAGCCACCCGGAAAAGCCCAAATGCCCAGGAGGAAAGAATCCGTGGAAAAAATTATGGTGCAGCATCGGATGGCATCTACTTGCAACCAGGATGGTGAAGATTTTTAATGGTTTGTGAAAAAGCAAAAATGTCATATTCTTATTTTTGTGAAGAATGTGAATATTTTCATATTGAGAAGTACAGACTAGAAGACTAAACATTAAAATGTGATTAATAGTTATTGGTAGGTGCTGGAGAAACAAATGATTTGTATATTTCTTCCCTGTGATTTTCAGGATTTTCCAAAATGTTTACAATGCACAGGTGTTACTTTTGCAATCAGGTAAAATGCTATTAAAGAATAAGGATGCTGAGGGAAAAAAGGACTTCTTTATTAAGGGGAGAATTTAAATGTAGATAATTATGAAAATGGCTGGGAGAATTCTTTCCTGTGCCACGTTGAATGCCATCAGTTTTAAAAACAGAAAAACTGCACAACCCTGCAATCAGAACCGAACACGAGAGTCTGTTTTAAGTAACAATGACTATCATTCAATAAACTCGATGGGAGATTTCCCTTTCAGCTAAAAATTTGTCAGTTGATTTTTTTAGAAATTCTTGCAGTGAAAGAATCATTTCTCCTTGTCTCAGATGGAGTGTAGCTCTCGTAGATTTTGGGTTCTGAATTATTCAAGGGTCAAAAATCTACTACAAGGTTGTCCTGATTACTTTTTTTTTTTTTGTAAATTCTTTGTTATTGTACTCTTGCTCGAGCCTAAAGATACAAAAATCTAAAGTCCAGCTATTCATCTAATTATGGCCTTCACTAAATAATAGATACAAATAAAGAGGTTTCTTGTGCATAAATGAACAAGAAACCTCTTTATTTGTATCTATTATTTCGTAGTTTTCTTCTACTCAAATGGCATAAATCAGATAAGTTATTTATTTCACAATTGGTGGCAAGTCTGCAAAAGTCGCCCAAATTGTGATGCAGCTGTCTGCAGATCATAAGCAGAGGAAACAGCTTCTGCTTTCATTCAAATCCTGGGCCCTGCTATTTGCAATAGAAAAGCTAAGTTGGATGTGGGGGTGGGATGGAGGTGACAGAGAGAAGGCAGAGAAATGGGAAAAATGCAAACCTGTAGTTCAGGTTAAAATTGGTTTCCAGCTTCTTTTGGCATTTTGTATCATTTATGCCTCACAATATGAAAAGCAACAACCACCCCTGCGGGTGCCCCTCCCCCAGGCCTGGATTGTTTTTTTTGTCATCTGAGTCATTCAGAATTGTGGGGCAGAAAACACATAAACAGAATGAGAAATGCTGTTTGCCATGAGCACGCAACTTTTAAAACTGTTTCAGGCCTTGAAAGAAGGTTCCTTCCTTTTCTCCTTCCAAAGACTCAAAAAGAAAAAAGAAACTCAAGAAAATACTTCTGTCTTTACAATGAAAGGATTCACGTCCTGTCTGTCCCTGGCAGCCGGAAAGAACAGAGTTGCTGGCTGAGAAGTCAGAGGTGACTTAGGGAGAGAAGTCCAGCCCCAGAGCGGAAAGGCTGGCGGTCAGTAGGGATAACATGGTCTCCACTGAACCTAGGCTGGGGGCAGGAGCGGGGAGCGGGGAGGGAGAAGGGGAGCAGATCTGATTGACCTTGTCCTTGGGAGTCTCAGGAATGTGAAGGAACAATCTCCTTCGAACCTGTTTTGTACCAACTAGTGTCCCAGATACTTAGAAATATTTTCTTCTCCCTCCTTGCCTTGCTTCCTGGGAGTTTATAGGAAACCCAAATTTAAAACATGAACAAAAGCGAAAACCGAATCAGGTAGGTGGGAGAAGAGAATACGGATAATGCACTGCAAGCTTGCTATGGTTGACCAAGCAAGTTAACTCTGAACTTCACAGCATCAAATGCAAAACAAGGGGGTGGGTTGGCAGTGAGTGGAGGAAGCGGACCCACAGTTGTGTATTTTTGGTTCTTTGTGAGGAAGATGGCATGCCCACAGGAAGAGAAAAACCTTGGCCACCACTGGATAGAAAATTCTCCTGTGTTGCTTTATGTAGGAGACGTTTGAAATGTGGTTGAAAATGTACTAGGAAACGTTTCTAAGTGCTTTGCTTTTCCTTGAAACTTTTTGGCCTTCTCTGTCCATTCAACCTTGGTTATTAAAATTTATTCTCTGATATTTCATCCTATAGCTTCTTGTGTAGAGATGAACATACGAAACTCAATCATTTGTATCCCTACAGAAGACTTTTTTTTTTTTGGAGATGGAGTCTTGCTCTGTTGCCCAGGCTGGAGTGCAGTGGCACGATCTCAGCTCACTGCAACCTCCACCTCCCGGGTTCAACTGATTCTCCTGCCTCAGCCTCCCAAGTAGCTGGGACTAGAGGTGCCTGCCACCAAGCCTGGCTAATTTTTGTATTTGTAGTAGAGACGGGGGGGTTCACGATGTTGGCCAGGCTGGTTTCAAATTCCTAAGCTCAAGTGATCCACCTGCCCTGTCCTCCCAAAGTGCTGGGATTCCAGGCTTGAGCCACTATGCCCGGCCAACAGTAGACAATCAAAATTGTCAGAGATGCTTGAACTAGAGCGACTCCATCTTGAATAGAGGCTGGGTAAAATGAGGCTGACACCTACTGAGCTGCATTCCTAGAAATAAAGGCTTTCTAAGTCACAGGATGAGATAGGAGGTTGGCACAAAGTACAGGTCACAAAGGCCTTGCTGATAAAAGGATGCGGTAAAGAGGCTGTCCAAAACCTACCCAAACCATGATGGAGAGAAAAGTGACCTCTGGTCATCCTCACTGCTCATTATACGCCAATTACAATGCATTAGCATGCTAGAAGACACTCCCACCAGTGCCATGACAGTTTACAGATGCCATGGCAATGTCTACCTTATATAGTCTAAAAAGGGGAGGAGCCCTCAGTTCTGGGAATTGCCCACCCCTTTCCGGGAAAACTCATTAATTATCTACTCCTTGTTTAGCATAAAATCAAGAAACAACCATAAAAATAGCCGACCAGCAGCCCTTGGGGCTGCTTTGCCTATCGGGTAGCCATTCTTTTATTTCTTCACTTCTCTAATAAACTTGCTTTTCACCTTACTCTGGATTTGCCTTGAATTTTTTCTTGCGAGAGATCCAAGAATCCCCTCTTGGGGTCTAGTTCGGGATCCCTTTCTAGAAACAGAATTGCAATACCACACATGGTAAGCATTTAACAAACGCCTGTTGAGTGAATGGGTGAAAAATAGTAATTCAATGTACCGTCAATAAACAGTTAGAGAAAGTCTTGAAAATATTTTAAGTGGGGTGTGGTGGTTCATGCCTGTCATCCCAGCCCTTTGGGAGACCTGATGTGGGAGGAGCGCTTGAGGCCAGTAGTTCCAGGCTGCAGTGAGCTATGATCACATCACTGAACTCCAGAGTAAGACCCTGTCAACAAAAAAGAAAAGAAAAGAAAGAGAAAAAGAAAGAAAAAGTAATTTAGTTATGGTGGTAAAAGAATTGAAAGAAAGAAAGAAAGAAAGAGAACGAAAGGGAGAAAGGAGGGAAGGAGGAAGGGAGGGAGGAAGGAAGCAAGCAAGGAAGGAAGGAAGGATTTTAGTTAGGTGGTAAAATAATTGACTCTTCCTCTGCCTCCACACAGCCTGCAAGCAGCAGCTGGTGCCCAGCGTGCAAATGTATCACTACCAGCACCAGAGGTTAACAGATACTACAGCTGGAGCTGCAGAAAGAGCCTCCTGAGGAGCTGGACTCTGCAGATGAGAATGAAAGCAGTGACTTTATGGTGTACAGGTGTCCAGGCGTGGCCCCGAACAGGGAGATGGTGGTGTGCAACCCTCTTTTTGGCCACTTCTCGCTGTCAGTGCCTCTGCTGGGCCCACGCCCACTGCCCCACTGAAGTGACCCCCAAGGCTGCAGGACACCCACCTGCTCCATGAGTGGGGAGAGGCAGGGCCCACGCTTCTCATTACAAAAATATGTTCTGACACTCTGAGTACTTGTGGCTGGGCTGGAGAGGCATTGGGCCCTGGGATCTCTTGCCAGGGAGACAACCCCCCTGCAACTTTGTGCTAGGTAATCTTCTGTCCCCTCTTGTGTCTCTTCTTTCCAGTCTGGACCTTCAAATTGGAGGGGGTGAGGAGAACCCTAAAGCCCAGGCATCGATGGGGAATTCTGGAGACAAAAGCTAATTAAAGTTCATTTCAAACCTGTGGGGAGAAAAATTCTAGACATAAACCTAATGTAAAGAAACACATAAAATTTTATTGGAAGACAAAAGAAAAGTGGAATGAGCACACATATCATGTTTTTGGATGGTAAGAATAAAAATTGTGAAAGTGTCAATTTTTTTCTAAATCATCTATTAATTCAATGCAACCTCATGAAAAATTACAAAGGGATTGTTTTAGTCCATTTTATGTTGCTATAACAACACCACAGACTGGGTAATTTATAATAAGCAGAAATTTGTTTGGCTCATAGTTCTGGAGGCTGGGAAGTCCAAGAGCATGGTGCCAGCATTTGGTGAGAGCCTTGGTGCTGCATCATCCCATGGCAGGAGTTGATAGGACAAGAGAGAGGGCTAGAGTAAGACAGGGAAGGTGATCCAAATGTATTCTTTTATCAGGAATCCACTCTTGAGATAACTAACCCACTCCTGCAATAACTTCATTAATTCATTTATGTAGTGCCCTCCTGACCTAATCACCTCTTAAAGGTCTCATCTCTCAACATTGTTGCACTGGGCTTTAAATTTCCAACACATGAACTTTGGGGGGCCACATTCAGACCATAACAGGGATATTTTATGAAATTTGACAAGCTGATCTGCTAGTTTATATAGAATGGAAAATACACAGATTAATAAAATAGATTTAAATTTCTTTTTTTTCTAGAGACAGGGTCTCACTTTGTCACCCAGGTGGGAGTACAGTGGTATGATCATAGCTCACTGCAGCCTCCAACTCCTGGGCTCAGCCAGTCCTCCTGCTTCATCCTCCCAAGTAGCTGGAACTATAGGCATACACCACCACATCTGGCTAATTAAAACTTTTATTTTTTATCTTTTTGGTAGAGACGGGGTCTTACTATGTTACTCAGGCTGGTGTCAAACTTCTGGCCTCAAGTGATCCTCCTGCCTTATCCTTCCAAAGAGCTGGGATTATAAGCCAACTCACCTGGCCAATAGAAAAGATTGGCACCACTTTTAAAATTTGAATTTTTTGCCAACAATAAAAATTTGAGCTGGGCAGGGTGGCTTACGCCTGTAATCTCAGCACTTTGGGAGGTCAAGGCAAGTGGATCACAAGGTCAGGAGTTCGAGACCAGCCTGACCAACATGGTGAAACCCTGTCTCTATCAAAAATACAAAAATTAGCTGGTGTGGTGGCGCACGCCTGTAATCCCAGCTACTCGGGAGGCCGAAACATGAGACTCACTTGAACCCGTGAGGCAGAGGTTGCAGTGAGCCGAGATCACGCCACCGCACCCCAGCCTGGGTGACATAGTGAGACTCCATCGCAAGAAAAAAAAATTGAGGTTTAATGCAGTGATATAAATAAAATATGATCAACAGTTCTGGATAAAATATTTGCAAGCTACATGGTTAATAGAGATTATTATTCATAATAGGTCAGGAGCTCATACAAGTAAAAAAAGGAAAAAAGGCAGAAAGATGGATAAAAATGGAAACAGTCAAGTGATTCACTTAAATCAATCTACATGTGAAAACATTCTTAATCTCGTTAGTAAAACAGTGAACACAGATCAAAGTGTGTCCGGAATTGGTTGTTTCTTGGTCTCACTGACTTCAAGAATGAAGCCTTGGACCCTCACGGTGAGTGTTACAAGTCTTAAGGTGGCGCGTCTGGAGTTTGTTCCTTCTGACGTTCGGATGTGTTCGGAGTTTCTTCCTTCTGGTGGGTTCGTGGTCTCGCTGGCTCAGGAGTGAAGCTGCAGACCTTCCCGGTGAGTGTTACAGCTTTTAAGGCGGCATATCTGCAGTTGTTCGTTCCTCCTGGTGGGCTCATGGTCTCGCTGGCTTCAGGAGTGAAGCTGCAGATCTTCCTGGTGAGTGTTACAGCTCATAAAAGTAGCGTGGACCCAAAGAGTGAGCAGTAGCAAGATTTAACTGCAAAGAGAAAAGAACAAAACCTCCACAGTGTGGAAGAGGGCCCAAGCGGGTTGCCACTGCTGGGTCGGGCTGCCTGCTTTTATTCTCTTATCTGGCCCCACCCACATCCTGCTGATTGGTAGAGCCGAGTGGCCTGTTTTAACAGGGTGCTGATTGGTGCGTTTACAAACCCTCAGCTAGACATAAAGGTTCTCCACAGCCCCATCAGACTCAGGAGCCCAGCTGGCTTCACCCAGTGGATCCCGCACAGGGGCTGCAGGTGGAGCTGCCTGCCAGTCCAGCACCATGCGCTCGCACTCCTCAGCCCTTGGGTGGTCGATGGGACTGGGCGCCGTGGAGCAGGGAGTGGCGCTCGTCGGGGAGGCTCGGGCTGCACAAGAGCCCACGGAGGCGGGGGAAGGCTCAGGGATGGCGGGCTGCAGTCCCGAGGCCTGCCCCGCAGGAAGGCAGCTAAGGCCCGGCGAGAAATCCACCGCAGCGCCGGTGGGCCGGCACTGCTGGGGGACCCAGTACACCCTCCGCAACCGCTGGCCCGGGTGCCAAGTCCCTCACTGCCCAGGGCCGTTAGGACCGGCCGGCTGCTCGGAGTGCGGGGCCCGCCAAGCCCACGCTCACCCGGAACTCCAGCTGGCTCGCAAGCGCGGCGCGCAGCCCCGGTTCCTGCTCGCGCCTCTCCCTCCACACCTCTCTTGCAAGCTGAGGGAGCCGGCTCTGGCCTTGGCCAGCCCAGAAAGGGGCTCCCATAGTGCAGCGCTGGGCTGAAGGGCTCCTCAAGTGCCACCAAAGTGGGAGCCCAGGCAGAGGAGGCGCCGAGAGCTGTGAGGACTGCCAGCACGCTGTCACCTCGCAAAAGTAAGGAAGATCGATTATTTTTCACCCATTAGCTGGGCAATTCAAAAAAATTCTGTTGCATTCCATTTTGGGGGAGTATGCATTGGTAATAGCCTTTTGAAGATTGATTTGGCAGTGTTTATTAAAAGTAAAAATACCTATTTTCTTTGCATCATCACTTCTGTATTTCTGTCCAAGAGAATTCTTTGCACATGTACAAAGTTATACAGGTTGAAAGAGGCATGGGTAAAGATTTTCAATGCAGCATTGTTCATAATTGCAAAAAATTTTCAATTTAAATGTCCATCATTAGGGAAACAAATTGTGATATTTCCAATACTACATAGCATTATGCAGCAGTAAGAGAGAATAAGGTAAGTGGCTGGGCACGGTGGCTCACGCCTGTAATCCCAGCACTTTGGGAGGCCGAAGTGGGCAGATTACTTGAGGTCAAGAGTTTGAGAACAGCCTGGTCAACATGGTGAAACCCCATCTCTACAAAAACACAAAAAATTAGCTGGACATGGTGGTGTGTGCCTGTAATCCCAGCTACTTGGGAGGCTGAGGTAGGATAATCGCTTAAACTTGGAGGCAGAGGTTGCAGTGAGCTGAGATTGCGCCACTGCACTCCAACCTGAGTGAACCAAAAAAAAAAAAAAAAAAAAAAAAAAAAAAACGAGAGAGAGAGACTAAGGTAGACCTGTAAAGACTAAGGTAGACCTATAGTGATCCACTCACCTCAGCCTCATCACTTGAGATCAGGAGTTTGAGACCGGCCTGGCCAACATGGTGAAATCCCGTTTCTACAAAAATACAAAAAATTAGCCAGGCGTGGTGGCGCATGCAATCCCAGCTACTCAGGAGGCTGAGGCAGGAGAATTGCTTGAACCCTCAGGGTGAAGGTTGCAGTGAGCTGAGATCGCGCCACCGCACTCCAGCCTGGGCAACCAAAAAAAAAAAAAAAAAAAAAAGAGAGAGTGAGACAGAGGCTAAGGTAGAGACCTTAGTACTGACATGGAAAGATTAATAAGACATATTTTTATGTGACAAAGTACACATTGAGCAATATGTACAGTTTAATGCTATTTATATACCTCCGGTGTGTGTGTCTGTTTGTGCGTTTGTGTGTATGTATGAATGCACATGTACAACTGCATAGAAAAAAAGCCTAAAATTTACATACCAAGCTGTAATAGTGCTTTCTGTGGGGGTGTGTGTTGTGATTGGGGCCGGGGGAGGGAGGAGGTAAAAGTGGTTCTTTTTTGTAGTCGATATACTTCTGTATTGTATGAAAACTTAAAATAATATATTCATTCTTAATTAAGCCATTAAACATTGTTTTTTAAAACCAATATATCAAGAGCCGATACATTTTTCATAAAGACATTTTACCCAAATTTAGTTAAGGTAAAAAGGTTTAATGCAGTGAAATAAGAAAAATATGATCAACAGTCTCAGGTAAAATATTTGCAAGCTACATGATTGATAAAGATTATTATTCATAATATGTAAGGAGCTCATACATATAAATAAAAAGGGGCAAAGGTAGAAAGATGGAGAAAAATGGAAACAGTCAAGTGAATTCAGGAATTCATCATCATCGCGATAAATGGAGTCTTTTTTGGCCTCCTTTTCTGAAAGGATTTATTTTCTTAAACTCTGATCCCCCTTCGCCCAACCATCCCACCCCGGAGCCCTTCTCCCTTTTTAATTTCAGTAAGAAAAGCTCCTAGGAGATGTATTAATAGTTTCTTTCTTTTTTTTTTTTTTTTTTTTGAGACGGAGTCTTGCTTTGTCGCCCAGGCTGGAGTGCAGTGGCGCGATCTCCGCTCACTGCAAACTCCGCCTTTCAGGTTCACGCCATTCTCCTGCCTCAGCCTCCCGAGTAGCTGGGACTACAGGCGCCCGGCTGATTTTTTGTATTTTTAGTAGAGACGGGGTCTCACCGTGTTAGCCAGGATGGTCTCGATCTCCTGACCTCGTGATCGGCCCGCCTCGGCCTGCCAAAGTGCTGAGATGACAGGCATGAGCCACCGCGCCCGGCCATGTTGATAGTTTCTGAAGTGGTGGAAGGATCAGGGAGTGAGGACAGTCTTCAATCCTTGACCCATAACTACCATTTAGGTACGGATTTACGTCCTCACTACCCAAGCAGAGATTTTAAAGCTCTTAAGTTCTTCCCCCTCCACTGCTCTCCTCAAGGTGACGTAATCATACAAAGAGGTCAGCTAGGAAAAGGATCTGGGTAACTCACACCAGGACAGTTAGTTCCTGCATGATTGAAAGCTGGCTAGTTGGATTTCATTCAAAGGTAATGACCACATTTCCTTAAAAAAAAAATTGGCAAAACGTTACGTTTGGTGGCCTGGTGCATAAATCAACATCCGACAACCCCCCTTCCCCAAAATGGATAATGCTCAAAAATGAGACACATTTGTAGGCCTCTTGGGTATCTTTGTTTGAATGACCCTTTTTTTTCCTCCTGACCTGTACTCTCCACACTGTATATCAAAACCCACAGACTTTATTCCCTCTCCCCCTTCCCACCCCTTTAAGAAATTTATTTGTGCTTCACTCATTTCATGTAACCCTCTGCTTCTGTGCTCGAAGCAGAAGAAAGAGTTTAGTGTCTAAAAAATAGCCCTTGAGCAAGACAGCTCCTAAACAAACTCCCATCTCCTCTGCCAGCCCAAGGAGCGTTTCTCTTACAGTTTACACAAGAAGTTGTTAAAAAACAAAGAGTGAGCTGATCTGATATCCAATAAAGTCACATTTGATTTACTTCCTTGTGAAAATCCTTACTCAATAGGCTTTCCAGTGAATTTTTAAATGAACACTTTTGTTGGAGTTTGTATGTGTGTATATGTGCACATGTAAGAGGGAAGCTTCCTTTAAACATGTTAAAATACCTGTTATGGTTTTAGGGGATTTGTGTACAGATGCATTATGATATCAATTGTATACTACAGAGAAAACCATTTTTATTACCTTCAAATGAAGACCTATGCAGTGGATCTGTCTGTCGACTTAAAAGGAAGAAGCTGAGGCAAAATTGGTATAAGTAGAGACATAATTTGGGCCAAGCTTGAGAATTGCAACCCAGAAGCATAGATTCAGATTCAAGTTGCCCTGAATATATACTCTGGTTAGCAGCAGTTACAAGTAGACTTTTAAAGGCAAAAAAAGGGGGACAGGGCCTGGTGAGGTGGCTCATGCCTGTAATCCCAGCACTTTGGGAGGCGGGCGGATCACGAGGTCAAGAGATCAAGGCCATCTTGGCCAACATGGTGAAATCCCATCCCTGCTAAAAATACAAAAATTAGCTGGATGTGGTGGTGTGCGCCTGTAGTCCCAGCTACTCGGGAGGCTGAGGCAGGAGAATCACTTGAACCCAGGAGGCAGAGGTTGCAGTGAGCCAAGATCGCACCACTGTACTCCAGCCTGGGTGACAGAGCGAGACTCTGTCTCAAAAAAAAAAAAAAAAGGAGGCGGGGACAGGGAGTAGCCTGATAGGAAGTTGCTTGTCGGGAATTCTCATTGGTTTACAGAAATAACATTGATTTGTGATTGACTATACATTGTGAACCTGTCCAGTGCAGCATTATTAGGTTAATTTATAGCTACTTGTGGCAATAGCAAGTTGTTTCAAGAGATGAATACATAGCTCAAAGCGGGGAGTAAAATATGGTTGCTGTCTCATTTTAATGTCTCTCTGGACTTGATAATTAAAATGACTTGTATTCCTCAGATAAAAGTTCTCATCTCTTACTATTTTGTCTGAATCAGATTATTCCTCCCTTTTAGGATTTACTACTCTGGCATTTGTATAATTCTGGTGGGTCAGTCAACTAATGGCTTGCAATCAACAACACTCCCACCACAGGGTGGGCGTGAGACCCAGGCAGGTCAGACAAAAACCTGTTTCAGAAACTGATGTAGAGAATGAGAGGAAGTGGTCTCTCCAGGGAAGAGAGTCTTCTCTGTGTCGGTGTGGTTCTCCCTTTGGGCAGGCTATTGAAGGACAGTGCAGAGAGGAGGAAGCTATCCTATGTGGTTGGCTGAACATGACAGCTTTGACATGGAGAACAAGTAATATTCAGCAGGTTACTAATATGTTTGCCTATGTAGAAGGATAAGTATGTTCCCGATTAGACGGGGGTGGGGTAACAAACGTGCCAACTGAAACATGAACCCTTTGCTGGAAATTTTATGCCAGCAGTGACCTGCAGACTTCTTTTTTATATATATAATTTAAGTATTCTTAATTTCTAATAAAAATATAATTGTGAAACTGATCATTTAATTAAATTATAATGTAATTATTTAGTAATTACCTTAGAAGTTAGATCAAAAGGATATAAAACATATGACTAGTGATTTAAAAAAAAATTTCAGCTAGTAAATTTAATTTTATCTATTTATTTATTTTGAGACAGGGTCTCACTCTATCATCCAGGCTGGAGTGCTGTGGTGTGATCACAGCTTACTGCAGCCTCGAACTCCTGGGCTCAAACAATCCTCCCACTTCAGCCTCCCAGGTAGGTGGGACTTCAGGCGTGTGTCATTATGCTCAGCTAATTTTTAATTTTTTTGTAGAGAGAGGTTCTCCCTATTGTTGCCCAGGGTGGTCTCAAACTTCTGGGCTCAAGCGATCCAAGGTGTTGGGATCACAGATGTGAGCTGGCAAACAACTTCTATTTTAGAGTCGGGGTGTACGTGCAGGTTTGTTTCATGAGTATATTGCGTGATGCTGAGGTTTGGGGAATGATTGAGCCTGTCACCCAGGTATTAAGCACAGTCTCCAGTAGGTATAGTTTCCTAACCCGTTCCTCATCTCTTCTTCCTCCCTCTAGTTGTCTGCAGTGTCTGCTGTTGCCATCTTTATGCCATGTGTACTCAGATCTGCAGATCTCTGAGATGGGGTTGGCATGATGGGAAGAGGACATTGACATGGCATGAGAAATTCCTGAAGACAGTAGGGACCGGAGCTTCTGGGTAGTGCTTTGTTGTAATGAGAGGAAGGACCTTTTAGAAATTGATTGGCAGAATAGACAGTAAGTAAATTGAGCGACTTTATTGAGTAGTAAATGACAGAGTAGCTTGAGGAAAGAAGAGTTGAATAACAACTTGAAAGAGACTGGGAAGAAAACAGATTAATAATGCTTATGGGAAAGTTGAAAAAATAGTTTCTACTTGTTAGGAGAGATGTCCTGGAGAGGAGTAAGGCACTCTAAGTGCCAGCCTTCCTTCCCAGGTACCAAGTTATTGTCCAGGACTCAGGAGACTGATATGGGTTTAGAACCTGAGGATCTAAATGAGGGAGATTGGCTGGGCACAGTGGCTCATGCCTGTAATCCCAGCACTTTGGGAGGCTGATGCAGGAGGATCGCTTGAGGCCAGGAGTTCAAGATCAGTTTGGGCAACATAGCAAGCCCCTATCTTTACAAAAAAAATAAAAAAAAAAAAAATTAACCAGGCGTGGTGGCACATGCCTGTAGTCTCAGCTACTCTGAAGTCCAAGGTGGGAGGATCGCTTGAGCCCAAGAGTTCAACGCTGCCATGAGCTATGGTTGTGCCACTATACTCCAGCCTGGGCAACAGAGTGAGACTCTGTATCTAAAAATAAATACATACATACATACATACATACATACATACATACATACATACAAAGGAGACCTAACAGCTAAAACATCCTGCCCAATGGGATGACTCCTTACTGGACAGCGGCAAACTGACCTGGCTTCTTGGGCCAGGAAAATCACATGAAATGGGTCTACAGCTCAGGTTGGATTCTGAGCAGCATTAAGCCAGCACTGCTTCAGCTCTCCCCAGGGCCTGATGTATGTCATGAACTTGGAAGCACCACGATTTGCCTGTCTATACTGCTGCTTGAGCCTGCTTTTGGGCTGTCCTAGTTTCTTGTGTATTCTTAAGTCAAACCCCCTCGATAAAGATGATCTGTGTGTCTTATCCACGCACACATTCAAGCCTGATCAGTTCAGGAGATGATCTCCTCTATGTATCATAAACTCAGTAATAGTTTCTAGACATTGCAAAGTAGGAAGAAAGAGACCAGAATGAACAACTAGGGAAATAGGAACACAGGGAGTCATTTGAATAATAGATTGTTATTGACGCCAGGCTAGTGGACACTTGCTGTCTGGAAGAAGGAAAAAGTTAGCTGCCTTTTTGAGCGATAGGGGTGTGGTCAGGTTGAAAGAGCCCTGGAGTGAGACCCCAGAAGATCTAAGCTTTACTTCTAGGGAGCTATGCAACCCCTTACTTGGCCCCAGTTTCAATTCAATTCTAAATTTACAGAGTCCTTCCTCTACGAACAAGATTCTGGTTGGTCAGGCTTCAGAGAAGCCTGAAATGAATGAATTAGGCAATGCCGCATAGGTGCAGCAGAGTGGAGAGGCTGGGGTTTCAAAGACAAGTGCACAACAAACCCTACTTTAAGCAGAGCAAGACTGAGATGAGTGCTCTCTTTGGGTAGAAATCAAGTGTTATGGAATCCCCACGATGACTGTTGGATGAGATGGGTCTCTGAATGTAAATTTGCAGGTTCTGCTCTTCTCTGCTGGAAGCAAGGGTTATCTCCATCTGCTTCCTGACACTGCTGAAATGCGAGGCCTGTCAGGCAGAGGGGCAATGAACTCTTGATTCTGGTTCCCGGGCTGGGACTCTGAGATATGATGAAGGCCTCTTTACATGCAGGCTGACAGAGCTGGTGAAAGACGGACAGGGAGTTGTAGAGGGAAAGGAGAGGATGTGGGGTCGCCCTCTTGTCCCTTTTAGTCGGCACTGGTCTTAATCAATGAAAGAAACCTCAGCGCCAGCACTGGAATCCTCCCTCAGCTTAATGTATTAAAGTGTTTTACAACCTCCCTTTGCTCTCCCGCCTTCCAGTCCCCCTGTTTCCTCCTTATCTATTATTTCCAGAGCTAAAGAAGTGAGGCAAATAAACTTCAGTGGTGGAGGGTTTCTTTCTCCTTTCCTCCCTTTGCCAGTTGGGAGCACGTTTCTTAGTGGGCGTACACCATCGGATTCTCTCTGCCTCTGCCTCTAACTTTCTCTCTCTTTCTCTGTCTTCCTCTCTCTCCCTCTCTCTGTGTCTGACTCCTTCTATTTTTCTCTTCTCCATTAGTCTTTGTTTCTCTTTCTCCACCCTGCACCCCTGAAATCTGTTACAATAAGACACAGGATCTGAAAACCCACGTGATTTTATCTCTGAAATTTGCAAACAGCAAACTAATTCGATGCAAGAGAAATGAAATGTTTTCATATCCTTTTAATTGCTGGACTCCTCTGCATCTTCTCAAGCACACATTTTCCAGACCATAAAAATGTTTGATTCTAAGTTTGTTTTGATTTTCAACCAGGGGCAGCAAATATAACTTTTTTCCCCCCTGTGGAGTCACTGACAGCTTTACTCAATTTCCAACCTATCCAAGCACTTTCCTTAAGAAAGAGTGTTAAGGTTTTTCCTTAAAATCACCATTTGCAAGGGAGGGGGAGATTGCTTCTCTGGTGAAATGCACTGATTGGACAGACTCTCGTGTTGGCTACAGTATTGTGGTTTTTGCTTGAGGATGAAAAACAAGTGGGTGGGAATATAATTTCTCTCTTCAGCTGAAAGCTATTTTGACTGTCTATTCAGGCAGTCAGTTGGGTGTATTCATTCATCCATTCATTCACTATTTCAACAATAATTTATTTAGTGGCTACTAAAAGACAGGTTCTGTATTCCAGATTTCCAGTTATTACTTAACTAGCACAGGATGCTGATGCCTTCAGTGACTTGGCAGATAGGACCATGTCAAGACAAATTAGCTTAAGGGCAAAAATAATTTATTACAGTTTCAACATAATGGTAGAAGTTTCAATTAAACAGAAAGTTACAATTCTAAATTTGTAGGCACTGAATCACATATAAAGCCTAAGTTAACAGTTTTAAGGATAAATCGAGGTTTTAAAACATCTCTCTCTTGGAATTAGTGATAGATTCACTAAAAAATCATTGGAGACATAGATGATTTGAACAGCACAATTACCAATATTAATCTACTGAGAAATGTACATACATATATATGTATGTATGTGTGTGTGTGTCTGTGTAAAATGTGCCCAGTTCCTGGTCAATACACATTCTTTTTAAGTACTCATAGGCCAATTTATAAATTGATGACAGTTGGCCCTCTGTATCTGTGGTTCCACAACTTCAGATTCAATCAATCTTGAGTAGAAAGTGTTTGAAAAAAAAAAAAAGGTAACAATAAAACAATGAAAACAAAACAATATGAAATAATAACAAAGCAAAAACAATGAAAAACTACTGATTAAAAACTACAATATAACAACTATTTACATAGTATTTACATTATATTAGGTACTATAAGTAATCTAGCGATGATTTAAAGTGTATAGGAGGATGTGTATAGGTTATAATCAAACACTACTCCCATTTTATATGAGGAACTTGAGCATCTTTGGGTTTTGGAATCCACGGGGGTCCTGGAACCAATGCCCCTGAGGGACACCTATACTTAACAGGTCATAAAGCAAGCTTACAAATCTCAAAGTCCCTAGCACGATACAAATAAACCAGAAATCAGTGTTTAAAAGATAAACTTAAAATAAATCTCTTATCATGTAATGTTAAAAAAGACCCATGGGCTGGGCGTGGTGGCTCATGCCTGTAATCCCAGCACTTTGGGAGGCTGAGGCGGGCAGATCACCTGAGGTCAGGAGTTCGAGACCAGTCTGGCCAACATGGTGAAACCCCGTCTCTACTAAAAATACAAAAATTAGCTGGGTGTGGTGGTGGGCGCCTGTAATCCCAGCTACTCGGGAGGCTGAGGCAGGAGAATGGCTTGAACCCGGGAGGCAGAGGTTGCAGTGAGCCGAGATCGTGCCATTGCACTCCAGCCTGGGCGACAAGAGTGAAACTCCGTCTCTAAATAAATAAATAAAACATAAAAAGGACCCATGGCTCAAAGAGGAAACCATTGTGGAAATTAGAAAATAGTAAAAATTGAATAAAACAGGAATATTATATGTTGAAACTTGGCAGACATAGCTAAAGTCATATTGTAGAGTATAATTTCTAACCTTAAATGCTTACCTGGAAAAAAAAGAAAGGCTATGTATCTATCTTAAGAAGATAAGAAGAAAGAAATAATAAGATAGAAATAAGAAATAAAATAAGAAACAAAGACGCAAAATTATCAAAGCCAAAGCTGCTTAAAATGACAAACTTTTTGTAAGATCAATAAAAAGAGAAATGACAATATCTGAATGAATGAAGTTCATAACTGCTAATGCAGCAGAGATTACATTTTACGGGAATACTATGATCAACTTAATGTCAAATACTTAAAAACTTAGGTTAAGTGGAAAAATTCCTAGAAACGTATAAATTTTAAAACTGATTTAAGTAATAAACACCTGAAGGGCCCTATAATTTTTAAAGAATTTGAGTCGGTAGTTAAAAATCTTCCCACAAAATAAACACCAATCCCAGATGTTTTTATAAGTAGTTTCTACTGTATATTCAAGGAACAGCTAGTTTCAAGCTTATACAAACTCAAAGAATAGAAAGAGACAGAACATTTTTCACCTATTTTATGAGACAAATGTAATCCAGATTCCAATAGCAAACAAGGACATTTAGGAGAAAAAAAGATCCCCAGACCAATCTAAAGACAAGAATCCTAAATAGCAAACCATAGCAAGCAATGAACAAGTACTGTTTATTTCTAGAATGATTGATTTAGCGTTATAAAATGTACTATGTCATACCTCATATCAGTAGTCTTGAGAAAAATCCTGTGATCATAATAGATTCAGAAAAAGCATTTGAGGAAATTCATAAACCATTCATGATAAAATCTTAGCAAGCAAGGTTTAGGATGGAAATCCCTGTACCGACAGCCAACATCTTATGAGTAGAGAATTATGAAAAGCCTTCTCTTTAAAAATCAGGCATGAAACAGGGGTGGCTGCTCTTGCCGCTGCAGACCAGCAGTGCTCTGGAGCACAAGCCGGTGTAAGGAAAGTAGAAAGTGTAAGAATCAGAAAGGAAAAAAATAAAATATTACTATTTGCAGATGATACGGTTTTCTACGTAGAAAACGCGAAAGAATTTACAAAGCATGAGAAATTTCACACACTCACAGTTGTATCAGGCAGGGTCTCTACAGGAAATAGGTGGCAACTCCAACGCAGTTGAATGACTGCAAAGGTCTGGGCGGGGCGAAGGGATACCAGCGAAGATGATCAAACCCCCGGGCAAGTAACAGCCAGGGACCCTCAGGCCTGGGAGGCAAGAATGGGAAGCAGAAGCTGGAGCGAATTTCAGCTTTAGCTGGAGCTGCAAGCGGGAGGTGTTTGTTTCAGGAGAAGAGCACAGTCACTGCCTACCGGCTGCCTGGTAGAGAAGGTGCTGGGAAGTAAGACCCAATTCACTCTTTTTATTTATTTATTTATTTATTTATTTATTTATTTATTTATTTAGACTTTGTCTCTCCCTCTTTCACCCAGGCTGGAGTTCAGTGGCTCAATCTTAGCTCACTGCAACCTCCACTTCTTGGGTTGAAAGTGATTCTCCTGCCTCAGCCTCCCAAGTAGCTGGGACTACAGGCGCCTGCCACCATGCCCGGGTAATTTTTGTATTTGTAGTGGAAACGGGGGTTTCACTATGTTGTCCAAGCTGGTCTCGAACTCGTGACCTCAGGTGATCCACCCGCCTCAGCCTCCCAAAGTGCTGGCATTACAGGCGTGAGCCGCTATGCATGGCTTTTCTATTTTATTGTTTTGTTTTTTGTTTTTGAGATGGAGTCTCCCTCTGTCACTCAGGCTGGAGTGCAATGGTGCGATCTTGACTCACTGAAACCTCTGCCTCCTGGGTTCAAGCGATTCTCGTGCCTCAGCGTCCCAAGTAGCTGGGATTACAGATGTGCGCCACCACACCTGGCTAATTTTTGTATTTTTAATAGAGACGGGGTTTCACCATGTTGGCCAGGCTGGTCTCGAACCGCAGACCTCAAATGATCCGCCCGGCTCGGCCTCCCAAAGTGCTGGGATTACAGGCATGAGCTACCATGCCTGACCTCCAATTCACTCTTCTTCTGCCCTCTGATCTCCCACCCATTGCTTTCTACTTCCAACATTCCAGGGAGTCAGGATCCAGAGAGCCTGTCGATGCTGTCCACAGAGTCAGTCTCCTGGGCACATGACATGGTAGGAAGGATGGAGGGTACACTTGGAAAGCAAAGGCAGGATAACCCAGATGCATCTGACAAACGCTGTGCAGGTCCTTCATGCAGAAAATTATACAATTGTATTCAGTTGTAATAAAAATGCTAAATAAATGGAGAGAGAACCATATTCATGGTAGAAAGACATAATAAAAATGGCAATTCTACCCAAAATGATAAGATACTTAATGCAATTTTAGTAAGAATGCCAAAAGGATATTTTGTGCAGAACTTGATAAGCAAATTCTAAACTTAATCTATTTTATTTATTTGTTTTTTTGAGACAAAGTCTTGCTGTGTCACCCAGGCTGAATCTCGGCTCACTGCAACATTTGCCTCCCGGGTTCAAATGATTCTCCTGCCTCAGCCTCCTGAGTAGCTGGGATTACAGGTGTATGCCACCATGCCTGGCTAATTTTTGTATTTTTAGTAGAGACGAGGTTTCCCCATGTTGGCCAGGCTGGTTTTGAATTCCTGACCTCAGGTGATCTGCCTGCCTTGGCCTCCCAAAGTGCTGGGATTACAGGTGTGAGCCACTGCAATGGTGATAAAATTTAAATAGAAGAGTAAATTGATAGGAATAACCAAGGAATAACCAAGACAATCTTGAAAAGAACCAGGTGGGACATGTACAAGATATCAAGATTATCTACAAGATACTTGACGTCTACAAGATATCAAGACTTACTATAAAGTTTTAGCAATTAAGATAGTGCCTATTAGCCCAGAGAGACAACAGGAATGGAACACAGAGCCCAAGAAAAGGCCTGCCAAATATAGCAGTTTGATCCACGACCAAGCTGATAATTGCAGATCAGTGTACAAATGGCAGATTATTCAACAAGGGGCACCAGGACAGTCGGTCATGTGTATGGGAAAAATCACGAAAGCCGTCTCACAGTCTGTTTTCAGATGACAATGCTGAAGTCAGAGGGCAAGGTGGATTACAGTCCAAAATGTGAAAGGTAAAATTTTAAAGTACTTGGAAAAAAATATAGAAAGAATATCTTTATGACCCTGGGGTAGAGCAGAATTTCTTTAACAAGCACAGAGAGCACAAATCATAAAGGAAAATATCAATAAATTCAATCACAATAAAATCAAGATCTTCTGTCCAAAAGACATCAATGAGAGACTGAAAAGACAAGTCATAATCTGAGATATACCAGCACATAAAGGACAAAGGATGAGTATTCTGTAATATAAAGTATATTCTGTATATTATATACACAGAATACTCAACCTTTTATATAAAAATATGTATACAGAATACTCATCTGTTTAAATGTTTATAAATTAATAAGGAAAAGATAAACACTCCAATTTAAAAAAAGGCAGAAAATATGAACAGGTATGACCTAGAGGAAGACATAAATAACTAATACACAAATGAAAAATGCTCGACCTCACTGGTTATCAGGATGATGATAACCACTATGAGACATCACTACACATCCTCTACAGTGGCCCAAATCAAAATGTCTTGCAAAGCCAAGTATTGGCAGGAATGTGGAACAAAGGGAGCTTTCAAACACTGCTGTGTTTGTGCAAGTTGATAAAACCATTTTATAAAATAATTTATTAGGAATTAAGTCAAACACATGCCGACCCTGTAAGCGAGTAATTAGACTGTCTGTGACATACAAAAATGGCAATTTCATGTGGTTCAACCTAATATATACCCTAAAGACACTCTTGCACCACTTTTGATCTGGAGACATGCATAAGATTCTTCATAGCAATATTGCTTGTGATAATTCTAAAAAGAAAACAACCTGAACTCAAATGTCCAGTGATGGCAGGATGGATAAGTATATTGATGTATACTAAGTAATGGTAGACTTTATATCACTGAAAATGAAAAACCTATACTCGATACAGGTCAAGAACAAAGTGTATGAAAAAAGAGAACCAAGCAAAACAAAAAAAGCCCTAAATTGCGGAACTTATATATGATTCAACAACAGGCCAAACTCAACAATATGTTAATCAGAGATATGTTCACATATGTTAAAATCTCTAAAGAAAATTCAGGAGGGGGTTTATATAAAGCTCAGCACTTACCTCTTAGAAAAAAAGAGGAGAACCTGTTTCTGGGTGGAGGTATTTATAAGGCTGCAGAATAATCAGTTACCTTTCTTTCTTAAGCTGGGAGACTGGCACATGGGTTTATGTTTCATTTCTTTAATTTCATTTTTTAATTTCTATAATTCTTTAAGATGCACATATGTATGTGTTTTTTGGTGTATAGTGTATATACAAAACAAGTTTAAAAACAGAGTAGATTGGCCAGGCATGGTGGCTAATACCTGTAATCTCAGCACTTTGGGAGGCCAAGGCTGGAGGATCACTTGAGCACTTGAGGCCAGGAGTTTGAGACCAGCCTGGACAACATGGCGAAACCCCATTTCTACAAAAAATACAAAAATTAGCCAGGAGTATTGGCCATGCCTGTAATCCCAACTACTTGGGAGGCTGAGGCAGGAGAATTGCTTGAATCCAGGAGGCAGAGGTTGCAGTGAGCTGAGATCGTGTCACTGCACTCCAGCCTGGGCGACAGAGAGAGACTCTGTTTCAAACAACAAAAAACAAAGGCAAGACAAAATAACAACAACAACAAAAATACAAAAGATTATAAGGAGAAAAAAATGCATCAGTCTAACTTCCTTTCTAGAGCTCAGCTCTTAAAACAATTGTCCTTTCTAAGTCTTGTTTTCTTCTTGTTATATATCCTGGTATTTTATTGTTCTTTACATGATCTGCAAACCATTTGTCTTCCCCAGTTTAGAACTGGTAACATAATAGGCACTCAATAAATATCTTATTATTGACTGAAGCAACCAACTAACCAAATGACAAGAGGTTCAATCTCCCTAATAATGAAACACACTACAAATCCAAACAAGGTGTTGTTTTTAACCTAACAAGGTGGTAAAATTTAAAAAGTGATTAGTGTTTGGAAGAGTGAGAAATCACATATTGTTGCTGGGAATGTAAAACATAAGTGGTGGCTAATTTACAAATAAATTTCAAACGTCCTGAAACCTTTGTGTTCTTTGATGTAGTAGGTCTGCTTATCTCACAAAACTGTCATAGATATGTGTAAAAATTTACACTTAGCATAGCACCTTGTAAAATTGTGTAAAAGATGTGTGTTTGACAATGATGGTTTGGTTAAGTAAGCTGTGGTACATCCATACATAGAATGCAATAATATAGAACTATTAAAAGGGTGCAAAATAAATGATGAAATAAAACACTTTTATTCCATCTATTTTATGCCATTTTAAAACCTGATTTTTTTATTTTTATTTTTTTTGAGACGGAGTCTCGCTCTGTCGCCCAGGCTGGATGGAGTGCAGTGGCGCCATCTCCGCTCACTGCAAGCTCTGCCTCCCAGGTTCATGCCATTCTCCTGTCTCAGCCTCCCAAGTAGCTGGGACTACAGGTGCTCACCACCACGCCTGGCTAATTTTTTGTATTTTTAGTAGAGACAGGGTTTCACCCTGTTAGCCAGGATGGTCTCAATCTCCTGACCTCGTGATCCGCCCACCTCGGCCTCCCAAAGTGCTGGGATTACAGGCGTGAGCCACCGTGCCTGGCCTAAAACCTGATTTTTAAAGGTTTTATAATAAACGTTTTATAATTAACATTTAAAAAGTTGGCCAAAATCTAACTGGCTGGCCAATATGTATGTCTGTGTGTCCACCCACATCAGTGGAGAAGGAGGGCTGGGGAGACAGTGATAGGCACAGATTTCCACCCAGAGGCTGAAAACCGCCTCTAGGATGGAGAGTTTCAACACAAGACTCGTAGGCTGTGGGACTCAATTGCCAATTCCTAATATCACACAGGACACTTTGCTTAAGGGTCTGAACTTTCTTAAACTCTCTAATCTGGATATCCTTATAACAACCTGGGTATGTATTTCCAGGTCTGATTTCTATTAATGTGGCCATCGTTGTTTTCGAAAATATTCGTGGCAAGACTTGAGGAAACGTTTGGTTCTTGTTGTGAACCAAGTTATTAGAAACATTTCTGTGCTATTGAAGACACAGATGTGGGAGATTTAGCAAATCATTCTGGATCTTGAGGTCAGTCCTTCTCCTACAATGTCCTGTGCACACCCTTGGGTGCTGCCTCCCTTCTGGAACTTTTGTGGGTTTCAGGTAGGACCAAGTATTTATTTCTACACCTCCCACAGTTTTCATGCTTTTTAGTTTCATTAAAATTTGAGTCTTCCAGCAATTCACTTAGGAAGAGAAGAAGGAAATGGCAGGGGCTTCATGATATTCAAGATTATGGGCTGTCTTGAGTGATAGGAATTTTTTTTTTTCCTTGAGACGGAGTCTTGCTCTGTCACCCACGCTGGAGTGCAGTGGCATAATCTCGGCTCCCTGCAACCTCCCCGCCTCCCGGGTTCAAGCAGTTCTCCCACCTCAGCCTCCTAAGTAGCTGGGATTACATGCGTCCGCCACCATGCCCAGCTAAGTTTTGTATTTTTAGTGGGGACAGGGTTTCATCATGTTGTTCAGGCTGGTCTGGAACTCCTGGCCTCAAGTGATCTGCCTGCCTCAGCCTCCCAAAGTGCTGGAATTACAGGCGTGAGCCGCTGCACTGGGCCCTAAGAAACCCTTTTTGGGAGATCTATGAGTTTTCTGTTATTTGCATAAGCATGGAATTATTTTGAACATTAAGGAGCAACCCTAGACAGCCTAGGGGAGGGGCGGGGAGTGGGGGCGGGTAAAACACAAGTTTAAAAACACATTTGTCTTACAGGAAAGATTAAAAACATTAGCCAAAACCCAGCACTGACACCTGCCGCTGAGTACATCATTAATGACTTGCTTTGGTGAACATCAAGGTGAACCTGGGGAGTCTTATGGTATCCTGGTGATCTGTGAAAAGAATTTCCAGGATGACAACTGTATGGATGTGGGGAGGGGAGAAACTGCCATGGGTTTTGTTAAAAGAATCTAACATTTAACAGATTTTCTGAGCCTAAGTAAAATGTGTTGAAGTACCAGTTTTTACCACACAGCCTCATGTCTTTGCAGTTCTGTGGGGTATAGTATTAAAGGCTGTTCATTAAACTACTGTGTGGGAGCCCCACTGGAGAACGTCTGATGAAGAAGCAATGGAAACAAGAAGGCTCAGCAGTGTGGGGGGAAATCCACAGTCAATTATCCCGAGACACTAAAAGAAGCAGTGGGAGGCCAAGGTGGGAGGATCACTTGAGCCCAGGAGTTCAAGACCAGCCTGGGCAACATACTAAGACCCCTGTTTTTACAGAAAAATAAAAAAATTAGCCAGGTGTGGTGGCACACGCCTGTAGTCCAAGCTATTCAGGAGGCTGAGGTGGGAGGATCAGCTTGAGCCTGGAAGGTCAAGGCTGCAGTGAGCCGTGATCGCACCACTGGATTCCAGCCTGGGTGACTGAATGAGGCCTTGTCTCCAAAAAGAAAAAAGAAGCAGTGTTTAGAAAAAAATAGAAGCAGTGTTCATTTGTTCATTCCTCATTGAATAAATGTTCAACCTCTACTTGCAGAGGTTGCATTCAGCAGGCAGCTGTGAATTGAATCGTCCACTTTGCTTTCTAGATCTGCGTCATGTTTTACTTTTTAATTTTTTTATTTTTATTTTTATTTTTTATTTTTTGAGACAGAGTCTCACTTTGTCTCCTAGACTGGAGTGCAGTGGCGTGATCTTGGCTCACTGCAACCTCCACCTCCCGGGTTCAAGCGATTTTCCTACCTTAGCCTCCCGAGTAGCTGGGACTACAGGCACGTGCCATCACGCCCAGCTAATTTTTTGTATTTTCAGCAGAGACGGGGTTTCACCATGTTAGCCAGGATGGATATTTTACTTCTAATGGCCAACGATGGCCCATATGAAAGGTAGGAGTTCCAGCTTTGCCTGTGGGCAGATTTTTGCAGCCACATCTGGCTTTGTTTTGCCATATTTTTAACCCCCCTCTCCTCTGCTACATTTGTTTTCTTTTTATTACATTTCCCGTCTGGATCCTTGCGTCTGCATTTCTAATGTCAACAACTGCTTTTATCACAGATAATAACTTCCTTTTATAAAAAGGCTGTATCATCCTTACATGCATTTCAAATTAAATTTTTATGAACAAACACAGAAATACAGTATTTGGCAGTAAGCACGATTAAGTATACTTACAGCAATCTAAATCTAAGTTGTGACAGCCAAGACCAAGTTGGTTGCAGTTTTTTTAATAATCTATTTCTTGAGAGTTTTGTTAACTCTCTTCAGAACTTAATTAACTTCACATTGGGATGCTTATTTAAGTAAATTATGTGGTATGCCCAAACATGCCATAAAAACAATTATCAAAACACTGGTAATTCTTTAAAGTACCAGTGTTTTCCCAACCAAGATCGTTAAGTGCTCCAAAATCGGTTGTTTGTCAATAGACAGGCTGGAATCAACTTATGAAAAATGGCTGTAGAATAGAGGAAAAAAACAACCTCTACAGTTTCCATGGAACACGGCTAAGCAAGTGTTAAGGTTTCTATTGTTTTGGTTCTAGGTTCTGCCACCGACTTTCTGTGGGTTGTTCAAACCCATCTGATTCCAACAGGAATCAGATATATATAATTCCAACAGGAATCAAATATAATATATAATAATTTATTATATATTATATTTAATCTAGTGAATAATCCTTTATAGTCATGCAATGCTGCCTGTATCTCACACCAAAAACTCAGCAAACTATAGATAGTTAAAATTGAACACTTAAATGACAAGTTTCTGATGTTTCTAGTTTTGAGATGTGGTCCAACAAAATGATCATGCAGCAAAAGGGCTTAAGCCATGTCAGCATGGAAACAGAACGGACAGAATCGGTTACACATTTTCATCTCATTGATATAATAATGGGTAAAGTGCGGACTTCCATTTTCAATGGTTTCTTGATGACATGCAGTTCATAGAAAAAAAATGTACGGGTGCAGGACACCGGCCTGACCCAGTCTCAGGCATCCATCTTATTTGAGACAAAATATAGCCTGGAAGGGCTCCACTGTGGAAATGAGAGCTTACGTTTCAATGGCTATTAGGCTATTAGGCTAATTCTCAAACCTTTCTGAGTGGGATTAGTGTTTGATTTTAAATCCTCCAAAATAAGTACTGGTTACATCAGCCCCTAATGAATAATCATTCTTATCTGCCTATCCTACACCTTGGAACTTCTCAGAACATAATGGGTGGAATCTTAATTTCTTTTGTTGATTGTTCTGGGTAAATCTTTTTTTTTTTTTTTTTTTTTTTTTTTTTTAGAGAGAGTGTCACTCTGTTGCCCAGGCTGGAGTGAGTGGTATGATCATAGCTCACTGTAACCATGAACTCTTGGGCTCAGCGATCCTCCCACCTCAGCCTCCTAAGTAGCTGGGACTACAGATGCATGCCACCATGCCTAGCTACTTTTTTATTTTATTTTATTTCATTTTTTTAGAGATGGGGACATCTCACCATGTTGCCCAGGCTGGTCTTGAACTCCTGGCCTAAAGTGATCCTCCTGCCTCAGCCTCCCAAAGCACTAGAATAACAGGCATGAGCGACTGCATCTGGTCCTTGTAAATCTTTACTGATGCAGTCTGGTGACTACTTGCAAGATAGTTGCTCTGTGTAGACTTTACCTCTATGCTTCAAAGAAATGAAGGCTTGGAACAGCGATAGAATTTGGATGGATGTTTACTCTCACAGAGCTCAATCTCTAAAGAGGAAAGATCTCTCTTCTGCTCTATTTTACAACATGGATAAGGCACAGTCACATCTGTTAAATTTCTATCATATTCTATAAAATTACCTACTTAAGGAGCAAACAACTTTATTGAATACTTGTTCCACAGAGTTCTGAGTTGGATGTTGTAAGGAGATAAAAAAATAAAGACACAGCCTCTAACTTCAAGTTATTTATTGCTTAGTGGGAAAAGACAGAATGAGTACATGTGAAAATACACAAAAATACTCCTTGTGCATACTCAATTACATATGTAAATGCTGTGGGTGCTAGGTTGAAAAATTTAAGTCAATCAAGTGGCTCATAATAGGAATTTAGTTGAAGGAAAGCATGTAGCATGAGAAGTAAGACAAAATACTACAAGGATGATACTGAATGAAGTCTAGAAGTTCAGGTATTGACCCAGGAATAAATCCTTTGTTTAATCAAAGGTTTGTTCTGATGATTGGAGTTACTGATTGAACTTTATATGATATCCTATAAGAAGCTCCAAGTGTGGTAGAGAAAGTAAGAGTGTTTCCCAGTTTCCAGGTGCCTGGTTCTTGAGTGACTGTAAAATCTCACACTGGGATGAATCCATCTGAGCTTGGCACTTCTTTAGTACTGGGGAGTCACAGGGAGCATTGAATCTCAAGTGTCAGGGTGGGTTTGGGAATGACAAAAGAATTTCCAAAAAGATGCCAGAATATTGAGCTGTTGGCCTGGCTTAGGCTGATGTCACTCTCTAAGCTTGGAATCCAATAGTCTTGGAAAGGCAAAGTGAGAGACAAAATACACTGATGCTGCTGGACAGAAAGGGATGGGAGGGTTCAGGTCTCACTCCCACAGCAGGTCCTGATGGTTATCACTGGACAATTTGTGTAAATGACATATTAGGATTTATGTGAACACTATTAAATATTATTTTTCTCCTTCCTTCCTCCCTCTTTCTTTTTCCTTCTGTCTTCCCTCCTTCCTTTTTCTTTCTTTCTTTTCTTTCTTTCTCTTTCTTTCTTTCTTTCTTTCTTTCTTTCTTTCTTTCTTTCTTTCTTTCTTTCTTTCTCTTTCTCTTTCTTTCTTTTTCTTTCTTTCTCTTTCCCCTCTCCTTCCTTCCTTCTTTCCTTCCTTCCTCTCTTTTTCTTTCTTTTCTCTCCTTCCTTCTTTCCTTCTTTTGTTTTCTTTCTTTCTTTTTCTTCCTTCCTTTTTTCTTTCCCTTTCTCTCTCCCATTCCTTCCTTCCTTTTTTCTTTCCCTTTCTCTCTCCCATTCCTTCCTTCCTTCCCTCCTTCTCTCTCTTTTTCTTTCATGCTTTCTTTTCTTTCTTTCTCTTTCTCTCTTTCTTTTTGAGACAGGGTGCCACCCTGTCAACCAGGCAGGAGTGCCATGGTTTACATATTTATTTTCCAAAATGATGCTGGAATATTGAGCTATTGGCCTGGCTTAGGCTGATGTCACTCTCTAGGCTTGGAATCCAATAGTCTTGCAAAGGCAAAGTGAGAGAGCTCACTGCAGTCTTGAACTCCTGGACTCAAGTGATCTTCCTGCCTCAGCCGCAGTAGCTGGGACTACAGGCATGTGCCACCAAACCTGGCTAATTTTTAAAAAAATTTTTATGTAAATACAGGGTCTTTCTATGTTTCCCAAACTGATCTTGAACTCCTGGCCTCAAGTGATACCCCTGCCTTGGGCTCCCAAAGTGCTGGGATTACAGGTATGAGCCACTGCATCCGGCCTAAATGTTATTTTTTACACTCTTTGCAATGAGGAAGGAGTTCAAACTGTGTTGAGAGCCATGCAAATGTACAATATGTTTTATTAATTTTAAATCTTCTGCCTTCAAAGAAATAATAATCCCTGTGGGTGCATAAAACACACTAATGTGAAAATAAATATTGAAGCTGCAGAGTGATTCACTGGGTGAGTATTCAATTAAAGCAGGTAGCTGATGGGGTGACATGAGGTTAGACCTGGCACCAAATGCCTTTGTTTTCTCTCTATCACTGGTCATGTGTTCAATTATCTGCGTCTAACTCCTCTCGGCGTTAGCTCCCGTAACTGTTGCAAGGATCAAAGGAGATGATTTATTCCATTTCTATAAATGGTTTTGTTGAAACTCAGGTGCGCTAGAGAGTTTGCACACTGCTGGAGTTAGAAAGATGAATACACCAGGCATAGTGGCTCATGCTTGTAATCTCAGCACTTTGGGAGGCTGAGGTGGGAGGATCGCTTGAGCCCGGGAGTTTGAGACCAGCCTGGACAACATGGCAAAACTCTTTCTCTACAAAAAATGAAAAATTAGCAGGTCACAGTGATGCATGCTTGTAATCCCAGAAACTTGGGAGGCTGAGGTGTGAGGATTGCTTGAGGCTGGGAGGTTGAGGCTGCAGTGAGCCATGATCCTTACACTGCACTCTGCCCTTGGCAATAGAGTGAGACCCTGTCAGAAAAGGAGAGGACAGGAAAGGAGAGGAGAGGAGGGAGGAAAAGAAAGGAGGGAGGGAAGGAGGGAAAGAAAAAGAAAGAAGAATGCAAGAAAGAAAGAAAGAAAGGAAAGAAAAAGAGAAAGAAAGAAGAAAAGAGAAAGAGAGAGAAAGAAGAAAAGAGAAAGGAAGGAAAAGAGAGAAAGAAAGAAGGAAAGAGAGAAAAAAGAAACAAGAAAAGAGAAAGAAAGAAGGAAAAAAAGAGAAAGAAAAGAACAGAACAGAAAGACAAAGAAAGAATGAGACAGGAATTGCTCTTGAACACAGCTGCACAGGGGAGGCAGACACTTAAAGGATGATAATCACAGTTTAGGAGCATTCAGGAGGACACGATGGAGTCTGTCTAGAGGAGACAGTGTGTGTTAGGACACTTTACATGACCAGATATGAAATGCTGTTAATATGGGAAGCTGTTAATGTGGGTTGCTTTTATCAGATTATTTTATAATAGAAATGATTTTTCTTCATCACGGAGAAGATGGCACATTTCCAGCTGAGATAATGCCTATCTTCTGATGGGTATTTATGAGGAATGCATGGAAATGTGTCATGGGTAACCTCACATTCTGCTACTTTAGGTCAAAATCTGACACTAGCTATGTTTAACCCATGAGCTACTCTCTTAAGAGAGTTCGGGGAATCTATTCTTCTTAGTTAAGTGTGGCACAGCAACTGAGTCTCATGCAGTGTGCCTGTCGTTGTGTCTAGAGCTACTATAAAGAAGAATACGAAATTGCAGTTAGACAGGAAGAATAAGTTTTGGAGTTCTGTTACAGGGTAGGGTGACTATAGCAAATAACAATGTAGTGTACACAGTATTTCAAGACAGAAGATTTTGAATGTTGTCACCACAAAGAAATGATAAATGTTTAAAGTGATGGATATGGTAATTACCCTAATTTGATCATTATGCTATGTATACCTGCATGTAAACACCACACTGTACCCTATAAATATGTACAATGATTATGTGTCAATTATAAATAAAAAAATATCAGCCCTTGGATAAAACAAAAACAAAAAAGAAGAAGGATACAGAGGTTGCTTTTTGAATTAGAATGTCTGAAACAAGATCTGGGTGGTAGGAAGAAACCAAAAGTTGTTTGGGTCTCCCTCTGTTGCAAGGTTGGAGTACAGTGGTGCAGTTGTAGCTTACTGCAGCCTCACACTCCTGGGCTCAAGTGATCCTCCCATCTTAGCCTCCTGAGTAGCTGGAACTACAGATAGGTGCCACCATGCCTGGCTAATTTTAAAAAATTGTTTGTAGAGAGGGATCTTGCTTTGTTGCCCAGGCTGGTCTCAAACTCCTGACCTCAAGTGACCCTCCTGCCTTAGCCTCCCAAAGCACTGGGATTATAGGCATGAGTCACTGTGTCTGGCCTGAACCAACATTTGTATTGTGTGGACGTGTGCACGTGCATACACACACACACACACACCCTGCAGAGATATCAGCCTATGAGTAAATAGTGGCCCATGATATTGCATATGTTCTTTGACCTATCATTCAACAAGAAGGTTTATGAATTTAGAACTGGTAGTCAACTGTGGACTTGTTGATTGCCTTTGTTTTCACAGCTATCCTATGCACTCACTTGAGAGCATTTTCTGTGATGAATTCAAGCACTAGCCCATTAGTGAGCATTTACCTTAATGTTCTAGAGTCCTCGTTAGTAGAATACAGAGTTAAGGGCTATTTCAGATTTCAGTAAAGATCCGGACAGTGTCCCTTATTCTTTGTGGGGATAATTAAGAAGCTGTTGCTAGTGTCTGATGAGAAGTGAAGTTGCTGTTTCTGGCAGAGGGGCAATGAGGATCAAAACACATATTTGGAATTTTATGTTGTTCCTGAGCTCCCCTGCTGGGCCAGGATGTGGGTTAAATTTGCTCTCCTGTATTAATAAAAAAAAAAAAAAAAAAAAAAAAAAAAAAAGACACAAGGGAGGCCAGGTAGTGGAGAGCAGAGAAAATAAAAGGCAGGGAGATGAAGTCAAATTTCCTCTGATCTCTCTTGGAGCTGCTGTCGACTCATCAGCCTCAGTTAATTATAGAGGCAGAAACTGAGCCACTGCCAAAATAAACGGTGCTGGGCACATACGTAGCCTCTTGATAAGGGCTGCATTTATCTGTGAGAAGAGCGTCTCAGATAAATGTGGAATGACTTACTGCCGGAACTTGGGACCTTTGTAACCACGTCTACTAAATCTAGAGCTTGTTTATCAGCCAGTCTGCAGCTCCTTGTCCCTGCAAACATTTTTATTGGTACACATTCTGTTTCTCTTCCTGAAGGAATGGGAAAGCTGGCCTCCTGCGCCCTAGAATGAAAGTATCTTAAATATTAATATCTGGGTTTAGATGGAGTGGTACTGCCTTTAAAGTTCGTGGAAAGCTTTGGAACCATGACTCCGCTGCATAAAATTACTTCTCCCATTCTCTAGATGGGGAATTTTGACTTGAAGTTTAAGAGAGAGGTCAAGTGAAGAGAGTTCACAATTATTGTTGATAACAGTTGGGATGTGATCTTGTCTGTTTTACTGAAATTCAACACAAGACTTTCTGAGCCGTTTCTCTGCTATGCACCCCGCCAAGTGTGGGATTTCAAAGAGTGCCCTTGGACCTTCGGGGAGCTCAGTCTTTTTTTTTTCCTTTGAGGCAGAGTCTTGCTCTGTTGCCCAGGCTGGAGTGCAGTGGTACAATCAAAGCCCACTGCAGCCTTGAACTCCTGTCCTGGGCTCAACTGATCCTCCTTGAGTACTCAGCCTCCCGAGTAGCTAGGACTACAGGCACACGCCAACACACTCAGCTAATTTTAAAATTATTTTTGTAGAGATAGGGTCTTGCTATATTGCCAGGGGCCTCAAGCGATCCTCCTGCCTTGGCCTCCAAAGAACTGGGATTATAGGTGTCAGCCACCCGACCAGGAGCTCAGTCTTGAGGTGAGATAGGCAAGACAGATACATAGATCCCTAGTCCAGAAACACATTTGGAAATGTGTTCCCACCCTGCCAAAATCAATATTCAATACGTTTTCCATATCATGTATGATGCATGCATGGAGGAGTTCTTTTTTTGCTAATGATTAATGGATTAAGAAATATCATTTTCAGATCAATTTTTAAATACATTCTTACAGATCCATTGAGATTATTTTTATTCCATAAAATCAGTTTTAAAGTTACAATCTTTTATTCAAAATTTGGAAAGCATCAACTTCTCTGGTGTCCTCAGTCGTACGCCTGTGTGCTTTTTGCCTTAATAATTAAATAACTTTTCATCGCCTGAAAGCTCCAAGCTGGTTGACTGCGGATAGTTAAGTGTTTATCTTTTGTTGCTTCTGGGTAGCACATCTTACTGCTCCTGCGTGCTTTTGAGTGGTAGAAAAAAGTCAGTGTTAGCATCAAACATTAACCCTGTGACCTGCTTGTTTATATGCCTACTGTAACATGGCTTTGCTTGAATTTCTGAGGTTAGTCAAAGCAAATATCTGTACAATCTTGAGACGACTGCACATAAACTAAAACATCTTTTGTCAAGATTGCCAGTAATACATTCCTTCAGACCAAAGCCTTAAGGAAAACTAGCTACTGATATTAATGGAGGGAATTTCTTAAAAGCTTAAGAGGAATTATAGGACTTTAGTACCACCTCCCATTTACCACTTTATCCTGAAAGATGTGGGGTGGAGGTCCTCCCGCTGGCTCAACTCAAGTGCCTTGTAGGGTTGTTGCTACAAGGAGGCACTGTTGTGTGAAAACTAACTGTGCTTTGTGTTTGTTAAACTTAAATATTCTAAAATAAGCATTCGTTTTGTTTGTCCATCAGGCAAAGTATGGGGCAGCATGAAACAGAAATATCTGGTTTCAAATAAATTGTATATGCTAAATTTTCACTGTGTATGTGAATCTAATTATAAGACAAAGCTATATAAGACATTCAGCAAGCTGTTTTCTAGGGATGATATTAGGTAAAACCTTAGAAATCACACTGATTTTTTTCCCATTCTAAAAAAAAAAAAAGCATTTTGGCTCGGTAGCATAATACCCATCTTTCCAGGATGAATCATTTCTATTTTAGAGGTTGAGAGAAATCTGATCCACATTAAAAGAAAGGCCAGTCACTAACTACTCCAGAAATCATATAAATAGATTGTTATGGGCCAGGCGCAGTGGCTCATGCCTGTAATCTGCACTTTGGGAGGCCTAGGTGAGAGGATTGCTTTAACCCAAGACTATGAGACCAGCCTAGGCAACATAGAACTTGTCTCTACAATAAATAAATCAATTAGCCATGCAAGGTAGTGTGTGCCTGTGATTCCAGATACTCAGGAGGCTAAGGCGGGAGGATTGCTTGAGTCAGGGAGGTTGAGTCTGCTGTGAGCTGTGATTGTGCCACTGCATGCCAGCCTGGGTGGCAAAGTGAGATCCTGTCTATAAATAAATAGTTTGTTGTTAACGGTTGGCTTCAGTATTTGGAAAGAAAAGTTTAAAAAAATTTAATAAATGTTGTGCCCTCCATATCAATTGTTAATGACAACACTCTGTGCCATATTGTAGAAGATAAAATCATTCATTCTAGGTCTGAAGCTCTGTCAATAAAGCAAATTCACATTCTCCACAGTGGGCAACAGTGGGGTACTTTCTATTTTTGGAGGCATGGCTGAACTCAAGAACCCCTGTTGTAATCCCCAGAGTCCCTTTTTCCCTAGGGATTTGTCCCTAGTTGTTCACAATGTTTCCATGCCAAGCAACAGAAGGGATTTCCTTAGAGATCTTCATACTGAAACAAACCATAGACAAATTCCTATTATTGAGTCATGGCTTTGGTTTACTCATCAGATCTCCAGCACAGGACCCTGAAGTCTCTATCTTGTGCCTATCACTTTGTGGGTTTTGTTTCTCTAGCGTGCTAGAGAAAGCGTTTTTGATTCAAATCAGCATAAACTGCTGCTAGGAAAGAAAGCGTCCCTTCTTTATTTGCAGTTTGGTAGCCAGGGTGCTTGCTGATTTAGCCTCATGCAGAATATATAATCCCTTCCTTTGTTCTTAATACATTTGCTGTGCCTCAATAATGAAAATTTCTACTTTATATTTATAGTAATCTGTTTATTTGCCCTCTTCCCCTACTATATATATATATGTGTGTATATATATGTGTATATATATGTGTATATATATATGTGTATATATATATGTGTGTGTATATATATGTGTGTATATATATGTATATATATGTGTATATATATATGTGTGTGTATATATATATATATATTTTTTTTTTTTAGACAAGAGTCTCTCTCTGTTGCCTAGGCTGGAGTGCAGTGGTGAGATCTCAGTTCACTGCAACCTCCACCTCCTGGATTCAAACAATTCTCCTGCTTCAGCCTCCTGAGTAGCTGGGATTACAGGTACCCGCCACCACACCTGGCTAATTTTTGTATTTTTAGTAGAGACGGGGTTTCACCGTGTTGGCGAGGCTGGTCTCGAACTCCTGACCTCAAGTGATCTGCCCTCCTCAGCCTTCCAAAGTGCTGGGTTTACAGGCCTGAGCCACTGTGCCTGGCCTCCCTCTACTATATTCTAGCATCTTCAGGATGACATAATTTCTCATTCCATTTAAAATCTTCCATAGTATAACCACAATACTTTACACACAGTAGGCTCTTGAAAAATTCTGTTGAATCAAAAAATGGATTAAAAATGATTGCTTCATACTAGTAGACTTTCTTCCTTATTAGTAATTTTAAAAGACGGTCACCCTGTTTTGATGCCTTATCACATTGGAAAGGGTGCATTAACAGAAAGAGGCCCCTATTCCTCAGTGGCTGGGGTTCAGAGAGTCCAGATGCTTCTTCTCCATTCTGATTAGGTCATATTTTATTCTGAACATAACCCACTTTGAACTGACATTCAAAAGCCCCTTCTCTCTTCCATTTCTGCCCTTTTTCTCCTTGCCCATCTATCCTTCCTTCATATTGCTGCAGCTTCTTGTGGTTGAGACCTGTTCTTGTCTCTATCGATAGATTCTTGCAGTCTTCAAATTGGAGCCTAAAAAAAAAAGACTGCACTTTTTTTTGTTGTCGTTATTGCCATGGTAATCTGCAACACAACAGCTTCTGTATTATCGTGCTCAATGACTCTATCTCTACCAAGAAGAGGATGAAAGGAATTCAATATAAACATAATCAATAATAAACATAATAATAAAGTAAATTATATAGACTGTCAGAAGATAATAAATGCCATGCTGTCCAAAATGAAAGAAATAACAAAGAAAAGGAAGAGTGTAGGGCAGGATAAAGGAATAGTGTGTTTGAGGAAGGAGCTAAAGTTGTGAGTTTAAATAGGATGATGAGAACTGGCTTATGACAATATGAGATCATGAGATTTGAATAAAGTCTTAGACAGGGAGAGGAAGTGAGCCGTGTGGATCTTTGACGGCATGATGTTCAGGCTGAGGAAAGGAAGGAGCCTGGAGGTTGACTGAGGAGCAGAAGGGAATTGCTGTGCTGGAGCTGGGATGGTAGGAGCTGAGACTAGAGAGGTCACAGAAGCCTGAATCACATGGAATAGATGATAAGGGGCAAGGTATAGGAGCAGGGGGGCCTTTCAGGAGGCCAGAGCAGTCCTCCAGATGGTATTGGGATCAGAACAAGAGCAGTAAAGGCAGCCTCCAGGAGGCTAGAGCAGTCCTCCAGATGGTATTGGGATCAGAATAAGAGCAGCAAAGGCAGTGAGAAGTTGTCAGAATCTGGATGTGTTTTGAAGAAAGAGACAAGGGATATTCTTGATGAATTGGATGTAGGATAGGGGAGAAAGAGAGGAGTCAAGGATGAATCCAAGAAGTGTTCTGTTTTAGGCCACAAGGACGAAATTGTCATCAACTAACTAACATGGGGAAGGTTGTGGGTACAGTGGGATAGGTAGGGAAAATCAGTTTAGTAGTGGACGTGTGAGTTAGAGAAGTATTTTAGATATTCAAGTGAAAATGATGAGTACGCTATTGGATATGCAGGTTTGGAGTTCAGGACAGAGGACTGGACTGGAGATATTCATTTGGGAGTTATCAGTGTGTGGGTAGTATTTAAAGCCATGGAACCACATGAGATCTCCAACGGAGTAAGTAGAGACAGAGATGAAAACAACAGCAACGACTGAGCCCCAGAGTAATTAGAAGTTAAAAGGGGCTAAGGACTGCAATGAATGTGCATGACAAGATCCATGTATTGCCATCAAAGTGAGTGACTGTTTCTAGGAGGGTAGAGGTCAAGATGCCTGAAGGAGGAGAGAAGTTTAATGACCTATGATGGTGGAGTTTTGGAAAGATTATTATCTATGCATTGAACATGCTCAGAAAAGAGAGGAGAAGTATTGGGGAGGATGCCAATGGGCTGAGAACTGATGTTGTTGAAAAAGGTGGTGAACAATGTTGGGCAGGGGTATTACAGGACCAACATGTTTGTATGCCTGTTGTGCAGAAACAGACCAATACACCAAGACAGCAGGCTTTGCAGCAGAGAGAGGGTTTGATGACAGCAGGGAGGCCGAGTGAGCAGATGGGAGAAGACCCTCAAATCCATCTCCCCGAAGAGTTCTAGGCTGAGGTTTTCAAGGGGATTATGGGGGGTGAGGGGCTGAAAAACTATAGTCATTGATTGGTTGGGGAAAGGGGGATGAAATCATCAGGATGTAGAAACTGCATTCTTCAGTGAGTCAGCTTCTCGTGGGGTCCTTCAGACCAGCTGGCGTCAGTAGTTTCATCAGTATGCATGACCTACAAGAATATCTCAAATGGAAAGCAACATTTCACAATGTTCAGTTGTTATCTGTGGAGCAGTGAAGGGGGACTCTAATCTTGTGACAGGGTCTGTGTGATTCTGGAGCAATAGGTAGCAAAACACTATGAGGAAGGATCAGAGAACAGCTGACCCCATGACTAACACTGAGTATGTGCAAGCTTGGCTTATTTTTGTTTCTCTCCCTCCCTTCTCTTCTGATTAATTGTATAAAGTTTCTAGGGACAGTTTCAGGGGTGATAGATGATGATGGTACGAGATTTGCAGTAGAAGGGAAGGAGAAGGTTCTGGAAGGGGAAAAGAGGACCAGCAGGGTCCCTCCATCACCTCCAGGTCTGCAGGAGGTGGCAGGAGGGCCTGGAATGAAAAACAGCCAGTGGCTGGGCGCAGTGGCTCACGCCTGTAATCCCAGCACTTTGGGGGGCTGAGACGGGCAGATCACGAGGTCAAGAGATTGAGACCATCCTGGTCAACATGGTGAAACCCCGTCTCCACTAAAAATACAAAAATTAGCTGGGTGTGGTGGTGTGTGCCTGTAATCCCAGCTACTTGGGAGGCTGAGGTAGGAGAACCACTTGAACCCGGGAGGTGGAGGTTGCAGTGAGCTGAGACCGCACCACTGCACTCCAGCCTGGCTACAGAGGGAGACTCCATCTCAAAAAAAGAAAAAGAAAAACAGCCAGCGCATGAGAGAAGATGTGAGCATCGTCCTCAGGGAAGAGTCAGTTTTTGTCAGAACAAGGAGGGACTATTTGGAAGTTAGTTTGGGATGTGAGGCGTTTTGCTATTAGTGGATCAGGCTGATGGCACCGTGGAGGGGTTTCAGGAGTCAAGAACAGGTGGGAGAAAGTTTCCCAGTGCAGGTTGTGCAAGCCTCCTGGCCCGGAGAGTGTGGGTGTGACGAGTGGCTTGAGAGACAGGGATGAAGAGCATGAATGCGAATGTACAGCACTGAGCTCGCGTCTGCCACATGGTAAGCTCTTAGAAGACCTCAGCTTCTTATTCATTTTGTCACAAATCGATTAATTACTGAGCTGAAGGACATATTAGAAAACGGTCAATAGCAATACTTCTAACTTCCAATCTGTACTTACGCTTGGCATTCAATCGATGTTATCAAAACCTGTGCCAGCTCCAAGGAAGAGAGAACACTGTTTTCTGATTTAGTTGCTTCCTGAAAGGAGCTGAGAGCTGTAAAACACAGGCAAGATTGGACTTTTCAATAATGCTTATATATTGACTTGCAGAAACAATATTAGAACTTTTTTAAAATGCACACATTATCTCCTTAGGGTAAGGGAAAAGGTTTTACCTTTTTATTTTTGCATCTCCCCTTTGAGTGAACATCATTCTTTTTTCTTTAACTCACAACTTTACAAGGTATTTGGAGAAATATAAGGGAGAGATAGTTTCTGTTTCTCACCTCTTTAAGCAATGTCCTCTTGTATACCAAATAATATCTTCCTGTGGTTAATGATATGAGAAACAGAATGCCTCTCCAGAAACCTTTTCACATCCCAGATTCAGAGTTCCTGAGGCCAGAATCTGATCTGACATATTTTACTACTTAGGTAAATCCTTAATCTCAAGAGTGATGAGAGTGAAGTCTTTTTATGTTTGTTTTTTAGAGATGGGCCTCTTTCTGTCGCCCAGGCTGGAGTGCAATGGTGTGATCATAGCTCACTGCAGCCTCAACCTCCTGAGCTCAAATAGTCCTCCTGCCTCAGCTTCCTGAGTTGCGACTACAGCCATGAACCACTGCATCCAGTTCAGGTTTTTTGTTTGTTTGTTGTTTTCCTTAAAAAACACTAGTGATTCTATTTTGATTCTGACAACTTTCATAAGGTCCAGGGACAAAATAAATGTGTTATCTCTTGGGAGGAGATGGATTTATAAGCCCATGGGCACCATTCAGAGGCCATATGCCCTGGAAGCACTGAGGAATGTGCTCAAAGCAAACCCTTGGGTCATCCTTGACTCTTCTTTTGCTCTCACATCCACATCCAATCTATGAGGAAATTAACTTAGCTCAGGTAGTTTAAAAATCCATCTGAATGTTGCGGCCAGGCATGGTGGCTCATGCCTGGAGTCCCAACTACTCAGGAGGTTGAGGCGGGAGGATTGCTTGAGCGCAGGAGCTCGAGGCTGCAGTGAGCTATGATCATGCCACTGCACTCCAGCCTGGGCAACAGAGCAAGGCTCAGGCTGGTCTTGAACTCCTGGCCTTTAGTGATCCTCTTGCCTTGTCCTCCCAAAGTGTTGGGATTACAGGCACGGGCCACTGAGCCCTGCCTAAAACGTTCAATGTCAGTGACTTGGAAGAATGTTCTGGTGGACGGGAAAGCCCCGGATGGAGAGAGGATTCAGGCATTTGAGAGGTCAGAGAGAAGCAAGGTATCCAAGGACAATGGAATTGGCTGCTTGTTGCTCAATTGAATTGAGGCTCTACATTAGGATAATGAAAAGCTGTAGGCAGTTAGGGAGCAATTGAAAGCCACTTGTGAAGGCCTGAGGGCCTCCAGGAATGGGGCCCATATTCACTCCATTCAGTGTAGAAAAAGCAGAAGACCAAACTATGGATTTAATAGGCTTGCCTAGCTTCAAAGATGATTATCATTACACAAAGATCAGAGCACTGGTTGGGAAAACATGGAGCTCTTGTGCACGGGATGGGGACATTTGGGTGGATGCCTCCAAATATTTTGAGCTCTCAAACTCTTCTAAGCCCTCAGAGCCTGCAGAGGTGGCTCATCCTTCCCTGTTATGATCTGAAACTACCCATATGGGCCAACACCACAGAGTTCTGTCCCCACGGGCCAAGGAGGGCTTCTCAGGATCCTCAACTTCTTGCCTGGTTGCCAGACCAATCACTAGAGGTAAGTCGCAACATCACCAAGCCAAGAATATTATGGCAACACTGATGAGCTAGAAAGAGACTGTACCTCCCTCAAACTGTGAAAAATTCACCCCCATGTACTAGAAGGAAGGAACTGGATTTTGAAGGCGCTTGATCAAGGAGGCAGGATAAAGGAGAATACAGGAATGTGAGGGCATTTTCTCAGGATATGGGACTTAATGCTTGGCAAAGACCCTAGAGGATGGTGCAGACTTGCTGCTTGGGTGGTTCAACAAGCCTGGAGATAGGTCCATGCTGAGCGGAGCTGAAACAGATTTTTAAAGGCTCAGGGAAGTGAACATGCTGGTATATTATGGCGATCAGAAGACCCATCAGAGGATTATTATGCCCAGGGAGGTCTGGAGAACACAGCATTCACCAAGCCATTGGGAAATTAGCTGAAGGCTTTCCTCTGCAGACCACAACTGGTGGTGTGAAAGGCTGTTGTGGAGTTGAATCCACAGAGAGTAGTGATGATGGGGTGAAACAGATGGGAATCTTGTGAGGATACTTCTCAATACATCTAATCAAAAGATAGCCAACACAGGCCAGGCGCAGTGGCTCCCACCTGTAATCCCAGCACTTTGGGAGGCCGAGGTGGGTGGATCACTTGAGGTCAGGAATTCAAGACTAGCCTGGCCAACATGGTGAAACCCTGTCTCTACTAAAAATACAAAAATCAGCTGGATGCGATGGTGTGCACCTGTGGTCCCAGCTACTTGGAGGCTGAGGCAGGAGAATCACTTGAACCCAGAAGGTAGAGGTTGCAGTGAGCTGAAGTTGTGCCACTTCACTCCAGCCTGGGAAACAGAGTGAGACCTTGTATTAAAAAAAAAAAAAATCCAACAAGGATGCCCAGGAGGCTGAGGGTGTTTGCTCTATCAAACATTTGCAATTCCTTGTCTAGTACCTGGAACCTGAGGCAGTTTTCAGACCTGGAATCCCCCAATAGAAAGGGTGGCCATGTTCCCAGGATGAAGGACCCAGCAACACCACACCAAGTCTATGGGTATAATTCCTTTTGTCCTTCCCCAAAAGACATTTATTCAAGTGACTCTACTCTGGGGAAAAACTCCCAGATGTTTTGAAGATTACTGGATGCCCTGCAGGGATGGATGGAGGTAGGCATTGAGGTGTGCAATGATTCAGATCTTCACTGGAGAAAGGACTTACCTGGCAGCTTCAAGGAGTGTAGCCAGCCGACAGCTTCCAGCTGCAGCACCTGGAGGATCTGCTTCAGCTTTTCAACCAAGACCACACTTTTTCTGGGCAGCTCCCAGCCAATACCGGCACCATGGTGGTACCAAGGCCGTGTCTGTCCAACACAGGAATCCTCTTTGCTCCAGAGCTTCCCATCATGTTGGTCAAATCCGTGTCTGACCCACCAAAATCTGAGGCTCTCTCTTGTCTATCTTGTTTTCTACCCTTTTTCCTTTTGTAAGTGTCAAATCTGCATCGTGATCTGAAGGCTTTCCATGCTTGGGCAATCTTGATATTTCCTCTTACGCTTTTTACAAATATTACCCCCCACCCCAAATCTCTTGCACTTCTAAATCAACCTCATTGTCTGCTTTCCTTAGGATGCAACTGACATGATGCTCTGGTCTGCTGGGTTGTAGTCTGTTTAGCCACAGATAAGGCAGTCGGGTGCGGTCAATGGCTTTGCAGAGGCTTGCTAACACATGGAAATGTTTATGCACATTTAAAAAGTTGATTCACAAAGTAGTACCAGATTTTCTCATTACAGTATTTTAATGCAGGGGCTCTTACAGTTAAAATATTCTGGAAGTTAAGTAGGAAAACTACATTGAAGATAAATCTAAGTTAATTACAGATGCAAAATTTTTGTTTTAAATGTAAGCATCTACCCTACCTCCTTCAACCAGAGTTAGGCTGGGGTTCTGTGAATTGCACACAGACGTTTCTTGCTTGTTATGGAATTTGCTTTTTGTATTTCGGAAGCAACTACATTCTGGGCAACAAAACCAAACTGGTCTCACATTTAGATTAAGCACCTTCTATGGCTGAGCCACTTCCTCTTGAATATTTGATAGTCACCCAAAATTAAGGACAGTGGTGGATACATTCTTCGCCTTCTGTTTCAACACTCTCTTGCCTTTCTTATTACCTAGTGCTATTTGTGGCACCGCAATCATATATGTTTACTAGGTTTAGACAACAACAACATCTTGGCTGCCACTTAAAAAAAAATATTTGAGATCCTTGACAACAGCTCAATTCCTTGGACTTAGGAAGAGGTCACACGGCTTCTCACAATGGCTGAGACAAGGGTGGGAGTGGGAAGGTCTTTCCGTTTCTTCATCCAGGCACTTAGTAAATAAAACCAGTTCCTCAAAATAGCTTTTATACAAAGAACATAATCTTTTACCTAAGATTCTTTATTTGGTTTTCCATCATCCAGTCTTTTCCTTTTTTCTCTTTTAAAGCTCGAAGCCCATGGACTTTGAGATTTGTTGCATCTTTATCCACAAATCTCCTCCCTTTAATAACCAGTCTTCTCAGAACTTAAATTCCATCAAAGCCAACACCTTCAATACACGCGGCCCATTTTTCTTCTTCGGATGCTGACTAGACCGTTTTCCAGTCATTCTCATTTTATCAATATCTCCTTCAATCTTGAGATTCCTTCTTAACCATTTCCTTCTAAAGGTCTATTCTAACTGCCTCCAAATGATTTCTTCTTCTTCGTCATTATCTTAATGCTTCCTTAGCCATGAGCTTGTTTGTACAAATGTAAAGATAAATGGTGACTGGCAGAATGCCTGTGCTTGAAAGATACAAACGGGCATATTTGCCAATTTCTTCTCTCTTATAGAACTGTGGTCAAACTACTCCGCCTTCATTACAATCACAAATGTGTGAGACTGAAGGAGAGGCCGAACATGCCTGTAATCTTGGCATTTTGGGAGGCTGAGGTGGGAGGATCCCTTGAGCCCAGGAGTTTGAGACCAGCCTGGGCAACATGGCGAAACCCTGTCTCTACAAAAAATACTGAAAATTAGCCTGGCATGGTGGTGCATGCCTGTGGTCCCAGCTACTCAGGAGGCTGAAGTGGGAGGATCACCTGAGCCCAGGAGGTGGAGGCTTCAGTGAGCCCTGATTGCATCGCTGCACCCCAGCCTGGGTGACAGTGAAACCTCGTCTCAAAAAAAAAAAAGAATAAAGGAGAATATTCAAAATCACCATCTGAAATTTGAGGATTGAGGGACTAATTTGGCTACTTTGTAATTGTTTTATTATTATTATTATTTTTTGGGATGGAGTCTCTTTCTGTCCTCCAGGCTGGAGTGCAGTGGTGCGATCTTGGTTCACTGCAACCTCCGCTTCCCGGGTTCAAACGATTCTCCTGCGTCAGCTTCCTGAGTAGCTGGGACTACAGGTGCACGACACCACACCTGGCTAATTTTTTGTATTTTTAGTAGAGACGGGGTTTCACTGTTAGCCCGGATGGTCTTGATCTCTTGACCTCGTGATCCGTCTACCTTGGCCTCCCAAAGTGCTGGGATTATAGGTGTGAGCCACCGCGCCCCACCTGTGATTTTTATATAGTTGTTTGCTGTCAGAGCTAAGGATTTTACTGGAGTTAACAAATAACTATGCTATAAGTAACAAAAATGCTGAGCCAAAGACGTGCTAATACTTTTCCTGGTATTAGCTGGTTTCCCCTTGAGTTAGAACATACCTATGAGAACACACAGAAGGAAATCTCTCAAAATGTAATTGACATCAAGCTATTTATGTGTACCTGTTTGCTTATCATCCATTGAGCCAGACATCTGACATCTTTGTTGCCTTTTTGTTTCTAGGTCTTGGTACTGTTGACATTTGATAAATGTTTATTTCTTGATTTTAATTCTTAGCTTTTGTTTCATTTAATACTTTAGTTCTTCACACCAGAATTGTCTGGAAGGCAACTGGAAGTTTAACAGAGATAAAGGAAATCGAGATCACAGTATATTCCTCATAGTTCTAACATCTGCATTTCAGGAACAGAAGACAAACGTTTTAAATGTTTTGCCAACTGCAATTAAACAAAATGATCAACTCCTTATCATGAGACAGTTCAGGGATGTATGTCTGCAATTCACACATTTCATTTCCTAGCTTGTTCTTCTTTCAATAAAGAGGTCACAATGGGAGTGACTTTTAGTCTAAGTAATAAACGGTTTACCTTTGCCTTTGTGTCTCTTGTAATAATTGTTGCATTGGGTAAGGATTAAATGTGATATGTGCGTTGTGATCTGCTTCAGAACAGGAGAGGAAATGTGTTGGTCTTCCCCAGGATCACCTCTGTGAGCCACTTAAAACTCTAGTAGACAGAGCACTGGAGAGTGTCCCCCAGAGAATTGTTTTAACTGGCGATCTGCCTGCCCACCATCTACCCCTAAATCCTAATGAGACTAAATAGTCTTTTGTTTTTATACGTGTGTAGAAGCTATTCCAAAGCTTTTTAGATTTCATTGACTAGTAAATTTCCAAAAGATATTTTTGAAGCCTTGCTTAAAGTTTTTAATATTTTTATTTTCTCAGGTAAAAATAGTTTTTTAAAAGAGATTGTCAAACAGATTTTTTTTTCCCAGAAATATTTACTGTAGCAGATATTCCTCTCTCCTCCCTTTTTGGCAAAACTTTAATTTCATGTGGGAGTTTATCCCTTTCCCATATGAGTTAAAGTTAAATCTTGACAAGTCGAAGCCTCTAAGTCAATATCCTTGACAGTGATTGGCTTAAGGGGAGGCATGAGATCCTTTTCTGGACTACTATGTACATGGGAAGATCTGTTAGGGGTTTATGCTGGTCTGTTTCCATTTGTCCCGCTCCATCCAGAACTCATCTGTCTTTTTCTGCTTTTCTCTGTGCCCCAGGAGGTTGACCTCTAAAGATTGCACTGTGAAGTCTTCCTTGTCCTCTGGCATTCCACTGGATTTGGCTAATGGAGGCATTGCTAGGAGGGCAGAGTATTCATAATTCGACCTCAGACTCCCTTCCTTCTGGCTGCGATCCAGACAGTAGCCACATTCCTCTAAGGCACAGCTCCCGTGTCGGGCAAGCTTTCTTCCTCAGCTACAGCTCTCTTTATGAAGGGTGGAAACTTCCTTTCTCCTTTCTCCTTCAGGACCAGAAGCAGGGTGGACTTCCTGCTATAATCCTTGGCACTTCACCTTTTCTCCTTGGTTCTCTTAACTTTGCTCGCTTGCAGTCTTTAAACAGCCCCTCCATTAAATTCACTTCTATTAAATTCTCTAAGAGTGCAAGCTCTTCCCTGCTCAAACCTTGACTGATATAGGGGGCTTCGAGGAATGGTTCTTGAAAAGACTCACAGAGGAGGAAGACACAGTCTCTCTTGTACTGGAGGTCATTGTGTCAGCAGGTGACCCTGGGACCTTGGAGGCAGCCATTTTGAACAATGAAGGGATCCAGATGAGAGAGACCAACATGTTGTGGCTAGCAGAGTCAAAAAATGGAAGGGGAGTGTGTCCTTGAGGCCACTGTGCCTTTGAATGAATCAATTTTGGAGGTGCCCTGAAAGGGGACAGTGTGCTCTATGATCTAGTACACATTCCTGATGCTTTATGTCACTTTGAGCAACAGTCTTGTGTTCTGTGAAGCTGAACAATTTCTCTCTCACCTTTTTGAGATGGGGTCTTGCTCTGCACCCAGGCTGGAGTGCAGTGGGGTGATCAAAGCTCACTGCAGCCTCAAACTCCTGGGCTCAAGTGATTTTCCTACCTCAACTTCCCCAGTAGTTGGGACTATAGGCATGTACTGCCACACCCAGCTAATATAAAAAAAGTTTTAGGAAGAGGGATCTCGCTATGTTGCCCAGGCTGGTCTCAAATTCATGGTCTCAAGCAGTCCTCCTGCTTCTGCCTCCCAAAATATTGGAATCGCAGGCGTGAGCAACCATGGCCATCGGAAAGTTTCCTTGAGTCTGATAAAGCAAACCCACAGGGTGCAATAACAAAACAATGGGATAGGTGTGGGGGAAATGTACTTAAATAGAGTGAACAGAGATACATCTAAAGTGACTTGAACGATGAGAAGTTCAATGAGAGATGAGCAGGTGGGAAAACAAACTATCACTACCACTTCAGAAAGAAAAGGGACATTTAAACTCCAAATATGCAGACAGAACATAAACTGAGAATAAATGGAAGGGCTGGAAAGTTAAATGGAATATTAAGGACATTACTTTTATTTTTTCTCAATGTTTGGTAAGCAATGGTGTGTGGGTGTGTATGTGTGTGTGTAGTGTCTTTTTCCATGGTTTATGGCTTAAAATAAATTTTTTGGTAGAAATTATACAAAGCACTCATTGCTGCATGCATATGTAACAGGGTGGCATTTAACCCAGTTTAGGCAATGGGGCAAAGTCAGTGAAGGTTGGTGCCAGGATCCTGTACCTGTAAGACTGAAGTGGTTTTCAGGGCCCCCGCTCCACTCCCACACGCTTCACCAGTTCCTGGTCTTGTCTCTGCCTCACCCCGTTCTGGGTTGCTCTGCTCTGGTCTTGGTCATGGGCCCTGGCCTCCCTTCCGCCCTGGCCCTCCAGGCTGGCTTGCCGTGTGCTCTCCAACATGTGGTCCTGGGCTTGGGTTCCCCGTCTCCTTCCTCCTTATCCTTCTACCTGGCATTGCACCTCTGTGATTCTCTAGAATAAATTCTCTATCCTTGAACTGCTATGGTGGTGATTTTGGTCTTCGTAAGCCATTCCCCTTAAAAAAATAACTTTTTTTTAAAAAAACAATTTTCTCTAATATATTTTAGGATACTTTTAATTTAAAAAACCCCTGTGTGGCATTCTTTTCTCATGGGCTGTAAATGCTGAGTGTGTTTCATGCTTGCCCCCTCTCTGTGCTCCTTGTCTTACTCTGGCCCCTTATTCTAGACCCTCCTCCAGCTTATGGCCCTCCTTTGCTTCTTCATCTCTTTTTTTAAGACAGGGTCTTGCTCTATCACCTGAGCTGGAGTGCAGTGGTGCAATCATAGCTCACTGCAGCCTTGAACTCCTAGGCTCAGGTGATCCTCCCACCTCAGCCTCCTGACTAGCTGGGACCACAGACACGCACTACCATGCCAGGCTAATTTTTAAATTTTTGCTAGAGATGAGGTTTCACTACGTTGGCCAGGCAGGTCTGCAACTCTTGGCCTCAAATGATCCTTCCAACTCAGCCTCCCAAAGTGTGCTGAGATGACAGGTGTCAGCCACCGCACCTGGCCCACTCACCTCTTTGAATCGCTATCTTCTCAATTCTGAATCCTTCTAAATTTTCCTCACCAACACTAGATTGAGAAGTGGGAAGAAGAAACAAGAAAATAGGAGGAGAAAGAGAGGCCCAAAACTATTACTTTCTAATACAAGCAGAAGAGAATCAAGGTGAAAGAAAAGATCTTTTGAGGCCTGGAGTTGAGTGAGCCCATGAGCCAAACCTTAGAGGGAAGGCGGGAGGCAGGGCTTGTGATTTCTTCTTGGGTGACCTATTTGCTTAAATGATGCTGGAATTGTAGGCCATAGATGCAAATTACAGAATCATTCCCTGACTTGCCCACTAGGTTGGGCAAGTTGGGGAAAATAATCAATTTATCCCTTGAAAATTAATTCTTTCTGTTGGACGATAGCGAAAGGGCCTAAGAAGATCCTGAATAAATGCTTTCTGATGATGTGGGTGCAACCAGAAGCCACTGCACTGATGTTTTGAGGCCTTTCCAGTGGTAGAGTTCAAGAGTTCTTAATTAGGAACACATGTTCTGAGAGTCCACACAGTCACTTCTTGTCACCCTAAAGGAAGACATTAAAGGGTATGGCTCTAGAATGAAGAATGGCCTGGTGCAGTGGTTTATGCCTGTAATTCCAGCACTTTGGGAGGCTGAGGCGGGAGGATCACTTGAGTCCAGGAATTCGAGACCAGTCTGCGCAACAAAATGAGAAAAATGAGACCCCTGTCTTTACAAAAAATAAAACAATTAGCCAGATACGATGGCGCATGCCTGTAGTCCCAGCTACATGGGAGGCTGAGGCAGGAGGATGGTTTGAGCCCAGGAGGTTGAGGCTGCAGTGAGCAGTGTTTGTGCCACTGCACTCTAAGCTGGGCAGCAGAGCAAGACCTTCTCTCAAAAACATAAAAATAATAAAGGAAGAAACTTGCTCCTTGTGATATATGGGGCAAGATGTTTTGACCCTTTCCTTTTTTCTTGGCTTTGGGACCTTAGGGGATTCACTTAGCCTCTCTGGGCTACCAGTGTTGTGATCTGTAACACTGAGATGATTAATTCTGTTCTGCTCACCTCTCAGGGTTGGAAAGGATCAAATGATACAGATGACAGCATGTTGTGACACATAGCCTTACACACTAGTGCAAGGTATCACTGAGGTTTTACTATGATGTGTGACCCAGTTGCACGGTCACCAGGCACTGTGAGTGCTACTGGCCAGCTCCCTGCTGCAGAGGAAGGCCAGAGCAAGCTGCAGTCCTACCCCTGGGTAGCTTCACTTGGCTGGAAAAAAAAATCACTTACCCAAGGTTGTGTGCCTAGACTGTGCTGAGAAGCTGGGGGAAACAGAGAGACGTCTCAACCAGGGCATTTACAAACCAGTGCCTGGGAGTACCATCAGACTTACCAAAGGACCCTCAGGTTAATATATTTGATAACATAGCTACCCAGCAGTTCAAAATGAAGTCATGTTTGTTTAAGAAAATTATAAATAAATGTGTTTTTGATTCAAGTTCATCTTTTTGGCCCCTTCTTCTAAGTATTTCTTAAATCTGCCCACTTCTCTCCATCACCACACCTTTATTCCAGGCCTGCCTCACCTCCCATGTCCATTAAACTCTCAGCCTCCCACTTGGTCTCTTTTGTTCCAGTCTCTTTCCCCCAGCAACCTACTGTCCATGCCCACCCCGCATCTTCTCTGCCTCTAGTCAGATCCTGTCACTTCCCTGCTTAGCATCTTCCAGTATTTCCCCATTCCTCCTCCTTCTCTACGGAACTCAGTTTTCCAGCCTCCCCTAGGCTGGACTAGGTTGCTCCTGTGTGCTCAGTGGGCATGCTCACCCACCTTCCCTCCTTGATCTCACTTGGTGGCCTCACATCACACTTCTTTGAAGAAGAACTCTGTCAGACTCCCACTAAATCTTCTCATCAAAACTGCTGACTTGAAGCTTGGACAAGAAGGGGGAAGAGGATATGGAAAAGAATTATCACATACCCCCACTAGACATCAACCATGTGTCTTTTTTTTCTCTTTGAGATGGAGTCTTGCTCTGTCACCTAGGCTGGAGTACAGTGGCACGATCTCGGCTGACTGCAACCTCCACCTGTCAGGTTCAAGTGATTCTCAATTCTCGTGCCTCAGCCTCCCAAGTAGCTGGGACTACAGACGCCCGCCACCACACCCATCTAATTTTTCTATTTTTAGTAGGGACAGGGTTTCGCTGTTTTGGCCAGGCTGGTCTCGAACTCCTGATCTCAAGTGATTCACCTACCTCGGCCTCCCAAAGTGATGGGATTACAGGTGTGAGCCACCGTGCCCGGCCCATCTCCTACTAAATCTATAATCATCTCCCTCCACTGTTCCCCTTTCTTCCCTCCAGGTACAATTGTAATGCATCCCTCCCCTGTCCAAGGCCAATTCCTATGCTCATGCCTTGCACACAATCCCTGCACCATCTCAGGGACTTCCTCCTTTTATTATCACCTCTATCTCTAACCTCATCAAGCTTCCCCTTTCTCCTGGATTATTCCCATCAGCATGCAAACATTCTGAATGTTTTTCCTTGATCCTTTAGAGGATGTCCAGCTATCATTCCATTTGTCTGCTTTTTATGCCTAAAATTCATGGAAGAGTCAGCTGGGCATGCCATCTCACCACCTCACCTCTTCTCCATGCCAGTCGGGCTCCCACTTCTGCTGCTTGATGGTGACTCCTGCTCCAGGTGAGCAGTGACCTCCTCCTTGCCACACTCAGGGCTCAGCTTTCTTCTTTTCTTTCTTTCTTTCTTTTTTTTTTTTTTTTTTGAGACAAAGTTTCACTCTGTTGCTGAGGCTGGAGTGCAGTGGTGCTATCTTGGCTCACTGCAAGCTGCACCTTCCGGGTTCAATGATCCTCCTGCCTCAGCCTGCCAAGTAGCTGGGATTACAGGCGTGTACCACCATGCCTGCTAATTTTTGTATTTTTAGTAAAGTTGGGGTTTGCCATTTTGGCCAGGCTGGTCTCGAACCCCTGACCTCAAGTCATCTGCCCGTCTTGGCCTTCCAAAGTGCTGGGATTACAGGCATGAGCCACTGTGCCCAGCCTCAGCTTTCTGCCTTCATCTTGCTCCTTGCTCAAGGGCAGTCACCACCTCCCCTGGGTTTCTTTGTCTTTCCCAGTTCCCTCGCTGGCTCTTCCTCCCCTCCTAACACAGCTGTATGACTGTGTTCCTGAGCCCTCCACTGCTCTTGCCACACTCTCTGTGGGTGGTCCCAACTTGACCCATGGCTTTAAATAGCATTTATTTGCTGGTGATTCCTGAATTTATAGCCTCAGCTTAGACCACTGTTCCTCTGAACTTCAGACTTGTGTATCCAACTGCCCACTCTCTACTCCCATGTAGCAATTTCACAAGCATCCCAAAGTTAGTATGTCCCAGAATGAACTCTTAATTCCTGCCACTTCAATCTATTTATCTCCTGTCTTCCCTGTCTCAATAAATCACACCTTCATCCACCTGTGGCTCCATTCAGAAACCTGGATGGCCTACGTGTCTTTTCCCTATACTTACCTTCATAGCCGATTTGTCAGAAATTCTGGACTATTCTACCTCTAAAACAACACATCTTGAATCCGTCCACCTATTACCTCTTCTTTCACTATAGTCCAAGCCACCACCAGTTTTTTCTTCTCCTTCTTCTTCTTCTTTTTTTTGGGGGGGGTGGGGGGCGGGGGTGGGGGGTGGGGGCATGGTTTTGCTCTGTTGTCCAGGCTGGAGTGCAGTGGTACAATCATAGCTCACCGTAGCCTCCACCTCCTGGGCTCAAGCAATCCTCCCACCTCAGCCTCCCAGGCAGCTAGGACTACAGGCCAGTTAACTACTATGGTCAGTTAATCTTTAATTTTTTTTTTTTGTAGAGACAAGGTCTTGCTATGTTGCCCAGGCTGGTCTCAAACTACTGTCCTTAAGTGATCTTCCTGCCTCGGCCACCCAAAATGCTGAGATTACAGGTGTCAGCCACCGTGCCCAGCTCACCGTAAGCTTCTTAAGTGGTTTACCTGGTTCCACTTGTGGAAGGCTTCAATTTCTTCCTACGCAGCATCCAGGGAAAGTGTGATGCCTGTATAAATCTTCCAGTGGCTCCCCATTGCCCAGCTCATATGGTCCTACTTGGTTTGGCCCCTGCCTTTCTATAAGCCCTCCTTCTCTCACCATGTCTCTGCTCCTCCTCTTTCCACAACCCGTGGCTGGCCCTCATATCTGTCTGTTTCACTGATTAATGCTCAGTCTCTGGTAACTGCCCCAGTGCAGAGACTGTGCAAATTAATATTTGTTTTGATTGTTGAATTTATTGCCACGTGTTAGATCCTAGAGTAACTAAGATGAACTAAAGAAAGCTTCCATCAAACAGGAGCTGTCAGTCAAGTAAGTGACACAAATGTGTACACAGAGAATATTTACAATTCATTTTGATGGGGTGAACACGAGGGGAAGCCAAGGAAAGGCTTCTCAGGGAAGGAACACTTGAATTGAGTTGATGAACCTCCCCGTAAATCTAAACCATCGCATAAAAACAATAACTTCAGGAAATAGAATGGAAAAATATGCTAAATTATTAATATTAGCATTCCTGGCTTTTAGCTTGGTGGAAGTTTTTTTTTTCTTCCCTATTTTGGTATTTCCAAATCTTCCAGCATGAATTATAAAAATAGTTAGCTTTTTTATGATAAAAAAGTAAAAAAAAAACCTGGAGGAAATAGTTCTTACACACACACACAAACGTGCACACACACACACACGATTAAAACAAATGAAAACAAACAAAAATCCCTGTTGAGCAATGCAAACACACATCACACTTTGATATTAATAAAACGAGACACACTCGGATATCTCATTGTGCATTTTCTCATATGTTTCTGGAAGTCAGCTGCAGGTACTGGAAATGAAGCTTCTTCTCAAAATAAATTTTCCGAAAACAACAAAAAAAGATTGAAGAAAAAAGTGAGAAAAAGGATGAGAAATGGTGAAATCTTTTTACTGAGTTTATGAGTTGAGTGGGTAGCAGGGAAAGGATGGGTTGGGAGGGAACGGGGAGGAAAGGAAATAGGAGTTTTTGGTGATGTTCCACTCATAAAAGTCAGTGGATATTTTTACAGGTACCAGCTAGTCCTTCCTGAAAATCCTCTAACGGCGACAGGCTGTGAAGCAGTAACAGGAAGATAAATGCTTTTCTGAAGAGTAATTTTAGTGCCGTGTGGAAAATGTGAAGGGGGAAAAAAATAAAGATCGAATGGAAAATCCATCCACGGGCCAACCCACACCACAGAAGTGTTGGGGACCTTGCGTGTCCTAATTAGCCCCTACACCAGGAGCAGCAGCCCCAGCAGAGGCCTCTCTCTGGGCAAATGCCCTCGTCCTTTGTGGGGGGCAGCCTGGGTAAAGAGCATTCATTTACTCCACATGCCCTGAATGTGGCTATCATTTTGAGGGTGCAGAAGAATTGGAAAGTATAAAAAGCTAAGACCACCAAGCAGTGACCTTTTCCCCTTATTCTACAATGCAAGTCTATTTTTCCATAATGGGTATTAGATGTTTCTGAATGGAGCCTTCCTAATGCAGGCAGTGTTGCAGGGAAGCTGCTTGCAAACTCTAACCTCTCTCCAACTCAGCTTTTTTTTCTACCCTAGTCAACCCTTTTGCAATCACGATGAAGTTCACGCAGATCTCACCAAGACTCATCTCTTCCTTTTGTTTTCTCTCCGTGCTGAGATGATCCTCATATAGTGCTCTTCGGAAGTTCAGAATTTTCCCATGCTCCTGTGGCAAGCTTTAGAGTTTCCAGTGCCGGAGCACCACCCAGCTGGCGGAAGCCAAAAACAAGATGGCGTCGTCATGAAATAAACCCTACTAGTGTGTGGGGGATTCATAGCTTTCTCCCCTCTTCTTTACTCGTACAGCTTCTCTTCCAAGTCAGAGAATTTGAGATGAAGAAAATTCTGAGGATTTCCTGAGAGCTTTGTACTGAGACATCTTTAAATATCTAAGAGAAACATGGGCAACTGTAATTTCCTTCCTAGGACCACCTCACTAGATGATACCGTTCTGTTTTAACAAGGGTAGCCAATGGTTGAAAATAAGAGTCATACCCCATGTTCAGAGCATAGCCATTTTATGTTTTGAGGTACAATTAACCCTTGAACAACTTGAAGGTTAGGGCAGTATGCATACTCCTCCATACTCCAAATTCTGTGTATAACTTTTGCCTTCCCAAAAACTTAACGACTCATAGTCCACTATTGACGGGAAACCTTATCCATAAGATAAACCGTTGATTAACATGTATTTTGTATGTTCTATGTATTTTGTACTGTATTCTTACAATAAAGTAAGCTAGAGAAAAGGAAATGTTATTAAGCAAATCATAAGAGAAAATGTATTTGTTATTCATTAAGTGGGAGTGGATCGTCATAAAGGTTTTCATTCTAGTTTTCTCTGTGTTGAGTAGGCTGGGGAGGAGGAGAGAGAGGAGAGGTTGGTTTTGCTGTCTCGGGTGTGGCAGGGGTGGAAGAAAATCCACATATAAGTGGAAACTTGCAATTCAAGGGTCAACCGTATATTTTTTTTCCAGTCAAAGGGACTTTCTACTCCCACACAGGCAGTCATTGAGTTCTAATGGTTGACTTTTAAAACACAAAAACTATAGGATCTACAGGAATAATTTCACATTTAATTGAAAACGGGAGACAATCCCAAAGGACTTAGCATAAAGGAGATGGTTCCTGGTCCAGTCTTAAGCCACCTGCTGTAATATGTCCAAAGTCCCTTTTTGGTCCTATAGTCCAGGCAATAACTCGGAATGTTTACTTCTCTTGTCTTTAATCCTTAGCCTAAGGGTTTGTCTGTTTCTGAGTTTTAATTGTTGTCTTTTGAGGAGTTTCATTCAGGTCTGGTTAGATGTAGATTTAAGTTGGAATCTGATTTGAAGGAGTTTACTTTATTCCTTGGGCTATAATTGAAAATGGTAGCTGGGACCAAGGGGCTGCTGACAAGATTGCTAGTTTGGCCTTTTGTGACCAAGAACCTGACTTGATGAAGCAGTGATGTGGGATTATTGCGTTTGAAATGATGAACTCACATAAGCTTTGGTACAGAAGTCGTCAAGAGCCTCAGGAGCACCAGGATCCAGCCTCGCCCAGCTGACTTAGGGAGAGCAGTGGTTCCAGTTTGCTGGGGACTATTCTGGGTTTAAAAGAGAAAGTCTCAAGCTCTGGAAAACCCCTTAGTTCTGGGCAAACAGGAGAGTTGGTCACCTGGAATTTAAGTCTGAATGAATCAAAACCAAAAAGCAACTAGGGAAACACTGATGATATCAGGTTTGAGTTTTCTTCCCGTGCGGACTGAACCCTGTTCACAATCATTTTACTAATTAGGGTGGAGAAGAATGAGAGAAAGGGAGGACAGGTGGAATATATATACACATATATATAGTTTTCGAGACAGGGTCTCACTCTGTCGCCCAGGCTGGAGTGTGGGGGTGAGATCATGGCTCACTGCAACCTCCACCTCCTGAGCTCAAGTGATCCTCCTGCCTCAGCTTCCAGGGTATCTGGGACTACAGGTATATGCCACCATGCTTGGCTAATTTTTTGTATTTTTTGTATTTTTGGTAGAGACCAGATTTTGCCATGTTGCCCACACTGGTCTCGAACTCCTGGAGTCGGTGATCTGCCCACTTTGGCCTCCCAAAGTGTTGGGATTATAGATGTGAACCTCCATGCCAGGCTTACATACATACATATATATATGTGTGTGTGTATATGTGTATATGTGTGCATATATGTATATGTGTTTGTATGTGTGTGTGTATATGTGTTTATGTGTGCGTATATGTATATGTGTTTGCGTGTGTATATGTGTATGTGTGCGTATATGTATATGTGTGTGTATATGTATGTATGTGTGTGTGTGTATGTGTGCATATATGTATATGTGTGTTTTGTGTGTGTATATGTGTGCGTATATGTATGTGTGTGTGTGTGTGGGTGTATATACTTGCAATGAGACTGTGTTTTCAAGGCAGCTTGTCTTCAGTAGTGGCCAAGGTTAGAGAATGGACCAACCTGTGATACCAACGGAGGTTGAGCCTAAGCTAAGGAAAGCAATTTGGGATGAAGAATGAGTCTTTCCTTCATTCCGTCTTTCCTTTCTTCCTTCCTCCTTCCTTTTTGTTTTTTAATTTATATATGCTGTGTAGACAGCAAGGCTGAAACTATCAGAATGTGGGAGAATCTCCTTCTCCAGAGGCAGCCACCCTCTGTGCTCCAGTACTTGATGTGAGTGTTCATCATGGGTCTATCGCTCCAGAAGACCAAGGTTGATTCGGGGGCTGTGGTCAGCCTTCGTGATGGAACTTGGCCTTTTGGCCACTTCATTGTGTTTGTGAATCTATCCTGGATAGTGACCAACTCTCATGGTTTGTCCAGAGCTAAGGGGTCTTCAAAGGCTTGAGAGTTGCAGGTTTGGGCTGTAATATTAATATTATTTATACCTCTTTCTCATCTACAGGGGTTAAATTGAATCCAAATAGTGTGCTGTTTACCTCTATTTCTCTCCATCTTTACCCAATCAAAAGTGAGAGCATTATTCACTAAACTGTGATATATATATATATATATATATATATATATATATATATATATTCAGTCTGGCTCTGTTGCCCAGGCTGGAGTGTAATGGTGTGATCTCGGCTCACTGCAACCTCCACCTCTCAGGTTCAAGTGATTCTCATGCCTCAGTCTCCCAAGCAGCTGGGACTACAGGCATGTGCCACCACGCTCAGCTAATTTTTGTATTTTTAGGGAGAGATGGGGTTTTGCCATGTTGCCCAGACTGGTCTCAAACTCCTGGCCTCAAGTGATCTGTCCACCTTAGCCTCCCAAAGTGCTGAGATTACAGGTGTGAGCCACTGTGCCTGGCCCCACTGTGAATAATATAAAACCCAGATATGCCAGGGTTTCTAAAAAGGGAGATTCTTCCTGTGGGCAAAAATGGCAGGACTTGTAGTCTTGCTTATTGAGTCTTTGCCACCATTGTGTTCAGGCTAAACACTTAAACTTGAGTTCAACAAATGGAAAGGGACAATTGCAAGGATATAATTCTAAAGAGGAACATGATGTTAAATAATCTGGCTTATAAAATCATATCACTGCATTTTCCAATTACTGTCTCTTCTTGGTCACCTTCCCACATGGCTTTACCCCTGTGTTCACAGGACAGTGGGCATGTTTGATCCTACCTCCTGGGAGGGCCTCAAGAGAAGCAAAAGACAGAAGCCCATAAAGACAGAGGTATTCCTTCTCATTCCCTTTTTTTTTTTTTTAAGACAGGGTCTCACTCTGTTGCCCAGACCAGAGTATAGTGGTGCCGTCACTGCTTACTGCAGCCTCAAACACCCAGGCTCAAGCAATCCTCCCACCTTGATCTCTCAAAGTAGTTGGACCACAGGCATGCATCATGATGCCTGGCTTATTTTTAAATTTGTTGTAGAGATGGGAGTCTCACTATATTGCCCAGGCTGGTCTTGAAATCCTGACCTCAAGTGATCCTCCCACCTGGGCCTCCCAAAGTGTTGGGATTACAGGTGTGAGCCACCTCACCATGCCCCCTCTCATTCCTATCTCGGGACATCTTCAGGGTTCCATTTTGCTTCTAAGATCCTTCCTCCTCTCCGATGCTGGGATGTCCACTCCCTGCAGGGAGGGGCTAACTCCCACCCTGAACTTCGACCACTCTTATTCCAAGTCCTCAGTAGGGCCAGCATCACACTCTAGCAGAGCAAGCCCGATGGCCACACAAAAGGCAGACACCCCCATCAGAGGACAGGGGCATTGTGTTGTCATACGACACTTTCCTATTTTCCAGAGTATGGCATGCAGATTTTTTAAATAGAAATCAGGGAATGGAGAAATTACATAGCTGTGCGTATGTGACTGTATCTTACCTGGACATCAGTTTGCCCTTTGCTTGTGGTAAAATGATATAGACGATATCGTCTTGAGGGGTCATGGAGATTTTTCAGACTCTTTGAGCAGATCTTTGAGATCTTCCTTGGTGAAACCATTTCTTAGTGGATTAGTATCCTTATAAATTATGAAAACATGGCACCTAACGATGAACGATGACCTCAACACAAATAAAATGATGAGAGCCAGGCTGCTGTGGACCTCAGAGGTTCTAGGGAGGTCTGTTCTCATGACTGCATGCATTTGAGTTGATCTAAAGATAAGAAAAATACACTTCAAAATATTAGGCTGCGGTTGCTTCACTGATCAAAAGGAGGCGGGAGTTGTTTTGAAGGTTTCGTCTGGTTTCTACCATGGTGGCATTGCAGGTCCACTTAGACCAGTTGTTTTGCATCCTCAGTCAACATATCCAGAAACTGAAAGGGTCTGATGCCTGAAAAGAGAATAACAAAGCCCTCCAAGCTGGAGTAAATCTGACAACAAAACAGATTGCAGCAATAATAAGAAAAAAAAATTCATTAAGCCAGACATGTTTGAAATATAGGGACTCCCTGTGGAACCACAGTGAAGACAGATTAAACACAAAAGCATTCAGTGTCTCCATTGTAAAATCAAAGCTCCAGTTTATGGGGCCACTTTGAACATAGTTGAAGTAATAGGTTCATTATTCTGCCTAATTCCCACTTTTCACTGTGAAACAATGTTAAATGTTAGAATTTTTTGGAGGTATGAATTAACAAATACTGAGTTTCCGTGAAATGTTTAGGGACATGTTTTATTTTCCCCATTAAAAATGTCAGCTATTTCTTTAATGTGGTTAATCTCCAATGTTTTCCCAAAGAAGCAACTGATGATTAGACAGCAAAGTCAAACAGTTAATTTTAAGAATATGTGCTATGACCCAGAATTGGTGTGTAATGTTAGCTACAGATATAGAATCTGAAAGTGGGAACTGCCATGGAAGCCGACAGGAAGAAGGTGGCACTTGGGCTAAAAGTGATCCAAAAATGAGTGTCATTGAAATTTTCACTACACCTTAAAATAATGTGATTTTTGAAAGATTATTTAAAAATTTAATGAAAACCTTAGTTTACACAAAAATTTGACAAGTAAGTAAGATTTGTAACAGTTTGGTGGGAGTAGGGCAGGAAAAAACTTTGCCAAATTGGACTTTCCTTTAAAAGAATCTTTAGAATTAAAACGTTGCCACTAATGATGACATAATATATTGGCAGAAGGAAGATATGCTGGAATGATGTTAAACCTTGCAAGTTCAACGTATTTCTTGGCGGTCTTATGATCATGGACATGGGTTTAGTAAAAAATCGTTCTTGTAATGATTATGGGGAAAATTGTAACCTCGAATATCAGACAGTCTAAATTTAAACATTTCTTTTTATAGGTTTCTGTGATAAATTGTTAATGTAGCACTCCTTAAATAATTGGTTATTAAATATGGCCCTGGGTTGTACAATAAGAATAAATGTAGTATCACTTTAAATAATCTTCGAAAGACTATTATCCCAGATATTTAGTTTTACCAACACAGGACCCTATAAAGACTTGCAGGGCAGACATATTTCCTTTTTTGCAGATTTAAGAAATGTAAGCTTTTGACTTGCCTAAAGCTGAGAACCGCTGGAGTGAGTAGCCAGCTCCTCCTTCCTCTGGATCAGTGCCTACTGTGTTTTGGTGATTGAATAAGATACTTTTGCTTCTGGGTTGCTCTTGAATGAGACCTGAAGCTTTAAAAATATTCTTGGCCAGGGCCGGGCTTGGTGGCTCATGCTTGTAATCCCAGCACTTTGGGAGGCCAAGGTGGGTGGATCACAAGGTCAGGAGATCGAGACCATCCTGGCTAACACGGTGAAACCTTGTCTCTACTGAAAATACAAAAAATTAGCCGGGTGTGGCGGCGGGCACCTGTAGTCCCAGCTACTCAGGAGACTGAGGCAGGGGAATGGTGTGAACCTGGCAGACGGAGGTTGCAGTGAGCCGAGATTGCGCCACTGCACTCCAGCCTGGGTGAAAGAGCAAGACTCTGTCTCAAAAAAAAAAAAAAAAAAGAAAGAAAAAAATTATTGGCCTAGTTTCAGGTTAAAAAAATAATGCATCCTCACTCCTTGCCATTCCGTAGTGAATGAATGCACTATAAATCTTCACTTAACTTTTTTTTTTTTTTTAATTACAACATTTTTTAGAGACAGACAGGTTCTTGCTCTGTTGCCCAGGCTGGAGTACAGTGGTGCAATCATAGCTCACTGCAGCCTCCACCTCCTGGGCTTAAGTGATCATTGACCTTGGCCTCCCGAATAGCTGGGACTATAGGTGTGCACCACCATGCCTGGCTAATTTTTGTTTTTCTTTGTAGATTCAGGACCTTGCTATGTTGCCCAGGCTGGTCTTGAGTTTTTTATCTCAAGCAATTCTCCTGCCATGGCCTCCCAAATCTCTGAGATTATAGGAGTGAGCCACCATGCCTGGCCCTAATTCTTCATTTTAATATATAAAATCTAGGTGCCCTTTTATGTACTATCTGTGGAATTGCCTGGTTCTTTTCATCTGTATTATATTTCCATCTGAGGGGAGTCCTAAGTTGCTACTATGATCAATGAATAATTTATCACTCACCATCATTTATTGAGCATATGCTGAAAACAAGTTGGCAAAGAACCGAGAATGAACTGCAGATATTTAAAGAACTTTTAGAATAATGGAAATTCTTGTAAAAGGGCTTTTGGGGAACTGTCGTTCATTATTAGACAAAAGAGGTTTTGTCTAATAGGCAAAGTATGGAGTTTGGGAGAAAGGTAAGGTGAGGATGTTACTTTGGGAGTCCCCAGCATAGAATCAGTCATCTGGGGTGTGAAAATGGATGGAAAAGAAAAGCTGAGGTCTGAGAACTGTAGTCTAGCGATGCCAGAGTGTAGAGCAGGGCTCCCTTTCTGGCTGCACAGAAGTTTCAAATCATGTAGCCTTGGAATCCAAACTTAGGAAGTGTTCAGGAAAGGGAGATTGTTCAGCAGTGCCAAGCACAGCGGATGCAACAAGTAACACAACATTGGCCATTCATTTTGTGAATGGGGAGGTCGTTTTGATCTTGACAAGGGCGGTTTCTGCGGATTAGTGAAGATGAAAGTCTAAATGGAGTATATATTTTTTAATTTTTATATTTTGAGACAAGGTCTCACTCTGTCACCCAGACTGGAGTGCAGTGGCACGAATGCAGCCCACTGTAGCCTCCACCTCCTGGGCTCAAGTGATCCTGTCTCCTGGGCCTACCAAAGTGCTGGGATTATAGGCATGAGCCATTGCGCCCTGCCTAAATGGAGTATTTTCATGAAAGGATAAGAAAGGAGAAAAGAAAGATGGTCAACACAGATAATTCTTTAGAGAAGTTTTATTACAAAAGGGAACGGAATATAGGAGGTGCATTGAGGGACTTGGAGTTAAGGGATTTTTTTTTTTTTTAAAGATGGTAAAAAGTTGCAGCCTGTTTTTCTGGTTTTGTTTTGTTTTTTTTAGAGACAGGGGCTCTCTTTCTCACCCAGGCTAGAGTGCAGTGGTGGGACCGTAGCTCACTGCAGCCTTGAATGCCTTCACTTAACCGATCCTCCCACCTTAGCTCCCTGAATAGCTGGGACCATAGGTGCACACCACCATGCCCAGCTAATCTTTTCTATATATATGTTTTTTGAGACAGGATCTCACTACATTGCCCAGGCTGAGCTTGAACTCCTGGGCTCAAGCGATCCATCTGCCACGACTCTCAAAGTGCTGGGATTACAGGTGTGAGCTACTGCTCGGCCAAGGTTTTTGATATTATTGTGGCTAATGTCATCAACTCCTCAATATTCACTCCACTACAATGGATTAACCTAAGCCAATCATGGTGACTGTGCAACTCATGCCAACGATGGGTTTTGGAATACATGAGTGACCTCACTTTAGCTGATGGATATGAAAAGAATTCTAACACAAAGGTGGAGAGCTGGCTTGAAGGAGACTTCAGGGAAAAGTTCTAAATTCCTTTACAAACCATTGAAGAAGAGATGATTCCTCCTCTTCTTTCTCTAGATGCTTTTAATTGTGAGGCCTGGTGCTGATTCAGCCATCTTATCTCCAGTCTGTGACCGAGGCTAATACACATGGAGATCAAAGTAGAAAGAAATGCAAAGAAGTGGACCCGGAGCCTGACATATCACGCCTAAGGCAAACCTTCTCTTTAGGCTTTTTGTGATGTGAGCTAACAAATTTCCTTACTTTACAGCCACTTTTAGTTGTGATTTCCTGTTACTCGCACCTGAAAACATCCTACTGATACTGATAAGTCCTGAAACATTGCTCTTCAGAAAGCTGTGTACATGCACACCTTGAAAAGATGTCACAATATGTTGCAATACATCCTTAAATAATAAATACTTACGTTTCAGTAAATCTAAATGCCATTTGGTATAATGAGTGTGTTTGTCAGTAAGACTTTTTGTTAAAATTAGTCTGATCAACTTTTGAGGTGTTGTGTGTATCAGGGGCCCAGTAAGTATTTGCTGGCTACATGTGACTGATGCTGTGGGGAGGGTACCGGGGAGAGGTTTGCTCTGTGGCCTCGGGCCTCAGGGTAGAGGCAGGTTGTGTGAAGCCACTAATGTTGAAGGCAGTGTCACTCTTGATGGATCACATTTTGAAACTAGTTTTTGAATATCTCTTGAATCTTTTCTCTCCATTCCCAGAGAGGCTGCCTTTGTTTACCCCCTTATAATACCTTCACTGGATTCTTGCCAAGACATTCTAACGGTGCTATCCTGAGACTTCCCACTCCTCTGCTACAAGACAGTCTTATTCCTCAGCACTCTCTCCTTGTAGGTTAAGTCCCGTCCAAGATCCTTCCAAGTTCCTTCCTTACAAACATAAGCAATATGGTGCTCTCATTCTTCTGGTTTCCTGGATATTCCTGATATCTCTGCATCTTTGGGTTGCACAGCCTTTGACCTTTGAGCTGGATACAGAAGACATGCACTACAATTTGATGGAGGAATGAATAGGGCAACCCAGCAGTATATGCATGGTTGTCTGTAAAAAAAATTCGGTATGAACTGCTTCAGGACAGAAATGGAAAGCTGGAGGCCTGGGAAGTGAATTATGCCTGCAGGCAAGTTTTCTAAAAAAATGTTTTTTTGTTTTTTGTTTTTTTCACTCTGTTGCCCAGGCTGGAGTGCAGTGGTGCAGTCTCAGCTCACTGCAACCTCCGCCTCCTGGGTTCAAGTGATTCTCCTGCCTCAGCCTCCCGAGTAGCTGGGATTACAGGTGCCCGCCACCACGCCTGGCTAATTTTTGTATTTTTAGTAGAGATGAGGCTTCACCATGTTGGCCAGGCTGGTCTCGAACTCCTGACCTCAAGTGATCCGCCTGCGTTGGCCTCCCAGAGTGTTAGGATTACAGGCGTGAGCCACTGCGCCCAGCCTAAAAAATGTTTTGAACAGGTTGCCGGCATTAAGAAATTGGGAGATTTTATATTAAATCATCTGGATTTCTGGCTTCTTTTGACGTCATTGGGCTCATTCCCAAAGAGCAATAGCCAGTTGGGGCCCACTAGGGTCCCTCCTTCTGGGGGTTCTCAGTTTGACTCATTCTTCGGCCAGCCTTTCTGTTACCTGCGTGGTGCACTCAGCCTTAGCTTTGGGATTGTTCCAGAACTTCCAGTGCTCTGCTCTTACGTGTTCATGGTCCAGGCCTCTGTGGACTGTGTCAGAAGCCATCACTGCCCTAGTTTGGGGATCAAAAGCTCCATTATACATTTGTCCTTTGGTGCCCAAATGCCTCCTTGTTTCCTGCAACAAGCCAAAATTTGGAAACCTGGTTTCTGATTAGAGCTCAGCCTTCTTTTGAAGTCTCTCACTTTTCTTAATTCTTCTCACTTTTCAGAGTGTCAGCGTCCTTATTTGTAAAATACATTATCTGGACAGATGAGTTGTGAGGTCGTGGACTGTATGTGGTTATTGTGAATTTATTCTGAGACGTGTCTGCATGTTATGTGTCCCTTAGTTGAAGGGTACAGGGCTGGTGGGGAGCGTACTCTATCTAGCAGGACCTTTGCCTGACGTGGGGGATAATGGCCTATTTCCCTCCTGTCAAACCTGAAGCCTAGGGAATTTCTGAAATACTGAAACCCACTCCTTTGGCTTATGGCTCCGTGTAAGCTGTAAAACACACACTCAACACTTGATACATTTCATTACGATGAAAGGACTCTCAAGTGCAAGTGACAGAGTATGTTGACCTACAGTTAGGGGCATTACACTGTGCTTGACTGTCTTCAGAAGAATTTTGCCCAGTTGTGGCTTTAACTTGACATCCAGACAACAAAGCTCCCTGATCACATTTAATAAGAAAATTTAATAACCCCTTATTGAGTATTTCTGCTGCCCCCATAGATTAACCTTTAACAAATGAAGTTTTCATTGCCACACAGCCTCAAGAATGTTCTCTCTGTGATGAATGTGTCTAAATTTGTGTGGACATGAAGACTCTGGAGGCTGGGAAAGTCCCATTGTGTGTGGAGAAGTTCCCAGGGAGCCAGCTCCAGTGGAATTGATGTCACCAAGACACTAGGAATGACTTCCAGGGCCCACAGCCTCCTAATCACACTCATCCACACTAAATTACAACATATAGGAGAAACCCATTTCTCCGGGTATTTAAATACTAGACACACATAAGCAGCCAAATAATTTCCCCAAGATTTTTCAATACATGGTCATCTATTTAAAAATGGAATGATGGACCGGGTGTGCTAGCTCACACCTGTAATCTCAGCACTCATGGCGGGAAGATCGCTTGAGCCTAGGAGTTCGAGAATAGCCTGGGTAATATAGCAAGACCCCATCTCTGCTAAAGATAAAAAAAAAAATAGCTAGACATGGTGGTGTGTGCCTGTAGTCGCTGCTACATGGGAGGCTGTTGTGGGAGGATAGCCTGAGCCCAGGACTTTGAGGCTGCAGTGAGCTATGATTGTGCCACTGCACTCTAGCCTGAGTGATGGAGTGAGCCCCTGTCTCGAAAAATAAAATAAAAATCGAACAATGGGTTACTGTGGGTCACAGCAGCACAGCAGTTGTTGGGAGGTGTCCGTGATAATGTGATGCGACAGTTGGTGTTGTCATGGAGACTAATCCACATTATATGGACAAGAAAAAGAGTCAAAAAATGTCAGTATTTTATTTTGTGAATGCCTTATAAGCATTATGAAACAATGCTTATTTGCCATTTAGCAGGAGATACTCTAGATGTACAAGCTTGAAGAGAATTTGAAAGAAAGAACTGATAACACCGCAGGATCTTTCCCAAGAGCTGTTGCATCACTGTTTCCTGGGGTTTAACTGGATGATATCACAACAAATCCTTCTACATGATTTTGTCATACTGCTCCCTGTAGATCAGAGAAATTTTGATTTACAATCATTTTTATTTATGATTATGAATGATGGTTTTGAAGATCTTTTAAGGCAATGAATGTGTAATGGAAATTTCTATTCCTTTCAGGTTATGCTGGATAAGTACACAGCTTGAATTATGTTTAGTCTCTATTATTTAAGGTTTAATTAATGTCGTGATTTTTTTTTTTCATTTTCAGGTAAGCCTAGAATTGTACGATTGGAACTCAATGACGGTAAGTACTTATTACACACCACAGTGTATTTGCATGATATATGATATATTTTTATTAACTGAAAAAGTTTTCTAGTATATATATATATATATACACACACACATACACACACACGTGTACTTAACACTTACTTATTCTAACGAAACTTTATGTTCCTTATTATATACTATACCTTATGTGCTCAAAGTGCCTTTTTGCACCCTTGGATCTGTTTGAAATCAAGATTTCTGGCTTGTAGATGTATTTTTAACTGGGAACAGATGAGCCCCTGGCCACCCGGGTGAATTATTTGGGACTGTGGTGTGTGCCACTCTGGCACTTTGCACCCTATGTGTTTCTTCTGCTTCCCTAGGGAGGTGATTGGTGAGTCTTAGGGAGGGGCCAGGACAAAGGTCCTGTGGCCTGGGGAGGACAGGTTATAGTTTAAGCTAACACCCTGTACATGCTAGGAAGTCACCAAGGAAGGAGGTGGCCTTGTCCCCCGGGGGAGTTTACACTTGTGTGCCTGTGGCTTGTGACGTACCCAGGGTAACTGCAGAGACTGGCTAGGTCCTGGAGCAGTCTCACCTTTTAAATTTTAAGTTAATTATTACTTCTTGAAAGGAAGTTTCCCTGTGTTGTGCAGGCTGGCCTCGACCTCCTGGGCTCAAATGATCCCCTAGTCTCAAGTGATCCTCAGGCTGAGATGACAGTAGCTGGGACGACAGGCATGGGCCACTGTACTAATCCTTTTTCATACTGCTATGAAGAAATACCTGAGACTGGGTAATTCACAGGAAAAAAAAGAGGTTTAATGGACTCACAGCTCCACATGGCTGGGGAGGCCTCATAATCATGGGGGAAGGTGAAAGAGGAGCAAAGTCATGTCTTACATGGCAGCAGGCAGGAGAGGGGGTGCAGGGGAACTCCCCTTTATAAAACCATCAGATCTCATGAGACTTGTTCACTATCACAAGAACAGTATGAGAAAAACCCATCCCCATTATTCAATTACCTCCCATCAGGTCCCTCCCATGACATGTGGGGATGATGAGAACTACAATTGAAGATGGGATTTGGGTAGGGACACAGCCAAACCATATCAGCCACTGTGCCCGGCCAAGCCTACAGCACCCAGTATTTCCAGGTGGTCTCCCATCCAAATACTAACCAGGCCCAAACCTGCTTAGCTTCTGAGTTTGGATGAGATCAGGTGCATTATCTTCAAGATGTAATATTTGCACCATCAATTCTAGCTTCTACACAATGTGCAGGGACATTGAATAGATCTTGTCCAAATCCCAGTTTTTCTCTGTCAAGCATTGCCTCATCCCATAGTAGGAATGAGATAGAGAACATAATGCCATGGTTCAACCACCCTAGAGTGACAGAAAAATGAGATGGGTGGAGATAAATACTACTACAAAAGCTCTCCTGTTTCCTAAGCGCTCAGCATTCTATAGCAGGTGGAAATAAAATGGGCATCTATTCTGGACTCCAATGTTACCTTGTCCAGGACTTTGTGACTGTCATCGAGGCATGACTACATACCTGTGTCCAGTTAACAACCAAAATAAGAGCAATGTCTCCTTCCGATCTCCACTTCCCCTACTTGGAGGATGTGTGTGGGGGGGGAAAGATTGCCTGCTGAACCTCCACACACCTTTGGACCCCAACATCCCCCTCAACTTTGCACTTGCTGTTTCAGGTCAGTTAAGCTGATATTAATGTTCCTTCTCATCTATTCCCCTCCCTTTTTGATGTAAAAACAAAAACAAAAACAAAAAACTTTCATTCCCTTGTTTAAGGCCAGATGCCATGAATGAAGAGGGCTGGTTAACAGTGAATATGTGGCACAGTGGCTTATGCCTGTAATCCCAGCACTTTGGGAGGCCGAGGCAGGAGGATCACCTGAGGTCAGGGATTCGAGACCAGCCTTGACCACATGGCGAAACCCTGTCTCTACTAAAAATACAAAAATTAGCCAGGCGTGGTGGCAGGCACCTGTAGTCCCAGCTACTGGGGAGGCTGAGGCAGGAGAATCACTTGAACCTGGGAGATGGATGTTGCAGTGAGCAGAGATCGTGCCATTGTTCTCCAGCCTGGGTGACAGAGTGAGACTCCGTCAAAACAAAACAAAACAAAACAAAACAAAAAAAACCCCAGTGAATATGCATGAGGGAGAAGCTTTACTATCCTGTGAATAAAAGGAAATGTGTTCTGAAGGCATCAGGTAACTTACCTTTGAATCTCTGGGACATTGTCACAGGACTGTGGGGCGTTTAAGCCCAGAAAGAATTGTCTGAGATTATTAAACGAAGGAGTCCCGCATTCATGGTGACTCAACCTGTTAGCAGTTCCTTTCTTCTGGGATCCAGCCTGTTGCGGCCTCTTTAGTATCAGCAGTGGCTGTGCAGAACATTGCCAAGCCCTTAGCAACCTATTCAGCAGCTCTGTGGGGATGGCTGGGGAGCCCCAGGTTTGCAAATGCAACGGCGAGTCAGCCTGGAAAGTCGGCACCACGGTGCCCTCTCCCTGCCAGGCTCCTTCCAAGAAATTCCCAGCTACCCTGCTGTTTATTAAACAGCTCAGTAAAGAAAGCACAGGGGGCAAAACAGCCATCCTACATGAGCAGAAGGCATTCACAAGTTGCCAGAGTGATTTTGTCTGAGTGTTCGGCCTGGAGGTGGCTGAAAGAGCAATAATGAAACAGAATGGGCGGTCCGAGCGGACATGAAACAGCGATTACACGGTAGGTATTTCTTTGTAGTTAGGCACTCTCTTTGCCAGCATGAAACTCAACTTGAACTTACTCAACAGTTTAAAGTCAGGGATTCCAGAGACTTAGCTTTGGAAAACACGTGAAGAAATGTTCGGGGGCAATGCTGAAATTTACAAGGCTGATGCGAAAGATCGCATGTGTGAATGGAAATGCTTTATCATTATGGATTTATCTTCTAATGATGCATGCTTGTAAAGCAGTATCCTGAAGCAATGGCGATATTAAAATACATAAAAAATTATCAATAATTTTATACACACACACATCCAAAATCAGCTACATTTTTACAGATTAGCTATTTAACTGGTCAAGGGCAGTTAGGCTTAATTAATGTGAACTTAGCCACTAAAGTTAATAAATTCTCCCATGGGAGCTATGAATCGAGAGGGTGAAAGGAAGTTGTCTATTTAATAGCTAATTAAATCACTAGTGTTTTCCGACAGTATCATTTTCTGGGTTTTGCAAGCTAACAAGGAAGCATCACTTTGATTTTTTTTTTAAATCGAGAAGATTTAAGACAATTTTTGCTCTGTAAAGCAACAAAAAAAAATAATTCATATAGACTTCATGGAAGATTTGTTTGTTTGTTTTTAAAAAAACCTTAACTATTATAAGTATTTCCCTAGTTGCCTGTAATCTAAAAAGTCAAGACATTTGCTATTGGATTAACAATGCTTTGACCGACTAACATACTGATTTTGAGTTATTATTTCCGCTAAGATGAAAGAAAGTTTCATAAAGAAGGCAGTGAAAACCCAGGATCCCTGGCCCCCAGGGTGGTTTTGTGGTAATGAGTTAAGAGGTTAGGGAGCTTTAATCAGTGACTTTGGCATCTTTACTCAATATATGAAAGAATTACGAAGGTTCCTTAGGTACTGAACTTCCTCCCAAGGAGGGAGCTTAAAACTCAAAAACTTAAGGATTTAAGTGCATTGATTAAAATTCAGTTGTGAGAGAAGGGAGAATTCTTGTTTGAGAATTCCCTGCAAAATCATTTGATAATCACTATAAGACTTTCTTACAACACTTTATGGAGGTAAATTTAAACATAGTAAAGTGAAAAAATCTAAGGCAAAAAATGTGATGACTTTTATACATATGCTTACAACCACGTGACTACCACACAGTTCCGTGTTCCTCAGCTGAGTGCGATTCTAGTCTTTAAGAGAAGGTTTTTGTTCTGCTTGTTTTTTTTTTTTTCTTTTTAACAGCCTGGCACTTAAAGTGGGCCAAATATTTCACCAGGTATAGTCAGCTGTAGAACTAGTGATCTTGTCCAATGCTGTAAGAAAAATAGGCTGTGATTAAACTTGTTAAGTAATAATGGTTTACTGGGGCTGGGCACAGTGGCTCACGCCTGTAATCCCAGCACTTTGGGAGGCCGAGGCAGGTAGATTACCTGAGGTCAGGAGTTTGAGACCAGCCTGGCCAACATGGTGAAACCCCATCTCTACTAAAAATGCCAAATTAGCTGGCGTGGTCGCGCATACCTGTAATCCCAGCTACTCGGGAGGCTGAGGCAGGAGAATTGCTGGAACCCAGGAGGTGGAGGTTGCAGTGAGCCAAGATCGTGCCATTGCATGCCAGCCTGGGCAACAAGAGCAAAACTCCATCTCAAAAAAAAAAAAAAAAAAAAAGAAGAAGTAATGGTTTATTGGACTTGATTTTGGTACCTCCTTGAAAGATTTTGAAGAGCAATTTTGAGCATGTGAATTTTTGCAATGAGAGATTATTTTACTCCTTCCTAAGATAGGATTCCCCTATAGTCTCAGAACAAAGGATAGTTCTTTGAATAGTATATTTCAGCCTTAGGGAATCACATTTTAGTACTTCATTTTATAGTGGGTGGATGAAAATTTCATTATGGGTGTTCATCAATTCTCATAATTTAAAATCGTAAATTAAAAATCACTAACTTAAAAGGGTTTAATGTCTCCATTGTGGAAGGCATTTGGGATCTTGGCATTTGAGTTAGTTTCCTGACCCAAAGGCTCAGACAGTGGAAGTATCATTTCCCTAGTCTCCAGCATTCTTTAAAAACAGAATTACAAGAGATAATATATGCAGTGCCTGGCACACAGCAGTGGGGAGAGCAAATGTAAACTCTTTCCTCTTTCCTCACAATCCTTCTCCTCCTTGATTCCACTTCTAAATGTCACAGCTGAGTACTGGTAGCTGTGAATAGATCAAGAGATGTCAGACAGTGGAGACAGGTGAATCTTGAGTTAAGGCGGAGATGAGGGTGAGGTGTTGGTGGAGAACATAGGTAGGTTCAGGGTCTAGAAGGTGAGTTGGTCTGGTGTCCTGAAATATAAACCTTGTTGACAAACACAGGCAAGAGAAGGTCCAAGTGATGAGAGTTGATGTTAAGGACCAGTGGATATTGGGAAACAGTTGAGCAATGGCTATTAGTTGAGCACAATCATTCCATTCAATTCAACAAACATTTATGGAGTCCTTTCTATGTGCAACTAAATGCTCTAAGATTTCTGAGTTAGGAACAGCCTAGCATGTGGCAAGTATAATTGATGGCTGATTGCCGACCTTGGGCAAAGACAATCAATCTCTGCTCTGGCTTGAGTAATCTGGTTTGGGTAGATAAGGATCACAGTGAGCACTGTGTTGGGGGAGGGTGTAGAGTGGGGGGTGACACATTTCTGCATGTGCTGATGGTTGCAACCAAAGACAGGGCTTCTGAGAGACCTACGTTGTAAATGTTCCATCTTGTTGGGCTGTTCCCATTTGTATCTGTCTCCCTCTGGTGCTAGATTTTTTTGGTTTTATGTGTTTCTAAAACAGAATCCGGTCAATTCCCTCTGAGGTCTTCAACTGGAGTTTGAGTTGGGAGGGCCATGCTGTGTAGGGTTTGGAGCCACGTGGGGCCTGCCAGCCCTATTAAGTTGCATTCTTTTGAAGTGTGTATCTCCCCTTGCACCAGCCCTGTTCCCCACCTGTGAAGCAGCTTTTGACTTCCATATATTATGGAATATTATGCACATAAGAGAAAAGAGCTTCATTTTATTTTCTGTTTTTTTCCATACTTCATCAACAATTAACCATGTTAGAAAAAGTAGAGCTGAAATAATCCCATCAGGAATTGGCACTGGGTTTCTGGAAAACTTAGTCCTAACCACCTCTTTTATTTAGTGTGTTTGTCTAGGAATTGAGAAAAGCTTGAGTGTTGGTTTATCTTATGTTTCCAACTAAGAGTAATTTCATAAATACTAGAAACCTTGCAGGGAAAAAACCTATTTTCATAAAATGATTAATGCACTAGGCAAGGGAAATTTGAATGAGGCACTAGGCAAGAGAAATTTGAATGAGTGGAAACTAGAATTGGGCTCCTTGATCTTTTTCTGCATGCAGCACTTTTTTTTATTTGGAAGCAATCCCCAAAGTTTGGAAATCTGTTTAGGTTATGAAACCCAGTATTCAGATGACTGTCACATCTTCATTAAACAAAACAAAACACAATTTTGTGCCTTCTGAACTGAAGAGTTCCCTCTATGTTGTAGGGGATGTGATGGGCTCTCCAGCCTATGAATATAGGATCTAACTGCACACACCCCTTTATGCTGAGAGGCCTCCCAGTTATAAGGCTGATGTTGTTTTTTATGACAAGAAACTATTTGCAAAATTTGATTTAGGAACCAATTAGCTAAATTTAAGATTATGAAAATGAACCAGAAAGAGAAGCCTCTGATAAACAACTTCGGCTATTGGGAGGCGGACCCCTCACATCCCATGGGGCCTCCAATCAGAGGCCTCGAGAGAATCGCTAGGAAGCCTGAAAGTGGGTGAGGCCTGGGCCACTGGAGACTGCTCCTGGCCCCTGGCCTTCTTCCACTTTGGAAGAGACCATCCTGTCCTGGAAACGTGCTCCGTGGTGACACCACGGCGCAGGGTTGGCCTTCTGGAGTCCATGTCTCTGGAAGCCGCATCCACATCCCGCTTCCTGGTCCACACTGAGTGAGGCTGGGAGAGGGTTTCCAGGGGCACTTCCGTTTCAGCTTGTTTCTATTTTAATGCCTGGAGACAATTAAAGACCAATGTCTGGTGCCAGTATTTTTTTTTTTTTCCCACAGTTCACGCTATTCTTAGAAACAGTTGAGCCAGTGGCGGTGGAGTCTGAAGGCTCTGGAATCTTTTCCTTCGTGTGGCAGCAACTTATTTTTCCTGCGGAGGCTCGGTGGTGCTTTTCTTGGGCTCAGGATTGCGGCTTGGATGGCTCATTCCCTGGGAGTGCACACACTGAGCCCTTTGGAAAGGCAGCAGCAGGACAAGGATCAGTGGCAGGCAAAGAGGCAAAAAAAGCAGGACCCGGGTTCCATAGGCAACTGCTTTATTTACAGTTCCAAAAACGGTGCTTGTTCAACTATCCTGAACTTTTGTAGAAGTTCAAACTTGGAAATTGTAGTGATGAAATGAGAGCTGTGTTTTAAAAATTACTTTTAACTGTCTATGAAGCAAGTCTACATTTTGGCAAAATGGGCTGCTTTTAATCTGGTCATGTGGGATTTAAAAAAAGATTTAATTCAGCTGGATTTTGCAAAGCCCTTGCATTGTATGACATGAGGTTATTTAAGGTATAGTTTTGTCTTCAAAGAGAAGAAATAAGACACACGCATGGATTTTTAGAGTAAAAATAACGAGAGAATGTTATTACCCAAGAGCATATATTAGCTCACTTGCAGTGATGTTGAACTGGGAACATTCCAGAAGGATTCCACGTGAAGCAGTGTTTGCATTTGTATGTTTGAAATGCTCCATAACAAAATTGAAAAACTGTAAGAGCAAAATAAATAATAATACGGATTATGAAGTAATTAAAATGAAGCAGAGAAAAAACCTGTAGGATGCAGCCTAAATAAATGATACTTTAAATCAAGCTTATCCAACCCGTGTCTTGTAGGCCACAATGTGGCCTAGGACATATTTGAATGCGGCCCAACACAAATTCGTAAACTTTCTTAAAATATTGTGAGACTTTTTTTTTTTTTTTAGTTCATCAGCTATCATTAGTGTTAGTGTATTTTACGTGTGGCCCAAGACAATTCTTCTTCTTCTGATGTGGCCCAGGGAAGCCAAAAGACTGGCCACCTCTGGTTCAAATAAACATTTACAGCCTCAGTCACATATATTAGAAAATGAAAAAGACTGAAAAATTTGCCAGCTACTTGCTTGACACAGTACAACAGAAAAACAACAGCAAAGCAAGCAGAAAGAAGGCAGAAGAAGGAAGGAAACCATAAAGATAAGGAGAGCAATTAATGAGCTAGAAAACAAAGTAATAATGCAGAAATCAACCCAACTAAAAGCCGGTTCCTTGAAAAGAGTGATAAAGCCATCTCTGGCAAGAATGACCAAGGACGAGAGAAGAAAAAGCATGAAAAAGAAACAGAGCATAACTACTGATGGAGATTTTAAAGCCTGTAAGAGAATACTATGGACAAGTTCCTGACAATACATTTGGAAACAGAGAAATCAGACAATCTCCTAGAAAAATATTAATTACAAAAACTGATGAAAGAAAAAGCTGGAATATACCTATAATCAACAAAAGAAGTGAATCAAGTTAATAATCTACAGCCTTCCTTCCCCGGATGCCTCCCTCTCCAAAAAACAGGCCAGACACAGCCAAGTTTACAAAATCTTCAAAGAACAGATAAGCACTACTTTGTATAAACTTTTTCAAAGAATAGAAAAAGGACAACTTCCCACATCATTTTGTATGCATAACCTTGATAATAAAACTGAACAAATAAAATAGAGTGTAGCAAAATTATAGGTCATTGTTAATTATGAAATGAGTGTAATGATCTTAAATAAAATATTAGTAAACCAAATCTATCAAAATATTTAAATAATACATTTTTGACCAGTTAGTGTTTATCCTAATGTGGCAGGATGGTTTACATTAGGAAATCTTTTTAATGTAATTCACCACATCTGTACGTTTAAAGATGTTCAAATGTTACTATATATTGCTTACAGTTTTATGTCTGTAAAATATAAAAATATAGTCAATTACTGTCTATCTCTGGTGATGGAGAGTAAACAATGAAATGGGGATGCTTTAGCTGGCACTAAAATATTTTCTTTCTCAAAAAATAAAAAGGTAACTAAAGGAAAGATAGTGTTAAGGATAATACTTCTTAGATCTAGTGGATGAACCCCTTGGTCATTGTCATTGTTTTCATTTCTTCTGAATTGCTGAGATATTACACAACTAAACATATTTGAGAAAAAAAGAGAAAAGGGCAAAATCTGGAACTTAGATTATATCTAGCACTGTTCTATTGATATATTTCATTTATATTAATTTATGCACTAAATGAATGTTTCTACTAAAAATACAAAAATTAGCTGGGCATGGTGGCACATGCCTGTAATCCCAGCTACTTGGGAGGCTGAGGCAGGAGAATTGCCTGAACCTGGGAGGCAGAGATTGCAGTGAGCTAAGATCATGCCTCTGCTATAATAGATTATCTGATATAATAGATTATCTCTTCCATTTAAAGTTTTTTCTTAATTAATCTCCAGCCCTACCGTTATTGATGTGTCTCCATCCAGTGTTTGCCAAAACTAAAATTGATTCACTGGCACCTTTCTGTCTGTCCCTTCCAACTCTCTCCTCACCCGCAAGCCAAGAATGTTGCCAGCCAAAGTTCTGCAATTGACAGGTTTGTTGGTAATGGTGGGTCTGGGGTATTTTTCTGCTCCCGCCCGCTAGTGTGGACTCAGACCCTGGGTCCACCTTCACACTGACTTTCTTAGGACTTAGGAGGGAGAAATACCCTCAACCTTGGGGCTAATGATGTGACCCTTGCTCAGCGACTCTAAAACCGCAAATACTCTTCTAGCCAAGGTCAGAGGTCAGCTACCCATGGGGGACAGGAGGGCAGCAGAATGGACACCATAATTGGATAAATCTGTTAAATTTTCATATTCCCCATTTATTTGCTGTTCATTTAGGCAACATCTGCTCTCTGTTTCTCAGCCTATTCACAATTGTGAATTTACAATTCACAGCCTATTACCACTATCATCCCCAAGTCTCTCCGCGTTTAATAGTTCAACACACACTTACTCAGGGTACCGAGGTCCAGATATGAGGGCTGGCACTGAAAATTTCATGGAGAGTAAGACCTATGCCTAGCCCTGGCGAAGATTTCTCTTTTATGGGTGAGAAAGACGCACACTGGAGGTAGAAACCATCTGAGCTACTTTGTTCTTTAGACGTTTCTGGTTTATGTTCTTTTTACATCTTAGTTCAATTCCAGCTTTCTTGTGAAGATTTCCCAGATTTGTCTCCTCTGGGTTCAAATATACATATCCATGTTGTTACCAGGCATTAGATCTGGCACTTAGCCCCTCCCTGCATTGTCTGGGGAAAGACCACAGACATAGACAAAATAACCTGGGTCTGGTCCCTGATCCATCTTCTTAGCCGTGTGATTTTCCTTCAACTCTCAAATCCTCTGTCCTTTCCTTTGTCAAAGGAGGGTAATCCCCATGCCTCACAGAGCTGTCATGAGTATTCCATGAGATAATGTATAAGGCGACCAGCCTGGGGTCTGTCTTACCCATAGTCACTCATTAATTATTGGTTTCTGCCTTATTTTTTTCATATCTTTATTTCTTCTTCATCTATCAAAGAGTTAGTCTATCAACTCTAATTTCTCAACTGCCTCTAAGATGCTTAGATTCTGATATATTGTTCTTTGATTATTAGAAAACTAGTTATCGCCTATGTATATTTTATTTTCTGAGCATGATTGTAAGTTTCTTGAGAGTTCTTATAATTTTGGCATCCTCGCTGTGCTCCAGGCAGTGAGGTCTCTCTGTGTATATCACTCATCTATGTGTCATCTCTATGTCTGTTTGTCCTGTTTTCCATTACTAACGCAGACTCCTTGAGAGTATAAATTATAAAACTTCCTGGCCATATTTCTTCAGTGTTTGCTACATTGTTGTACAAAGGGGAGTTTGAGAAACATTCAGAGTGGTCGGGAATGACAAGCCGTCTTCCACCATAGGCCCAGCTTTCTTTAAACACTATTTCTAGAATTACTTATATTCAGAATAATTAATCTTCCATTGAAGCACTCAGTTAGAGTGCAATGTTCCTCAGATATCCTGTTCTGATAATAGCATGATTCCAAGTTGTCGTCATTTTATTCGTTTGATTGATCCTTGGAGCGTGTACCCATGAACTGTTTATGGCAAGTAATTGAATTTCAAATCTTATCTCTCTATTATAATCTGATATGCATTCCTACTGTGCTTTGGTTCCAAATATAATAAAAATCACATTTCTGAAATCCAAATTTTACCTCCAGGGATCTTTCTGCTCTTGTTAATGAACAGTTTATGTACACTGAACTCTCTGAAAGAGTTTAGTCAAACAGTCCTCAACCCTTCCACTCTTTGAAAACTCATTATTAATACATACTAATACCTAAACAAACAGCAAGTCCTTTGTCATGAGAAACACTCCCCCAGGCCGAAGGAGTTTAATATTTAGAAAATGACACTCACTCTGTCATTCTTCAGAGAACTTACTTCTATCAGTAAACATATATTCAGTTATTATTTTCCCAGAGAGCAAATATGACTAAGGTATTACAGCATTTCCTTGTTGGTGCTCAAACAGTCAAAGTACTGCCTCTTTAAGTGGGATCTTATCCCCCAAGTTAACAATTTAGTTAATAAGTGTTTAGTTTGAACCTCTTCTAACACTTAACACCTTGACTCAAGTAGGCCCTTGGTCCCTGGTTGTCTCAAGGATCTGTCTGAAGACTTTCAAAAATCTAAGTTTAGTAACATTATTACTATAGCACAAAATCAGTCTCTCTCTCTCTCTTTTTTTTTTGAGACAGTCTTGCTCTGTAGCCCAGGCTGGAGTGCAGTGGCGCAATCTTGGCTCACTGTAGCCTCGATCTCCTGAGCTCAAGCCATCCTCTTGCCTCAGCCTCCCGAGGAGCAGGGACTATGGGCATGTGCCACCACATTCGGCTAATTTTTGTGTTTTTGTTTTGTAGAGTTAGGGTCTCACTATGTAGTCCAGGCTGGTCTCAAACTTGTGGGCCCAAGCAATCCTCCCACCTTGGTCTCCCAGAGTGCTGGGATTATAGGCATGAGCCACTGCGCCCGGCCAAAGTCAGTCTTGAGCCAGTTAGGAAGAGTGCTGCCTGCCACACATGAGCTTTGAAAACAAAAAACAAAAAACCTAAAAGTTTGGCTGGGCACGGTGGCTCATGCGTGTAATCCCAGCACTTTGAGAAGCCAAGGCACTTGAGGTCAAGAGTTGGAGACCAGCCTGGCCAACATGGTGAAACCCTGTCTCTACTAAAAATACAAACAAATTAGCCAGGGGTGGGGGCGCACACCTGTAATCCCAGCTACTCAGGAGGCTGAGGCAGGAGAATCACTTGAACCCAGGAGGCAGAGGTTGCAGTGAGCCGAGATTGCGCCACTGCACTCCAGCCTGGGCGACAGACCAAGACTCTATCTCAAAAACAAACAAACAAACAAAAAACAAAAAAAAACCCTAAAAGTTTGTTTTATAAGTAATGAAAGTGTATATTACATCTCTGAATAGACTTTAAACCACTTGGCTTGCTTGCATCAAGGACTAACTCTGAATTATCTGGTTTCTAATGGCTATAATTGATAGCTTGAAAAAATTGTGGTTCTTCTGGGTGCAGTGTGGGTATGTGTTTCAACATGTTAAAATAAATGACTTTGTTGTATAACAGCTTCTGGATTTGTTTGAGATATTAAAGATTAATTTATGTAACCTAATGAAGCATGCTGAGCTCCAGGTTCCTTAAAACAGAAGTGAGGCCTATGTATAAGAAAAAAAGAAGGAAAAATCCTGATTCACCCCTGTCTCCCAGCCCTCCCTATTCTTACGGCCTGAGCATTTCTTCCCTAGGATGGAGGGGCCTTGACACTTGAGGTGTCTGTGCCCTTTGGGCTGTGAATTGTCTGTCCCGAGCACACATTTTAAATCCTTTGTTTAGATCCCTTCTCTAAAAGTAAAACAAAACCAACAAAACCCCCAGCAACTTAGCTGAGCATGGTGGAATATGCCTGTAGTTGCAGCTATTGGGAGGCTGAGGTGGGAGGATAGCTTGAGCCCAGGAGTTTGAGGCTGCAGTGAGCGGTGATTGTACCACTGCACTCTAGCCTGGGTGACAGAGTAAGACCCCAACTCCAATGCTAAAAAAAGAAAAAAGAAAAAGAAAAAATTGTTCAGGAATGAGTTAGGTTCTAGAAATTAATTTGAGCATTCAAGATATGCATCAAAGTGGCCCTACCCTTTGACTGGGGTTCTGCCTTCTTTGTGATTTCTTGGCCGTGTGTTTCTCCACTCATAGCCTCTAGTTTTGATTGAGAGTAAGCTTGTTCCTTGTGGGGAGAGGGGACACCCCTCTAGTGACTGTTAATTCATTAGTGGGAACTTATATCCCATTTGCTCATTTTCAGTAAGTTTCTGAAATGGGGGCGTGATCACTGGTGGCATGCTCTCCTGATCAGTACTTAGTTAAGCATAATCTTAGAAGTAGTAATAGCAATAATAATAATAGTTAACATTAATTGAGCATTTAATTTGTGTTACGTGCCATAGTATTAAGTGCATATCATATGGTCATTTAATTCTTTTTTCTAATTTTTTTAATTTTTTTTTTTTGAGACGGAGTCTTGCTCTGTTGCCCAGGCTGGAGTGCAGTGGTGCGATTTCAACTCACTACAACCTCTGCCTCCTGGGCTCAAGCAATTCTCCTGCCTCAGCCTCCCTAATAGCTGGGATTACAGGTGCTCTCCACCAGGCCTGGCTAATTTTTGTGTTTTTAGTAGAGATGGGGTTTCACCATGTTGGCCAGGCTGGTCTCAAACTCCTGACCTCATGATCTGCCTGCCTTAGCCTCCCAAAGTGCTGGGATTACAGGTGTGAGCCACCACGCCTGTTGTCTTTTTTCTAATTTTAAATTTTTAACTTTGTGGGTAACTAGTAAGTGTACTGGCCATTTAACTCTTATAACAACTCTGTGAGTTAGGAACTATTGTTTTCTCCATTTTATTGATGAGGAAAGTGAGGCTAAAAGAGTGTAAGTCATTTACCTCAGTTACTAAGCAGTGAAACTGAAATTTGAAACAGCAAGTCTTATATCAAAGATCCTGATCTTAATCATTTTATCATATGTAATGCACAATGTATCCTAGTTGGAAAAATGTTCATGCGATAGAAATGCAGCTGATAACCCCCTTAACTCCCCTGTCTTATATCAGTCATCTCCCAAAGTTCTTAGGAGATTCCCAGATCTTTGTTTTTATGCATTTGTGGTATGTGTATATATAACATGATTTCCTTCTGTGAGATTTGAAAAATATAAAAATATAAACCATATCACATCATATGTTTTAATCTGTAACTAACATTTTAAGAAAAATATAACAATATATTTTAGAGACTTTTTTCAGTTCAATACAAAGGTTGTGCTTTATTCTTTCAAAACGGTTGCATGGTATCCTATATTATGGATGTACCCTATAATATTCAATCATCTCGCTGGTGTCCTATCGTGATTAGATTTTTTTGTAGTACAAACTGATTGATGTCTGTTTCGCCTGTTCTCAACTTCCAGGATTAGAGAAACACAATTAGAACTTTAGAAAATTGCCTATACAAGGCTGGGCGTGGTGGCTCACGCCTGTAATCCCAGCACTTTGGGAGGCCAAGGCAGGCGGATCACAAGATCAGGAGATCAAGACCATCCTGGCTAACACGGTGAAACCCTGTCTCCACTAAAAATACAAAAAATTAGCCAGACGTGGTGGCACATGCCTGTAATCTCAGCTACTTAGGAGGCTGAGGCAGGAGAATCACTTGAACCCAGTGGGGTGGAGGTTGTGGTGAGCTGAGATTGCACCACTGCACTCCAGCCTGGGTGACAGAGCAAGACTCCATCTCAAAAACAAAACAAAACAAAACAAAGAAAATTGCCTATACAGGTGGTGTTTGATTTTTTTAAAAAATGCTTGCCCCTTAATGTCCTGGGGTTCATTGGAGGATACAGCGCATCTGGCCCAATGTGAGGTCATATCACCCCAGTGAGGGCAAGTCCCTCTTCCTTGATAAAATGCTCACTGGTTTCTTTTGCTTTGAGGAGAAAAATGACCTGGGAAGGAAATTTCCTTTAATATTCCAGTTTTAGTCACCCCTGAACACTGGCCAGCGACCTTCTTCCTATGTGAACCATTGCGGCTAGAGAGAAAAACCCGATTGCTTCCTTGCTTCCTGTGGATGTATACACACACACACACACACACACACACACACACACACACACACACACACGGTGAGACCCTGTCTCTCCCTCTTTATATATATATATATAGAGAGAGAGAGAGATCATACCATTATATCTATATCTATATATAGAGATATATAGCTCTCTCTCTATATAGATTATACCACCATATATATATATATTTAGTGGTCTGTCTATAGTGGTGTGACAGATATAGGCATATCTATATCTATCTATCTATCTATAGTGGTGTGATCCATATATAAAGAGAGAGACAGGGTCTCACTCTGTGATCTTATATATCTAGATATATATCTCTCTCTATATAATTAATTATATATTTAATAATATATTTATATATTTAATTATATAGAAATATATAATTAAATATATATTTTAATATTTATATAATTAATTATATATTTATATAATTAAATATATAATTAATTATATATTTATATATAATTAAATATATAATTAATTATATATTTATATATAATTAAATATATATAATTAATTATATATAATCAAATATATATATATAGAGAGAGAGAGAGAGAATGCAGTGGTGTGATCATGGCTCACTGCAGCCTTGAACTTTCAGACTTAAGCAATCCTCCCACCTTGGCCTCATAAGCAGCTGGGACTTCAGATGCTTGCCACCCTGCTCAGCTAATATACATATATATATATATATATATTTTTTTTTTTTTTTGTAATTCTTGTAGATATGGGGTCTCCCTGTGTTGCCCAGGCTGGTCTCAAACTCCTGACCTCAAGTGATCTGCTGCCTTGGCCTCCCTCAGTGCTGGTATTACAGATGCGAGTCACCATGCCCGGCTCTCTTGTAGATATTTTACATTATGCTAAGAAAACTGGTTTTTAATCTTCCCCATCCAGTTTGTGAATAGTTCAGTAGCAGCATCAGTGGTTTCTCTACCTGTGGTTTCACTGAAATGTGCATTAAGATCTTTGGCTTCCTTTGGATTCACATTTCTGTGGAAAATCATGGGTTTCGGCTCCACAGCTTCACACCAGAAATTCTTCATATTTTCAACTTTTGCTAAAATTTTATCTCTCATCCAATGAACGATTTTCCCCCTAGCTGGACCCTTTATTAAAGTAGTTTTCTAAAACACTTTTCTTATATCACTATAAAGAATAAGCTAGACTTCTTTATATGGTAGATCTGAGTTAACTGCAGAGGTTAACATCCTATCCTTCCAGGTGTCTAGAACTCCTTGTTAAGACCCTTGACTTTCTTAGGTATCTTTAACTCCTTTAATTATCAGGAATACTAATAAAGTAGCAAATTTGGCCATTTGTCCTCAGTTGTAATTAGGATGGTTTCATTTGCTTTTATCCCTCTTCCTCAGGGCTTTGTCAATCTATGTAAAATACTTTCTAGCATCCTAGATTTGGTCATTTATTTTAGAGAACCATAGAATTTGAGAGATGGTCATTCTTTCAGCTGTCATTTAATATACATTAAAAAACCTGTGTGTATTAGTCCATTTTCACACTACTCTAATGATGATACCCAAGACTGGGTAATGTATAAAGGAAAGAAGTGTAATCGATTCACAATTCCACGTGGCTGGGGAGGCCTCAGGAAACTTGCAATCATGGCGGAAGGTGAAGGAAGGAAGCACCTTCTTCACAAGGTGGCAGGAGAGACAGGAGCGAAGCGGGAAGAGCCCCTTATAAAACCATCAGATCTCATGAGAATTCACTTCGTATCACAAGAACAGCCTGGGGGAAAGTGCCCCCATCATCCAATCATTCCCCACCACATCCTTCCCTCGACATGTGGGGATTACAGTTGGAGATGAGATTTGGGTGGGGACGCATAGCCAAACCATGTCACTATGTGATTAAATGAATCTCCTGAGGATGGATTAGAACTCAGATCACCTTATTCAAGGCCAGTGCTGCCCCACTTCACTTATGGTGACCTAAGTTTCTGAGTCAGAAATTGGAGAACAGTTACCATAAAAGGAGATGCAGGTTCTTTTTTGGTCAGTGTTGAGTAAATGTGGATATTATCTCAGCTGGGTTTTTTTGGTGGGTGGGGTTTGGATGAGGGGAATGGGGATTATCACACACTGTAAACTCTAAATGAGTAAAAGGCTGTCATAGGCCTTAAGAGTAGGTAGATATCGAATGAGGTTTTGGTCACTCCAGTTGAGAGTCAGGCCTGAGTTTATAGGACTCTCTCACTCCTCATATCCTCTAGAATCGGGGGACTGGGACTCTCCTCCTGAAGACAACCCTAAGGATTTGCCAAGAGCCCCAGGCAGCCCTTGTGGAGCCTGAGGTGGGGAATGTGTTTCCCCTGGCTGGGGGCTGGGGAAAATGTTTTGTTGCTCAGGTTACAGAATGCAGTTGGGCACATTGTGGCTCTGGGAGAGGCCCTTGCAGCTGTCATAACCAGGGCATGAGAAACTTCCAGAGCCTTCTTCACCCTCGGAGTGAGGGCTTGAGCAGTCTCTTGCCTACATCACACAGAGGTGGTATGGTTTTAACTGTGCATTCAAAATCTTTGTGGGATATTCCAGACAAATCTCCTGACAGGAGACCTGCATTGGAGACCACATTCCCAGATAGTTCCTGAGGCAGGGCCCTGAGAGCTGAGGGTCTGCAGGGGGCAGAAAACCATCTGGGTCTCCTTTGGGCACTGGATTCTCCTCTTCGTGGTGTTTCTCCTTTCCTTCCTCTGTGGTCTTCCTCTTCTTTCTCTTTGCCAGAATGTTAGAAGGGAGTGGTGTCTTCAGGGCTCTCTTTTCCCCACCCCTCCCTTCTACCTGCACCTATTGACTCATCCTGGAGAGTTACACAGTTGGCTTCTAGTGCACCCTGGCTGGCTGACACCGAAGCTGGCCCTCCTACTAGACAAGCCCAGTCATTAGCCACATGGTGCATAGAGCCTGGCAGCTGCTGACTAAGGCTAGGTGAAGCTTGGGGTGTAGATGCTAGCAGGGCCTTTGCTATTGCTAGTGTGGAGCATTGGAAAGCCAGAGGTACCGAGAAACAGAGGCAAAGAACTAGGAAACAATCTGAAGAAGCAGACATGAGCAGTTCCTCATTTAAACTCTGTTCTGTCATCCTCAGGCCCTTCTGCGTGTGTTCCGAGAAGCACCACAACTAGGCCATGCTCTGCTGACACTTAGTGCTAAGTTTAGAAGGTGATGCAACAAACCAGAGAAAAGGCAAAAGCATATACACAGTTGCCTCCATCAACATTGGTTATTTTGTTTTTTTAAAATTTTTTTTTGAGACAGGGTCTCACTCTGCCACCCAGGCTGGAGTGCAGTGGCGCAGTCTTGGCTCACTGCAAACTCCACCTCCCGCGTTCAAACAATTCTCCTGTCTTAGCCTCCTGAGTAGCTAGGATTACAGGCGCTAGCCACCACACCTAGCTAATTTTTGTATTTTTAATAGAGACGGGGTTTCACCATGTTGGCCAGGCTGGTCTTGAACTCCTGACCTCAGGTGATCAGCCCGCCTTGGCTTCCCAAAGTGCTGGGATTATTGTTTTTGATTTTTAATTGTATTTATTTATTTATTTTTTGAGATGGGGTCTTGCTCTGTGGCCCAGGCTGGAGTGCAGTAACGCGATGATGGCTCACTGCAACCTCAACGTTCTGGGCTCAAGCAATCCTCCCACCTTAGCCTTCCAAGTAGCTGGAACTACAGGCAAGCATCACGATGCCTGGCTAATTTTTAAAAATTTTGTTGTAAAGGTGAGGTCTCCCTGTGTTGCCCAGACTGGTCTTGAACTCCTAGGCTCAAGCCATCCTCTTGCCGCAGCCTTCCAAAGTGCTGGGATTACAGGTATGAGCCACTGCGCCCTGCCCAACTTTGTTATGTATTCCGTGCTGGGTGTCATATGTATGGAAGCATTTCCTACTTAATGTTGACAATATTATGGCTGCATAGAAAAACTCATTTTCCTGCAGAATGACCACAATTGGAAACAATTAGTGATATAACTTTGATGATATTATACATCTAACCACGTGCTTTCCTAATGATCGAGCAGCATTTATTCTCAGGGCTATGATCATCTCCACCACTCTTGGGCCAGGGGAAGAAGGTCTTTCTCTAAGGTACACAGCAATGTTTTAGGGCACAAATGTTTACTAAAATTAAACGTTTAACTAATATTAAACCACATGTCTGATTGTGCAAAGCATTTCGAGGCTAATCCAGATTCCTTAATTGCTGTGACTCTTTCATCTCAAAACTCTCTTTTTTCCATTTCTCTTCCTTGCTGAGCCCTAGTGTGCAGGAAATAATGTATCCTATATTTGCCAGTAATGGTTTTTGAGGTGAAATGTAAAAAAAATGATGCATGGCTTCTCTGAGACTCTGAGAAATTGAGTGTATTGATTTGTCTTTACCATGTGGTAAAAAGGGTTTTTGATTTATTTACCTTTTAATCTTCAAATCTTGGCACAAAATAAAGGTGGCATGAAAAATGAGCTTTGAAAGGACAGATTTGGTTGTGGAAGAGAAACTGGCCAGGGCGATTTTTCCTACATTTCTGAGCTGTGTAAAGATGCAGGTCTGATAGGAGCTGACACTCATGACAAGGCCTGGGGCACAGAGCAGAGCTCCTCAAGGAGGCAGAACAAGGACCCGTTCATTCTGGAATGCGGTTTGTGGGAGCACGAGGAACGAAAACCATCCTGCCCCAAAGTTTTCTCCCATCAAGTCCAACAGGGTCTGAAATGCTAACATGTGAGATTCAATCTTCCACGTAAAACACTCTTTTCCTTGGGTTCTTACCGAAGAAGGAAAAAAAAAATCCAGATACTGAATTATATTGTCACTAACACTCTGGTGGAAATCTACTTAGCCTTAGTAGCTGAAAATATTGTGGAAAGTATTTACAAATTTGTCAGTGACTCTAGTGAATAAAGTTTTTTTTGGAACACAGCCATGTCCATTCATTTATATATTTTCTATGGCTGCTGTTGGCACTACAACGGCAGGACTGACTCATCGTGATGAAGACCACACTTCTCAGAAGGCCTAAGATGTTTATTATCTGGTCCTCTAGAGAAAAAAAGTTGCTGATCCTTTGTCTATAGTTATGCTATCCAGTACAGCAGCCACTAGTGTCATGTGGCTATTCAAATGTAAATGTCTTAAAATTAAATATAATTAAAAATACGTTTCTTCAGCCGGGCACGGTGGCTCACACATGTAATCCCAGCACTTTGGAGGCCAAGGTGGGCAGATCACCTGAGGTCAGGTGTTTGAGACCAACCTGGCCAACATGCTGAAACCCTGTCGCTACTAAAAATACAAAAAATTAGCCAGGCATAGTGGCAGGCGCCTGTAATCACAGCTACTCGGGAGGCTGAGGTGGGAGAATTGCTTGAACCTGGGAGACGGAGATTGTAGTGAGCCAAGATCATGGCACTGCACTCTAGCCCGGGCAACAGAAAAAATTTATATATATTTTATATATATATATATATATATACACACACACACACACACACACACATTTCTTCATTTGTACTAGCTACATTTCAGGTGCTTATTAGCTACATGTGGATAGTGGCTACCATATAGGTCAGCACAGATACAGAACATACCCACCATTACAGAAAGTTCACTTTAAACCTACATATGAATGAAAATCTAATGTATTAATCAGTAACACATTAATCTTGTGTATAAATCTACTCACAACCCAAACATATCATGTTCTTTGATCTCCATCACTTTTTAAAATCAAAGGTAAAAATCACTTCAGGGAATGAGTTAAACTCATTGCCTGCTTCTGAGCAGTAGGGTAACACCTCACTCTGAATAATCCTCCATACAGAATTCTCTCTGGAAAAATGATTATTTCCTTCTCATATGTGAGTCTTAAAAGACGCAGGCATTCGGGCTATTTCCACATATTTCACTTGACTCCTGCATTCACAATTCCTTGCTGGCCTCTGGGTAGGAAAGAGATTCTGTGAACTATGGACTGGGTTGCCCCTGCTCAGAAGGAAAGTCACCCAGCCCTCGCGAGCCTGAGAACCTTTGGCTGCCTGCTGCCTTAAGATGACAGCAACAAACTCTTCCAAAGGGAGAGCTGAAGATCATCACTGCTGCTCGAGTGAGCTGCTTGCCTGAGGAAAGAGTTGAGGGGCTGGGGGAATCATTGGCCCTCGTCTTGGCCAAGGTTTGGCTTTCCGCACAGTGATGTGTGACTTTTTTTTTTTTTTTTTTTTTTTTTTTTTTGAGACAGGGTCTCATTCTGTTGCCCAGGCTGGAGTGCAGCCCACCTCAGCCTCCTGAGTAGCTGGGACTACAGGTGCACCTCCTCATACCTGGCTAATTTTTTTTTATTTTTTGTAGAGACAGGGCTTCGCCACGTTGCCCAGGCTGGTCTCAACCTCCTGAACTCAAGTGATCCTCTCATACCTGCCTCCCAAAGTGTTGCGATATAGATGTGAGCCACCCTGCCCAGCCAACATGTGACATATGGAGAGCTGGTAAAGGAAAGATGGGACCTGGAGAATCTCTTTCTGATCTGATTTGAGAATCATTTTTATATTAGGTAGGGTAAAAGGCTGAGCTGCCATAACACAGTCTCAACAGTATAGAAGTTTAAAAGATGAAGAAGTTTCTTTTGTATAACCATCCAAAATAAATGTTCCAGGTGCAGCCTGTTCTGTTCCACCACTATTTAAGGACACAGGTTTCTTTTGAGTCGTTGCTCTGTCCTCCCCTGCCCCGTTCTCTGGGAGAATTGTCTTCTGCATGGCTGAAGCTGATTATAGAGGCATGTCTGAGTTTCCATTGTGAGAAGGGGAAAGAGCATGGACGAGACATGCCCACTCCCTGAAGGCCTGGGTTCCTCATTGCTTGCTCATGATCCACTGGACTGGACGCCATACCTAATTGCAAAAGTCGCTGGAAAATGTAGTCTAGACTGTGCTCAGGAAGAAATGGAAAATGAATTTCAGTGAACTAACGGCACTCTCCACTATACCTTCCTTTCCTTTTCTAGTTTTTTTTTTTTTGGGGGGGGCGGGGGGATTTCTCTCTTGTTGCAGGGCAATGGCATGCCTTGTTGCCAGGCTGCAGAGCAATGGCATGGTCTCGGCTCACTGCAACCTCTGCCTCCTGGGTTTCAGCCATCCTCCTGTCTCAGCCTCCCAAGTAGCTGGGATTACAGTCACCTGCCACCACGCCCATCTAATTTTTGTATTTTTAATAGAGACGGGGTTTTACCGTGTTGTCCAGGCTGGTCTTGAACTCCTGACCTCAGGTGATCTGCCCACCTCGACCTCCCAAAGTGCCTTTTCTCAGTTCTCAATATTTTTTTTCTTTTCAAACGCTATGACTCCATATCCATCAAGATAGTGTGTCCGGAATTGGTGGGTTCTTGGTCTCACTGACTTCAAGAATGAAGCCGCGGACCCTCAAGATGAGTGTTACAGTTCTTAAAGGCGGCGTGTCCGGAGTTTGTTCCTTCTGGTGTTTGGACGTGTTCAGAGTTTCTTCCTTCTGAGGGGGTTCGTGGTATCTCTGGCTCAGGAGTGAAGCTGCGGACCTTCGCGGTGAGTGTTACAGCTCTTAAGGTGGCGTGTCTGGAGTTGTTCATTCCTCCCCGTGGGTTTGTGGTCTCGTTGGCTTCAGGAGTGAAGCTGCAGACCTTCCCAGTGAGTGTCACAGCTCATAAAGGCAGTGTGGACCCAAAGAGTGAGCAGCTGCAAGATTTATTGCAAACAGCGAAAGAACAAAGCTTCCACGGTGTGGAAGGGGACCCGAGCGAGTTGCCAGTGCCGGCTCAGGCAGCCTGCTTTTATTCTCTTATCTGGCCCCACCCACATCCTGCTGATTGGTAGAGCTGAGTGGTCTGTTTTGACAGGGCGCTGACTGGTGCGTTTACAATCCCTGAGGAAGACACAAAGGTTCTCCACCTCCCCACCAGATTAGCTAGACACAGAGTGTCCACATAAAGGTTCTCCACCTCCCCACCAGATTAGCTAGACACAGAGTGTCCACACAAAGGTTCTCCAAGGCCCCACCATAGTAGCTAGAGTGTCCATTGGTGCATTCACAAACCCTGAGCTAGACACAGGGTGCTGATTGGTGTGTTTACAAACCTTGAGCTAGATACAGAGTGCCCATTGGTGTAATTACAATCCCTGAGCTAGACACAAGGGTTCTCCAAGGCCCCACCAGAGTAGCTAGATACGGAGTGTGGATTGGTGCATTCACAAACCCTGAGCTAGACACAGGGTGCTGATTGGTGTGTTTACAAACCTTGAGCTAGATACAGAGTGCCGATTGGTGTATTTACAATCCCTGAGCTAGACACAAAGGTTCTCCACGTCCCCACCAGACTCAGGAGCCCAGCTGGCTTCACCCAGTGGATCCCGCACCGGAGCTGCAGATGGGGCTGCCTGCCAGTCCCGCGCCATCCACCCGCACTCCTCAGCCCTTGGGTGGTCGATGGGACTGGGCGCTGTGGAGCAGGGGGCGGCGCTCGTCGCGGAGGCTCGGGCTGCACAGGAGCCCACGGAGGGGCGGGGAGGCTCAGGCATGGCAGGCTGCAGGTCCCGAGCCCTGCCCCACGGGAAGGCAGCTAAGGCCCAGCAAGAAATTGAGCACAGCAGCTGCTGGCCCAGGTGCTAAGCCCCTCACTGCCCGGGCCGGTGGGGCCGGCCGGCCGCTCCGAGTGCAGGGTCCGCCGAGCCCACGCCCACCCGGAACTCGCGCTGGCCCGCAAGCACGGCGCGCAGCTCCGGTTCCCGCCCGCGCCTCTCCCTCCACACCTCCTCGCAAGCTGAGGGAGCTGGCTCCGGCCTTGGCCAGCACAGAAAGGGGCTCCCACAGTGCAGCGACGGGCTGAAGGGCTCCTGAAGTGCCGCCAAAGTGGGAGCCCAGGCAGAGGAGGTGCCGAGAGCGAGCGAGGGCTGTGAGGACTGCCAGCACGCTGTCACCTCTCAATAGTATATTGTTTCCCATCTTCCCCTACTTCTACCTCCCTCTCTTTCCAAAAAGAAACAAACAAAAAACAGAAAAGCCAAGAATGAAAGAGAATTTATTTTTTCAACCTTTTTGTTCATATTTCAAAAATCACAAACTCCTAGCAGACATAGACTGGGTTGAAAATGATTACATTTCTATGGAATGAGCCCTTTCTATCTAAATGCTAGACTCTCCCAAATGGGCGCTCTTTCATGTTTTCCTGGAGCAGGGGTGGTGTGGGACAGCGACCTCTCATCATATCGTCAACAGCCAGAAACATAGATACAACCGGAATGTTTTCTGGAGCCAATTTGCTGTGTGCAGGCCTCAGCGTTCCGTATCGTTTTGTTCCCTTCATTCCACTAGAGCGGCTCCAAGTCATGACAACCGGTGGGGATAATTGACGTAAAAGTGCTCAACCCCGAGTGGCCGAGCTTCCCCCAGACAATTGCTGGATTGTTCGGGGACCTGTTGATGCAACAAACCTCGTGCTGAGAAGCTTGCCCCGTAATTAGCAAGCAATGCTGTCAAGCTCATCAAATGGTTTTGTGTGATGGAATGAACGAGACAAAGCACTCTCCTCTCCTTCGCTGGCAGGGAAGACAGTCGGTTTCTGAGTGGAGCTGACACTTCTGTAAGGGGAACTAAGTGAATGTGGCTTCCATTTCACACTCGTGCTTTCCGGACTGATACCAAATCTATGAGCCTGAGCTCTCGAGTTTGGCTCTCTGGTACCGGGCTGATGGGCAGCAAAGTCTTAATGAAGCTCAGGGAAGGAAACAATGGCTTTGGGTTGTGAGCCCTGTTTTCTTTATGCCTCAATAACCCTGAATAACCTCTGGGAATTCTCAAAAAGGAGCATGTTTTGCACTCACTGAACACAGAAAGGAAGTTCAACACGTGATAGTTTTAACCTTGACGTTGACTTTGCCTATTTGGGGAAATTAGAAATGATGCAAGGTGATGTCCAAGTTACTCAGTGCTAGAAGAATACCGTTCACTGTGTATACTGTACACTGTGATTAAAGCAAATGTAAATTTTATATTTTTATTTGCTTTTATGAAAACATACAGTTGTAAAGAAACATTGAGGAGTGTTGGGGAAAGCAGCAGATGAGAAAAAACATGGGTAGAAATTTAACTTTTAAAGGCCTCAGCTGCCTTGACTGTAAATTGGGAACATTCTTCATATAATCTTTAGAATGTTATTCAACCCCAAATATGTATGAACAGATGGATCATGTCCTTTACAAAGCATTGTAATATATATAGTTATGTTCTTAAAAATCCTTTCCTTCTCTCTGTACATATATATTGATATTTATATGTTTATAAATATATGATAGATGATAAAGCTCTATGGACACATTGATGCATTAGATATTTTTCCTATATACTCATACCAGTTAGAAATATAGATGCATTTAAAACCTGACTCATGTTTCTGAATTGAATGAGAATGGAAATAGTTACTTAGCACCATACATATAAATATCCAAATAATGATTGTTATTGATATCAACATACTTATAACTGTGATGATGACTGTAACACCATTAAAGAGGTATCTAAAAGGCAGAAATTTCTTTTTTTTTTTTTGTAGCCCAGAGATCCTTTATTATTTTTTTTTAACACCTATTATGCCATGAATTCATAGGGAATAGGTTCCAGCAGCTCAGGCTCCTTCCCATTGGTTCTCACAAAGTGTGCTTCTCTGGGTGGAGCAGGCTGGCGCTTTAGTTGAACCCAGGTACCTTTCTCTTTGGCTTCTTTCTTTTTCTGATCATTTTCCTTCATGCGTTTCAGGAAGCTGTCTCGGCTCTTAGAGTGCTTAATGTGCTCAATAAACACATTAATTCTCTTGGCAAGAATCTTGCCCTTAACTTGTGTGTTTACAACAATGCCAACAGCATGCTGGGTAACATTGTAGACTCTTCCAGTTTTGCCATGGTAACACTTGTGGGGCATTCCTTTTTGAACAGTACCCATTCCCTTGATGTCTACAATATCACCTTTCTTATAGATTCGCATATATGTGGCCAAAGGAACAACTCCATGTTTTCTAAAAGGCCTAAAGAACATATATCGGGTGCCCCTCCTCTTTCTCTTTGTGTTCGTCACTTTGGCGAATTACTGGAAGATGGCGGTGCCGGCCAAAAGGCAGAAATTTCTATCTTGCATTTTATATGTGTTAAAATAACTGTGACAGGAGAGCTTTTAAAATAGAAAAATTCCCATTTATTTTAATTTTCACTGTAGATTTGATTCTTAAAAAGTCTTTAGCGGCTGGGCTTGGTGGCTCACGCCTGTAATCCCAGCACTTTGGGGGGCCAAAGTGGGCGGATCATGAGGTCAGGAGATGAAGACCATCCTGGCCAACATGGTGAAACCCCGTTTCTACTAAAAATACAAAAAGATTAGCCAGGTGTAGTGGTGGGTGCCTGTAGTCCCAGCTACTCGGGAGGCTGAGGCAGGAGAATGGCGTGAACCATGGAGGCAGAGCTTGCAGTGAGCCGAGATCACACCACTGCACTCCAGCCTGGGCAACAGAGCGAGACTCCGTCTCAAAAAAAAAAAGTCTTTAGCCAATTATGGCATGATAAAATTGGGGAAAAATAGGCAGTCATAATTGTACATTGTTTATGGTATTTCTCAAACCATTCCATCTCTTGGTGGGCTTTAAATTATTACCAGTTGAAATGAAATGAAACCTTTGACATTAATGGCACATAGGCATGTGGAGAATGAATTAAATATGAATATGTACTTGGGAATTTTGTGTACATTTTTCCCAATTTCAGATTAACAGTACAAAATAGAAGCTGCTGTGTAACTTCTGAGATAACATGGGGTAGAAAAATATTTTCTTCAACTTAGAGGATGGCCCAATTTTCAGGTTAAAGGAACAAAATTTTACTTTTAATTACTGTACTATTATTATACTATTTTATAATCTAGACTTATCAGAGATGAAATAGGTTGATATAGATAGGAAATATGTCCTTGTATTACTTCTTTGCTTTTTTTTTTCTCATTGTATTCTCAGCTTATATCACCATACCTGGCACATTAAACATTAATAAATATTTGTTTAGTGAATGAACAAATGTATGAATTTGAGAATAGGTTCCTATATCTTTGTGAATGTAATGGTTAATGTTATGTGTCAACGTGACTGAGACATGAAGTCCCAGATATTTGGTTAGACATTCTTCTGGGTGTGTCTGGGAGGGTGTCTCTGGGTGAAATTCACATTTGAACGAGTGGATTGAGTGAAGCAGGTTGCTCTCTTCAATGTGGGTGAGGCCCGTTCAATCCTTTGGAGGCCTGAGTAGAACAGAAGGTGGGGAATGGAGAAGTTGCTCTCTCTGCTTGATGGCCTTGAGTGGGGATATCTGTATCCTTCTGCTTTCGGTCCCAGACTGCAACTCAGACCACTGGGCTCTCCCGGTTCTCCTGCCTTTGAATCTAGATTCTTTTCTTTGGTCTTTCCCCATAAGTTTAATTTTTTTCAGCCACATTTTTTTTGGTTATCTTGTACAGATAAAGGACGAAATGTCAGGTATATTCAGAGAAAAATGAAACATAAATATCCTATGTTAAAGTGCATTGTAGAATGTGTGTGTGTGTGCTGGGGGAAAACTTATGAAGAGATAGTTTTGAAAGCACTAAAAATATTGCCGTTAAGGGAAAATGTTGATAAGCGTGGTAGTTTAAAAAAATGAGTGCAAATTTTTTGACACTACTCCCATTAAGAGGCTGGGTCTATATCCTCTCCCCTTAAATCTAGGTGGGCTCATTACTTTCTTCTAGCCAATAGAATACTGCATGACTTTCACGACTCAGTTGGAAAAAGTGACACAGTTTTCACCTTGTTCACTGGGATACCTGCAACAGGACCCTGAGCCGGCCATCTTGTGACGAAGTCCAGACCACGTGGAGATGGCGCATGTAAGTGCTCTGACTGAGGTCCCAACTGACAGCCGGCATCAACCACAAGGCATACAAGTGAAAGTGCTTCCAGAAGATTCCAGTCTGTAGCCATTTCGTCACCCCTAGCTGTAGAGTTTTTCCATTTGAGGTTCCAGGTGTAGCTGAGCAAGCCATTTTCCCTGTACTCTGACCAAAACCCTGACCCACCAAATTTGCAAGCATAAAGAGCTGTCTGTATGAAGTGGCTAACTTTTGGGGGTGATTTGTTCCACAGCAATAGTTAAGTGGAACAATGAGATGTGGAGAGAGGGATACGGGGAGGCAGAGAGCAAGAGCCAGCATGAGGTGTTAGTTACTCTCCCTTTTCCTTTGGTACCAAGTGTTCTGTTGTTGCTGTTTTTGCCCTTTACAAACCCTGGTGCAAGGTAAACAGATTGGGAATAAGGGTTTAGAATTAGCCTCAGCATCAATTTCGTATATATATACCAATATGTATATATATACCAATACATATATATACATATATATATATATGTATATATATATATACATATATATATATATGTATATATATATATACATATATATATATATATGTATATATATATATATATATTTAACACCAGTCACAACAAAACTACCAGGTTAAATATACATATATATTTATATGTATATATCTTTATATTTTATATATGCATATATTTTTATATATAAATATATCTATATTTATATAGAGAAATATCTATATATTTTTATATATAAATATATCTATATTTATATATAGAAATATCTATATATTTTTATATATAAATATATCTATATATAGAAATATCTATATTTATATATAAATATATCTATATATATAGAAATATCTATATTTATATATAAATATATCTATATATATAGAAATATCTATATTTTTATATATAAATGTATCTATATTTATATATAGAAATATCTATATATTTATATGTATATAAATATATATATTAAATATAAAGATATGTATTTAACCTGGTAGTTTTCTTGTGATTGGTGTTAACTAATTGCAGCCAGTCATGGTGGCTCACATCTGTGATCACAGCCACTTGGGAGGCTGAGGCAGGAGGATCGCTTGAAGCCAAGAGTTCAAGACCAGCCTGGGCAACATAGCAAGACCCCGTCTCCAAGAAAAAAAGCAACTGGAGAATCACCTCACATCCACCAATGTTATATTCCTTTATGCAGCTACAATGGAAGGAGAAGGAGATAGGGAGGAATTCTTGTGGTCGGCTGCTCCAAGCAGCCATTTATGGGAGACTGAACATAAATACAATGCCAGCAAATCAGTGGCCACCTCAACAAAAGTACCTTTATAAAAGCTGAAGGTTCAGGGATGGGGATTCTGTTTTTGTAAACGCAGAGATAGAGATCAGTTTCTTAGCTAACAGCTAAGAACTGTTTTCTAGACTGTGGGAATGGGTATCCTCGAGTATCTGGCAGGGGAGGAGAATGGCACAGATGAATTCAAACCAGGAATACCGCGTGCAGGCCAGGTGAGGCCCATGGAACTACAGGAGGCAGGGTGGCTTAGTCCCAACTCAGAGAAGGGCCCAGCCATTGAGAGGCAGGGAATTCTGCTCCAGAGCCTGCCATCTTGAAGAACAATATGGTTCTCACAAGGCATGGAGATGGTTTGCTACACAAATAAAGGGTACAAAGGGATTTGGTGCTTACAATATCCACTGTGAGGTTTTCTCCTAGGACATAATTTATAGATTAATTTTTTTTAAGAAAAATAAAATGATCTCAACTAGGGGAGAAAGTCTTCCAACCCAGTAGACTTCTTAAATACTTCTTCTGAATAGACTGTTTTTCTAATTTCTTCCCTAAGTTTGTGTATGATATATTATTACACTAGCATGTGAAGCCGGCCAAATGAGCCCTAGGAAAGAAATATTGCTCCAAAGTAAATATAGGGACTTGCTTAATACCGCATGATCAGATATCTTGCAAGTAAGACACACAATTAAAATATCATTGTATATGAGATTGAAAGTTGCAGATTGTATGAGATAGTCCCACTATGCTGAAGTGGAAATTTGATATACTTGCTGAGCTTTGAGAAGAATCCTGGGAAAATGGAACTTTGAACCTGTGTGGGGAGGAGAGAAGGATGATGTGAAAATATGGCTGAAAACTAGGGGCCACAGAGGAATGAAGGTAGATCATAAATCTGGAATATAGAGCAAATGTTTGGCAAACCATTCTAGCTGCATAAAGGTATATAACATTTGTGGACATGAGGCTGTTCTCAAATTTTAGCTAGCACCAGTCACAACAAAATTACCAGGTTAAATGCTATTAAAGCAAGCATATATTTAAAAGAATATTTTCATGGAAAAGAAATTCAAAGGCAAACAGTGGTCCACTTATTTTAAGCAAAGCAAGGAAACTCCATTAGAGAATTAAGAATAGGATTAAAAAAACTCATCATAATGTGATTTTATTTTGCAAAGTTCGTTATTTAAGATGTATATCAATAAATAATATAAACACACGCGTGCGTGCACACACACACACACACACAGATGCCTGAATAAGTTTACCTTTTAGTAGCAACAGAAAAGTAAGCAAAGGGCAGGAAAATGAAAACGACAAGCCCAGAGGCAAATAAAACAAACTTTCAGGGAGTGTCTTATTATTGCATAGCTTGAAAAAAAGTCATTGCCTGGGATTAAAAAACAAACAAACTTTTTTTAACGTAAACACTTGTTACCTTGTGATATTATTTTACTTTAATGAGGCAGTGAAGACAACTTTGGATATATATTTAGATGAAAAGTCACAAAGAAGCTTAGGTGTCCCAGTAAATGAAGATTATTAGGCACAAAAGGAGATGCAGAGATTTCCCTAGAAAACACAGTCTGATCTTTTTAATTTCTGTTTTCTTTTTCTGCTGGGGAAAGTTTAATGTAAATCCTTCCCTTTATGGGAAGTGATCGACTTTGTTCTTTGTTTAATGTAGACGGGGTCCTGGTCCCTGACATTGTGCATTTTTACATATTTAAAGGAGTTTTAAGGGACACTAAGACTTTTCTTTCACTAAGGTCTTACAAACGACCGACACTACTCCAGCAAAATTGCACACTTTGGTCTTCAAGGATCAAAGACTGAAATGGAGCTAATTTCCTACAACAATTCTACAGCCTGGTGAGTTCGCTAAGTAGGAGAAGGCTGCCCATTGCCATTTATTGAACTAATTAAAAATAAAAACTTAGCTTTCAATAAAAGGTATATTTTAGAGCATGATACTAATTAGGATTTTTTTTTTGTCTTTAAACAAAATGTAACCTTATCCTCCTCTTTTGAAGGTTAGCAATGCTCACAGATTTTGTTAATTGGTTTATTAACTTCTTCTATCCTGGAATCATTCACGTTCAGCCTTTCTTACATTCATATCCTTGTGTAACTGTGGATTTTAGATTGAATTTTTTGTTTGTTTGTTTGACCAACAAAATGAGTAGAACCCGGGTTGGAAGAAAGCTTACAAGAAGTATATTCTAAGTTAATACATTAAGATGTTCAGTCTGGAGACTGGGAGGTAGTTGAGTTTAGACCATGCACAGCCAGTAAGGTCATGACAAGGCAGACCCTTACAGCTTAGCTTCACAATCTGGAAATCCAACATGCATCTGTTTCAGTAATAATCATGTTCTGGGGAAGGAAGGCACAAACCCAGGACTCGGTTTTCCATAATGCACAATGACAATTACTAGAATGACTTTGATCTGGAGAGTGTTTCTAGTGTCCTGTGATCGAAGGTTTCTGTCCTACAACCACTGTGTTCTGAGGCCTAACAGGCCTTATATTCACCTTTTACGAGGGTTTTTTCAAAGGTGTTTGAGTTAGGAGATGCCACAACCAACCAGATGGGTCAGAACTTTTGCCTATATTCTGTCTTTTGACACGTCGTTGTTTGAATGACTTTACCAGCCTTGGTGAAGTATATGGGCCTTGTATAATAAAACCACAGGCCTTTGGGTAACAAGCCTTCTCTAATTTTGACTCACTCAAGGTTCCTAAGTGAAACACTTTTTCATTAGCATCTTCAGTCCTAGCCAAGTAGCCCTGGACTCAGAAGTAAGGTTTTCCTAAACGTTTATCGGGGAGAGAAAAAATCCTGGGACAGATTTTATCTGGCTCCCTGAGCACTTTTGAAGTCTTGGATAGAACTGGACATTTTTTAGACTTTCCTTTGTGTGTCGGAGAAGGTTTCAGCAAGGCAGGCCGCTAGATAAAAGAGAAACCCCAGCCTATTTGGAGATGAAAGTCTTCAAACCAGGGCATGCCAAATTCATTGGAGAATATAGCCTCAAAGGAAATGTTTGCTTTCTTTTGAAAATTCATTATTATAAAGCCCATTGTGTCATTAGGCCAGTTGTGTGATTATTGAGAAATAACTAGAGATAATAAACGAATGCCTCATCAAAGGCATGTTAATGCTGGGTGATCTTATTGAACTTGTGAGTTGTAGATGCCCTTAAATGCCTTCTCTATGAAAGGACACAGTCCATACCCATCAGCATTTTTAATTAGGAAAACTCCCAGAAAATTATGGTATGGACAAAAGTTGAGGCTTTAAAAAAAAATTCTTGGAAACACGGAAAATATTTCACATCTGAACTTCAGAAGAAAGATCTATTTTCATATTCTGGTTTTGGCTCACCAGACTGGTCCTGCGCTTTGATAAATGGCAAAGTTACCTCGTTAATGAGCACTGAACAGATCCGGCCACTGTCCCTGCTTGGGCTCTGTGCTGGGCAGGAAGCGGTTTTCTCCCCCGAGGCCAGATCTCATTTTCATGACTGAATCTTGTGAGATCTTGAAGCACTAAATCAATAACTCTTATTCAGTCAGCCCTGAAAGGAAGGCAGTTATCAAAAGGAACGCAGGCAAAGCAGGTGATAGCAGATGAAACTCGGCGATTATTTTCAAAAGAACCAGCAGGCTCTGAAGTCTGCGGATGCTTCTCTGGCACACCCCAAATCTTCCCCTCACATCCAGTTTGGTGCCAAGCTGTGCCTGTCGTCAGTATAGCGTGTACAATTTAGTTGCTTGAAGCAGAAAAAATGTGAAAGTGGCCAATCTTATGTCTTACTTACCTAGTCAAAATGCATATGGAAATGCAAAGTGCTTATGTCTATATTAAAAAGAAAAAACGCATCCAGCACAGAAAGACATGAATATCACACTCCACTGAGCAAGTATAACCTCTGTGATGAGGCCCGTTGTACTTCAGGAATTGCCTCCCCGCCCGCCCCCACTCCATGTAAAACAAGAAAGTCAAACATAAGCACAGAATTTTCCAAATATGGAAAGGATCTTTTGATGATCAAATATACAAAGGAAAGCATGTCCCTGAGTCATAATAAGAATAAAATAAAGGACTGAAAACAGAAAGACCATTTCCTCCAAGAAACCATCCTGGATTTGTAAGAATATTCCCTGCCTCTCACCTCATGCCTTCTTCTTCTTCTTTTTTTTCTTTTTCTTGAGATGGAGTCTCACTTTGTCACCCAGGCTGGAGTGCAGTGGCGATCAATCTTGGCTCACTGTAGCCTCCACCTCCCAGGCTCAAGCAATCATCCCACCTCAGCCTCCTGAGTAGCTGGGACCACAGGCGCGCACCACCACACCTGGCTAATGTTTTGCACTTTTGGTAGAGACAGTATTTCCTCATGTTGCCCAGACTGGTCTGGAACTCCTGGCCTATAGTGATCTGCCTTCCTTGGCTTCCCAAAGTGCTGGGATTACAGGCATGAGTCACCATGTCCGGCCACACTTCTTGTCTTCTGTTTAATGCTGAATGTTATAGCAAAGGCTAAGAAAATGTATTTCATGGCCCTTGGTTCAAAATTTCAGGAAGCTCAGATCCTAAGATAGCAGAGAGGAAGGAGACCTGAAACATTTTCAAAAGTCAAATAACTATCATACTCAGTCTATTCAAATGAGTAATCAAATTTCCCTATCAAAACAAGGCTAAGGGTTTTTTTCCTCCCTGTACGGAAATAGGTTTTCAAAGGTAACAGAAAAGTTTGCAGAGTTATGTTTAAGTGTTTGTGTCTGCAATCACAGTTTTTCTTTTTTGTTTTTGGAGACAGGGTCTCACTCTGTTGACCAGGGTGAGGAGTGTAGTGGCATGATCATAGTTCACTGCAACCTCTGCCTCCCTCCCAGACTCAAGCAATCCTCTGGCCTCAGCCTCACCAAGTAGCTAGGACTACAGGTATGTACCAACATGACCAGCTAATTTTTTTAAAATTTTCTTTGTAGAGACAGGGTTTTGCCATGTTGCCCGGGCTGATCTCGAACTCCTGGGCTCAAGTGATCTGCCTGCCTCAGTCTCCCAAAGTGCTGGGATTATGGGCGTGAGCCACTGTGCCCAGCCTGCAACCACATTTTCAATGTCTTTGTTTTTTAAAAGGCATTCCACGATGAATCGTTCATCACGGAATACAGAGAATTATTTTCTAATGTACAAAACTACCTTGAAAATATGTGAGAGTTGGGGTTTTTATGTTCAAAGAAGTATCTTTCATATTAAAGCTTTAAACAGGCGATTGTCTCTCTGATATGTGGTAATTAATTTCTGTTAATTTCTTACATTTAGTTCTGTTTAATGTTGGTTTCAGTTTTAATTGTGTTTAAGGCATATCTGCACTGTGGAGGTGAGACAGTGGGCTCAGGGCCTGGAAGACACTTAGAAAGCATAAGAACCATAACCTTCAGCTTCTCACGCTCCCTTCCTGTATGGCTGATATAGTTTGGCCCCGTGTCCCCACCCAAATCTCATCTAGAATTGTAATTCCCATAATCCCCATGTGTGGAGGGCGGGGTCTGGTAGGAGGTGATTGGATCATGGGGGTGGTTTTCCCCATGCTGTTCTTATGACAGGAGTGACTCTTCACGAGATCTGATGGTTTTATAAGCATATGGCATCTCCTCAGCTTGGACTTCTCTCTCCTGCTGCCATGTGAAGAAGGTCCTTGCTTTCCCTTCACCTTCCACCATGATTGTAAGTTTCCTGAGGCCTCCCCAGCCTTTTGGAACTGTGAGTCAATCAAACCTCTTTCCTTTATAAATTACACAGTCTCAGGTACTTCTTTATAGCAGTGCGAGAATGGACTAATACGATGGCTTTCTTATTGAATTGAAGCTCAAAACTAATATTTCAGGAGCCACATTTTGATCTATAAACCTGTATTATTCTTATTTCTAAAAAATTTTTTAGACAGACTTTCATTCTGTCACCCAGTGGGGCAATCATATTGGGGTATCATAGCTCATTGCAGCCTCAACCTCCTGGGCTCAACTGTTCCTCCAGCCTTAGCCTCTAGAGTAGATAAGACTACAAGTGTGTGCCACCATGCCCAGCTAAGTTTAAAACGTTTTGCAGAGACGAGGTCTTGATATGTTGCCCAGGCTGGTCTGGAACACCTTGACACAAGTGATCCTCTCAGTTCAGCCTCCTAAAGTGCCAGGATTACAGGTGTGAGCTGCCGTGCACTGGCCAAACTCTGTATTTTTGAAGAAAAGAGATACACGATTCAGTCATTAGAACAAATGTATCCAAATGTACAAGTGAATTAATTTTGCCTAGACTGATAACTATAGTCCTATGTACTTTTATGGGATTTAGGAATCAGGATAATTAGTTCAATAACCAACAAAACTCAAGTCGCTGGAAACCAGAAGACACTCATGCATATTTCTCTATTATACAATTAAAATTTGCAACTTGGTGAAGGGTCCATTGGAAATACATCCTTTTAAAACCAGTGGCATGTCTGTCATTCCCAGAATGCAGTAGGACCAGGTGACTGGGCCCTCTCTGCTTTGGGGAATCTGGATGTGATGCCAGCACCAGGGATCCAGGTCATCGGGGCACATACCCTTAGCTTCTGAGGAGTCTGAGCCCTGGAAGCTATAGGTCTGGGACCTAAACCAGATTCCTGACTCTCTGGAGAGTGCCCCCAAATCAATTAGAGTTGATATGTGGATGCCATTTTTCTTTGTCCCCTGCAGATTCATGACTTCAATTGAGAGATGAGTTTCAAGCCACCTTTCAAGGAATCCTGGGTAGAATGAAATCTGTTCCATGGAATCTTAAGAAGAAGAAGAAAAAAAATCAAGATCCCTGTGGTAGGTATCAGTCATTGGTTTCTAGTTACTCAACCCTTTTACAAGTCTTAAGGACCCTATAAACTTTGAAAGTTGTAGTAAAATATTTATAGAGCAAGTCAAAGAAAAGTATAAAACAGTGGGTCTAGGTGAAATTTAGACGTGGCTAAAGTTCCTTTTCACCTCTTTTGCTGTTTGATTCATAAGGGTATAGGTACCTGGCCTAGTGAAATAGCAACTCATTTCACCCTGTAGACCGGACATAGTACAATTTCCACAGTTGCAAAGCCATTTCATTCCTTTTCCTCCTGGTGTTTACTTTAGAAGTTCAAGAGACGATTTTGATGAGAAATGACAGTCCGGTGCCTCATGAGAAACTCAGGCCGGTGCCACAGGTGAAAACTCTGAGGTCATTACCCCTTCTGAATTTTCCTGGGAAAGGGCCTTGGAGCCACTCTCCACTGTGACTGAGAAACTCAAGAGGAGCCATTGGTGTTTCAGGCTTTTAGGGGAGATATAAATGGAGGCCTGACTAGTAAAACCTGCCACCCAAAGCCCCAAGGCACTCTTTACTCAGGCAGTCATAGAGCTGGGATGGAACGCCATCTGGAGGAACCCCACTTTGCCTGTGTGCCTCCACGTCCCCAGCCCATCCTTGGGGTTCTTCCCTTCCTCACCAGGATGCAGGGCTGTAATAGCAGGGTGCTGTTCAGCAGCTGCTGCAATATCACTACACGGTAAGGGCTGGCCTTAAGCAACATGCTCTGGGGTTCATAAACATACATGGGGCAGGAAAACGTGATCGCATATAAATGTGTGCAATGTTATTCCGGGAAAAACATGTGAATGTTTTGGAAGTCATAAGGGATTTCCTAAATAACGATGGTGTATGGAATCCAAGAGGTTTTTGCTCAAAGAAAGCCCAAGATCATAACTGAAAGTGTGTTAGGAAGCAAAAAAAGGTCAAAAACCACGGGCAAAATTAATGTCTTGTTGGGTCCTGCTACAATAACTCTGGGGGTGAAATGAAGTTCATGCTCCTTTATTCTGAAGCATGATTATAAAGCAATGGAGTAACGGCTTCAACAAATATATCTGAATGAATATATCTAAATAAATGCTGTGGCCTTCAAGATGGCCATGGCGAAAACTCTAATTATTATGACATATGTTTCTTAAGCCTTTTCTGAGACCCTTCCCAACCCTTCTTCTCCTCCTGTGCACCGCTCTTCTGAGATGCTTGAGGTTTCATACATACTACTATTGTAAATATTTCCATTTAACATTGAAATTAGTTGTTTTCGGGGTTTGTGCCCCATCAAGGATTGGTACAGAGTAAAAATGTATTGCGTTAAAAAATTTTTAAAGTGTGTTTAGTGAATGGCCTTCACAGATAATTTATGACTCGCACAGGAAAACTTGCCTAATGTTTTAGGGCCACATTTTGTATACCAAAGCAGTGTCACCCAATTTGGTCACCTACATTCACCAGCTCCATTTTAAAATAATTTTTGGTTTATTTTAAGAATCAAATACACCTTCTTCTTGGTATAAAGGTTTATAACCATTGAGACTATTCTAAAGGAATGTGCTCTTGGCTCTGGAGGCAATTCCAAAGGAGGAATTTCCAAAATATTTTGAGCTATGACTGCATCATTGTGTAGTGATGCCCAGTGGAAAAATATTTTTTAAAGCAGTAGAACTGTTCCTTAAAAGTTACTCATAGTTACGAGAGGCTGAGCAACCAATTCACGATTGTGACTTCCTTTGTTTTGGGAAAAGTTAGCAGAATAAACACTTCAGTTTGTCCAAGAACAATAATTTGTGTAATGAGCGTCATCCTCAATGTTACTTTAAATGTAGGCTGAGAAGTAATGTGTTCTGTTTAACATAAATAGAGTCCATTTTTAGTGGGACATTGTCCTTGCTGCATCTTTGAATATGGATTTAGATTTTAGTGACTGTCTCTGAAACTGTCTTGGGAAGGTGTGTGTGTGTGTGTGTGTGTGCATGCACATGTGTGTACATATCTGTTTGTATGTATAAATGCATGTATATTTTGTCTATTTGTCTGATTATATTTGTTTTAGGACAGTGCAAACCCTGAGCTAACCCAGAAAGTATCTCGACCCTCTCTTTACTCCACACTGGATGAAAGACTGGGAAAGGAAATTGAATCAGGTTTGCCCGGGCACAGTGGCTCATGCCTGTAATCCCAGCACTTTAGGAGGCCGCGAAAGGCGGATCACTTGAGGTCAGAAGTTCAAGTCCAGACAGGCCAATATGGCAAAACCCCGTCTCTACTAAAAATACAAAAACAATCAGCTGGGCATTGTGGTGGGGGCCTGTAGTCCCAGCTACTTGGGAGACTGAGGCAGGAGAATCGCTTGAACCCAGGAGGCGGAGGTTGCAGTGAGCTGAGATCATGCCATTGCACTCCAGCCTGGGCAACAAGAGTGAAACTCTGTCTCAAAAAATAAAATAAAATAAAATAAAATAAAATAAAATAAAATAAAATAAAATAAAATAAAAAGAAATGGAATCAGGTTTGACCCTGGCTATCTGGGCGACAGCACCAGGCGTGGTGTTATGAAGACCAGCAGATGGAAATGAATCACTGGTGATTGGGGCTGGTGTTTGGGGCCAAGGAGGCTGCATTGCAGCTGGTGGGTGGTTGAAGGGTCCCCCTTTTAGGAAGGAGAAGCTCCCAGTCATCTTGGGATGGGAATGAGCAAGGCTGCCACTTAGTTCTGGGACTGAGAGGCTCCAGCTGGATTCGGAGGTGGGAAAGAGACCTGGAGCCTGGTGGAGAGGAGGCTGACTTGGCTTAGCCAGGCAAAAGGTAGCCAGGAGCTAGGCCAAAGGCCCAAGGCTGGCGTTCAGAGCCGGGACCCTCTAGAGGAACCCCTTTTGATAAGCATGGGAATGTTTCTCGGAGTTGTAATTGTGTCAGCCCCATGCCTTCAGTACAGTTTTATTAAACAGTTGGGCTGCTCCTCTCTGTGCATTGTGGAAGTACAGGCAGAGCTTGTGTCTGCACTTGGAGTGTCTTGCATGGGGATGGCCGAGCAGCCTGAGGAAGCCAGTGTTGAGCCTGTTCAAGGGAATTTCCTTGCAGGGCTTTGCAGCACCGGCCTTGGAGTCAGGGTGGCTGGAGGGATGAGTGACTACTGGGATGGGTGGGCGGCACATCCAGCATCTCTCCAGAATTCTCCAACATGTTCATGAAGGAGAAGCAGGGAGAAGAATAACTTTCTTGAGTTATGGAATTGGGCCTCAAAGTCATGATTATTTGGATAATAAGAAAACACAGGCTGGGTACAGTAGCTCACAGCTGTAATCCCAGCACTTTGGGAGGCTGAGGCAGGAGGATTGCTTGAGCCCAGGAGTTTGAGACCAGCCTGGGCCACATGGTAAGACTCAGTTTTTACATAAAAAATTGTTTTTAAAATGAACCAGGAGTGGTGGCTCGCATGTAGTCACAGCTACACGTGAGGCTGAAAAAAGGAGGATTGCTTGAGCCCAGGAGTTCAAGGCTGCAGTGCAGTGAGCTATGATTATACCACTGCACACCAGCCGGGCAATAGAGCAAGACCCTGTCTCAAAAAAACAAAACAACTCCTCTCCCCACCTCGAAGCCCCACGATCTTTTTGGTAATTACAGGTGAGTGAGGTCTGGGGACTTACTAGTTCTAACTGGGATAAGTGCAAAGCATTACTATGTCTATAAGATACCTTCCATTTTTTAAAAAGCAAACTTAAAAGTTGAAACAATTCCATATTTTACATGTCTTTAGAGGTTCTCATTATGTACGTAGGTGAAATAATCACAATGTAACTGAAATGTTTAGTTTTCAGCCAGTGGTTTGATTTTCTCTGCTATAATCCCTCTTACTCTGACCTTGATATTCCTCACTCCCCAACAGCTAATCCATTGGTGAGTTAAAGATTTCTCAAATCTGCCAGTATGGTGGCTTACACCTGTAATCCCAGCACTTTGGGAGGCCGAGGTGGGAGGATTGCTTGAGCCCAGGAGTGCGAGACTGACCCAGGCAACAGAGTGAGACCCTTTCTCTACAAAAAGTAGAAAAATTAGCCAGGCGTGGTAATGCACGCCTGTGGTTCCAGCTACTTGGGAAGCTGAGATGGGATCACTTGAGCCCAGGAGGTCAGGGCTGTAGTGAGCTATGATTACACCACAACACTCCAGCCTGAGTGACATTGCAAGACCCTGTCTTCGATAAATAAATACATACATAAATAAATAAAAATAATGCAAACACATTTTTAATTTACAAGACACTCTTTGAGAAAACTATATTCTGGGAAGGGATTATGAAGCTGGATCTGGAATCGTGCCTGGTTCCCGTCCTCTGGCTCATTCATGAAGTGTTGGATGAAGCACTTTGCTGAGCCTAAAGAGTCCTGCTGTGTGGGATGAGGTGGGTGGAGGGACTTGTTAATGCTCATGTCCCATCCAGGGCCCCCTTATGCTCTTCTGATCCAATTCCCAGGAACATCAACTCCATAAAAACATTCCTCTCCCTCGAGCCGCCCATTAACCTTTCTGAGTTGGCTAATGATTAATGTCATTAGCTTCGGAATGCGATGGCAACTCCCCAAGAGGGTATGGCACCCACAGTGTTGTGGGTTGTAAGAACTGTGCAAACCAAGCGAGCTGTCCTCAGTCTGGGTGTGGAGATAATGGTTTTACCCCCTCCAACAGTGACTTTTATTGCAGTCATAATTACTCATCTGTTCAGTTAGCACCTGCCCTACCAGTGGGGAGAGAGAACCCAAATAATAATGTCAAGTTTACCCAACCTAACCAATGCAGACATCACCAATGATGTGATGACCTTGTGTTTGGAAAGCGAAGGTCTCCTTGGGCAGGGGAGCAGCCCAACCACATTTTCTCAGGAACTGCTCTGATTTCCTTTATCCTTGGCCTGGCTCTAGCAGGTTAAACCTTTATGAGATTGTCATTCCCATAGGTCAAAAATGACCAAATATAAGGAATTTCATAGGGTTCAACCCAATATAGTTTGTTCTTGATTTTTCTAGAGTAGTGATAAAAGACACGGGTAGAAAGTAATAAGCAAAGAGAATAACTTGTCAAGTAAGAAAACTCTAACAAAGTTAGGGGTAGTATATTTTAAAAGCTTACTTGCCCTGGAGAAGACTATGCGTATTATACACTCTTGCATTAATATTATATGCATGTGGATTTTGAAATATTTCAACTCCTTGGGTGAGACATTTAAGGTAATGAGTTCCTGAAGTTTCATGTCACTACAGTGCCTGAAAATCGTTTTCATGGAATTTTCATTAATTTCTAATAGATGAGAAGGTTGTATTTACAAAATGAGTGATTGTTGCCTTAGAGATCAGGCAGGACATTGCCAGTAATGAGGGCAGACTGCAGTCAGGAAGTCTTGTTTGAATTAATAGTAAGTGAACTTCAAGACAGCAGAAGTCACTGCTTGTCCCAGATGTCTAATGATGAGTAAGTGAAACAGGAAAGCAAGGAGAACTAGCGCTGCTTGCCTACTGTGTGGCAGCTCTTCACATCCTCTTTCCTTTCATCTGCATACAACTCCACAGGGACAGGGATTATTGTCACCATTTCACAGATGCTCCGAGCAGTATTAAATCAACTGTCAAAGTCCATATCACTAGACATTGGCAGAGCCAGCATTTATGGCCAGCTCAGTTGTATTCAAAGCCTCATCATTTGCTTATGCCAAGAAAGACTGGATGACTTGGTACCAAAGGTGGTCCATGTTTATGGCTTTGGGCCTGGCATCTTCAGAAGTGTCTTAGTTTGGGATTGTGCATGCTGGTGCCATTTTCCTGATTCACAGGTCTCCTCAGCAAGCACTGGAGAAGGCATCCTCAAGTATAAAGCATTGGGACTTTGGGTTGCATTAAAATTTGCCTCCAGTTACTCCCAGCAGAGCTTGGAACGCAGTAGTCAATAAAGCAAATATATATATATTTTTTGAATTTTATTATAAGAGATACATAGTGTATATATATATATTTTAATTTTACTATAAGAGATAAGGTCTTTGTCTGTCACCCACGCTGGAGTGCAGTGGTGCAATTATAGCTCACTGCAGCCCTGACTTCCTGGGCTCAGGTGATCCTCCTGCCTCAGCCTCCTGAGTAGCTGGGCCTGTAAATGCTAAAAACCAGCTGCCAGCACGTTCAGCTAATTTTTCTACTTTTTGTAGAGATGGAGTCTTGCTATGTTGCTCAGGCTAGTCTTGAACTGAGCTCAACCAATCCTCCTACCTCAGCTTTCCCAAATGCTGGAATTACAGGCATCAGCCACCATACCCAGCCTTGCATATTGTTTTGGTGGCATCTCAGATGACCTTGTTAGCTGGATTTTCTTGTCAGAAATCGAGGATAAAAAGGATTTCCAAGTCACTTTTATACAGGATGAAATGGAGCTTTGGTCGAAACCTTAAGCCACCAAACTCTTTTTGGGTTGGGTGAGAGCTGTAGGTTGAGGAGCCATTATATCAAATAACAATTATGACTGGCACTTGAAACGGTGGGGGTGGGAGAGAGGGAATAAATAGTTTGGATGCTGGCTTGGACTGCTGGGCTAATTCTGAGTGCTTCTGTTTTAATCAGCTCCCATGGCGAGAGTCATGGAAAAATACCACTTTCACATGTACACACAAGTACTGAGCTTAAGAGTAATGAGCACTAATGCAGTCATTTAATACATATTAATCTGTTTGCTTCCTCATTCTGCATCTGTCACTGCCTCTAAACCCCAGCAACCTGGAAGCTGCTAATTCTACTCTGTTGCTAGACACGCGACATAGAGAAATACCAAAAAGAAAGCATGGAAACCTAGCTTGTTTATGGCTAGTAGGTACGTGGATCTGTTACTACTGTCGATGGTGTGTCCCGTCATTCTGCTTGAGCTTTGGTCAGCTGTGTAGACAGAATTTCCCAGGAAGGGAAAACAAACAGATAAGGAAGCATTCACTGTACATTTTTCGTCCTTTACTGCCTGTATGACTAGCTGTGACAGGCTGCAGGAGATTCGATTCCACTCAGCTACCAAGGACAAGGCTTGCCATAATGGAAGCTCAGTAAATATTTGAATGCGATGCATTTTTTTGGTTCCTATTCCTGTGTTATCTAGAGGAATATAAGGCTTATGCCTTTTTCTAGAAGATGATGGAGGTAAAAGAAATAATTAGACATAAGGCATTTAGAAAGAAGACATGCAAGATGAAAGGCAAGTGAATTGAAGAGAATCATGAGTCATGGTAATGTTACAGACCCCAAAATAATATTATGTGTCTGGTTGGCTGCATTTTTTGGTGGGGCTGGGGAGGGAAACATGTTTCCTGGAGCTGAGCTGCAGAAGAGAATAGGGCCTGACACCTGGGCTGGGCAACCTAGGTTAGTCATTTAATGGCACTGAATACTTCTGTCTAACTCTTTTCAAGACGGCTAACAATCTCTAACTTAAAGGATTGTTGTAGGGATTAGGGATAAGGTCAGTAAGGGCGTGCATGACATCGACTGCCGAGAAGGAGTCAATAGATGGTAGCTCTGGCCAGGCGTGGTGGCTCACGCCTGCAATCCCTACACTTTGGGAGGCTGAGGAGAGGAAGGCAGATCACTTGAGGTCGAGACCAGTCTGGCCAACATGGTGAAACCCCGTCTCTACTGAAAATACAAAAATTAGCTGGGCATGGTGGTGTGTGCCTGTAATCCCAGCTACTCGAGAGGCTGATGCAGGAGAATCATTTGAATCCGGGAGGTGGAGGTTGTGGTGATCTGAGATGGTGCCACTGCACTCCAGCCTGGGCAACAGAGTGAGACTCCATCTCAAAAATAAATAAATAAATAAATAAACAAATAAATAAGTAAATGGTAGCTCTCATGGCCTTTATGCAGGAGGAAGGACTGGAAATGGGTGTCCTCAGTGAGTGATCAGAATTTCAATAAGTGGTGAGAAAGAGTAAAGGCATCTTCCATGTCGATGTGTCAAACTATAGTTCATTCATTTTCATAGTTGCATAGTTTTTCATTGTATGAATATCCTCCCATTTATTTGCGTGTTCTCTGGAGGATGGATATTTGGTTGTTTGCATCTTCCAGCCATTATGAACAACATGATGTACTCATTTTTGAAGGCTACCATAAGAAAAGACTGCAAATAGGATGGATTGAAACAACAGAAGTGCATTCTTATACAGGGGCTAGTCTGAAGTCAAGGTTTCTGGAGGGGTATGCTCTCTTTGAAGGCTGCCGTGAAGAAGCAATTCCATATCCTTCTCTTAGCCTCTGACATCGCTGGCAATCTTTGATGGTCCTTGGCTTCTAGACACATCCTCCATTGTCTCTGCCTCCATAGTCATGGGGGTCTCCCTACTTGTATTTTATCTTTCCTCCTTTTCTTACAAGGACACCAGTCTTATGGGATCAAGAGCCCACCCTATTAACTCCTCTTAACTGAAATAATTATATCTGCAGTGATCTGTATCCAAGTGAAGCCACATTCCAAGGCTCTGGTGAGGATATTAATTTTGGGGGGAACATTATTCAGCCCAGCACATATGGCTGTGAACATTCTTGAATCTGAGCAAAGTGCCTGTGGGCCACCCTCCCATGTCACCACTCCATGCCACTGGGTCATAGGGTGTGTGCATCTTTGTAGGATTATATCCAATGGCTCTTCCAGTAAATTGTGACAAATTATACTCCCACGAACAGTGTGTACGAGTTCCTGTTGCTCCATGTCTTAACTAGTAATTGGTACTGTCAAATTTTCTTTTTAAATTGCTAATCTGCTGTGTGTAAAGTGGTACATCTGTATGGCGTAATTTGCATTTCCCTGGTTACTACTAATTTGTTTTTTCTTCTTAAAATGTATGTTTATATCTTTTACCTATTTGCTTGTTGACTTGTTTGTCTTTTTTTTTTTTTTTCAGCTTTTTGGAGAAATTCTTTGTCAGTTCCAAAATTGCAAATTTATCTTCCAGTGTGTGGCTTATTTTTTCACTCTCTTTATGGGGCCTTTTTGATAAAAAGAAGTTCTTAATGTTAATGTAGTGAAGCTTATCAGTATTTGTCTTTAAAGTTGGAAAACTTTTGTGTTTTAAGAAATTCACCATGTTGAAGCCATAAAGATCTTTCTCCTTAATTTCTTCTAAATAATTTTGAAGTTTTGTCTTCCCCATTTAGCCACCAGGAGGTGATTCTTTTTTTTTCATGGTGTGAAGTTGGGGTCCAATTTTCTCTTTGCCCATAGGGATAATCAACTCTCCCAGCTTCATCTGTCCTTCTTACCACCCCGGATCTGCACTGTCACCCATGGTTTTAATGAATATCCATTTGTGTACCTCTGTTTGGGCTCTGGAGTCATGTGTCTTCTGGTTGGTCATTTCAGTTGTCTTCAAATTTTTGCTATTATGAATGATGATGTGACCCACATCTCTATGTGTCCATATTTGGCCCATCTAGTTTGCTATTTAATTGCCACAAAGTAATTTCTGGATGCAATTTTGCTACATTGAAGAGTAAACACATTTTGTTTTTGCTATTTTCCCTCCATGTCTCTACATCTTCCTCACCCCGCTGCCCTCCATGTGAAAGCTCTTGCCTCACCCAGGCCCTGACTCCTCACCAGGCCAGCCCTCCCCCTGCACACACAGCCCCTCACCTCTTGATGGTCCTGACAGCCCATTCTGGGCCACCATGGCGCCTCACAAGCCCCTCCCCTACCCCCACGTACCTTGTTCTATACCACCTATGGCATGAAGACAAAATTGTTCAGAAAGAGAAAGAAAAAGAAGAAAAATAGGAAGAGCATCAGCACATTTTAAAGCCTTTTAAAAATTATGCATTGAGCTATCACTTTCACAAAGGCATTAGCAATGCACACTTTCACCCCAGTGCATGACAGGGCACAGTGACCTGCAGGAAGCTCCCCGAAGGCCAAGGGTCCGCATGGTTCACTGTTATGTCTTTAGCACAGTCCCTGGCACATAGCAGATGCACAATAAAGATTTGTTGAATGAATGCCTGTACTTCTTATGTTTTCACCAGCTACTTTTTATCATTAAAAAAAAATCCACTTTGTCAATTTATAATGGCACCATGTCAGATCCAGGTACCATTCCATTGTAGGGTAGAGCAGAGCACAGGGTCTGTGTAGTTCTGAGGCATTTCTTCTACCTCTTTTCAGTAGTGCCCTCCCCACTGTCCAGCACACAGATCCATGGATTGAATCTCTGAGGTGATATCCAACACATCAAGCCAAACAGACTTTGTCTTCACAGGTTTCTCCTTCCAAAACGAAGTTTGAGACCAAATTGTGCCCAACATACAACTAGTTATGTGATCATATAACCAGAAACAGATTGTCTGTATGCCACTGTGGGTAAAAACACGGGCTACAGAATGTAGCACAATGGTCCCCAACCTTTTTGGAACCAGGGACCAGTTTTGTGGAAGACAGTTTTTCCACGGACTGGGGCAGGGGATGGTTTTGGGACGATTCATGCGCATTGCAGTTATTGTGCACTTTATTTCTATTATTATTACTTTGTAATATATAATGAAATAATTATACAACTCACCGTATTGTAGAATCAGTGGGAGTGTGGAGCTTGGTTTCCAGCAACTAGACAGTCCCATCTGGGGTGATGGGAGACAGTGACAGATCATCAGGTGTTACATTCTCATAAGGAGCTCACAACCTAGACCCCTCGCATGGGCAGTTCACAGTAGGGTTTGTGCTCCTATGAGAATCCAGTGCCACTGCTGATCTGACAGGAGGCAGAGCTCAAGTGGTAATGTGAGCAATGGGGAGTGGCTGCAAGTACAGAGGAAGCTTTACTGGCCCACCCATCACTCACCTCCTGCTGTGCGGGCTGGTTCCTAATGGGCCACAAACCACTGACCCGGGGGCTTGGGGACCCCTGATAGAGCAGACCTGAGTGAAATGCTGGCTATCCTAATTGGAAGCTAAGAACCCTTGGGAAGTTCTCTAACCTCCTTCACCTTCAACCACAATCTTCTCATTTGTGTAATGTGGAAAATAACATCTAGTTCATGGTGTTCTTGAGAGGATTAAATGAGCAATAATGTATAAAGTGCTTAACACAACACCTGCCACATAATCACAGTGGCTGCAGTGTGTTGGGCTGTAGTTATTAGCCTGACCGGGACATGGGCTTCAGAGAACTTAGAAGGTCTGTTTGCATCGCATTTCTTTATTAACTCAGTGGAAATAGAAATGCACTTCTGGGAATGGAGGAAGAAAAAAAGAACAATTTTAATTTGGTTAAACAAACTGACTCTTAAAGTTGTTGCTGTTTCTATAAGCTTTGATTCCTATAAATTTCTTTTGCCTTGCCTATGAGCAGCATACCAGGGGACCAGTAATGGCTTCACAAAGACAAGGGGCAGGAGCTCCAGACTAATGAGCTTCCTCCTAAGCAGGCTGTGTGCCCATTAAAGCCCCAAATCCTCTGCTGTCCATCTTTCTCTACTCCATGGTTTGCCTTAAAGCACAGTTCGTCAAAAGCCACCATCCTGGACTTGCCAACACACAGCTAGATGATCATAAGGTATGGAGAGCATAAATTAGCTCAAAGACATCACCTATTTTTATTTTAATTTTATTTTTGTATTTTTAGTAGAAACGGGGTTTCACCATGTTGGCCAGGCTAGTCTTGAACTCCGGACCTCTGGTGATCTTCCCGCCTCTGCCTCCCAAAGTGCCGGGATTACAGGCATGAGCCGCCGCACCCAGCCAGACATTACTTATTAAAGCTGAGATGTAACATAAGAAGAAATAAACCCATTCAATTGTCTCCTTGAATAGTAAAATACATGCTACAGGAAGCTATCAGAGATTTTGTGAGCTGTAATGTCTTTAGGAGGAATAAAAAAGATTTTGTTTTTAACAATTCTTCATCTCTGACAACCGAATACAATTTTTTTCCAACGTGACCAAAGAGTGCTGAACATCTCACCAGCAATGTCATCTTTCGCTCCACCTTGAAGTGAACAGAGTGATAAGAAAATCATTTTTTCACTAGTAGAAAAGTTATATGATTTCTAAGAATCCTTGGGCAGTCATTGCTTTGAAGACTTGTTTGACCAAAAACTCATGTTGCCCATCAAAGACTCTTAGCTTTTTCTCAACAGTTGTAATGAGAAGGATTATGATCAGTTCTTAAAAGTGTACAAGTTAACAAGATAATACTTGGCATCAAGTCCATCTCTAAGCTTCTTAAAAGGTCTTTAAAACAAACGATTAACTCTCTTCACACTACCTATGGATGGAGTAGACTTCATTGAAGGTTTGGAAAAAAAGGGAGAGGAGGGACTAGCAGGCAGGGCGGTTTTTTGTTTGTTTGTTTGTTTTGAGACAGAGTTTCGCTCTTGTTGCCCAGGCTGGAGTGCAATGGGGCGATCTTGGCTCACCACAACCTCCGCCTCCCAGGTTCAAGCGATTCTCCTGCCTCAGCCTCCTGAGTAGCTGGGATTACAGGAGCCTGCCACCATGCCTGGCTAATTTTGTATTTTTAGTAGCGACGAGGTTTCTCGTGTTGGTCAGGCTGGTCTCGAACTCCTGACCTCAGGTGATCCGCCTGCCTTGGCCTCCCAAAGTGCTGGGATTACAGGCGTGAGCCACTGCACCCAGCCAAGCAGTTCTTAAAATGCTCTTATAGCCCTTTGACCCCCCTTTCCCCACTCCCTGTGTCCTCTCTAGGCTGCCTGTCTGCTGGGTGCCCCCTTCGCTGCTTCCATGACTGCCTCTCACCCTCCCTCCTGGATTGTTCTGGCAGGCTCACATTCTTTTCCTTCTGTGATGCAGAGCAATTCCATGCTCTTCTACTAGAATTCTCAGGTTTGACTCAGAGTCCAGGGTCCAGGCAGGAAACAGAAACCACACCAGTGACTTTCACAGAAAGAATTTAATATACAGAATTGCTAACTAGAATTAGGTTACTGACCAGTTAACTGAAATGGCAGAATGTATAGTAAGGTATCCCAGAGGTAGCAATTGCAGAAGGCAGCTACCACCCCAAGGGCTGAAAGAACTATGGGAAGAGTTTGGAGCTATGAAAACATAAATGCTTGAGGATGGGCCCTGTGAAGATGGGATTCTCACCTAGGATGAAAGTGTACTTCTTAGTCAGAGCTAGTGTCTCTGAGCTGGGAGAAGAAGTGTGAGGGTCTGGGACCCAGATTTCCACAGAGGAAATATTGTCTATCTGGTGCTGGTGTTTCTAAGGCTGAGGTGTGAAGAAGCTGGCTGTGCAAGTGCTAGAAAAGCTGGCACCTGGATTCTGTGGCTGATGTGGAAAGGAACTGCCTCTGCGCAGTGAAGTAGTATTGCTACCATGATGCTCAAAAGAGTAGGAAACAGATAAGAAGAAATATGTTCCCTTCTCCTCTTCCAGCCCTGCAGTCTCCCTCTTGAATCCCTTCTTGGTGGAACCTAATAGAGCAGGTGGCCATATAGAAGTGTGGTTTGCAGGTCTGACATCAGCATCACTGAGCAGAATACAGAAGGAAGACATGGAGCTGACAGACAATAGCTTCATAACTGGTGTACACACCCAAAGCCACTAGCGTGTTTAGCAAAATCAAAGAGCTTCCAGTTGAACAGCGTTGCCCTTTCATCTCAGTGGCCTTTCTCTGTCATGGACACCTGGCTGGCACATGACTGAAGGAACTAGCAGGTGGGAAAAGGAGAGGAGAGATCAAATATTTAAGATGTGCCTCCTTTGCCCTCCAGTGCCAGATCCTTAGGTCTGGGAACTCACATCTAAGTGCTATTGGCATCTTCCTGGGACCTTAGGAAAAAATTTGCCACAGCAGTTTCCAACCTGTCTGGGAAGCACTTGAGGCTTAGCTCCTGCACCATCCACTTGGAACTGGATTGGTTGTCCTTGTCCCTGACTCTTCTATGATTTCCTCTCTGTATCCAGCTCTATTTAGATGGCTTATCCTCTGTAAATCTTCCCTCTATAAAGGCATTACTCTGCTAGATCTCCTCCATTCACCCCGCATTGCAGTCACAGCCAAGGCTCAGGCCCATGCCCATCTGATTCCAGGCCTATGGACACAACCTTTACCTCTCAGGACAGGGGGAAGTGATGCTTTTAAAATGTCAAATCTTGTCTCCTTCCCAATAATTTTAAATATGATTTCCATATAATGATAAGGCTTTGTGAGATTCAGAGAGGTTAAGTAGCTTGCCCCAAATCATACAGCTAGAAAGTGGTAAAGCCTGGGTTTCAATACTTGATGGTTTGGCCCTGTCTCCTACCTTGAAGATGACACTTATGTGGAAAATAAGTGGCAGTTTCCTCTTTCTTCTCCCAATCTCTCATCTATGAATGAAATTAGTAAAGGATAATCCAGGAGTGGTGGTTTACGACTGTAATCCCAGCACTTCGGGAGGCCAACGCAGGAGGATCACTTGAAGTCAGAAGTTTGAGACCAGCCTGGGCAACATAGAAAGACTCCACCTCTACCAAAAAAAAAAAAAAAAAAAAAAGAAAAAAGGGAAAAAAAAGGAAATTAGTAAAGGATACTAGCATTCCTTCCTGCTGGTTGAATTCTGCCTCAGAAGGTTTCTTAGCACAGTGCTCTAGAACACCACTACCAATTAAATGGAGCTGGCACACGAGATGAAACTTACTTAACGTGTTTGCCATGAGCCACCCTCTTTTCTTTCTTTTTTCTTTTTCTTTTTTTTTTTTTTTTTTTTGAGTCGGGGGTGATGGGTAGATCTCGGCTTACTGCAACCTCCGCCTTCTGGGTTCAAGCAATTCTCGTGCTGCAGCTTCTTGAGTAGCTGGGATTACAGGCGGGCGCCATCACGCCCGGCTAATTTTTGTATTTTCAGTAGAGACGGGGTTTCATCATGTTGCCCAGGCTGATCTCGAACTCTTGACCTCAAGTGATCCGCTTGCCTCGGCCTCCCAAAGTGCTGAGATTTTTGGCTTAAGCCACTGCGCCCGGCCCTATTTTCTATGTAATTTGAAAGGCGCTGTAGAATTTGATGAGTCGGGAAGCAGAAGCAACTGTGGCTCCACAACCTTTTTCTCCTCTGCTTTTAAGGCATGTGTTCTTTTGGGGTGGATCTGATTTTGTTCTGGTGTTCTGAATCAAAGCAGAAGCACGTGCAGGGGAGGTGGGAAGGGTGTCAGTGTAATCACAAAGGGGAACGCTCCCTGGCTCCAGCTCTCAGGAGGCTCCTGAGGGCTCCCGAAGAAAACTGTGCTGCCTTCTGGATTCCAGGCAGCACAGGCTCCCTTCAGTTGAACCTGAGGCAGTTCCAGCCCGCCAAGCCATTTCCCTTGGCCACCCAGAGCTAGACGGGGAAGAGGTAAAGGAGATTTTGGCAAGAACAGGCTACTGGCCCCTGCTGCTAAAACATGCCTGCCCACAGTGCTTCAGAGAAAGGTATTACTGAGGTTCCGGGGGAACGCCCTGATTGTCTCTGGAATAGGGATCCTTCAGGGCACGGGTCTGAGCGCAGCACTGGGGTGCCACTGGAGAGCCACATGCACCCACCTCCTTCCGTCTCCCCGCATCCTCCCCATGTGTGGAAGCACCCCTCTGTACCACGGGAGCTTGTAGAGCAAAGCTAACATACGGTAATGTCAGCTCGGCCAAGAGAAATAAGGCGGCGGGGCTGGCTGCGCACCAGAGGGAGGCGGCGGCCCCTAACCGAAGGTTTCCGCACGGAGAATTACGCCGCAGAAGCAGCAACAGACCCGCGTATTCATGAGCTCGTGTCACCGGGAGGTCGCTGCCAGGCCTTAGCCCAACCACCATTTCGTTTCAGGAAATGCTGCCAGACTCCAAAATCAGCATAGCAAGGCTGTCCTGATACTTAGATGCGTAAATCAGGGCCGCCGAGGGGGTCGGCCTGCGGCCACTGGGCGCAAGCGAGGAAGACGCCGGGCCAGTGCTCAGGCTCCAGATCTGATTGGCTTAATGTGGTCTGGGACAGATCATCCTGAGCTTCTGAGGCGCAGAAGGAGAGGAAAAGCCTGCCATGGGAGCTGTGTGGTTTCTCAAAGCCAATTTGGTGCAGAGGCTCAGCGGCAGGGCTCGATGACCTGGGACCGGTGTTGCTGTGTTCCCGGGGAGTCAGGTATCAGGACACACATGTGAAGCACTCTGAGGACCCTGTCACCTGCCCTGAGGATTAGACCTGAATTATTTATAGTCCTCCTTTTGCTTTACAAGCCCTGGGGCAAGTGGTTCAGGCTGGCAGGATGAAAATTGGCGTGTGAGTTTTGGGAGGAGTATTCACTAACTTTACTTGTTTTGTGATTCTCTTGGAAGGTAAATAGGGCAAATAAATAACCCACATTTCCTCTGTTTTCCACTAATCAAGGAGGGATTTGCTTGCTTACTTATCAAGTGTGTCTGGTACTCACCTAGATAGAAATATGGACCGGAGGAAAGGTGTTTCTCTCTGTGTGTACATATTAAATAGATCTGTATGCCTTTTCTCGTATTAGAAAAAAAGAGGCCGGGTGCGGTGGCTCACGCCTGTAATCTCGGCAATTTGGGAGGCCGAGGCAGATGGATCATTTGAGGTCAGAGTTCGAGACCAGCCTGGCCAGCATGGCGAAACCCCATCTCTACTAAAAATACAAAAAAAAAAAAAGAAAGAAAAAGCGGGGCGTGGTGGTGGGCATCTGTAATCCCAGCTACTCAGGAGGCTGAGGCAGGAGAATCGCTTGAACCTGGGAGGCAGAGGTTGCAGTGAGCCGAGATTGCGCCACTGCACTCCAGCCTGTGCGACAGAGCAAGACTGCATCTCAAAAAAAGAAAAGAAAAAAAAGAAAATAAAGGCAAGCAATGGAGAGGGTGGTTGTGGTTCACAGAGGTCTGTGAGAAAATGTGACATGAGAGATTGATGTGCTAGTTCTCCTGCTGCACCACCGCTGGGTATGACACGTGCTCCCTGCACTGAGTCCCTTTATCTGATAGGACATTGCCATCATGTCACTTAGAAAAGCTCACTGAAATTCTGCTACAATTCCCTCTACTTTGAATGGAAGGAATTTGTTAGCTTAAGCGTCTTCCAGGAAAGAATATTGTATCAGGAGGTCATCGGGATGTCTCCTAAAACCCCTCAATGTCTTACTAGCCGTATAAATTGGACGGAGTTCCTAACTTTTTAGGCCCTTGGTTAGTTTATCAATGAAATGGAATCGTACACATATACGCATATGCAGACGTATATATGAATATACATACATCTATGTATACTCACATATCACACACATAGAAGCCAGTTGCAACCATTATATGAAAACATTGTCTGAATGTGTGTTCTGATTAGAAATTAAAGATTAAGACATTACACGCATTTGTGTAGTGTAAGCACACTATTAATATTTTTTGAGAATGGTGACTATAGCTGATGATTGATGATAGAAATCCAGGTCTTATGAAGTGTGCATGAAATATTAGCCTGGTGAATCCTACTTTTAAACTACGTTTAATCCTACTTTTTCCAGGGCAAAGTCATTTGCTGTCATGCTTGGAAGGAGTAGAACCAAGTGTTTATGAGCATGGACTTTGGAGTCAGGTAAACAGAAGTCCAAATCCTGTTTCTACCACTAATAGCTGTGTGACCTGGGGCAAGTCACTTAACCTATCTGAGCCTGTATTTTTTTTATTTATGAAATGGAGATAAAGATGCTTGACTCATGGCTGGTTGGGACCGCATACTGCCCACTGGGTAGTGCCATGTCAGGTTGTGATTTCTTGAAACCATCAGGATCAAACAGGCATTCTGAAGATGACGGAATAGAAGCATGCAAAGAACTCAGGTCCCTGATGACATGGTTGAACCACTGGATTAACAAACCTTGAAAAGCCACTCAATTTTCAGACTTCTCGATACAGAACATAATATGACCTCTTATTGGTTCAAGCCAGTTGAACTGGTGGTTTTTTTCTGTTACTTGTAGCTGAAAATTTCCTAACTCATAAAATAACTTTATCTTAAACAAAATTAAAAGCGTTTTACCAACCAAAGCCACAAGTGGTGTAGACCAGCAGTCCCCAACCTTTTTGGCACCAGAGAACTGTTTTGTGGAATACAATTTTTCCACAGACCCAGGACAGGGGTAGGGTTGGGGGGATGGTTTCGGGATGAAGCTGTTCCACCTCACATCATCGGGTGTTAGATTCTCATAAGAAGCGTGCACCCTAGATCCCTCGCATGCATAGGTCACAGCAGGGTTTGTGCTCCTATGAGAATCTAATGCCACCACTGATCTGACAGGAGGCGGAGCTCAGGCGGTAATGCTAGCTCACCGACTGCTCACCTCCTCCTGTGTGACCTGGCTCCTAAAAGGCCACAGACCACTACTGGCTTATGGCCTGGGGGTTGGGAAGACATTTTTGCTAAACAGAGGAAAATTAGGATGAAATCCAGGGAGGAGGCTTAGGTAACATTTAGGGTAACAAATTGAAGGGAGTCTCCAGGGATGCTCTTCCAAGGAGAGGGTTACCAAGGGAACTGTGGTCACTTTACTTCCAGGAAGGCTGTAAAATGTTTGGATCAGGAGAGGGCCATGTTTGAAGGTTTTTAAAGAGTTTTTTGCTTCTGAATTATGTATGCGTGTGGAGCATGGACTGGAGTGAGCAAAGATTCCATTATGGGGAATGTTTCTCAAAGACTGTTGTAACAGTCCAGGTGAGAAATGGTGTGCCTCTGAACTAATGTGGGAACACAGGAGAGGGAGATTTGGAGGTTTGGTGCATTAAGTGAGAATATCGTCAAATTTTTTAAATGAATACCAGGAAATTATGTATCATAGAAACCAAATAAGGGGAGAAGACAGTGTGAAGAAGAAAACAGTGATCACCACCACGAATACTAATATCTTTTTTAAAAAAATTATGATTTTTATATTTTAAGAGACAGGGTCTTGCTCTGTTACTCAGGCTGGAGTGCATGGTGCAATCATGGCTCACCGTATCCTTGAACTCCTGGGCTTAAGTGAGTCTCTTGTCTTAGCCTCCTGAGTAGCTGAGACTATAGGCATGTGCCACCATGGTTGGCTAACGTTTTAATTTTTTGTAGAGATGAGGTCTCTCTATGTTGTCCCGGCTGGCCTCAAGTGATCTTCCTGCCTTGGCCTCCCAAAGTGCTGGGATCACAGGCATGAACCACACCCAGCTCAATACTAAAATCAATAACCAAACATTGAGAGCTGGCCTTGTGCCAAGCACTGTCAGACTGTTTACACATATTATTCTATTTAATCATCATGAGAAACCCATGACATAGGAGCTCATATTATCTTCATTTCCTGATGAGGAAACCTAGATTTCCAAGACTTCATATCACAGTGCTCATAAGAGTAGATCCTGGATTCAAGGTCTTACTGCTCCTGAAGCCTGTTTATTTATCCACAGGATACTCTCCTGATATACCACGATGCAGAATGTCAAGTAGGAAAAGAAGCTGTTGCATTGGGCAATTAAGAAGTCATTGGTGAGAGAAGTTTCAGGTAAATGACTTGCTGGCGTATGGAAGTAGAAGGAGAGAGGGGAGGTGGCTAGGGAACCAGCCTTTGAAGAAACCTAGAACATGGAGATAGAGTGTTTTAGCCTAGAGGTAGACAAGGTCATAAAAGATATTTTTTTTCCATTGGGTATCATAAGAATTACTATTATATTTATTAGTCATAATTATAGTGGTTTGAGGATTACAGGTAGAAAAGTTTACCCTGGTGTCACTTAGAAATCAAAATATTTTCAATCCTCAAAACAAATTTTTCTCTTACAAGGGGACTTAAAAAGCTCATGGAAAATAGAATGAAAAGATAAATGTTAAAAATATAAACTTTATTTCTCTACATAAGCTCTTCAAGTTTCAGATACTTGTATAAGTGATGATATCAGCCATTTAGTCCATTCCTAAAGAAATGAGGGTCCTGGGAATTTAACCATGTCAATACAATCATTTTTACATTATAAACCAAGAAAAATGAGTGTTCTTTAGAGATTTTTTAAGATTGGGAAACAAAAATAAATCAGAAGGACTGAAATCAACACTGTAAGGTGGATGCCTAATGATTTCCCATAAAAACTTTCACAAAATTGCCCTTGTTTGATGAGAAGAATGAGCAGGAGCATTGTCGTGGTGCAGAAGGACTCTCTGGTGAAGCTTTCCTGGGTGTTTTTCTGCTAATGCTTTGATTAACTTTCTCAAAACCCTGTTATAATAAGCAGATGTTATTGTTCTTTGGCCCTCCAGAAAGTCAATAAACAAAATACCTTGAGCATCCCAAAAAACTGGTGCCATGACCTTTGCTTTTGACTGGTCCATGTTTGTTTTGACTGGACCATTTCCTACCTCTTGGTAGCCATTGCTTTGATTGTGCTTTGTCTTCAGGATCATACAAGTAAAGCCATATTTCATCCCCAGTTACATGTTTCTTCTCCTGAAGAAATGCTTCAGGATCTTGATGCCACTTGTTTAGAATTCCCAAAGCTCAGTGCTTTCTATTTCCTGTGCTCTTGATCTGGGCGCAATGGTTTTGGCACCCATCAGGTGGAAAGTTTGCTCCACTTCAATTTTTCCGTCAGAATTGTGTGAGCTGAACCAATTGAAATGATGTCATTGTTAGTTAGTTGATTGTTAGTTAGTTAGTTAGTTAATTGAGATGATGTTAGTTATTGTTTCTGCTCTTATTTGTTGGTTCTTTTCAATTAGGGCATGAACAAAATTAATTTATTCCTTGCAAATTGATGTAGATTGCCGCTATGGGCTTCATCTTCTACATCATCTCACCCCTTCTTAAAATAAATGAGCCATTTGTAAACTAGTGCTTTCTTTGGGGCATTGTCCCCATTAACTTTTTGTAAAGCATTAATGATTTCACCATTCTTTCACCCAAGTGTCACCACAAATTTGGTGTTTGTTCTTGTTTTACTTTAGCAGAATTCATGTTGCTGTGACAGGGATTCTTTTCCAACAGACGTCTTATCCTTCAGAATGCCTCAGACTAGATCCTGCTCAGACATGTTATAATAAGTTAGTACAAATTTATGTTGGTGCAAAAAAATTTGAAATTCATGAATTTTTTTCATAATATGCATTTCCATGAATGTTTGAAGACCTCTAGTATTTCATATCAAATTCTAAGCAGAAAGATTTAGCAATTCTAAGTCTGGTTAGACTGGGAAGTCACGTCAGCTGCTGGCCACAGTAGAACTTGGAATGACAACCTCTCTTCCATCCCGTCCAATAGATTTGGGATGAGCATCCTAATTAAATGGACAATATCTAATCAAAATTGAAAGTCTGTCACAAACTTGCCCAACGATTATTTACATATGTGAGATTGCTGTTGTACAGTGGACTTTTCTGGGGAACACTTTCAAGTTGAACCAGACTTAATGTTTATTAGAAAAGCATTCTGGCTGAGTTGCTGGCTCTGTGAGCCAATCACAAATGCCAAAATTGCTGGCTAATTGCTTCAGTGTAAATGCCAGCTCTCCTCTGGGGCTTCTGAAAGGTTAGCATTCTCTTGATACTCTCAACTCTGCTCTTGAGCCCTGGGAGGCTGCCCAGTTGGTAATGGGAAAAGGGTAGCAATGGCCACTTTTCCTCTTCCTTAGGATGGGATTAATGAGAGAGACTGGAGACTGAGCTAATACACATACTTATTTGCAGAGTCTTGATGGAATCTGAGGGTCTGATTTTCATGACTTTTTGGATTGCGTGCTTCTAGGGGGTAGGAACATCTACACTTCTTCTTACCCCTCCTTCTTCTTAATCTGGAAACACTCTACAGAGAAGTGGAGGGCAAGTAGAGGGCATGCTTCCCAATTAAACAGGAGGTTTCAACATGATGATGTAAACAACGAAATAATTATACTTCCCTGAGGCATTGTTAAACTTGTCTTTTAAGGACTTTTAGTTTCTTTCTTGATGAAACAAATTTTGTTAGCAGGCAAGCTTTTGGAGGCCAGAGACCAGGTCTTTTGGCTCTCTTATATCTATCATAATCGTGATTGCTGTTCGTGAAATATTTTCAGTTCTTTCCTTTTCTGGGCACATGGTAGGATCCCACTTCCTGATTGCTTTGTGGGTAGGTGGGTTCTTGAGATCAGTCTGGCCAATGAGTTATGATGTAAAACATGTGTCATTTCTGTGCTAGAAGATTGAGTTTCCGACTTGAGATCCTCCAGAGCTTTCCTTTCTGTTTGGCATGACAACCAGTAATATGCACGATGGTGGCTGCTTTATCAACATGAATACCTAAATATTTAGGAAGAATAGACTCCACTCCCATCCCCAACTCCTCTGGGCTCCTGCTAACTCTCAATAGACATGTAGTACAAGTGAAAAATCAACTTTGGTAGCTTTAAGCCACCAAAAATTTGGGGCTGGGCACGATGGCTCACGCCTGTAATCTCAACACTTCGGGAGGCTGAGGCAAGTGGATCACCTGAGGTCACAAGTTCGAGACCAGCCTCGCCAACATGGGGAAACCCTGTCTCTACCAAAAATACAAAAATTAGCCAGGCATGCTGGCACACACCTGTAATCTCAGCTACTCAGGAGGCTGAGGCAGGAGAATTGCTTGAACCTGGGAAGTGGAGGTTGCAGTGAGCCAAGATTGTGCCACTGCACTCCAGCCTGGGCAAAAAAGTGAGACTGTGTCTCAATAAAAAAATAAAAAAAGGAATTGTTTGTTACTACAGCATAATTCTTACTGACACAATGTAAGAGATAACCTATATTTCAAGTACAAACTTCATCTATATAATTTAGTATATGCTTTGAGCCACTATATACTATAAGCACCTTAAGGACAGAGGTGGTGTTCTATTCATTTTGTATTCCTGGCATCTAGCAGAGACACAAGATGTTTCTTTTCTTTTTTTTTTTTTTTTTTGAGATGGAGTCTCGCTCTGTCCCCCAGGCTGGAGTGCAGTGTCATGATCTGATCTCGGCTCACTGCAAGCTCCGCCTCCCGGGTTCACGCCATTCTCCTACCTCAGCCTTCCTAGTAGCTGGGACTACAGGTGCCCACCACCATGCCTGGCTAATTTTTTTGTATTTTTAGTAGAGACAGGGTTTCACCGTGTTAGCCAGGATGGTCTCGATCTCCTGACCCCTGATCCGCCCGCCTTGGCCTCCCAAAGTGCTGGGATTACAGGCGTGAGCCACCACGCCCGGCCAGGTGTTTCTTAACTAAAATTATTGTATGAATGCTTGGATACCTGAAGAGACTGGAAAATATGAAGAGAATGAGTAACTGAAATTCAATGTTTCTCCTAAATTTTAAGCTAATAGTTTCAGCTCCTTCTCTTAGCATTGCTTTCAAAAGAACAGCTTTTAAGAGTAAAATTTCACTAGATGTATTTTCTCTCTCCCTGCAGTCTGAAGTGGAATCATAGTAAATTACAGAAAAATAGTCTTTGGAGAGAGAAGGAATCTGGTTAATCCACAGGCCACACAATCATGGTTGAAAATTAGGTATGTTCAAAACAAGGGTGTTATTTCTGTTTTGTATAAGAGGAAGGCTTGCAATGTCCATTCTAGAGGTAGAGGTGTCTAGTCTTACAGCCAATGGTCTCAAATATTTGCTACTCACAACCATCTAATAACTTTATAAGTAATATAATAATTGATTTTTCCATATTTCAATCAGATTAAGATTCTCAGGATCCCTAATTTGGCTGATTAGAGGAATGAGATGATCAGTAATACCATTTCAAATGGCAATATTTCTAGCCAAAAGCTAAGAATCATTTTAGTTAACATATAGGCTGAATACACAGTTTCTATGGAACTTTCTGAAATATTGAAATAACTGGAAGGTTCTCCCATTACTATATTTGAGTAATAGCCCAGAAATTGGTCATTCCCGTACTTCATTCAGGCCCCCTACTATGCTACCTAAAAAAGCCATAGCCTCACCCTGGACATACCTTCTTCTTACTTGTGATCTGAAATTATACTATTTTTACTTGTGTACTTGGCTGTTGTCCAGTTTTTTCCACTTGAGTGTAAGTTCCATGAGGGACAGAGGGACACTTCTGTTCACTGCTTTCATTCTAGAACCTAGAACAGTGCCTGACACATACTCATTACTCAATCTGTGCTTTTTCAGTGAATGAGCGAATGATGGATCCATCTCTTGAAGCAATACTTGAATCGCAGAATTCTTATATTGATAGAAGCAGAAGGAAACCAGAAGTGCTCCAATTAAAGGCCTCCATTTTTCAGATCAGCAGACTATGAGCCATGCATAGGATCACACACAGGTGTGGTAGAGCAGGGACCATGACTCTTGGTCCTGTGTTATTTCCGTTTCTGCGTGCCAATGCCTACTCTATGGCTGCTGGAGAGGGAGGAGGTTGGGGAAGGTGGAAACACCTGGAGTGGAAAAGAGAAGTGCTGGGAACAGAGGACACTAGTGCCTTCAGCACATCCCATCTTCCCATTGCCACTCAGCTGACCTATCAGCAAAGGTGGGAGTGAAAGTTACAGGGATTCTGGGCCAGGTGCAGTGGCTCATGGCTGTAATCCCAGCACTTTGAGAGGCCGAGGCGGGCAGATCACCTGAGGTCAGGAGTTTGAGACCAGCCTGGCCAACATGGTGAAATCCCGTCTCTACTAAAAATACAAAAATTAGCCGGGCATGGTGGCACCCGCCTGTAAATCCGGCTACTTAGGAGGCTAAGGCAGGGGAATTGCTTGAATCCAGGAGGTGGAGGTTGCAGTGAGCTGAGATCATGCCACTGCACTCCTGCCTGGGCGACAGCAAGACTCCATCTCAAAAAAAAAAAAAAAATTACTGGGATTCTGGAAGGGAGAGGAATAAAAATGATGTGTGGGACATACCAAATAGAGTGGGCGGGGCATCAAGACTTCCCCCCAACTTTCCATCATAAATTTAGAGTGCCTTTTCTTTTTCTGTAGCTCTTTTAAAAATTATGAGCCACTCAGCCTCGGCCTCCGGAGGTGCCGGGATTGCAGACGGTGTCTGGTTCACTCAGTGCTCAATGGTGCCCAGGCTGGAGTGCAGTGGCGTGATCTCGGCTCGCTACAACCTCCACCTCCCAGCCGCCTGCCTTGGCCTCCCAAAGTGCCCAGAGTGCAGCCTCTGCCCGGCCGCCACCCCGTCTGGGAAGTGAGGGGCGTCTCTGCCTGGCCGCCCATCGCTAATCTCAAGTACCCAGGGACACAAACACTGTGGAAGGCCGCAGGATCCTCTGCCTAGGAAAACCAGAGACCTTTGTTCACTTGTTTATCTGCTGACCTTCCCTCCACTATTGTCCTATGACCCTGCCAAATCCCCCTCTGTGAGAAACACCCAAGAATGATCAATAAAAAAAAAAAAAAAAAAAAAAAGAAATACAAAAAATAGCTGGGTGTGGTGATGCATGCCTGTAGTCCCAGCTACTTGGGAGGCTGAGGCAGGAGAATCGCTTGAACCCGGGAGGCGGAGGTTGCAGTGAGCCGAGATCGCGCCATTGCACTCCAGCCCGGGCGACAGTGTGAGAAAAAAAGGTTAAGATGGCAACGTTAATGTTCCGTGTATTTTACCACAATTTAAAAAAAAATTTAAAGAGTGGAAAAAAAAATTATGAGCCACTGAGTATTTTAAAGGGGTTTTCTGTTATGTCATAAATATTCAGACTGGAAATGGTAATTGTTCCCTGTGATTAATTCTGCTTACTTGGGAAAGTTGTGCAAGGTTTTCACTGGAGGGTATGTCTTTTATGTTTTCATGTTACTCATGTGTATTGCAATTTGTCCTGAACTGGACTTGAGACAGTGGAGTTAGGGTTGAGGGCTTTTCTTTGTCTTTTCTTTTCTTTCTTTCTTATGGCAGTGTTTGGAAATACTTAAATTGGATGGATTGTATTACCCCTCCCTGGGCTGAGATTAAGGTAATTGATGGGGCTCAGGGCCAGAAGTTCCTCCCGGCTATTTCAGTTGTATTGGTCTGGGGTTAATGGAGAAAAACTCGGTGTTGAAGGTTACAGCGTTTCCCTTTGCTTCCATTTTAATGATACATGCCTGCCAGTGTTTTCTCTTTGAAGAGCAATTTAATAAACAATCACTGGCGTTTCATGTTGAGGGTAAGATTTGTAATGGCATTCATCTCCCCGGGAGTTCTTCCTCAGCAAGTGATTGGATCAAGGCCGTTGCGGTGAACACAGGCTAGCCCAGCCTGGGGCCTTCAAATGTACCATGGGTTCCCCCATGCAGGGCATGAAGATACGCTGGGGGTTGGGGTCGGCGACAATTTTCAGAATGATTCCGAACTCCGCTTAGATTTCTCTGATTTTAAAGACATTTCCCAAGGAAGTCAAACCTGAGCCTGCAATTACACTGAGGACCCTTGCAGGGGAGGCCAAGGGGCAGTGGGCACAGAAAGCTCTGGAATGTGATCTTCAGCCGGGATCTCTGCTTTGGGGTAAGAAGGAAGCTGAACAGCCAAAGGCTTTTATTGTTAAAGAGGAAAGTGGGGGCTCTGAGCCTTGAAGGAAGATCATCATCAAATGGTGCTTTATTCAACATCCACACTGGGAACGCATTGTTCTGGGCGCCATACAAAGCAAGCCTGGGCAAGGAGTGGGGCTTGTGCATCTATTTTTTATTAAAATCACATGTAAATTTATACAGCCACAGTAAGGGTGGGACTCAGGTTCTAGCCAAGGTGCTGTATGAGCCTGGGTGGGGCTGGGCCCGGGTATGCATGCTCAGAAGTAAGGAGCTTGACTGTTTTCTGGTTTCTCCTGTTCTGAAATTAACAATGATGGTGCTCTAGCAAAAGCACTGTGGACAGGGGAGTGCCACAGAGTGTCCCTGTGGCATGGCCCGGGGCTGAGGAGAAGGACATCTGTCATTCCTCTCCATCAGTGATGGGGCTTTGTGTGAGGCCATTGGGACCCACACCACTTGTCCCAAAGACCATTCAGTGACCACTTCTGTAAAGCCAGAGGTTGGCAGCATCTCAAATGTGGCAAGCCGGTTTATTTATTCTTTATCCTTTTGGCATGTCAAGATTGGAGAGAAAGTGGTACCCAGACATCCCTGTTTGGGACTCCTTTGAGAGCAGAGGTGTGACTTTTGACAAGGGGAGAACTGGTGGTGGCCAACTCTCAACTACTTCAAGGAAGGGGTGCTCATGGGCACACTGTGGCGGTAACTGACAGCCACTCAGTTGAGAGTGGCTATTCTTGAGGCTGTGGACTTGCATACTGTACTTTGTTTTATTTTTGAGACGGAGTCTCGCTCTGTTGCCCAAGCTTGAGTGCAGTGGTGTGATCTTGGCTCACTGCAACCTCTGCCTCCTAGGTTCATTCAATCGGTTCTCCTCCTCAGCCACCCGAGTAGCTGGGATTACAGGTGCACGCCACCATGCCCGGCTAATCTTTGTATTTTTAGTAAAGATGGGATTTTGCCATGTTGGCCAGGCTGGTCTTGAACTCCTGACCTCAAGTGATCTGCCCACCTGGGTCTCCCAAAGTGCTGGGATTACAGGCGTGAGCCACTGCACCCAGCCATACTATATATTTCTATATCCTGTTTATCTTTTATAAATCCCAACAATGAAAAAGATATTCTAAGCTGTAGCCAGTGAGATGCTTATTGGAAGTAATAATACAAAACTTATAATATGCCAAAGTGACTACAGAATAATTAGTATGGCCCCTTGGTGATGGTGGAAATGAGTTTTGACAGGTGAGTATGAAAGTAGACGTGGCCAGCATATGTTAAGGATAGAATTGGAGCTGCCAAAGATCTCCTGCAATAGCTCTTTAGAGTCAGCCTTGAGGTCATGCTTTTACTTAGGCTGCCATATAACCTAGAGGCTGGGACTTTCTCTGGCTTAGCCAGACACAATATTAGATGTAGAATAAGGAATTAGGGTCAGGGAAATCTAATTATTCTCCAACCTCTATCCACTCACCCATTTTCGCTGACAAATACACATTGAGATTGTCCTCCAAGACTCTAGTTATGTGGAAGAAGAAGAGTGATTTTCCTTCTCTATATTTCTGGGAAAGAATTAATTCTAATTCTGGTGGGTTTTTCTGTAGCAAGATTGTATGATGAGTTTATAAGCTACTCATGACAAATGGGAGACTGAGGATGGTTGAATGAAAAAGTTCTTACTAGAGTCATAAAGGGCTGATTTTTCAGGACAAACACAATGCTACCTGCCTCAGTAGAGTGCAGTGGCTGACAGAGGATTCCAGAACGATTCTCCCACCTCCCATTCCCAGCTCTGCTGTTTACTAGCTGTGTGACTTTAGGCAAAGTGCTGAACCTTTGAGTGCCTCCATTTCTGTATCTGGGAAATGGACATGATGATAAAGTTACCATAGGTTGTTGTTGAGGCAGGAGAATAGGCTCTGGAGGCAGGGAACCTAAGGCCAGCTCAAGCTGACCTCTTAGAACTAAATTGAAAGGAAAACCCCAACTTTCCAAGCTTAAGTAACAGAAGGACCAGAGGCTTCTCCCTTAGCAAACCCCCTCTTTTCTGCGCGGCAGATGGAAAATTGAAAGTACCTCTGATTGCGGGATAAGTCTTTGTTTGCATAGGAGTGCAACTTTGTAACTTCACTTTAGCCTCTGATTGGTTGCTTTCTGCAACCAGACTGCAATCAGACTGATTGCGGGATACTGCTTCATTTGCATGAGATGAACACCAAGTGGCAAACGGGAAAGCTCCAGTGGGTATTCGGAGCCCAGAAGATTCTGTAACTGGGCTCTTGAGCCCCTATGCTCCAGTTGCTCCCTCTCTGTGGAGTGTACTTTCGTCTTCAATAAATCTCTGCTTTTGTTGCTTCATTCTTTCCTTGCTTTGTGAGTTTTGTCCAATTCTTTGTTCAAAATGCCAAGAACCTGGACATCCTCCACCGGTAACATGGTGAGGGCTAAGTTACTGTAAGGGTTACGTGCGTATATTATGCAGAAAACACCGAAACAGTGCCTGGCACATAGTAAATACTTGATAAATGCTACAATTATTCCTTCTTAGTCCAGAACCTCAAATAGATACACCTATTTCCGTCTCTCTCACACCTATTGAATCTGTATTAGGTCCTAATATTTTGCCTGAGGGAGTTGCACTTGCTGGGTTTACCAATTAAAATGATCAGTTCACAGCCTTATGCCCTTCATAAGAAACAAGCAATTAAACGAATGTTGGTTGAAAAAGCCCTATGCGCCTCTTCTTCCTTCAGGACAGTGAAATCCTATCTCAGGCCAGGTTAATACAGCTAATGTGGGAGAAAATTTAGATCTCCATATTCATCTAGTGAATTTGGAAAGGCAAGAGTTATTCTGATTTATCAAACAAATTAGTGACTCTTAAATTTAGCTCTGTGTCTGAAATAGCAAAAGAACTTAATATAAATACCAGTATCTGGGCACCACTCCAGATCTGTGATGTGGTCTGGGCATCTGTATGTCTAATAAAAGTTTCTCAGGTGATTCGGAGCACAAAACTCCAAATGAGTACACAGCCCATAATACTGCTTTAGTTAAGCAGAGCTGAATAAAGTACCACTAAAGATACATTTATATTGAACAGGGTTCTTCCTGTTAGTATCTTTCATTATGAGATTAATGACTTGCTGCTATCTCTGGAAAGATATATTTGGCAAACTAAATCCTAAAGGAATCAAGTATTAAGTGATTATGGAAATCTAAGCCTCTTGGTTAGGCATTTCATACATGACTCTTTGTTGCTATCAACCTGGATTCACACGTTAATGACAGTAGAATTCACAAGTGTCCCAGAACATTACAACACACTCGATCGATATTAATCGAAAAGGAGAAGCAGAAATAATTTAAGTAAGATTGCAATTGCCACGGAGCTCTGACCTTTCAGAAACACTCGTACACGAAAGTGCCAGGACCCTCATGTTGCACGGTTCCAGGGGGCGCTGTTTGCAGAGTGTAGACTGAAGACTGCCTCCTAGGAAGGGCGACTTGCTGGCCTGCAGGACGGGGCACAGGCGCAGGGTCCCTGCCCAGCACAACCACGCCTTATCCCAGCTGGAGTCTGAAGGCCCCGCAGGGGAACTCCCCTCTCTTACTCACCTCCATCCCCTTCACCTCCGCTCCTGCAGCCTCCATGCACTTCAGTGGGAAACGGATCTGCACTACAAACTGCCCCCCTTGCAGAGTTCCAAGCTCATCTAATTACATAGTGTTTAGAACAGTGCAATAAATCAAAAGATACTTCCTTAGCCCTGGAGGTGAATAGAATAGTTTCATGTCATTAAACCCCACAACCAAGGGACCCTTTATGACACGGACTTCTTTTGGGAGGTGATGCCTCTGTCCGTGTGAGAGTCCTGGCTCCTGGTAGGTTTCTTCCGGTGCCTCCCAGGCAGTTGGAGGACGCCGCTCTCATTAGGTCATGTTTACTGAAGGTGCTTGTTTTCTGTCTCTCCATTCATTCGGTTACAGGACACCCGACGGGACAAAGCGTGTTGTAACCGACCACCAATGGAGCCGGCTCTGTTCACGGATTATGGTTGTCTTGGCAACCAGCTTTGCTGAACTCACCACAGCAAACATGGAATGAATGACTGGGTCAACACCCGAGATAAAAAGAGGGTTATGCAACTGTTTGCTGAACCCTTGGCGGGATTTTTTTTTTTTCTGGACATTTCCCAGAATGTCCCCATATTCAAAAATTCCAAATGAAGAATTCCTATTTAAACCCATAACAAGTATTGCCATTGTTCATAGAAAAGAGCTGTTGCTTTTGGAAATATAATTTAAGGTCTGCAGACGATTTGAACTGGGTGTTGCTTCAGTTTCAGTAACCGTGCAAAAGCGTATTTAACGATAAGTTTTCCCTAGACAGGAAACGAGAGAGGCCACTCATGTATTTCTAATGATCTACATAAATAATTTCATCTACTTAGATTCAAAACTTTAGTCATTAAATGGTTTTACTCTCAGCTAAATAGATTCTTGAAAATGAATTTTAAAACGCAGAAATAAGCTTTTGAAAAAAAATTCAGAGACAGGATGGAGCCTCTCTTTGTGGAAAAGCAAATTGGCAAACAGGACAATTTATTTAAGACAGTGAGTACAAAGGGAGCAAGGTTCTGGGCTCTCCTGTTTCCCAAGCCATTTAATTCTATGCAAACAATTACATGGTAATATAATCCAGGTTTCTAGAATAGTTTATGTTTATTTCTGTCTCGGACTGGAAGAAAAATATTGCACCGGGTAAGATAGTAACAGTTGTTATGACTTGTACCTGGGTGCTTGACACAGCTTTCCTCATAATTATTCTTTGTGTTTTCCTGATTTGTAGATTTCTCCTGTTTTCTGAGCTCTGACTCCTGGAGATGTTCTCAGCTTCTTCCTCCTCCCACCTTTTCTTTTCCTCCCAATAGAATCTGATCTGGGTTTTATATAAAGTAGGCCCGAAGAGCTGGTTGTTGTCCTCATAAACAGTTCATTTCAGATGGCTGAGTTGAGGTCTTTCTTACTTTTCTCCTGTTTGCTCCGAAGACACTGGTCCATGTTTCTTTAAATTCAAATCGTACTTCTCTCAACAGCAGTTTGTCCTGTCCTTAAAATCCAGCCAGGGGGGAGAAGGAGCCATGAAATATCTTGAAGAGTTTTTTATTTTTATGTTTTTAAAAATTGCTCATGGCCCAGATCAATTATTCTAGATTGAGTGATTGATTGATAAGTGTAGCAAGGGTACACTTATCACCAGATAATTTCAAAATCATTCAGATAATTTCAAAATATCTTCCTTTTTAGTGTGCTTTTATTTCCTGTTTTTATCTTACACACAAACTTTTTTTCTGGAAAATTATGGATAAAAATAATGAACATAAGTGCAAAAGGATATGTATTTTTTGAAGTAAATATTTTAAACAGCACTTACTATGTATTTATTTTTATATGTTTTAGAGACAGGGTCTTGCTCTGTACCTGGGCTGGAGTGCAGTGGTGTGATCACAGCTCATCGCAGCCTCGGGCTCCTGGGCTCCAGTGATCCTCCCACCTCAGCCTCCCAAGTAGCTGGGACTACAGCCATGCCACACTACACCTGGCTAATTACAAGTTTTTTTGTAGAGATGAGGTCTCACTATGTTGTCCAGGCTGGTCTCAAACTCCTGGCTTCAAATGAACCCCCTGCCTTGGTCTCCAAAAGTAAACAGCACTTACTATTATTTTTAACTTTTTATTTTGTGATAATTATAGATTCAAAGGAAGTTGCAAAGGAAGTTGCAAAGAAATGTACAAGGAGTTCTGGTGCCTCTTCATCCAGTATCTTCTAACGTTAACAACCTGCAAGACCACAGCATAATATCAAAATCAGGAAATTGGCATTGGTACATTCCGAAGAGTTTATTCAAATTTCAAAAGTTTTGCATGCATTTATGTGTGTGTGTGTGTATATGTGTGTGTGTGTAGCTCTGTGTAATTTGATCATGTGTATAGCTTTGTGTAGTTACTGTCACAAACAGGATCTATAATCACCACAAGGCTTTCTCATGCTTCCTTTTCATGGTCATGTTTACTCCCTTTCCAAATAACCCCATTCCTGACCCCCCAGCAAACATGAATTGATTCTTCATCTCTATAATTATATGATTTCACTATTGTATAAATGGGACGATGCAGTATGTATTCTTTTGAGATTGGCTTTTTCACTCAGCATAATTTCCTTGAAATTGATCCAACTTGTTGCATCAGTCAATAGTGTATTCCTTCTTATTGCTGAGTAGTATTCCATAGTATAGAAGTATCACAGTTTGTTCTACCATTCACCTATTGAAGGCCATTTAGGTAGTTTTTAGTTTTTTACTTGCATGAATAAAACTGCTGTAAATCTTCCTGTAGAAGTTTTTCATGAAAATAAGTTTTTATTTTTCTGGGATAAATGCCCAGTAATGCAATTGCTGGGTTGTATGGTAAGTCCATTTTTAGCTTCAAAAGAAAGTGCAAACCAATTTTCAAAGTGGTTGTGCCATTTGCAGTCTCATCAGTAATGTACGAGTAATCCAGTTTCTCCACATCCTTGCCAGCACTGAGTGTTGTATTTATTATTTTATCCATCTTAATAGGTATATAGAGACAATTATTGTGACTTTAATTTGCATTTCCCTAATGGTTAATGATGTTGAGCATGTTTTCATAGGCCTATTTGCTATCTATATATCCTCCTCAGTGAAAAATCTGTGCATGTCTTTTGTCCATTTTCCAACTGAATATTTTAAAATATTGAGTTTTGAAAACTTGTTTTCTATTTTAGATATAAACCCTCTGTTAAATATGCGATTTGCAGTATTTTCTCCAAGTCTGTAATTTGTCTTTCTTTCTATCTTCTTCTTCTTCTTCTTCTTTTTTTTTTTTTAAGACAGATTCTCGCTCTGTTTTTGAGACGGAGTGTCTCTCTGTCGCCCAGGCTGCAGTGCAGTGGCGCGATCTCGGGCCACTGCAAGCTCTGCCTCCTGGGTTCACGCCATTCTCTTGCCTCAGCCTTCCGATTAGCTGGGACTACAGGCTGCCGCCACCATGCCTGGCTAATTTTTTTTCGTATTTTTTAGTAGAGACGGTGGTTCACCATGTTAGCCAGGATGGCGTGATCCGCCCACCTCGGCCTTCCAAAGTGCTGGAGTTACAGGCGTGAGCCACTGCGCCCGGCCTTTCCATCTTCTTAACAGGGTCTTTCACAGAGCAAACGTTTTAAGATTTTGATGAGGCCCAATTTATACATTTTCCTTTTGGCATCAAGCCTAATAACTCTTTGCCTGGTCTTCATCCTAAAGATTTCCTCTATTTTTTTTTCTAAAATTTTTCTATTTTCTTGTTTTCCATTGATACATTTTATTATACATTTTATCATACATTTTAATTTTTAAAATAAGAAACGAGATTTAGACTGAGGTTTATTTTTTTCTCTATGAATGTCCAATTTTCCAGCACCATTTTTTAGAAAGGCTGTCTTTCTTTCATTGAATCACTTTTGCTTCTTTGCCAAAAATTAAATGAACATGTTTTTGTGGGTCTATTTCTGAGCTCTTTATTGTTCCATTGATATGTGTGACTGTATCTCCACCACTATCACACCGTCTTGATTACTATAGCTAAGTAGTAAGACTTAATATCAGGAAGAGTGACTCCTACCCCTTTATTCTTTTAAAAAATTGTTTTGGCTATTATAGGGACTTTTTCTTTCCATATAAATTTTAGAATATGATTTTCTATCTAAATTTTTTTTTCTGAGATTTTGACAAGAATTGCATTATACTTGTAGATCTGGGGAGAATTGAAAAGTTTACTATGTTGAGTCTTCCAATCCACTAACGCAATATGGCCCTTCAATTATTTAAGTCTTTTATGATTTTAAAAGATCAATACTTTGTAATTTTCAGCATATAGATCTTTTATCTGTTTCGTTAGACTTATACCTAAGTATTTCATTTTCTTTGAAGTAATTGCAAGCAGTATTGCAATTATTTCAGTTTGAACTTGTTTGTTGTTAGTATACAGAAATAAAATTGATTTTTATGTATTGATCTTGTATCCTGTGGCCTCAATAACTGACTTATTTGTCCTAGAAAACCTTTTATAGATTCCTTAGGGTACTGCATGTGGATAATAATTTCATCTACAAATGGAGGCAGTTTTATTTCTTCCATTCCAGCCTGTATGCTCTTTAATTCTTTTCTTGCCCTATTACCACTGGCTAGAACTTCCAATAACAGTGGTGAGAGCAGACATCCTTACCTTGTTCCTGATCTTAGAGGGAAAGTGTTCAATCTTTGAACATTAGGCATGGTGCTAGCTTAATGGTCATATACGACTGGGAGTAGAAATATAGAATTTGTATAGATGCTCTTTATGTGGTTGAGGAAGATCTTTATTCCCAGTTTGTTGATAGTATTTGTCATAACTGGGTTTTGAATTTCATCAGATTTTCTTTCTGCAACAATTGATATGATCATGGGAGTTTTCTCCTTTAGCTTGTTACTACTGTGGATTAAACATTGATAGATTTTCAAGTGTTGAACTAGGGTTGCATACCTGAAAGAAATCCCCCTTGTACTAAAGAATAGTGTACTATTCTTTTTATAACATTGCTGAATTTGATTTGCTAATCTTTTGTGGAGAAATTTTATGTTTAAATTTGTAAGAGATATTGAGCTGTAGTTTTAATTTTTTGTTCTGTGTTTGTCTGCTTTTGATATCAGGATAATATGTGCCTCATAAAATGAGTTAGGACCTATTCCATCCTCTTCAATTTTTTGGACGAGATTGTTTAAAATTGGTGTGAATTCTTCTTTTAATGTTTGGTAAGAGTCTTCAGTGAAACCGTTTTCCAAGAGCTGTTAAATTATAAATTCAATTCCTTTCATTGTTATAGGACTATTCAAGTTATCTACTTCATCTGGGCTGAGTTTTGTTAGTTTGTGGTTTTGAGGAATTGGTTCATTTCTTTTCTGTTGTTGAATTTATGAGCATAACATTGTTCATAGTATTTCTTTATTATCTTTTTAATGGTTGCAGGATCTGTTGTGGTTCCCCATTTTATCTGATACTGGTGGTTTGTATCTTCTCTTTTTTTATCTTTCTCAGTCTTGCTAGAGATTGGGTTTTCCTCATAGGACCAGATTTTTGTTGCATTAACTTTTTATATTGTTTTCTTGTTTTTAATTTCATTTCTTTCTGCTCTTCTCTTTATTATTTCCTTCTTTCTGCTTGATTTGGGCTTATTTTGCTCTTCTCTTTCTGGTTTATTGAGGTAGAAGCTATTATCTTTGACTTGAGACCTTTCTTCTTCTCTAATGTAAGCATTTAGTGCTATAAATTTGCCTCTCTGCCCTACTTTAGATGTCTCTCCAAAATTTTGATGCATTGTATTTTTATTTTCATTCAGTTTTATGTGTTTTAAATTTTTTTTTCTTTTCTTTTAGCACTTGTAAGTGTTGTGTCACTTCCTTCTGGCCTCCTAGGTTTCAAAGAGAAATCTGCTTTCATTTAAATTGGTGTTCCGCTACAGGTAATATGTTATTTCTCTCTTGCTATTATTAAGACATTTTTCTTTGTCTTTCGTTTTCAGAAGTTTCATTATGATGTGTTTTGGTGGGAATTTCTTTTAGTTTATGCTGTTTGGGTTTGCCCAACCTCTTGGATTTGTTGGATTAAGTCTTTTGCTAACTGGAGACATTTTCAGCCATTATTTATTTGACTCCCTTTTCAGCTTCACATTCTTTTCCCTCTCATTCTGGCAGTTCAATAATATAATTTTTTTAAACTTACATTTTTGTTCCATAAATGCTAAGAATTCATTCATTAAATTTTTTTTTAGTTTATTTTCTTTTTGAATAAACTAAAGTTCACCAATTCTATTCTTTGTTGTCTCCACTTTACCACTGAATTCATACAGTGGGGTTTTTTTAGTTTTAGTAATTGTATTTTTCAGTTCTATAATTTTCACTTGTATTATTCATTTCTATAATTTCACTATAAATTATAGTTTTTTTTAAAAAAACGTTTCTGTTTCTTTGCCAAGATTTTCTATTTTATTTCTTCCTAGAAAATATGTAAGTGTAGAAGCATTTTAATGATGGCTACTTAATGTTCTTTATCTGATAATCCCAAGTCATGATTCATCTCAGTGCTGCTGTCAGCTGATGGTCTTTTCTCACTTTTGTGTTTTTTATGGTTCTTCCTATCATTAATGGCTTTCTGTTGTGTCTTGGATATTTTGAATATTATGCTTGGCAGCTTTTGATTCTATTTCAACTTCTGTTTAAGTTTAGGTCTTGCCTATTTTTGTGAGCTATTGGTTCAATGACCATTTAATTTCAGAGCCCTTGCATATTGTTCTAGCTGACTTTGTTCTTCTGCTTCTGCTGGGCTCTCACTCAATCAATCCCTGAAGAGCTTTCAGTGTGAATGGAGGGGTAGTTTTGGAAGCACTGGGTTTTAGTTGCTGCTGCAGCTGATTGGCCTGCCACTGCCTTGGGTTTGGGGTAGATCACTTCATTAGGTCTCCGCTGGACCACCCCTTTCTCAGTTCTTCAGCAGAGGAGCAAGTATTTTTATTTGTCTATTCCTGTAGGTGGTTCAAGGCTGCCAAAAGGCTGCCTTTTTGATGTCCAGTCTGTGATATATGAACCATAGCAAAAAAACGCAAGGAACTCACTCTGACATCATCCCTTAAGGCTTGACATTTCTAGCCTTCTTCTCACTTTTTCAAATTCTTTTATGATTGTCTGCTGAATTAGTTCCAGGATATTTAGCTATTTTTAGAGAGGAAGAGCAGAGAGAAGTAACTCTGTGTCATCTTGTCCCTGAGCTGGATAGAACTTATTATTTTTACAACAAAAAATTCATTCCCTCCAATAAGAACAATCTTGTGTGTTTAAAAAAATCAGAAAATAAAGATAAGCAACATGGAGAAAGTAAAAGTAGATACCAGTATTCTCAGATTGTTAACACATTGATGGATTTCCTTTCTGATCTCCTCTGTATGTGTAGTTTTGGAAAAAGTTATCAAGTTTTGTATACGTATACGCTAATGTATCTTAAACGTAGACATTTTTAGTTTGCAAAGAAGACACATTGCTAAGTTACTTAAGTGAGGAAAGCTAAGATTAGAATATGAAGAAATCAAGAAAGCTGTCTTTATCGTTGTTCAGACATTCCAGGTACCAGACTTTAAGAAAGACTGGAAGAATGTCTCATTTTCAAGAGGCAAGGCAAGCTCAGGGGACCTCCACCACTAGTGATTGGGCCATTTCATCCCCTTGACACAGAGATCCATTGGTCCCTGCTACTCTCTTACTGTTCCTAACAGAGAGACTTTGTTTGGATCAGTTTTCACATCACTTAATACGGAGCATGTGTACTGGGCAGAGTCTTGAGCCAAGCCACATGATAGGAAGCTAGTTTCCCGTATGACCACGTTACACAAGTTCACGCTGGTCTCTTATGGCTCAGGCCCAAGTCTCACACATTGTGAACACAGTAGCAACGTTCATATAACACTATATACTACATTTTACATGGAAAAAAACTACCTGTGGTCAATGTCTCATGAAAGAGTTGTGGGAGGGGAGATACACTGGGAAACCCAGGCCTGTATATTTCAAATATTTAGAACATTTGGTGCCAGGTGCAGTGGCCCATGCCTGTAATCCCAGCACTTTGGGAGGTTGAGGTGGGAGGATTACTTGAGCCTAAGAGTTCAAAATCAGCCTGGGCAACATAGCAAGACCCTGTCTCTACTAAAAATAAAAAAAAATAGCTGGATGTTGTGGCGTGTGTCTACAGTCCCAGGTAATTGGGAGGCTGAGATGGGAGGACTGCTTGAGGCTGGGAGTTTGAGGCTGCAGTGAGCCATGATTGCACTACTACGCTTTAGCCCCTTTTTTTTCTCAAAACAAACAAACAAAAAGCAGAACATTTGGGTTGATTTCAAGTTTTTACTAATGTGAAAAACAGCCCTGTGGCTCATCTTTGCACTAGTCTTTCACATCCACATGGACATGAGTGACTTTCACAGGTAATAATAATGACAATACAAATCACAATTGCTCATAGGACATATAGAACCTCAACAGCTGTCAGTTGAGAAAATGCATTCATTTTGCTATACTTTTGCAGAATTCTTATGCCTGAATATCATATAACAAATAACTGAATATATCTCAGAGGCAACCGAGGTTCATAGAGCCAAGTGATACACCCAAAGGCATGTGACTCAATTGTGGAAAATTCTAAGGGTAAACTTCAGGCCTGGCAACATCTAGTCTAGGTGTCTTGCTACTATGCTGTGCTGCCTTTCTCTTCTCAGAAAAAAGTGTTCTTAGGAGACCAAGGCTACAATGCTGTTTAGAAATCCCTCTTATTCACATTTTAGGGAGACTTTGAACAATAAAGGTAAAACAAAAAATAAGGTTTTTCTGGTTGACTCTCAATTAAACAATGAAATTTATTAGAAATTAACTAGAAAATTTTATTTCTAAATATTTTGGTAAGTTGAAGATGTTCTATAAATAAGGAGATTGATTGGCACCTGCTGTATACAAGCCCTATTAATCACAGCTGCTTGAGTTCTTAGGCAGCCGTAGGATTTATCCATTTCCTTCATCATTGACTCTTTCGGTCACATATATCTAAGGGCTATTGGGGAGATTATGATGATAGTTTTCTCAAATTATTTACCCCAATCAAAGTATCTACTTTTTGGGAATCTCTGGTACATTGCCTTAGGCATAAAAGCTTAACAAATGGAACATGATTACTAATATTCCCACATTTTAAATTCGTGTTTAAGGTAGATGTCCTGAAATTAAGGGACATAAAAATTTTCTACACATGAGCATATGTTAATAAGAATCAAATAGTTTTAGGATAAAATTCACCTTTGAGAGCTGAAGCTATGATTGATGATATTTTCACTTCTCATTGAGATGTCTGATGTTCCACAGATCTCATCTGCTGCAGGTTGGAAGAAATTTAGAAGCAGCAATTCTTTTGGGCACTGTAAATAATTAAAAGATCACTTGTTAGAAGGAGGAGCAGTGACAGTAATATTTTCTGAGCACTTCTTAGGTGCCAGATATCTTATATTGTCATCTCACTTAATCCCCAAAACAACCCGTGAGGCCAGTTATTTCATCAGCCTGTTGTACAGGTGGGGAAGCACAAGTTTTGAGAGGTGTGGCGATTTCTGAAAGTTCCTTAGTTAATAAGTCACAGGAAGAGGAGCAAAATGAAGATCTGTGTATTTCTAGAGCTTGCATCATTTTTTTTCCCCCCACAATGTAAAACTGCTTCCTGAAAGTCAGGATTAAAGAAGATTGGATTTTAGAAATTAAGAATATTTCTCTAAATCGATAAGGTGTAAATCCACTACAGGGTTTCTCCTCAATTAATTTCCAATTAGTTTGTCTTCTAAAATGCATGCATTCCAATTAGTTTGTCTTATAAAATGCAGGCTGGAAATGTGAGTCTTCAAGATCCAGCGAGCACAGCAACCTGGCAGACTTGTTGGTTTTGTTGCAAGACTCAAGGCTAATGTTCCTCTAAATCCTTAAAAGGCACATTAGCGGGTAATTACAACAAGTAAAGACTAATGGGAGAACCACATCTGTTTTGTTGATTTTACTTAGGGAAGAATTCTGGGTTAGGAGATTTAGTCAAATTGCTTGACCTGATTTAGGCACCCCTAACCCCAATCCAGAGCATACCTGCAAGGGACTCATTGTCTAATGGAAATATCTCTTGACCTCATGTGTGCGTAGGAAGAGCACAAGCAGCTGTGTGCTGACTGTCATCCTGATTCTGACACAGTGACCGGGCTGATGACTGTAGACAGGCCACTCATTTTCCTGACCCTGAAAAAGTCGTAGAATGTGCCTAGGAGGAGGAATGTCATAAAGACATTTTTATCTTTGTTGTCTCCCAAGGGACCCAAAGTGTTTTCCAAATGAACTGACAAAAATCCATTTGAGAGAGAGCTTTCTCTGCTTGAATTGCTCCCAAGGTATCTGGAGTCCAGGTGCTCATGGAGTGAAACTTTCCAGGTGGACATGCCTTCACTTTTTGAGAAGTTGGAGTAACAAAGCTTTCACTCGGGACACAGAGAAATTATTATTAGCTTCTTATGCATGGAGTAATTAAAAAATCGGTTCTTATAGGTTTTCCTTATTATATACAATGTAATTCACATCTGTCTGTGGCAAAGACAATGCTACATGTTCACGAAATCCCATTGAATCTTCCTCTTCCAAAGCAAGTAGAATGACTACATTTCCTAGCCTCCCTTTCAGTTAGATTAGGACCATGGGACTGGTTCTCATCAATGGGGTGTGAGCATTGTAACCCATTTCCAGATCTGATCCTTAGAAATATCGCATCTGAACACACGGCCTTGGTTTCCTTGACTCAGTAACCATGGAAGCCATGTGTTCAGTTCACCTCATCAAAAGATGAAGGCAGCCTGAATCCCTGGGTTACCAGATGGAGGAGAGATGCTCTGCAGAGTCATCTTTCCCATTAGACTTTATGTGAGTGAGAATAAAACCTTTCTTTGGCAAGCCACAGAGACTTCTGTTTTTTTGATCATCGTATAATAGCCAAGTCTATTCTGAATAATGCATTCTTCTTTTCATATGAGCTTATGCTCTGTATTTCAACTTGAGCCTCATAGAATCTTGACTTTTTATTGAAACTTTAAAACTCTGTAGTCCATCCATCCATCTGATGCTTGACTGTCCTCTACTAGATCTTAGTCAAGGAGATTACATCCTCTATAACAGCCGTTTAGAGTAGCACTGGCTTTTATAGGTTCCCTTTACAGTGAACTACATTATTATTATTATTTTATTTCAATAGGTTTTTGGGGAACAGGTGGTGTTTTGTTACATGAATAAGTTCTTTAGTGGTGGTTTCTGAGATTTTGGTGCACCCATCACCTGAGCAGTGTACACTGTACCCAATGTGTACTCTTTTATCCCTTGCCACCCTCCCACTGTTTCCCCCAAGTCCCCAGAATCCACTGTATAATTCTTATGCCTTTGCGTCCTCATAGCCCAGCCCCCACTTACAAATGAGAACATACAATGTTTGGTTTTCCATCCCTGAATTACTTCACTTAGAATAATGGTCTCCAATTCCATCCAGGTTGCTGTGAACGCCATTATTTTGTTTCTTTTTATGGTTGGGTAGTATTCCATGGTGTATATATCCACTCATTGATTGATGGGCATTGTTTATCCACTCATTGATTGATGGGCATTTGGGGTAGTTCCATATTTTTGCAATTGCAAATTGCGCTGTTGTAAACGTGCATGTGCAAGTATCTTTTTCGTATAATATAATGGTTTCTTTTCCTCTGGGTGGATATCCAGGAGGGGGATTGCTAGATCAAATAGTAGTTTTACTTTTAGTTATAGTGAACTACATATTAGATGGTGTCTTCTGTACACTTGAGCCATTAAGCCACGCTTCTAACCAACATTTCCCTTGCCCTCAATGAACCACATTTCAGCCAGCCCACAGAGAAAAGCCACAAGTGTTAAGGCAGATTATAAGTGCCTGAACAGGATCCCTAAATTAATATCACTGTGTTGGGGCTTGCCCTTTTCACCGGTGCTCGCACATTTTGCAAACATTAAAGTGTCTGCTCTATACCTCTCCTCATTTTCACTTCCCCTTACCATTTTGGACTCTGGCGCTCCAGCACTGTTTTCATTCTTTCCTCTGACAGCAGCATCTTCTGTTGTCTCAGGAGAGGACTCCGCCTCAACTCTCAGTGTGATAAATCACACCCCATTGCGGTCCTGGAGTCTTTGTAGTGCCCTGGTGACACCAGGCTGGCCCTGTCCTCAGCCTTCCCCACCCGAAGCAGGAACAGTGGAGGGTGAGAAGCAGATGCAGAATAGAACAGCCAACTCATTTTACACGATGTCAAAAAGTTAAATCAGAAATGAGATCTGTCAGGCTAGAAGAGTAGGGGCTAGCAGAGACCCTCCTATCCTGGGGAAACCTTCTTTGAGATAATTTTGCAGAATTTCAGGGAATTGTAGTCCTCTTCTCAGAGGCCATGTCATTCAAGAGATCTTCCTGACCATCTTTTCTATTCCATTCCTTGTTATACTCTATCTCCTGTTCTTGCATTATTTTTCTTCACACATGTTCCACTACTTGATATATTGTTTATTTTTTGGCTCCCATCAATAGGAAGTCTTGAAGACAGTAACTTTATTTGTTTACTGCTGTATTCCCATATCCAAAAGAGTACCTAGCACACACTAGGTGCTCAATAAATATTTGCTAGATGTTGTGTAAATAGCAGAATAAAACACTTACAGGGCTAGAAAATCAAGCTGAGGAGTTCTCCAAGAGTATAGCAGGAAAATAACAAAGAGATGAAAAAAATGGAAGAAAAGTGAAGAGATAAGGAAGATAGTTTCAGAAGCTCCAAATATAGCAAATTAGAGGAAGAAAAAAGAGAAAGAATGAAGAGATAATTTTCAAAACAATCACATAAGAACATTTCTCATATCTGGCAAAAAGATAATGGTACTGAGGTTGAATGTGCTTAAGTTCCATGTAGAATAAATGAAAAGATGCATCATAGGGAAATTCCAGAATGCTCAAATGAAGAAAAAAGTTCTGTAAGTATCTAGAGAAAAACACCAGATAACTCCCAAGCAGGAAGAATAAGACTGGCATCTGCATGGGCATAGCTAAAACCAGTGCAGGAAGATACTGGGGCAATGTTTTTGAATTTTTACACAATGAGGTCACCTAAAGGTGCAAAAAAAAATGTAGAAATAACTCATCATAGGAAAATGGAAAAAAAATGAACAGTGGAATATATATAATGTCAATAAGAAAGAAGCAAAGTAACATATGAGAGCCAGGATAAATCTAGTGTCGGTTGATAATGTGAGTTCAGGGTGATACTAACACCATGTGATACCATTTATGTGTATTTAAAAAACAGAGGAATCAGCTTTATTTGTTATATTTATTATTTTTATATCTCTCTTTCTTTCTGTATCTAGTTCAAAATTATGCATGGGAATTATTTTCATATGCATGGGAACTTAAGAAAGTTCCCAAATATGCATGGGAACTTTAGAAAAATGGTTACCTCTGGAAGGGTAAGAGAAGATGAGGGATTCTTTAACTGTGTATGTAATGCAATGTTTTAATTCACTTGCAAAAATAAAATATCTCAACTATGGCTGAAAGTTCTAAATGTTGTTAAATACAGGTGCTGAATACAGAGGGTGGTTACAGTATATTTTTCTAAGTATGCCTAATTTAAAAATAAAGACATTTTCAGATGTACAAAGACACAGAAAATTTATTATCATCTCTGAGAAAGAAGAAGAGGGAAGTAAGAAGCAATGGGGAGTAAAGAAAATCGATAAAACTTACTCTTAAAAATAACAAAATATCAGTATTTTAAAAAATTATTGGAATTATAGACCTAAAAGGCCAGATAATGTAATTGGAATTGGTGGTGGTGGAAAAGCCAGTGAAGGAGTGAGGTTACCGGAGATGTGGAGAGTAAGAGATCAGAAATGTTCTCAGTTCTTGTTTAGGGGGAGGCTCTAGACACTAAGTCTAGTTGTTTGTAGTAGTACACATTTAAGTATGTGTGTTAAAATGTAAGAGTAATCTATAAAAGGAGGGAAGGAGAGTGTAAAAATTTTATACCTTTGGAGGTGAGAGGTGAGGGAGAGAAGAGAAGGGAAAGAGAGGAGATGAAGAAGAGAAAGAAAACAAGCAAAAGAAAATGTAAAAACCCTCTAACAGGTGGCAGGGGAGAGAGTAACAGAAAATATGGTGATAGAATACACACACACAAACTCTCGCAAAAAGAAAAAAAGTATAGTCCTTCACAAACTCTTCCAAAAAAAAAAAAAAACCACAAAAAAAACCAAATGCCACATACAAGAAAAGAGAACCCTTTCAAACTCATTCTATGAGGTCAGTATTACTATGTTAAAAAAAAAAAATCTAAGACAGCACAAGAAAAGAACTACAGACCAATACCTCTTGTAAATATAGAGGCAAAAGTCCTTGGCAAAATACTAGCAAACCAAATCCAGGAACATATACACCAGGGCCCAATCCAGGAACATATACACCAGGGCCAAGTGGGATTCATCCCAGGAATGGTTTAACATACAAAACCAATCAATGTAATGCATCATAACAATAGAATAAAAGACAAAAATTATACGATTAACTTAATAGACAGAAACAGCATTTAATAATATCTAACACCCTTTTATGATAAAACACTTAACAAAGAAGGAATGAAAGGGAATTTCCCTAAGCTGATTAAGGGTATCTACAAAAACCAAACAGTTAGATTGTACTTAATGGTGAAAGACTGAATACTTTTCCCTGAGGTAAGAAATATGACAAGAATGTTTGCCTTCACTACTTCTATTCAACATTGTGTTAAATGTTCTAGCCAGGGAAACTAGACGAGAAAAAGAAATAAAAGGCATCCAGATAGAAAAGGAAGAAGTTAAACTATTAGAACTAGCAAATAAGGTCAATAAGATTGCAGGGTATCAGATCAATATACAAAAATCAGCTGGATCCTCCACGCTAATAATGAGTAATCTAAAAACAAAATTAAGAAAATTCCATTACAACAACATAAAAAAAGAATAAAACAATTAGGAGTAAATTTGAGAAAAGAAGTACAAGACTTGTACATTAAAAACTGTAAGTATTGTTGAAATAACTTAAAGAAACCCTGAAGAAATGGAAAGATATCCCATGTTCATGAATTGGAAGATAATATTATTAAGATGGCAATACCCAGATTGATCTACAGATTCAACACAATCCTTAACAAAATACCAAAATACCAGCTGTCTGTTTTTTAAAGTTTTGTTTTTTGGGGTTTTGTTTTTGCAGATATTGTCAGGCTGGTCCTAAAATTTATATGAAAATGCAAGGGGCCCCAAAATAGCAAAACAATCTTAAAAAGGAGAAAAAAAATTGAAAAACGTACTTCTTGATTTCAAAGCTTACTACAAAGCTATAGGCATAAGGATAGATTATGGATTAGGGGACTAGAACTGAAAGCCCAGAAATAAACTCTCACATTTATGATCAACTGAGTTAGGCAAGGGTGCCAAGACAACAATGGGAAATGAATAGTGCTTTTCAATAAATGGTTCTGAAACAATTGTACTTAAAGAAACCACTGAATTGTGGACTTTAAAAATAACAATAACGAACTTAAAAATAATATCTTTATCTCTTTATATTCTTTTAATAGGAGGCTTAAAGAGGAAAAAAAAAATAGTCCTGGCCATCAACTTATTACAGACAAAACAGTTTGAATAAAAAGTGTGAAAAATGGCAGCCCTATTTCATGCTCATAAAAGAAACTTGTTCTAAGAAGTTTTAGTTTTAAATATTTATGCATTGAAGAATATGAACTCAAAGCATATAGATAAAATACTGATAGAAAAACAAGGAGTAATTAAGAAATCCAGTTATAGTGGAAGACCCCAACAACCTTTTTCTGAAATCTGCAGTTACAATAGACAAAAAATATATAAGAATAGAGAAGACAGGATTTGACCAACAAAATCAAAACTTTTGTTTCCAATGAAGGCAAATAGGTAATTGTTCTAAACATACATGGAACATGTATAATATTAACAATGTGTTAGGCAACAAAGGAAATTTCATCAAGTCCCCAAAAGTTATCATATTGTCCACTTATAATAAGCACAGTGCAATACAATTGCAGATTAATAATAGAATACTACCACAAGAAACTGTATGCTTAAAAATGAAAAAAAAAACACATAATTACTCTTAGACTGAATAGAAAATTAGTGAAAATTATAAAATATTTTGACATTAATGCTGAGATTACATATCAAAATTTCTGTGATGCAATTGAAAGTGTTCCAATTGAAAAAAATTATAACTTTTAATACCTCTACTTGAAAATGAGAAGGATGTAAAATGAATAAACCAAGCTTCCAATCAAAGTGTCAGAAAAATAAAACCAAAATAAATTCAAAGAAGGTAGTGATTAAGAAAGAAAATAAAGCAAAAATGAAACTTAAAAAATATATTTTAGATAACACTTGATTTTAATAATGATTACAAAATAACAAGACACTTCTTTGAAAATACCAATAACATCAAAAAACATATGGTAATTGTTAGCAAAGAAATAATAGAGATGTTTCAGTAAATAATATTAAGCAAGAAAGGGGGAATATGGCTGGGTGCGGTGGTTCACGCTTGTAATCCCAGCCCTTTGGGAGGCTGAGGCAGGCAGATCACGAGGTCAGGAGATCGAGACCATCCTGGCTATGGTGAAACCCCGTCTCTACTAAAAATACAAAAAGAAATTAGCCGGGTGTGGTGGTGGGCACCTGTAGTCCTAGCTACTCGGGAGGCTGAGGCAGGAGTATGGCGTGAATCTGGGAGGCAGAGCTTGCAGTGAGCCGAGATCATGCCATTGCACTCCAGCCTGGGTGACAGAGCGAGACTCCCATCTCAAAACAAAAATAAATAAATAAAAGGGAGAAATATAAGTACAGAGACAAGTTTTAGAAGCTAGAAGAGAGTAATAAAAATACGTTAAAATAGAAAAGTAAGAATCTCCCTGCATCCAATTGGCTTTAAGGGGAAATTCCACAAATATTCAAAGAAGATAATTTCCATCTTTAACAAACTTTCCATTTTTAAATTTTTTTTAAATGGAAAGATAGTTAACTTATTTTATGAGACCATGTGAAATTAGATAAAAATTATAGGACAGTATAAAATGCTTTTACACTGTTGGTGGTAGCATAAATTAGTTCAACCATTGTGGAAGACAGTGTGGTGATTCCACAAAGATGTAGAGGCAGAAATGCCAGTCGACCCAGCAATCCTGTTACTGGGTATATACCCAAAGGAATAGAAATCATTCCATTATAAAGATACATGCATTTGTATGTTCATTGCAGCACTATTCACAATAGCAAAGACATGGAATTTGCCTAAATGCTCATCAATCATAGATTGGATAAAGCAAATGCGACATACATACACCATGGAATACTATGCCATCATAAAAAGGAATGAGATCATGTTTTTTGCAGGGATGTGGATGGAGTTGGAAGCCATTATCTTCATCAAACTAATGCAGAAACAGAAAACCAAATGCTGCATGTTCTCACTCATAAGTGGGAGCTGAACAACCAGAACACATGGACACATGGGGGAACAACGCACACTGGGGCCTGTCAGGGGTGGGAGTGGGGGGAGGGAGAGCATCAGGAAGAATAGTTAATGGATGCTGGGCTTAATACCTAGGTGATGATATGATCTGGGCAGCAAACCACTATGGCCCACATTTACCTATGTAACAAACCTGCACATCCTGCACATGTACCCCTGAACTTAAAAGTTAAAGGAAAAAAAAAAGATATATTAGAATCAAACCTGGCAGCATATTAACATCATCATGACTAAATAGGATTTATCTCATTAATGTAAACATGCTTAAGATAATAAATAAACATTAGAAAATATAGCCATATAATTCTTTACATTAACAAATTAAGATAAAGACATACAATCCACTCCCTGACTTCAAAATATATTACAAAGCTGTAGTAACGAAAACAGCATGGTTTTGGCATTAAAAACAGACAGGCCAATGGCACAGAACAGAGAACCCAAAAATAAATCCATGCATTTGCAGCTTCCTGATTTTTGACAAAAATGACACACACATTGGGGAAAGGACAGCCTCTTCAATAGGTGGTGCTGGCAAAACTGGATATCCACATGCAAAAGAATAAAACTAGACCATTATCTCTCACCATATGCAAAGATCAACCCAAAATGGATTAAAGACTTAAATGTAAGACCTGAAGCTATGCAACTACCAGAAGAAAACATAGAAGAAATGCTTCATGACATTGCAACAAAAGCAAAAATAAACAAGCAGGATTATATCAAACTAAAATGCTTCTGCACAGCAAAAGAAACAATCAACATAGTGAGAAGACAACCTATAGAATGGGAGAAAATATTTGCAAACTACACATCTGACAGGGATTAATATCCAGAATGTATAAGGAACTCAACTCAGTAGCAAAAAACCAGATATCCGATTTTAAAATGGGCAAAAGACTTGAGTAGACATTTCTCAAAAGCAGACATACAAATGGCCAGCCAACAGTTATATGAAAAAATTCTCGACATCACTAATCATTAAGGAAGTGCAAATCAAAACTACAATGAGACATCACTTCATCCCAGTTAGAATGGCTATTATCAGAAAGTCAAAAAATAACAAATGTTAGTGAGGATGCGGAGAAAGGGGAATTCTTCTACACTGTTGGTGGAAAGATAAATTAGTATAGCCATCATGGAAAACAATGTGGAGGTTCCTCATAATATTAAAAATAGAACTATCATATGATTCAACAATACCACTTCTGTGTATATATCCAGAGGCAATGAAATCAGTATGTCAAAAAGATATCTGCACTTTCAGGTTTATTGCCACACTATTCACTATAGCCAAGACATGAAATCAACCTGAGTATCCATCAGTGGATGAATGGATAAAGAAAATGTGGTATATATACATAATGGAATACTATTCAGCCATAAAAAAGAATGAGATCCTGTCATTTGTGACAACATGAATGAACCTAGTGAATATTATGTTTCATGAAATAAGACAAGCACAGAAAGATAAATTCTGCATGGTCTTACTCATATATAGAATTTTAAAAAGTTGACCTCATAGAAGTAGAAAGTAGAACAGTAGTTATCAGAGGCTGCAGAAGGTAGGGAGAAGGAGGTTAAGGGGACCTTGGTTAATGGGTACAAAGTTACAGTTATGAGGAATAAGTCCTGGTGTTCTCTTGCACAGTAGGGAGACTATTGCTAAGGATAATCTATTGTGTATTTCAAGATAACTAGAAGAGAGAATTTTGAATGTTGTCACCACAAAGAAATGATAAATATATGAAGTGATGGATATGCTAAATTAGGGTATTTGATCATTGCACAATGTACACGTGTATTGAAACATCACACTGTACCGCCATAAAAATGTATAGTTATTATGTCAATTAAAAAACCAAACTAAAACTGAAAATGCAATCCTATTATTATATATTGAAACCATTTTTTTTTTTTTTTTTTTTTGGAGATGGAGTCTTGCTCTGTCATGCTCAGGCTGGAGTGCAGTGGCACGATCTCGGCTCACTGCAACCTCTGCCTCCTGGGTTCAAGTGATTCTCCTGCCCCAGCCTCCCAAGTAGCTGGGATTACAGGCTCCCGCCATCACGCCTGGCTAATTTTTTGTATTTTTTAGTAGAGACGGGGTTTCACCATGTTGGTCAGGCTGGTCTTGAACTCCTGACCTCAGGTGATCCGCCAGCCTCAGCCTCCCAAAGTGCTGGGATTATAGGTGTGAGCCACTGCACTCGGCCTATTGAAACCAATTTTTATAAAATTCAACATCTAATCATGATTTTAAAGAATTCCTAAAATTAAAAAAAAAATCCCTTACCAGATCAGTTATAAAAGGATGCTGGCTTAACCTAATAAAATATATCAATTAGAATTCGACAGCAAACACTATATTTAGTAACAAAGCATTATAATAACTCCCACTAAAATCAGAAAAAGTTCTGGAATATTTGCCACCAGTCACTTTTATCCTACTTTTTAGAAGCAATGCCAACCAACGAAATCACACCACACACACACACACATACACACACAAATTAAGAGTAAAAAAACTAAAGAGTAAATGCTAAGCTATTATATGTAGACAAAAATTACCTACTTAGATCAGCAATTCCCAACCTTTTGGATGCCAAGGACTGATTTCATGGAAGACAATTTTTTCCAGGGACCGAGGGAGGTGGATGGTTTTGGGATGACTTAAGCACATTACATTTATCATTAGATTCTCATAAGGAGTGTGCAACCTAGATTCCTGGCATGCGCAGTTCACAATAGGGTTCACTCCTAGGAGAATCTAATGGCATGGCTGATCTCACAGGAGGCAGAGCTCAGGCAGTAATGCTCACTTGCTAGCTGCTCACATCCTGCTGTACGGCCTGGTTCCTAACAGACCAGGGATTGGTACCGGTCCGTGACCAGCAGGTAGGGAATCCCTAACTTAGATTTAAAAAAAAATTAAAAGACAAGGTATTAGAGCTAATATGGGAGTGTGGTGGTGTGGAAGGATATGATGTCATCGCTAAAAATAACCTACTAATTCTGCTATGCACTGCCACTAACAGTTTAAAACTATAAATGGGGTGTGGAGAAGAGGGTAAGTGAGGGCAGAGTAGGAAGAGAGAGAGAAAGAGACTCCCATTCATAATAGTGATTAAAAGTAATTGAAACTAGGGCCAGGCGTGGTGGCTTATACCTGTAATTCCAGCATTTTGGGAGCCTGAGGCAGTAGGATCACTTGAGCCCAGCAGTTTGAGACCAGCCTGGACAACAAAATGAGGCTTTCTACAAAAAATAAAAATAAAAAAATTAGCTGGGCATGGTGGCACACACCTGTGGTCCCAGCTACTCGGGAGGGTGAGGCATGAGAATTGCTTGAGCCCAGGAGGTCGAGGCTGCAGTGAATTGTATTCATGCCACTGCACTCCAGCCTGGGCAACAGAGTGAAACTCTGTCTCAAAAAAAAAAAAAAAAAAAATTACTATAACCTTAAAAATGAATCTAACAAGAGATGCTCAAAATCTTAGATCTTTAAAAATAATAATGTCTGATTTTTCTGAAGAATTAAAAAACTGCATAAATGATAAATATATCTTGTTTATCAGTGAGAAGATTCATTATTATAAAGATATAATTTATCATCATATGAATCTATAAATTCGATGTAATTCCAATAAAAATTCCAAGAACTTTCATGTGAAAACAGCTATCCATTTAGTAAAAATAAAATAAAATAAAATTTTATTTGTAATCAACCTAACTAGAAAAATAAACCCCATATAGATTAACCAGCTAAATGTAAAGAAAATGAAAATATAAAAGCATTAAAAGAAAATATAGATAAATATGTCTCTAATACTTAAAATGGGGAAGGCATTCTTAAATAGGATTTATAAAGCCAGAAAGGACAAAGAATGAGAAACTCATCTGCATCAAATACAAGAAAAGAAAACAATAACAATATTTTTAAATGATAAAAGACACTATTAACAAAGTTAAAGAGACAAGCAAGAGCATAGCAAAAAATATTTGCAACATATACAATAGACAAAGTATTACTTCCAAGAATTTTGACATGTCAATAAGAACAAAATGAGAATAAAATCAGTATAAAAATGAAAAGAGGAGGATGAGGCAATTTTAGGAAGATATGGGAATCTGAAAGCCAATTATGTAAATGATTAAACTAATGAGATACAATTTTTCATATACTAAGTTTGGTTAAAGTTGAAAAGTCATTTCTATATTAAACTGGAACAGATGTGCGAAGCAATGGGAGTGCAAACTAGTACAGCCTCTTAGGAGAATTATTTGGCATTATCAATTAAAATGTAATATGTGCATACTCAAGGCTTAACAATTCCACTCATTAGTATCCTACCCTAAGAAATTTCTACACACGTGCACAAGGAATCACAAAGAAGCTCACTGCAGCATTGTTTATATTAATAAAAGATTGACAGCAACAAAAACGGCCACTGTGGAAATAAACTAATGCTACAAAAATATCCCCAACATATGTTGATGAGTGTAAAACATTAAGTTGAAGAACAATAAGTAATAAGAAACTATTTATGTAAAATAAAACAGAAAGCATAAAACATGAGTATACATTTACATAGACAGTGCTACAGTTGGAATGTTTGGGTCCCCTGAAATGTATATGTTAAAACTTAATCACCAATGTGATGGTGTTAGAAAGTGCGGCCTTTGGGAAGTTATTAGGTCCTGAAAGTCTCACCTTCATGAAAGAGATTAGTGCCCTTATAAAAGAGGCTTCAGGGAGCTTGTTCACCTCTTCCGCCATGTGAGAATAAAGCAGAAAGTTGTCGTCTACGACAAATGGACCCTCACCAGACTCCATCTGCTGGCACCTTGACCTTGGACTTCTCAGACTCCAGACTATGAGCAATACATCTTTGTTTCTTTTATAAATTATCCAGTCTAAGGTATTTTACTGTAGCAGCCTGAATCGACTAAGACAGACATATATGTAAATATGTAAAAGTATAGGAAGAGGTCAGAAAGGGTACTTACCAAATTGATTATAAGCGAACTAGGATGGGGTTTGGTGTGATCACAGGAACTTAGCTTTATCTGTATTCTTTGCCTTTTTTTTTTTTTAAATATAGTCATATAATGAAGCATTCCTATTTTGTAGAGTTAATAAAAAAAACTTTATTAAAAGTTTTGATGAGTATCATGTGTAATTTGATCAAGGGCTGCTCTTGGTAAGGTCAGTACTTAAATAAGTACTGTCCTGCCTCTTAAGTCTTCACTCAAACAAATTAATAAAGGACAAAGGAGAGAATGATGAAAACTTGTGTTTCATTGTTGTTGCTTACCTTCCCAGATATTTAACAATTTTATGTCCTGGGGGTGAGTTTTGGTAGCACAGGAGAAAGCTTCTTAGCCAATATAATTGAAACTATAAGTGGGTCAGTTACTAAAAATAAGGATAATAATATGGAACAAAGAAACATTAAAAATGTTACATATTCATATGGTTTGGCTGTGTCCTCACCCAAATCTCATCTTGAATTGTAATTCCCACAATTCCCACACATCGTGGGTGGAACCCAATGGGAGGTGATTGAATTATGGGGGCAAGTTTTTCCCTAGCTGTTCTCGTGACAGTGAATGAGTCTCCCGAGATCTGATGGTTTTAAAAATGGGAGTCTTCCTGTGCAAGCTCTCTCTTTGCCTGCTGCCATCCATGTAAAACATGACTTTCTCCTCTTTGCCTTCCACCATGATTGTGAGGCCTCTGTAGCCACGTGGAGCTGTGAGTCCAAGAAATCTCTTTCTTTTGTAAATTTCCCAGTCTTGGGTATGTCTTTATCAGCAGCATGAAAATGGATGAACACATATATATATTTTAAGACAATTTGAACTTGACATGTATAAATATATATTCATTTGCCAAGCTTTTGATGCCAGATTGAGGGCTTTTACTCCAATTATAGGGCCTCTACTTAGGGTTCCTTTTTCTCTTCCTCACAAAACCCATTCCTGTAAAGCAGCATGCTTTATCTCTAGTTTTGCTCTCTTTAAACTAGAATAAAACTGAGGACAAGCACAAAGAAACTAGAGTGCAGACTCCTCATAGATTTGAAGAATTTCCTACCCAGTAATTTTTAGTTGTCTAACCCTTGCCTAATTTGATTCATTTTTGCAACTCACATTTATCTAGCTTTCCAAAACACTCAACCTAGGTTTATAGAAACAACCCTCTTCTGATATTTGTTTTCATCAATTTACTTAACTCAAAATTAAATCTCATAATTATATGACTATGACTGTTATCACAAGGTATTAAGTAACTCCGAGTAAGCAAATAAGTCAACAGTTAGCAGGAGAAGAGGCCAGGCATCACCTTTAGCATTCTGGGAGCCCAGGCCATTGTTCTGTTTGTCTTACAGGGCACCAGATATGTTTCTGGAGTTGATCAAACAGGTTGGTTGAGAAGGCTTCTACAGTGTTTCATGGTATTACAGCTAGCCCCAGGAATGCCCATATCCACCTATAGAACCACTCCTTTGTGAAAGATTTCTTAAAAAGATATATGTAAGACAGTTCTCTGGGGGCCTTGGACTAACCCATTTCTTCCCATTTCTTACTTGTTCTCAATAATAACTGATGAGTGTGCTGGGAATGCAATATCTTGAGATAAGGGGGAGCTGACTGGAACAGCCTGGGCTCTGTTCCAGCCTCTCCTAGAAAAAGGATGTCCCTTCAATGGTTTAGCTTAATGAGTCCTGTAACCACAGGGTATAAAACTCAGGGCAGGATGCTTTTTCGGGTCCCTCAGCTGCGATGCAATTGGGGCATACACAGATGAAACTCCATCTGCCATGGGCAATTTTCCTGAGACTTAGGGAGGCACAGGCTCATCGTGAATTCCAGGGTTCTGTTGTCCCTTGCTGCCTAAGTAATAAATTCACTTCATGTAACTTGCGTGTGTGAGTGTTCTGTCTCAGCAGACTTGGGCAAGTAACCAGCGCATAGTGAGCCTGATGTGCAATATACATAAGAAAGAGTAGCATAACTTCCTCCTAGCAGCTTGGCTCACTGGTAAAGGAGAGCTGGCATAAGAACCACACTTGGAGATTTTCCCACTGTCGGGCAAGCTTCATAGCACAGGAGCCCAGTTCAGGGGTCATCACACATTCAGGCATGGGTGAGAAAGCAGAGGGCTGCTGGGCCTCCAAGTGGGCTTTGACTCCATTTACTCACTTGGACTTGTGGAAGAAGATCAATGGGGAAAATGTCAGAAGTTAAATAGCTTACAGAATAAACTTACCAATGCAACTGCCTACAAGGCAGAAGTAGAACAATGAGAAATATAGTTTTTGTAATACTTGTTTTTGTTATTTATTTATTTACTTTTGAGACAGGGTCTTGCTCTGTCATCCAGGCTGAAGTGCAGTGGTGCAATCACAGCTCACTGCAGCCTCAACCTCCTGGGCTCAAGCGATTCTCCCTCCTCAGCCTCCCAAGTAGTTGGACTACAGGCGGGCACCACCACACCAGGCTAAGTTTTTTCTTTGTTTGTATTTTTAGTAGAGATGGGGTTTTGCCATGTTGCCCAGGCTGATCTGGAACTCCTGGGCTCAAGAGATCCTCCTGCCTTAGCCTCCCACAGTGTTGGGATTACAGGTTATTTATTTATAGTAATATGGTGAAGCCCCGTGAACTGCCTGCTCATACTCAAGCCCGGAGTAATATCTGTAACTTTTGTTTGCCTGTATGCCCCTCCTCTCTCCCCTCCTCTTGCCTCCCCCATCAAGAGTAGCCAGGATTCAAGTCATGCATTTTATCATTCTCTTACTTATTTTTGTTTTAAATACATGTATGCATACAATCTACTTAATCAAGGTAAAAAAAAAATAAAATAAACTTTTTTACTATTTGCCCAGTTGTGCCTGCCCTGGAAGTCTAAGAAAAGGATAATATAAAAGATTCAGTAGAAGCCTATAAATAATTGCATTATCTAGAGAAACACCAATTGTTTTTGAGGGAGTAAGAGGAAACCAGTGTTTCACAGAGAAATTAGAAATAGCTAACTTAGTTTCCTTTTGGTCTAAAAAATCAACGATCTTTCTTTTCCACTTATCTTTATTTTTTTTTTTTTTTTTTTTTTGTCACACCAAGGGTTTGAACCCAGTTGTTGAATTGCACTGTAGAATGGACCAAGAATGTGGCTATGGCGGTATTTCATAACTGGTTTGCCTTGGAAGCAGAGTCAACATCTTCCTGTTAGGGGATGTGGTATAATCACCACCTACATGATAGATGGGGAGGTCACAAAAAGTTCATTATTCTAGAGGATCCCAATAAGCTTAGAAAAGTTATTTCAACACAAACGTGACTGTATTTCTGTTATCTGAGATTGCTTCTTCCTATACTACCTGCTTTCTACATCATCCTTTCTTTTCTTAGAGGGAAAATAATCCCACTCTCTCCATTTCTTCTCTCAGATGCTTATTCTATAGTCTGTCCTGAGACCAGGGTTAAGATCTTTGCAGTCTTCCTGGTGTCCTGTAAGACAGCCAGTGTTATTCTAAGTTTGGAATGAGAGAAAAGATGAGGAAGTTTCTGTGTCCAGCAGTGTGGTCCTGAAGCCTCAGCCTCAGTACCTGGCATGGTGGAAATTGATTTACCTCGCTCCGTATCAGCAAGTCTGCGGAAGCCTGAGTCTATTTGCCATGCGAAAAACTATAAAAAGACCAAGGCCATTCAGATGTCTGAAGTCTGGCTGTAGCTGCACACATAGCAGAATTCCCTGGCTTAGATCAGAATTGACAAGTTAAAGAGATGCTCAATAAGATTGACTCAGCAGGGACTGATGAAGATAAATTGAGAAAACTCAGTCTGAATACCTCTATGAGGAAGATGACAGCTTACCTGTCAAGGAAAATCGTGCAAAGGAATATCTCATCCACTTATGACCTATCCACACATGCAATTGGTTGATTTCTATGCTATGTAGTATTCTGGCATAAAAGGTGGGATTGATAAATAAGACATGTTCTCCATTCAAAAGAAATCTACAATCTCAGCTGGGCATGGTGGCTCACACCTCTAATCCCAGCACTTTGGAAGGCCAAGGTGGAAGGCTGTCTTGAGCCCAGGAGTTTCAGACTAGCCTGGGCAACAGGGCAAGATCCCATCTCTACAAAAACATTTAAAAAAATTGGCCAGGTGTGGTGGCTCACACCTGTAACCCTGGCCCTTTGGGAGGCCGAGGCAAGCAGATCACTTGAGGTCAGGAATTCAAAACCAGCCTGACCAACATGGTGAAACCTGGTCTCTACTAAAAATACAAAAAAATTAGCTGAGCGTGGTGGCAGGCACCTGTAATTCAAGCTACTTGGGAGGCTGAGGCAGGAGAATCGCTTGAACCAGGAGGCAGAGGTTGCAGTGAGCTAAGCTTGTGCCACTGCACCCCAGCCTGGGTGATAGAGCAAGATTCTTTAAATAAATAAATAAATAAATAAGCTGGCATGGTGGGGCAAATATGTAGTCCCAGATACTTGGGAGGCTGAGGCAGAAGGATTGCTTGAGCCCAGGAGGTTAAGGCTGCAGTGAGCTATAATCACAGCACTTCACTCCAGCCTGAGAGACAAAGTGAGACCCTGTCCCCTCCTCCCTCCCAAAAAAACCCATCCAAACAGCAAAAAAGAAACCTACAATCTAAGTCTAGAAGGGCAGAATAAGATGATGCCAAGACAGAGATTCAGGCTGAAAAGGATATATATCATAAGAGACACGGGCATAGGGCTGAGAGGGTTTTGAGAAGAAATAAATGTTCATTCACTGAGCACCTACTACATGCTGGGCATTGGACTGATGTGTCCAGTTTCAGATCTCAACCCTTGTTCAGCTCTAATGGCATCCTTCAGGAATCTTATCATCATTACAAATTACATTACTATTACAAAGTAAACAGGAGACAAGATAAGCCCTTCTCATTAGTTCTGTCTCATGAGTAGGCCCTTATGTCATTTTTCAGGAGACTGAATTTGAACTTCGGAATATATTACAAAAAAATCCCCATAAACTTTTGTACTTAGGGCCTTTTATGCTTTATTACTTAAGACTTTTACATGTGTATGTAATGAAAAAAGGAAATAATCTTTAAAACAGGTCAGAAATGAGGGAATAACTGTACGTGAACAGAAAAACCCTTAGTTGAAACATTTTTTTTCATTAGCATTAGCTGCACGCTTTGCTGTTATGAACTCAGACAAGTTCAAGCCGTGACACTGACTTATCGTGACTGATCTGAAATTTTCCAATGTGATCTAAAGGGGTCAATGATGTAACTGAAATCTTTAAGCCCAACGAAAAGAACTGAATAATCATTAAATGAACGACAGCAGAGTTTCTAGAAGTGTTCTCAACTTTGGCTGCTTTAAAAAATCCAGGTGCCGACTGGGCGCAGTGGCTCACGCCTGTAATCTCAGCACTTTGGGAGGCCGAGGCGGGTGGATCACTTGAGGTCATAAGTTCGAGACCAGCCTGGCCAACATGGTGAAACTCCATCTCTCCTAAAAATACAAAAATTAGCTGGGCATGGATGTGTGCGTCTATAATCCCAATTACTTGGGAGACTGAGGCAGGAGAATCGCTTGAACCCAGGAGGAGGAGGTTGCATGTAGTGAGCTGAGATCGTACCACTGCACTCCATCCTGGGAGACAGAGTGAGACTCTGTCTCAAAAAAAAAAAAAAAATCCAGGTGCAATGCCGCCAACCTATTAGATCAAAGCCTGTCACAGTGGGATCCTGCTTCCACATTTTTTAAAGCTCCAGATAATTCCAATGTGCAACCGGTATTCAGGAACACCTCTAGACCGGATATTTAAGCTCAAATTGGATACAGATTCTGATTCAGGTGGTGGGGGCTGGGGTGGGGCCTGAGGTTCTGCATTTGTGATGAACTCCAGGGAGACGCTAGTGCTGTTTGTTTGCTTGTGCAGCCATAGTCTAAGTGAAATGATACTCAAAGTGAGGTGTAGACCCCTGAGTCAGAATCACGGGGGGGACAGAGGGGAGTGCTTAATAAAATGCAGCTATCTGGGCTCTACCCCAGACCCAATCATAGTCTCTAGTGGAGGGTGAAGACTAATCAGCTGTGGAGCTTAAAACAATGTTCATGTCCAATAAATAACCCCATTCTCCCTCCACCCAGATTGGAATTAAGCTTTAGGTTTAGGCTGTGTCCCAGGCACTTTCGTTTCATTAAACTGTTCAGGTGGCTCCAATGTACAGTCAGTCAGAGCTAGGGCAGGAGGTCTGTATTAGTCCGTTTTCACACTGCTATTATATAAAGATACTACCTGAGACTGGGTAATTTATAAAGAAAGGAATTTAATTGACTCACAGTTCTGCATGGCTGGGGAGGCCTCAAGAAACTTACGATCGTGGTGGAAGTTGGAGGGAAGCAAGCATCTTCTTCACATGGTGGCAGGAGAGAGAGAGCAAAGGGGGAACTGCCAAACATTTTAAAACCATCAACTCTCATGAGAACTCACTCACTATCACAAGAACAGCATGGGGGAAATTATACCCATGGTCCCATCACCTCCTACCAGGTCCCTGACACTTAGGGATTACAATTCGAGGTGAGATTTGGGTGGGGACACAGAGCCAAACCATACCAGGTTCCCAAACTTGTCTGAACATTGGAAGTGCCTGGTGAACATCAGAAACTCCTGGCGCCTGTGCGCCAACCCCAGAGACTGGGATTTCATGAATCTGGGATGCAGCTTGGCCTCCAAAATACTTCACAGTTTCCTAGTTAATTCTGATGAACAGAAAGGCTTGGGAACCACTGGTGAGGGGACCCATATTTCAGCACATTGTCCGGGTAATTTTTATGCGTGTGAAAGCTCGAGAGTCTCTGCTCTGGAGAAAAGTCAAAGTCAACTCTGTTAGTACAAGGAGAAACTGCCTGCAAGGACTTCAGTTATAGCTCTATGAGCAGCCTTAGAACTATAACTAAACCTTCAGATGTCTGTTGGATTCACTGGATGCAGGAGGACTCAGGTATGCAAGAGGCAAACGAGGTGGAAGAAAAAGTATTACACGTGCCATGACTCTTCCAAAGCAATGTACCCCAATATGGTTGTACAGCATAGCTGTTAGATTGCTAAGAGTTATTGATATGATAGAAGATTCATTCAAAAATAATTTATTATAAGTAGGTACTTTTATTTTTTTCAATCATCAGATTGGAGGTATTGATCTTTAGTGATTATATGTTATTTGTTTAGTAAAGAGCTCTGTTTTTAGAGGCGAAAAATGAGGCCATAGAAATTGTGGTATACATCAATCTTTTTTTCTGACAGGTCAGCAGAAATTGTGCACTTCTTTTGAAAGGATACAGCCTTTTTATTTTTTGAGATGGAGTCTCACTCTGTCGCCAGGCTGGAGTTCAGTGGCACAATCTCAGCTCACTGCAACATCTGCCTCCTATGTTCAAGCAATTCTTCTGCCATAGCCTCCCGAGTAGCTGGGACTATAGGCGTGTGCCACCACACCCAGCTAGTTTTTGTATTTTTAGTAGAGATGGGGTTTCACCATGTTGGCCAGGATGGTCTGAATCTCTTGACCTCGTGATCCACCCACCTCTGCCTCCCAAAGTGCTGGGATTACAGGTGTGAGCAACCATGTCTGACCCTTCTTTGAACCAATTATTTTGGTTGGAGGTTAAAAAGGTCCACTTGAGTTGCATGCCCAGGCTTGTTTCATAGAACCTGAGCTTATTCCCTCAACATCAGACCTCAGCTAGGCTAATTTGAGTCCTGCTCTAAAATTTCTCAAACCATAGCTGATGTTTCTGCAGTCACAAAGTGACATGCCATGGCCATCTCCTATGATGTGGAGGGGACTTGCCCGCAGTGAGAGAGAATTAGGCCAACTCAGTGAGAGAAGCTAGGTGAACCCTGGGACAGGAGACATATTAGTCCCCATTCCTGGTTATTCGGTTTTACTTTAAATTTTGTGAGCTGTCTTAGTATCATTTTAGTGAGTCATCCATTTTGCTTAAGAGGGTTTGAATTAAGTTTCTGTTACTGCCAAGCCAAAGAAAAACGAACAGTCCAACATGGCACCATTCCCTTAGTATATTGTTCTATATGTGCAGGACCTCCTCAAGTGAGCTTTGAGTAACGAGCAAATCTTGGTTACTGAAAATAGGAAGCCAGGTCATGGCAGGGCACAGAAAAAATTCTAGTGAGTCAGAGATGGAAATGGGGTAAGTTAGAATCCGAGGAGAGATTCAAAATATAAGAAAGGAGAAAAAAACTCTTACGTGGATACCAATAGTCTGCTGGTTTCCCACAATGCCTACCAAACCATCGAGTTGTGTAATTTGGGACCAAATTTTTTTTAAACAAGTGTCAATTTTGCAGCTTGCCACACACTGTGTTTTGTTGGGCTTCGAAGGCAATAATCACCAGTATTTATACCATACTTTATAATTTACAAAGTGTTTTCAGAATTGTTATTTCATTCCCCAGAGGAGAAAATTTGCTCCGAATAAGACCAAGTTTTCCCCGAAGATCTCGACTACAAAGACTTAGAACCAAGACCCAGTTCCAAGGCTTTTCTTCTAAGTCCAAACCTGTGGTCTTTTCCATGCACCACTGTGTCTGCCTCCAAGGAACAGATAGTATCACTGGGGAGACATCAGCAACTCAACGTACCAGGAAGACCTTTCCAGGAAAACATTTCTCTAGTTTTATAATGGAAGCCAATAACAAAAGAGGAATTCCTGCCACTATTATGTGACAGGCCTGTGTTGGCAGAAAGAAACACTAGCTGTGATAGAAATCTCTAAATGGGTATTTGACGCAACACATCAGTTCAACTGAATTATGGGAGGTCAATGGGTAGCTTTTCAACAAGAAAGTCCACAAGGCAAGGAATCAGGAATCTGGATCCAAGTCCAACATCATCGTTAACTGCTGCTTCTTAACCTTCCCAGGCCTTAGTTTTGCTATCTGTAAAATGAAAGGTTGGACGCGATGATCTCCGATGACTCTTCCCCCTAAAATTCTATACTATTTGCTAGAATGCTCCTAGGAATTACACTGCACCATGGTTTATAGCTCACTCTAATTACAGGGTTTACAGTCAGAGAGAACAGTGAATTCTAAATCAGTTCAACGTCTAATTCCTGTTCAGTCATGTCAGGGCAGATTGTTTTTACATATATTAAATTTATGGCACTGCCCTTTTTAGGGGAGGAGGTGAGGCAACTTCATGTAATCTGTTTAGGTGAATAAGGCCGGAAAGCTATAAACAATAATGAGAGTAAGAATCAGCTAGGATACCTTATACTTCTCAAGACATGTTCGCAGTAAATCCATAAGATAGATGGGCAAGTATTTTTTGTTTTGTTTTGTCTTGTTTGCTTTTTAAAATATTACCTTTTGTCAGATGAAGAAAGTGAACACAGACTGGCTTACGTGATTTGACCAAAGTCTTCTTACGACAGAGCCAGGATTAAGACTCGGATTTCCTGACTTTGATTCTAGTATTTCTTCCAACAGTCATGAAGAGTATATTTCCTTTGCAGTCATATAACATATTCTCATTAGCAAAATGCTCCTTTCTGATGTCTACGAAAAGGAGTTGGCAAGTATCATTCTTGATGACAGATGCTGGGGAGAGATGTATCATTAGGGTGCAAAGGCCACTTTCGAATGTTCTTTCTTGCTTCTTGAATATTTGCAGAGGCAGAAGATATGTGCATCTTAGGATCTATCATCATGTAAGCTGAAATGAAAAAAGAACTCGGGTTGAATTTACATAGACCTATCATTATTTCCAATTGCATCTGGTCAAAAACAAATGGGAATTTTAGAATGTCGTCATCTGTTCAATGCCTTCATTGCAAGGCTTGGTTGTAACTCCTGCTGGCTCTTTCATCTGAGTACATTTCCAATTTTGCTTTACATGATTCATCTTAAACTTTATTGTCATGCTCATGGTAATAATGCAGGTTGACAACACTTTAAATGGCTGGCTTCCCATGACACAAGGTAATTAATTTTTATATTGCATTTTTTAGTATAAAGTATTGAGACAAAGACTTTAAAGACCAAAATGATAATGGTTTTGGGGGTACACGAATTGGATCCCAACAATATCAGAAAAGTTGAAATGTAGAAATAATGAAAAGAGAGACAGATTAGGATAAAAGTTGTTAAGCTTTGGAATGGAATATTAAGGTTGCCCGGGTATTTCTTTCTAGGAGACTTGAAAGGTTGATGAATCTGGTGTTTTGATGACATTGAAGGTATCATATTCGTGGCTTGTAAAGTCCTTCCCCCCACCTATTCTTTTAGAAAAAGGATTTAAAAATGCCAAGACCTAGCTTACAGGGATATTCTTAAGAGGGGTTCATAAAAGACAAAGGATAGGGAAAATAAATCATCCTGGGCAGAGGAAGATTAAAAAAGAGATGTTTGAAGTTCAGTCCAGAAAGAATGGGGTTCTCATTGCCTGGAGCACTGGAGCCATCTTTGTGGTGGAAATTGCAGAGAGCTCAGGTGAGTGGCCAGGTAGAGAGGTGGGAGCAGATGGAGGAATGCAGGGGGCAACTGCATGCAACAGACTGAAAGGCATGTTTGCTAACCTCAGAGCTTTCCAAACAGGAAAGGAAGAGGGTCAGGAAATGTGAGTGGGAAGGGAGGTTTCACACTGAACTCTGGGACTCTGACTTAGAAGAGGTTTGTAGTCCCAATTATGAAGTTGGTGCTATTGGGCTGGGTCAGAACACAAACGCAGCAGAAACAGTTTGTCTTCCCAACTCCAGCCCCAATCCACTGGCCTTTCAGCAGTCTCAGCTCTCCCGCCTTTTAACTTCTAGCACCCTTGAATGTTCCCAGATCAAAGACGATCCCATGAGTTCTGCAATTTTATGACAAGGTTTGATTCTAACTCGCTTTAGTTTTCCTGTCCCTTTCATAATTGGCCATTTTTATTTTTTTATTTATTTGTTTTAGAGATAGGGTCTTGCCCTGTTACCGAGGCTGGAGTGCAGTGGCACAATCACAGCTCACTGCAGCCTCCAACTTCTGGGCTCAAGCCTTCCTCCCACCTCATCCTCCCATGTTGCTGGGACTACAGGTGCCTGCCACCACGCCTGGCTAATTTTAACATTTTTTTTTGTAAAGATGAGATCTCACTCTGTTGCCCAGGCTGGTCTTGAACTTTTGGCCTCAAGCAGTCCTCCCTCCTCAGCCTCCCAAAGCGTTGGGATTACAGGTATGAGCCACCATGCTGGCCTCAGGTATTTTTATTTCAAATGTAAGTTAAGTGTAAGGGAGGGGTATTTGCACTTTTGTTTCATGATTAGAGGCAGTGGGTAAAAGCTTAATCTCCTGTCCAAGTGACATTCTCAGAGTCCTTTAAATGATGCAACCCTGGGCAATGACCCCCTCAGCCGTGGAGTAAGAAAGGACTCCGTTACATAGCTCGGTCTTAAAGCTGCTGTCCCTGTCTCCTCAAACAGTGCCAAACATGGCACATGCTTCCTGTTTGAGGACAAACTTCCACCCACCCATTTATCAAGCCTCATACTTTGGGATGTTCTCAATCGGACTTTCCCCGAAATGGACGTGGCTGCTTGTGCTTCACTACGCCTTTAGCCTGCTTAACCGATCTCACCCCGAGATCTTCCTGGCCAGGACCCGACTTCCTCTAAGCCTCCTCATCCTCCCCATCCCAGTGTGGGCTTACTGATAGACCACCTGTGACGACCTCACCTCCCTGCCTACCTTGGCCCCTGGGGTCCTACCAGCTGCGCTCCACCAGGGCTAGAGCTGCCAACCCCAAAGCCTGTTCCACTGGAGTTTTTTTTTCTTCCCAACCTTCAGGTTCAAGGGGTACATGTGCAGGTTTGTTACATGGGTAGATTGCATGTTGTAGGGGTTTGGCGTATATATAATTTGGTCACCCAGGTAATCAGCATAATAACTGACAGGTAGTTTTTTGATCTTCACTCTTCTCCCATTCTGCACCCTCAGATAAGCCCCAGTGTCTATTGTTCCCTTCTTTATGTCCATGGGTACTCCCTGTTTAGCTCCCACTTATAAGTGAAAACACGCAGTATTTGGTTTTCTGTTTCTGTGTTAATTCACTCAGGATTAGGGTTTCCAGTACCAACCATGTTGCTGCAAAGGCCATGATCTCATTCTTTATGGCTGCATAGTATTCCATGGTGTATAGGTACCACGTTTTCTGTTTTTTTTAGATGCAGTCTCACTCTGTTGCCCAGGCTGGAGTACAGTGGCGTGATCTCGGCTCACTGCAAGCTCCGCCTCCCGGGTTCACACCATTCTCCTGCCTCAGCCTCCCGAGTAGCTGGGACTACAGGCACCCGCCACCACGCCTGGCTAATTTCTTTTTGTATTTTTAGTAGAGACGGGGTTTCACTATGTTAGCCAGGATGGTCTGGATCTCCTGACCTTGTGATCTGCCCACCTTGGCCTCCCAAAGTACTGAGATTACAGGTGTGAGCCACCAAGCCCGGCCTGTACCACATTTTCTTTATCCAATCCACCATTAATGGGCACCTAGGTTGATTCTGTGTCTTTGCTGTTGTGAATAGAGCCGCAGTGATCATATGTGTGCCTGTGTCTTTATGGTAGAGTGATTTATATTCCTTTGAGTATATACCTGGCAATGGGATTGTTGGGTCAAATGGTAGCTCTATTTTACGTTCTTTGAAAAATCTCCTGACTGCTTTCCACAGTCGCTGAACTAATTCACATTCCCACCAGCAGTGTATAAGTGTTTCCTTTCCTCACTGGAGAAGTTTAATGAGCCTCAGCCAATCTGTGAACAAGAGCAAGGGTTTTCAGAAAAATTTTTGAGCCATAGGATCCTCTCTTCATTTGAAACCTATTGTAGAGATCTTACTTTGGAAATGAGAAAGTGCTGATCTATACTTAAATGGGGGCTGGGGTCTCACCTGCTTACCATTCTCACAGTCCCTTTCAGGAAGCTACTCCGTGAAACCCCCATGGCTGTGAGAAGTCTTTGACTGGAGGACTCTCACATCATATGCTACCTTTGCCAGTCCCGCCCACACCTGCGAATCAGCTGCCAGCACTGCACCTGTGATTTCTAAATTGCCATCTCCTGATCTCTACGTAACCTCCGGTTGCACATTTCCAGTTCCTTACCGGATCTACCCCACAAAGGTCCATATGTTCCTCAACGTCTCCAAGACTTCATCTAATTGTCCTGCCTGCCACCCCCATCTCTCCTTTAGCACTTCTATTTCTTATTTCCTAAGTCAATTGATAGGATTGCAAGAAAGTTTGGGGTTATCTTGGAATACTTCCCGACTCACAACTCCTGCGCAGGTAACCAGCCACGAATTCCTATGATTCTACCCCTAAAACTTCTCTGAGATCTATAGCCTATTCTCTATCCCCACTGCCACTGCCTGAGTTGGGCTTTTGCCATCTTTGGTAGAGACTGTAGCATCAATATCCATATCTAGTGCCTGCCCTGAGCCATTCCTGACTCTGCAATAAAGAGGAAGCCTTCTGACCAGTGAGACTAAGATCCACCATTGAAGAATGAGGAGGATATTTACAGGACTTCCTTAAGCCAATAAGCGTGATCTTGCTATATTCCAAGAGCATGCAGCTCATTTGAGAATGCTTCTCATGTAAATGTCCGTTGAGAGAAATGCAAACACAGCCCATTCACTGATTTGCCCTTTGTGTTGTCTTTTCTAACTCCTTTTCCCTTATGCGTGGGTGGAGTGCTAACAGCTGTACCAGGGAACAACTAATCCCATGGGCAACCCGCCGCCAGGGTCCATCATTCACAGAAGACAATCTACTGTTTCTCATTGTGCTCCATGATTCACCCACTGCAAGAGAAAACTAACACACAGAGTGATTGTTCCATCTCCCGTGGAGAGGGTCCTTATTATGACAGAGAAGTTATTTTCTTTTCTGTGGTTTCTTAAGGGTTCTCTAATTGGGTAACCCCCTGCTGACCCCCGGCTATGGCAGTTTCTATATTGATATCTTTGTTCCACTGCTTGCACACTGAAGCCAGGAACGAGTAATTCAAACCAACAGAGAGCATAAGATAATGGGGCTTTTATAAACTACTAGTGTTTAAAAGGCAATGACCCTTTAAGTTCACTGGAGTTCTCTTCCATTAAGAATTTTTCTCACCTGTACACAACAGATGGGGGATGCATTACAGCCCTGTGTCTGCTCCGGACGGGAGCTGAGCTCATCTGCTAGACTTCATGGACTTGAACCTGGACTGCTTTGGAGTTCATTCATGTTCTACCCACACTTGGATAACAGCTCAGAATAAGCACAGAAGCTTTCCATTTTTTTGTTTTGAATAAATATGGGAAAGTATAAAGGGTAATGGGAAATAAAATAAAAATATGGGAAAGTATAAAGGATAATGTAACAAAAACCCATATTCCTAGAAATGGTAACACCTAGAAATATTAACTTTTCAAATTTTGTCCTATTTGCTTGTGGTATTTTAATTTGAGAAAGTATAAAGGATGATGTAACAAAAACCTATATTCCTAGAAATGTTAACACCTAGAAATATTAACTTTTCAAATTTTGTCATATGTGCTTGAAGTATTTTTTTAAGGCAATAAAGCATTAGAGTTAAAACTAAAATCCTCTTTAGCCTCCAACCCTAGTGTTCCCAGTCCGCACCCCAAGGGCCACTATCATCATAGGATGGTGTATAGCTATGCGGTCCGTTCATTTCTTTTATTTCTTTCTACTGATATGAAATTTATTTATTGCATTTCTAGTCTATTAGTGTTAATAAAGTTTTAATGTGTATACTTATATATTTTTTCAAAACTTAAAATTCACCAATGTCTATATTCTCTGTAACATGGCAATATAGTTACATTCTGTGCTATTTTCAAACACTCTCCTTATCTGAACACCATGTTAACACCTACGTCTCAGTTCAAGCTTATTTTAATCACAACATTTTTTCTCTTTCTTTTCTTCTTTTCTTTTTTGTCTTCCTCTTTCTGTTACTGCTTTAGGATTTATTAATTATGATAGGATTGCAAGGACATTTGGGGTTATCTTGGAATACTTCCCGACTCACAACTCTGTTGGAAGAAATACTAGAATCCTGTTTCTGCCGCATTTGTGTCTTGATCCTTGAAACTTATGCCCTCTGTTCCTCAAGGACCTAAAACAGAAACACCACTCGACCCAGCAATCCCATTACTGGGTATATACCAAAAGGAGTAGAAATTGTTCTATCATAAAGACACATGCACACATATGTTCATTGCAGCACTATTTACAACAGCAAAGACATGGAATCGACCTAAATGCCCATCAGTGGTAGACTGGATAAAGAAAATGTTGTACATATACAACATGGAATACTACGCAGCCAGGAAAAATGACAAGATTATGCCCTTTGCAGGAACATGGGTGGAGCTGGAGGCATTATCCTTAGCAAACTAACAGAGGAATAGAAAACTAAATACTGCATGTTCTCACTTACAAATGCAAGCAAAATGATGAGAACACATGGACACAAAGAGGGAAACAACACACACTGGGGTTTTTTCAGAGGGTGAAGTGTAGGAGGGAGAGGATGGGGAAAAATAATAACTAATGAGTACAAGGCTTAATACCTGGGTGATGAAATAATCTGTACGACAAACCCCCGTGACACAAGCTTACCTATATAACAGACCTGCACATGTACGCCTGAACTTAAAATAAAAGTTAAATAAAAAAATGTTTAAAAAGAAACATTTCTTTATTGTGGATTCAGTCTTCTTGTGGAGGTATATTCTTTAGCTGTCCTTCCAGCAAACATCTGAGAGAGTATATTTCCTAGGTCCTGATGTCTCTGAAAATGTTTCCATTTTGCTCTCATTCTTAAAAGATGGTCCGGGAACAGAACTCCAAGTTAATAGCTATTTTGCCTCAACTGTTTTTAAGATAGTACTTAGCTTTCTTCTGGCATTTTTTTGGTTTGGTTTTGTTTTATTGTTCATGAAAAGTCTATTAGTGATATTTCTTTTGTGGGCAATCTAATTTTTTCTCTGATCACTTACAGTATTTTCAGTTTTAAATTCTGCAAATTTTGCAGTTTAACATGGTATGTACGGAGATTTTAACTTCATTAATCCTGGTGGATATTTTCATTCTGATTTATAGCTTTCATTTTTCCTAGAAATTTCCCAAAAAATTTGAATGTTTTCTCTCCTTATTCTTTCTATACTCTCCTACTGAAAGTCTGTTCATCAAATTCTCCTGTTTTCCATGTGTTTTAACTAATTTTAAAAACAATTTTCATGTTTTTATCTCTCTATGCTATGTTCTGGGTATTTCCTCTGTTCCACATTTTAATTCACTCATTTCTACTTTAGCTGTGTTTAGTTCATGAGTTAATGCATTTGTATTCTTCCTCCATAGCGGTGGTTATTTCTTGCTTTTGAATACAATGTACAACTTTTTTTCTTCTTTGGGACAATTTAATAATTTTCTAAAATGTCTACGTATTTGGCATAGAAAGCATTTATATACAGTAGAAGCAGACAGAGAAATTTTAGTGCGTGCTGAACTCACAATCTTGATTGCTTTTTTTTTGAGATGAAATCTCATTCTGTTGCCCAGGCTGGAGTATAGTGGCGCTATCTTAGCTCACTGCAACCTCTGCCTCCCAGATGCAAGCGATTCTCCTGCCTCAGCCTCTCGAGTAGCTGGGATCACAGGTGTGTACCACCATGGCCGGCTAATTTTAGTATTTTTAGTAGAGACAGGGTTTCACCATGTTGGCCAGGCTAGTCTCAAACTCCTGAACTCAAGTGATCTGCCCGCCTGGGCCTCCCAAAGTGCTGGGATTACAGGCATGAGCCACTGTGCCCGGCCACAACCTTGATTACTTTTTGACTTAGAGTAAATGCTATCCTGTCCTGAATTATCTCACCTGTTGTTGCCGTGATAACCATATTAACCAATTTTCGTATTCTGACAAGGGAATGTTTCATAAATTGTCAATTTATTTAATTAAAAAGTCTTACAAAAGGCCAATCACGTTTAACAATTTTTTGAAAATAATACAATTACATGAACCATAATAATCCCACCAAAGTCCAGAGTGGAAAAGTCAGTAGAAATAAACATTTCTGAATCTATTTTTATGACTCAAGCACTGACAAGGCCTGAAAGGTCCTTTCTTGCTCCATAGATCTCTAGATATGGGAAGTAGAGATGAAATGAATGTGTATTAAGTGGACATATTTTATATGGTTTCTTTAAAATCTCAAAAGTAAACTGTTTCCTTCTGATTTGCTTCTTTGAAATCAAAGTAAGATCTAGCAAAACATTCCAGTCATTTAAAATTCCCCCACTGATAGTGATTGTAATGGTGGGTTTTGTTTGTATTTGAGGGCTGATCACATTTATAAACATATAAGCTGTATTATTGTGAAATTCATGGTCCTTCATTAAAATAAAGTTTACAAAACATCCTTTTATTATTATCTCAATTATTTTTTATATTGTTGCCATGGTTACAGTCAGTAACATTAATAGTTAAACAAAGGAAAAACTAGGCTTTCCTTTGTAAATGGAGAAAGGAATAGTATTTTCTTTGTTGCTTTCAATACGCAGGTTTGAAAAAATCTTGGTTATGAAGTCAGGGAATTACATTACACTTAAGAGCAAACATCATATATAAATCTTCTTATGTCTTCTTGGTTATTAATTAATGTGCTAATGATGCCAGGAAGTTTCTTAGCTGAAGCTTGTGGTTTAAAGTAGCTGTTCTTGGGGGAAGAAATTTGGCCAGATTCCCTTTATAGACCTAAAGATTTTAGTACTTACTATACAATGAAGGATTTGTCCTCATTTTTGGAAAACTAATGAAATTAGTAATTTGTGATGCATGTCTGGTATGGAAGGAAATCACAATAAGATCTACATGCACCTTTTTAAAAGACGAATTGCAAAAAATGGCAAACAAACAAGCAAGAAAAAGCACATGCAATGCGTTCAATGTTCCTGGGAGAACAAGCTCTTTCAAAATTGAAAATATATATTGTTCAGCATTGTTACAAATGAGGTACCTGTGTATTAAACTGGCTTCAAATGATGGATTGGAGTTGTAATTGATTGGCTTCTCCCACCACCAATCATATGTGTCCCAGGAGATGTCATAGGAGGGCTCATAACTCATCTCCCACCCACAGCCTCCCAGTAGTCATTACCTGGTTGCAGGTAAAACTCTCTTGATATCTCCCAACAAAAAGATGTTTGTTGGGATCAGAGGGTAGAGACCTGCTTAGACATTTGAAAACAAGGAGAAAACCCACAAACAGAGGGCTAACATCAATGTGGGTAATATCTAAATTTTGTTTACTGTATATCAATGTGGAGAATAAATGAGGAGTAGAGTAGTTCTTTTAAAAGAATGAAAATTAGGCCTATTCTAGAGACAAATAGATTCCGCTGATATTGACAATTGCCTAAATCATTAGTCACTGTGAAATCTTCAAGATTTTGCAGCTTTTTTGATATTGACTTGATACTGCCTGTTTTTATCTGGACCTCTCCAGATCGCCTGAGTTTCGACTGTGAAGATCTACTCATATACTGCTTTTCTTCTAGATTCTTGTCTGGGAATATTTAGGATCAACATCCAGGAATTCAGCATTTCCTATGGGATGTTGATATTTTCCTTTTTTCATCTTAATTGTAGACGAAAGTTGGTAAAATGAAAACCAGCTTCACATTTATGAACCTTGAGTGAAAAAGGAAAAATGCCTTGAGATGTACTTAATCTTTTGAGACGATTTAGGTGTTTTCTGTATATAACTCTAGATATCTGTGCAATTTCTTTGACCAGGGGAGCAAGAAGTTTCAGTTCCTTTAAACTCATATAAGAAAGTAGAAGTACTCCGAAAAGAAATGACTTCTAAGAGGGATACCAGAAGTCAGAGAAAGGGCTAGACATTGAAATCTGGTTTCAAATACTCTACAAGCAGAGGAAAAGTCAGGAGAGCAGCTCCTATGCACAAAGATGACAATGACAATGCTATTTGTAGTATCTGAAAATGGACTAAATTGAAAGGTGCTTAACATGAAAAGTAGACACACACAAAGTTAATATTTCTTGTAGGCAAGAGGGTTACAAAAGAACACTGGTGTCGTCTCCTGCTGCCTTGATAACATAGTGCACATCAGAAGCTCCTGCAATGAATTTTAGGGTAACTTTCATCTGAATGGAATCGCTCTCCACTTTACTATAACACCAGATTTGAACATTCTAAGTGTGCATTTTTAATATTTTCAAAAACATTGGGTTGGTGCAAACTGATGGTGGCTTTATGCTGCCATGCCATCGAATAACTAAGGATACCACATCTAGTTCCCCTTGGCTAACTCATTGCCTAGGACAGCGATAAGGAACCAAGCATGGAAGCTTTAGAGTTTTACCCCACACCTCCCATTCCAGTTGCTCTATCCACCCCTCACCCCCGCAACAGCATAATACTGCATTTATTAAATATGTGCCTGGGAAGTTTCCCCTAGAGCCACATGCACTTCTGTCCATATTTTACAGTGGTAGGTGGTAGACCTGGAGAGAGAATGTGCAAGTTACCCACCTTTATGAGGCTGTTGAAAATCACTCCCAGAATTACATCTCATTTCTAAATGTATACTTTGGGAATAAGGGCAAAGAATTAGGAAATCAATGGGATTAACTAAATTCACTGCCCTCTTATTTCTTATTTTTATAACACTTAAGGGTTTTTTTGTCTCATTAAGATCTTGGCAGAGCACTCCATTACAGAGTTCCCATGCTCCCGATAGGAGGAATATATTCTATTGCATTTTTTGGCTCATATGTTTTAAGTGTTTCTTCAACAACACGAGAGTGAGCATCAGATCACCTCTGGCTAAGGAATGAAGGAACCCACTTCAGGAGAAATTGCACTAAGACTACCTTTGTTTTAAGGGTGTAAAAATCCTTAAATCCTACTTGCACAGAATTGCGTAGACCCTGCTGAATTTTCATCAATATTGTCTTCTTTCCAACTCCTTCTACTGCATTAGCCTATAGCAACTGGACCGTACACAAATAAGTCTTAGCACTAAACTGTAGAGCTCCTTCTCAGACAACATCCATGACAGGAGAAAGGGGCATGAAGAGATGAAGCACAAAGTATACATTGAAAAAGTTGTGGGTCATGTTTTTCAACACATTTTCTTGCTTGGTTCCATTCAGTGAGCTTTGATTTCCTTTAGTTCTGGGTAGAGGATTTACGCTTATTTTTTTCTGACTAGGTGAACTATCTTTAAATACAGTGAAAAAATTCAGAAACTCTGTTATATCAAAGACTTCTGGAAATATGGGGAAGAAGGTAAGGAAGAAATTGGGCATGGTAGTGCACACCTGTAGTCCCACCTACTTGGAAGGCTGAGATGAGAGGATCATGGGAACCCAGGAGTTCAAGACCAGGCTGGGCAACTTAACAAGACCCCATTTCACAAAGAAGAAGAAGAAGGAGGAGGAGGAGGAAAGAAAAGAGTGACCCACAACCCAAAGCCTTGCCATTTCCCATAAAAAAAGCCACAATCTGTCCCTTGGAGCACATGAAGGGCAAATCTCCAGTCTAAGAAGAGGCTCCCTTCTTCCCCGAGTGCAGGAGGGGAAGCCACCTGGGATCTTCCAGCATGAGCTCATGTACCTGCTGCTGTCTTTCACGACACTTGAAAGCAATTGCATTGTTTTCTACGACCGCTGTAACACACCACCACACACCTGGTGGCTTAGAACAACCCAAGTTTATTCTCTTGTAGCTTAGGAGGTCAGAAGTCCAAAATCTGTCCTTGTTGGCCAAAATCAAAGTTGGCAAGGCTGCTGGAATTCCTTGGCATGTGAACGCATTACTCCAATCTCTGTCTCCATGGTCGCACCTCCTTGTCCTCTTCTGTCGGAAATCTCCCTCTGCCTCCTTCTTAGAACACTTTTTTTTTGGGGGGGGGGGGAGGAGTTTTGCTCTTGTTGCCCATGCTGGAGTGCAATGATGGGATCCTGGCTCACTGCAACCTCTGCCTCCCGGGTTCAAGCGATTCTCCTGATTCAGCCTCTGAAGTAGCTGGGACTATAGGCATGCACTACCAAGCCTGGCTAATTTTGTATTTTTAGTAGAGATGGGGTTTCCCCATGTTGGTCAGGCTGGTCTCGAACTCCTGACCTCAGGTGATCTGCCTGCCTCGGCCTTCCAAAGTGCTGGGATTACAGGCGTGAGCCACTGCACCCAGCCCTTAGAACACTTTTTATTGCATGTAGGGCCCACCCAGATAATCTGGAATAATCTCTCCGTTTTATGATGTCGACTTTATCACATCTACAGACTTTGCCTTTTAAGATGCATTCACAGATTCCAGGGATTAGCACGTGGCCCTCTTGGGAAGCCAGGATTTGGCCTCCGTAACACCTGTTGTTTCTCTGGTACTCAGATTCCAGGGAAGTGGATGTGTTCATGGTTTCTCTGCAGAGGAGCTCATTCCAAAGAATGATGGACACAGGTTAGTAGTTGTCCAGGCCAGAATGGAGGGATTACAGTATGTGATGATCTGTACTGGGATTTCCGAGACTAAGATTTGGTCTGGAGAGGGTGTGTTAATTATACTTAAAGTCTTCTTTCAGTCTCCTGCATATGAAGCAATACTCTGTGTACTTGGAAGGATTTAGAATTATGAAATGTTTCTTTTGTCTGGAACTAGTCTGCCTGTGATGCTAAGTAAGACAGATGGATGCGAAAGGAGATGCAACATAGCATGGGGAAGGCCAGGAGAGGTGAACGAGAAGTGAAGAAAAACAGATGATAACAGCAAGAGATGGGATTTGGGCTGGGCTCAGAAGGATGGGTGTCTTTTAGGAAACCATCCATGCCCATCTCTCCCATATTATTTAGTATCTACCTTTGCTTATGTCGTCATAAGGCTTCTCTCGTTGTTTCTAGTAGTCTGTTTACCTGGCTAGGGTGAGGACAATGGCTTATCATGTTTTAGTCCGAGATTCCCAGCATGTAGCATGGCGCCTGGCATGCAGTAGAAGCTCAATAAATATGGGCTGAGTTGAATGAATTAGTGGAGAGGAGAGAGAAGGAAATTTTGGGCAGAGAGCTAGCTCAAGAAAATGCTTGGAGGCAGGGCAATTTTTCTCATGTCAGTATAGTATGAGTCACCATGAGGAAAGTGGGGCAGTGAACCGGACTGGGCTCGGGGGATGGGTGAGCAGAGAGGAAGTGAGGAAATGGCTGCTCTGTTCTCACCACTGCTGGCCATGTTCCCGTGGCTGTTCTTGGCAGGTGTGAGGAGGTGGCGGGCCGTGCCTGGCAGAACACACCCATTGATGCAGGAGGTGGTACAGAAGAGGGGATAAGAGCAAGAGCCTTGCAGCTTGAGTCCTAGCGCTGCCACCTGTGTGAGCTTGGGCAGACTGCTCACACCCTCTAAGTCATGGTTTTCTTTTCTTTTCTTTTTTTTCTTTTCTTTTCTTTGAGATGGAGTTTCTCTCTTGCCACCCAGGCTGGAGTGCAATGGCGCCATCTCGGCTCACCGCAACCTCTGCCTCCCGGGTTCAAGCAATTCTCCTGCCTCAGCCTTCTGAGTAGCTGGGATTACAGGCATGCGCCACCACGCCCTGCTAATTTTGTATTTTTAGTAGAGACAGAGTTTCACCGTGTTGGTCAGGCTGGTCTGAAACTCTCAACCTCAGGTGATCCACCTGCCTTGGCCTCCTAAAGTGCTGGGATTACAGGCGTGAGCCACTGCGCCCGGCCTAAGTCATAGTTTTCTTATTTGCAAAATGAAGATCCATCTCACAGTTCTGAACTACGGATAAAGAAGACAAACTGTGCAAAGAGTTTTGTGCAGTGCCTGGGATGTAGGTAACACTAATATTATTGTGACTATAGATCACATCCATTAGGCTCCTCACTGGAGGGAATCCTGGCTACGCTGTGTGACTGGATGTGCCTTGGTCAGCAGTATTGACTGGTGCTGACATCTGAGCCTCTTCTTCCTTGCACAGTGAGCAACTAGCCAGCTTGTGTGACTCCATTAGGTCCCAGAGCAACTTTGAAGAGAAACCTGGTGATTCTGGAGGACAACGCCCATGTTTCTCAGGCACTCTCTGCAAATGTGAGCACCGATAGGGCCTTTACTAAGGATGAAGTTGTGGCTCTGGATCTGTAGTCTACCTCCAGCTTGCAAAGCTCTTGCCTTGCAGCCTTGAAAAACCAAGCGAAAGTGCATGGAGAGCTTTGAGGCATCCTAGCTCTGCAGGAAAACAGGGGTCAGATGAGGCAAGCTGTGTGGTGCTAGATCTGATTGTAGAGCCAGGCTGTGTCACTGGACCTACTTCTCAAAGAGATTAGACAGGATCAGAGCCAATGGGACCTTTTCCAGTGTTAATTGGACTTAGTTATAAATAACACGGAAGCCTCTTGTCATTGCTCCTCTGGGTGTCTGGCTTACATGCCAAAACACAGAACTTGAATAAAAATGTTCGAGACATGCTAGCAGGTTTCAAGGTCTTCACCCTCGTGACAGGGGTTGCGTAGCAGGTTTCCTTCTCATCAAGAGGCTTAAAAGTGAGAAGGAGCAGTGCATTTCAAGTTATTTGATAAATTGAGTAAAACCCATTTGCCAGTTGGAATTTTTTTTTAATAGAGGAGGTCCTCACTACAGTTCTAATTAAAAATCAATGTGATATATAATTAAATTCTAGTGATCATATATGCACCAGCCCGTCTCTTTAGCTTTTAGCTGAAGGCAGGGGAGGCATGCTGTTATTGATCAGTGCAGGAGCCCTTTGAGGTTGTCAATAGATGTCTCGTCTGAGAGCCACGTGGCTGCTCAAAACCCACAGCAGCGCTCAGAGCTGAAGGACACTCGACTGACTCCAGCAAAGGGGGCTGATGCTCCCTGACCATTTAAGTGCTCTGCCAGGTAGGCCAGGACCCCGTTCACCATCTCCACCTGCCATCCAGTCCTCCAAGAAGTGAGCTCTGGGGAGGAGGCTTTGGAAAGGGAGAGGAAGCCAATCAATGTTTTCCAGCTTCAAATTATCATTTTAGCTTCCTTTTCCCCATTAGACCATGGGTAAGTCCCCTCTAATTATTTTCCATCATGTGTGTCAAGTACCAAGTCAAGTCCGCTGAGTCAGAATGACTAAAGATCACATTGATTCAAGACTTATCCGAAGGCCACTGACGTGTCTAGGTGGTTCCATCCAGTCTGAGGAACAGTCCTACCCCTATTACATGAAGAACTATCATTGGGATTTTCCAGTTTCTTAGAAAGATGTTCATGTTTCTTTGTATGAATTCTTGGCAACCTCCCGAGCAATTTATCATAAAAGCTCATGTGCGTAAAGTGCAAAATCCTTCTCAAAAGACTTCCACAATTTTTATTTTTGTCCTCTCGTGTGATCCTCATCACAATACAATGATCTGAGGCATGAAAGTGGTTTTTTTTTTTTTTTTTTTTAAGACATGGTCTTGCTCTGTTGCCCAGGCTGGTTTCAAACTCCTGAGCTCAAGTGATCCTCCCGCATCAGCCTCCCAAAGTGCTGGGACTATAGGTACACAACACCATGCCCTGCTGGAAGTGGCATTTTTATTCCCACTTTACGTAGGAGCATTTCCTCACCCAAAGCAGAGACTGTTAAAGGGTTGATCCAGGTTTCTCCGGCCTGGGAGACTTTTGGAGTAGAACTTGGGTCTTCCAACTTCCTGTCCCATGCCTGACACCTGACACCATGCTGCCTGCTCAGGGACCATTGCTGACCCATCTTTCACTGCCAGGCCCTCCTCCTCCTCAGAAGACTTTATCTCTCCCTCCTTTAAAGCTGAATTTAGTGACAATATATTTTATTTTTGACTCCCACTGTTTCTTTAGTTTTTTGGTTTTTGTTTTTTAAATTTCAGACAGAGTCTTGCTCTGTCGCTCAGACTGGAGTGCAGTGGCATGATCTCGGCTCACCACAACCTCCGCCTCCCGGGTTCAAGCAATTCTCATGCCTCAGTCTCCCAAGTAGCTGGGACTACAGGCACCTGCCCCCACACCTGGCTAATTTTTTATATTTTTAGTAAGAGATGGGGTTTCCCCATGTTGCCCAGGCTGGTCTCAAACTCCTGATCTCAGGTGATCTGCCTGCCTCGGCCTCCCAAAGTGCTGGGATTACAGGCGTGAGCCACCATGCCCGGCCATAGATTTTTATTATTCAAATACCAATACGTCGTTGTTGTAACGGATTTAAATTATGTATGAGAATATAGAGCCCAGTGTGAAAGGGCCCATTCCTGGCTTGGAGCTTATACATCCTGGCTGCTGTCCTGGGCCACCAGGGAATGTCTGCTTTCCCTCCCTTCCAGTATGTCTTTCCTCCTCCTCTTCCTTTTTTCCTCGTCATCCTCTTCCCTTTCCTCCTTCTCCTCCTTTCTCCTTCCTTCTCCTCTTCCCCTTCTTCTTCCTACTTCTCCTTTTCCCCTTCACTTTCTTTCCCCTCACATCTCTCTTTCTTCTCCCATATGTATTTAAATAAAATAAGGATGTTGTTTTACACAAATAAAAAAATAGTTTTAGAAACATGCCTTGGTGGAAAGCAAGAATTTTTTCAAAACCTTTCTTATATAAAGGAAAACGACACAAAGCCTCCTGTAGTGTAGAGCTGGAGCTAATTTTAGGAAGAAGGAGGATTTGACACACATGAAGGAAAAGAGAAGCTCGTTCGCCACGAGACGTGGGGAGCCAAGACAGGGAGTGAGACAAAATAAAACCCCGTGAGTCACCTTTGAGCTCTCTCCTCCTCCCCATCCCAAATGCAGGCTACCAGCAAATCCTCCCTGCTCTATCTTCATAACATATCCAAAATCTGGCCGGGCACGGTGGCTCATGCCTGTAATCCCAGTGATTTGGGAGGCCGAGGTGGGCGGATCACTTGAGGTCAGGAGTTTGAGACCAGCCTGGCCAACATAACAAAATCCCATTTCTACTAAAAATACAAAAATTAGCCGGGCGTGGTGGTGGGCAGCTGTAACGCCAGCTACTCTGGAGGCTGAGGCACGAGAATTGCTTGAACCCGGGAGGCGGAGGTTGCAGTGAGCTGAGATTGCACCACTGCACTCCAGCCTGGGCAACAGAGCAAGACTCTGTCTCAAAAAACAAAACACACACACACACACACACACACACACACACACACACACATATCCCAAATCCTTCCTTTTTTCATCACCTCCCAACTCACATCCTGGTGCATGCCATGAGCATCTCTTTCCTGGATTTTTGCAGCTGCCCCACTGGTGTGCCAGAGCCAGCTTGTTAAATCACCTGAGCCGAATATGAAGTTTCCAGGAATTCTGCAAGTTAGTTGTTAAATGCAACCATTACTAAAAATTAAACAATATAAACTTATTATTAAATTATATTAAAAACCAAGGTAATAAATATTTAGAAGTCAACGCTTCCTGATTTTACTCCATTTTACGGAGGCCGTTGATCTGTATTGTATTCACATGGTAGGAATACTGTACGATGCCAGGCTGCTGCACATCTCTCCCCAACTCTGCTTTTATTCTTTTTATTGATCTATTTATTTATTTGGAGATAAGGTCTTGCTCTGTCTCCAGGCTGTTAGAGTGCAGTGGTACAATCATGGCTCACTACAGCCTCAAACTCCCGGGTTCAAGTGATCCTCCCGCCTCAGCCTTTCAGGTAGCTAGCACCACAGGTGCATGCCACCATGCCTGATTACTTTTTATTTTGTATTTTGTAGAAATGGGATCTCACTATGTTGCCCAGGCTGGTCTTGAACTCCCGGGCTCAAGCAGTCCTCCCACCTCGGCGTCCCAAAGCACTGGGATTACCAGTGTGAGCCACCATGGCCTGCCTGTTTTCAGCTTTATTGGTGGAAATCAGCTATGGTGGAAGTATGAACACCACAGAAATCACCAAACACTACAAATCAGTAGTGGTCAACACTTTATAAATGCTCACTGGCCGTTTCACTCTGAATGAACAAAAGTCCCCATCTTCTGAAGAACTCACCAGGCCTGAAGCCTCCCCGCAATTCCCAACATACACCTTCTTCCCTAGTCTGGTAAGTTTATCCTACTGAAATACTACACCTGGAAGCCCAGCTAAAGTCTCACCTCTCTAGTGGAACTTTCCTTCTATTTTATTTATCTGGTCTTCCTGTTTTCCAATTCTTTTTATTTCATATACACAGTCTCACACTAACCTGTTCCTCAATGTCTCTGACTTTACTGTAAGTTCATAGACAGAGTCCATACACATTAGGTGCTCAATAAAGGCATATCAGGGGCTGGGCACGGTGGCTCATGCCTGTAATCCCAGCACTTTGGAGGGCTGACATGGGTGGATCACTTGAGCTCAGGAGTTCGTGACCAGCCTGGGCAACATGGTGAAGCCCTGTCTACAAAAATTAGCTGGGCATGGTGGTGCATGCCCGCAGCCCCAGCTACTTGAGAGGCTGAAGTAGGAGGATCGCTTGAGCCTGGGTGGTTGAAGCTGCAGTGTGCAGTGAGCATGTCACGGCACTCCAGACTGGGCAACCGAGCAAGACTCTGTCTCCAAAAAGCAACAACAAAAACAAAAGACAAATCACTGATGCAGGACTAGAGACCTGGCCCAAGATAATGTTACTAAGAGTAGTGAAAACAGATTTAAATATCATTATCATCTGATGGACCTAACCTTTCTGTCATTTGTTTCACTCATTTGCATAACCATCTGTGAGGTAAGCAATATTATCTGAACTTTACAGATGACAAAGTTAAGAAACTTGCCAGGTCAGACGGCTAGTAGGAGGCAGAGCTGGAACTTGAATCTGTGCTCTTTCTAAGAGGAGGAATTACTGGAGGAAAATGACCGAGGTTTCCATGGTAAATTGAATTGTGTTGGGAACTATACATGGTATTGGAGACTGCTCTGGTGGCACCATGAATGCCCTGACTTGGATACTCTTGTTTTCCAGGTAAAGAGACTGTATGTGGTGTTTTGACATTTTTCCAGAATCCCAATGTGCACAAGAGGCTTTCTGGGTGTGAGACATTTGTAACTAGGGGAATTAGTGCTATCCTGTTGGGCTGGCCTCTTGGAAGTGATTTGCCTTGGTTTTTCTCAGTGAGGGGACTGAAGTTGGGGAAAATGACAACAAGGAATTGTAGCCCTTCTTGCTGTGGTTGGCTGTGACAACACATGACACACATCATCCCCTCCACAACCAGAACAGGGATTCATGGGGACCCCAGAAGGCTTGACTGATGGACTAAAATGTGGGCTTTGATGGCCTCCTTCTTTTGGCCCTGCTTTTGTTTTTTATTGTTGTTGTTGTTGTTTGTTTGATTGTTTGTTTTTTCTGAGATAGGGTCTCACTGTTTTTGCAGGCTGGAGTGCAGTGGCATGATCACGGCTCACTGCAGCCTTGATCTCCCCAGGTTCAGGTGATCCTCCCACCTTAGCCTCTCAAGTAACTGGGACTACAGGCACGTGCCACAATGCCCAGCTAGTTTTTGTATTTTTTATAGAGAAAGGGTTGTGTTGCCCAGGCTGGTCTTGAACTTCTGGACTGAAGCCACCCTCCCACCTTGGCTTCCCAAAATGCTGGGACTACAGGTGTGAGCCACCACTCCTGGACTTGGGCCTGCTTTTGAATGATGCCAAGGCCGTCACGGTGGTCTCAAAGTCAAGCAATACAGTCAACCCAGAACCATGTTGGGCTCATCTGATCTTAGAGTCAGCCTCTCTCTGATACATTTAGATCATGTATTAGAACGGCAGCAAAAGGCACATGATTGTAGAGAGGGATGAGCTTTAACCAAGGTTAAAGAGCTTTGGCTCTTACTGGTGATGGTCCTGAAGTCAGTTATTTTGCCTCTCTTTGCCTCGGAGTTTCTTCATTTGCACAATAGGGGTAATGTTAGGATTAAAGGAGATAAAGTATGGGTCTAGTACATGGTCAATGATCATCAAGACGAAGGTTTTCTTGCAGAAATACAGGTCGGGCCCCTCAGCAGGGATTTGGCTGGTCCCACCTGATGTCATTCTTCCCACTAGTTTCAAACTGGGCTGCTCGCCTGTGGCCAGGGAGTGTATTCCAAAGCATTCCTGTTCGCCAGCTCAGGCCTCAGGGCTGCTGTGAAGCTGCAATTCCTTTCATGGAGCTCATGTGTGTGACAGGGTGTGCCCAGCTCTTAAAGTGCTTTGAAGAAAATGCCTTTGTGCTAAAAGCTCTATAAATATAAGGCGCAGACCTGGGCGTGGTGTTTCCAGAATACTCCCAATTTGATGTTAGCTGTCATCAAAGGCTCAGGTCATAGAAAAGTTGGAAATGGGGGTGGTTTGCCAATTCAGTGATTCCCCAAAGCAGAGATGATTGTTTTTTCTTTTTTTTTCCAACTTCCATTGCTTGATGGTACAAGGCCCATGTTGCCTTTCTTGTGTCCAGAACTACACAAACCTGATTTCAAGTATCCTTTTGAAGAATTACCAATTGCATACTCTCTCTCTACCCCTTTCTTCCCCACCCCACCCACCAACCATCCAGAGCCATCCAACAGCTCCTCCTGGTGGCCATTGCGGAGAGAGATTCTCTGATCACACACCTTTACCTTCAGTATGAATGTGCTTCATTCATTTATTCAACCACTTTTTATTGGTTAACTACTATGCACAAGGCATCTTGCTAGATGCTGGAGATACCAATAGAACAAATAGGGTTCCTGCCTTCATGGGGTCACAATTCTGTGAGGAAACAGACAAACAAGTGATTATAATTACACAATGACTGTGTCATAACAAAAGTATGTACAAGAGCATGGGGGAGGAGCAGGAAAGGAACCTAAGGCATGTTGATATTGAAGCTAAGAAGGCCACAACTTCAGGGCCTTCTCATTTGCATGGTCCCCTTCTGAGGCCATATCACATGTGCATATAACACACACACACACACACACACACACACACACACACACACACACATATTTTTTTCAGACAGGGTCTTGGTCTGTCACCCAGGCTGGAGTGCGGTAGCGATCACAGCTCACTGCAGCCTCAAACTCCTGGGGTCAAGCGATCCTCTCGTTTCAGCCTCCGGAGTAGCTGGGATAACAGGTACACACCACCACACCTGGCTAATTTTTGTATTTTTTGTACAGACTGGGTTTTGCTATGTTGCCAAGACTGGTCTCAAACTCCTGGCCTCAAGTGATCCTTCCTCCTCAGCCTCCCAAATTGCTGGAATTATAGGTCTTAGCCACCATCCCTGGCCTATGGTCATAGATTTTTATAAAATTTACAGGAGTAACCCATTTTGAAGGAATCAGTTAAGATTACACTTGTCTTCTGCACTAACACTTACTGTCATATTTCTCCTGTTATTGGGGGACATGGAAGCAGGAAAAGTTGTCTTTGGAACTGGCTTAGGGAGGGTTGAGTTGGGGATAGAATTCATTTGGGTTTAGTGAGGTTTTTTGTTGTTGTTGTTGTTGTTTGTTTTTTTTTTTTCTTTTTTTGAGATGGAGTTTTGCTCTTGTTGCCCAGGCTGGAGTGCAATGGCGCGATCTCAGCTCTCTGCAACCTGCCCCTCCCGAGTTCAAGTGATTCTCCTGCCTCAGCCTCCCGAGTAGCTAGGATTACAGGCATGCGCCACCACACCCGGCGAATTTTGTATTTTTAGTAGAGACGGGGTTTCTCCATGTTGGTCAGGCTGGTCTCGAACTCTTGACCTCAGATGATCGGCCCACCTCAGCCTCTCAAAGTGCTGGGAATACAGGCATGAGCCACCATGCCCGGCCCCTGGGTTTAGTGAGATATTTTTATGGGTTCATAGTTAAGCTATTGTCAGGCTTCCTTGTGTAGGAGCAGCTTCCAGAAATACTTCTATCACCCACCTTTCTGACTCAGCAACGCTGTGACATAAAGCTTCATGATCAGAGGCTACATCACAATTTAAACATGTCTGCTAGCTCCGGACACCAGAGCTAGGTGAACAATGGAGGAGAAACGTGATTTAGATAGATGGAGCCAGAAGCTAGTCTGCGGAATGTTCTTCAAATTATCAGACGTGTCACTTTGTAAGCAGAGGATTTGGTTGTGGGAAAACTTGAGAGAGGCTTCTGCAGATGTGGGAGCAGTTTTCAACACTTTTTTTTTTTTTTGAGACGAAGTCTCACTCTTGTCCCCCAGGTTGGAGTGCAATGGCACGATTTTGGCTCACTGCAGCCTCTGCCTCCTAAGTTCAAGCAATTCCCCTGCCTCAGCCTCCCAAGTAGCTGGGATTACAGGTGCCTGCCACCACGCTCGGCTAATTTTTGTATTTTTAGTAGAGATGGGGTTTCACCATGTTGGCCAGGCTGGTCTCGAACTCCTGACCTCAGGTGATCCGCCCACCTCAGCCTCCCAAAGTGCTGGGATTACAGGTGTGAGCCACCGCATCCGACCCAGTCTTCAATGACATCACTACTGAGTTTTGAAGCTGGAAGACATGTTTTCAAACAATCTATAGGCTAAAGCAAATCACCATAAAGTGTTAGAGCAAAGAGAGTGGATCTTTTTTAATCCTCTGTATAGAAAAAAAAGGTAGAAAATTGTTTTATGAAGAAGAGATCAGCGTTTGCAGCTAAAAAGTAGAGGAAAGAGAACTATTCTAGAGGCATATGAGGCAGTCACTATTTCTGTGGATTTTGTAATATCTGTGGAATTTGTCAGATGTTATTGTGATATGTTATGATTTTATACTCATTCTAAATAAATGTTCATTTTCATGCCTAATTTTTCATTTGTAATTCTGGATTCTTTTCTTTCATACTTCAGACTCTATACAACTTGGATCAGGCCTGGGAAAGAGACCCTAAGTGTGTCCTGGGGAGGACCAGTGGGGCTTCATGGAGGGTCAGTGTGGGTGCCAAGAGATGGAGGAACCTTATGAGTTGGCCAAGGGCAAAGTGAGCAAGGGAATTTCCAGGCAGAGAGGAAAAGTCAAGAGGCCTATGAGAGCCCTTCTGTAGAGGAAAGTGGGATATTGCAACTGAGGGCATGGAAGTGATCAAGGCCCCCAGGCCAGGTCATAGAGAGCTCTTCTGCTGTCCACAGGGTTCCCAAGGGAGGACCCCTGAGCGTTCAGGCAGGGAGTAGGCAGATGCTGATTTGGGGGTCCGCTAACTTTTCCTCTGTCTTTATCACTCAGCTTTTGATGAATTCTACCTTTTCTCATCTCTCTGTACATATCCCCTTAATCTTCCTCCTTCCTCATACTTTTTGGTTAATTCCTTTGACTGCCCTCTTCACTACCCTTCCACACCAAGGAAGGCTTTTTTATTTTTTTAAATTTTTTTCAGAGAGAGTCTTGCTCTGTTGTCCAGGCTGGAGTGCAGTGGCTCGATCTTGGCTTACTGCAACCTCTGCCTCCTGGGTTCAAGCAATTCTCCTGCCTCAGCCTCCTGAGTAGCTGGGATTACAGGTGCCCACCACCACGCCTGGCTAGTTTTTGTATTTTTTTTAGTAGAGACAGGGTTTCACCATGTTGGCCGGGCTGGTCTCAAACTCCTGACCTCAAGCAATCCTCCTGCCCCAACCTCCCAAAGTGCTCGGATTACAGGTGTGAGTCACCGCACCCGGCCCAAGTAGTGCTTTTTTGTCTCTCTCCTGTTGATTGTGAAATAGGAATGACTACAATCACCAAAGGAACTAACACAATGTTAGTGAGTACCCATAAGTGTTCAGTGCTGAGTAAGTAGTTGATAATTAAAATGGTAAAGGTATTGCCCTCAAGAATCCTGTTGGCTATGGGGAGATTCAGCTAAACAAGCAAACAGATATCTGATTTTTAATAAATGCGAGAAAAGAAACCATGTACTGTACCACAGTTGATTTATCCATTCATCCATCAATGGACATTTGGCTGATCCCACCTTTTGCTTATTGTGAATGGTGCTGCATTCATCTGTCTGCATTCGTGTGAGTAGCAGTCTTTTGTTCTTTGGGTACAGACCTAGGAGTGGAATTGCTACAATTTGTGTTTCGATGCTTTGTCCTTCTATCTTCCTGGAATCTCGATTTATCAATTATTTCCCATGCTTCTTCAATATTTACATTTTTTCCACCACTCCCTCCCTTCTGGTGTACAGGACATGGAAAGATCCAATCTGAAATAAATATTCAAATACTGTGAAAAAAAGTTCCTATGATTTTCAGATACAGAAACCTCAATGTTAAGCCATTGCGGAAAATCTTTATTTCACAAAAGGATCTGAAAAGTACGAAGGGAACTGAGGAGAAAGAAAATCTCAACAAAAGCAGTTCTGGGAAACCATCTCTCATCAGCCTTCATTCTTGAGTGATGACCACCATACTAGATTTTATCGTCTTCTTGGACTTACGAAAACAAAGGTTTCACATAGATTGAGACCCACTTCTCTACCTTTCCACAGGTTGATTTATTTCTTGATTTAGTGAGCTTGCAAATATAGATAGATTACTTTCTTAAGCTGCTTCATGAGATGGAGCAACCTGCAGCTGGGGTGACACAAGCATACTACAAAGTCCTGCTGCCTTGTGGTGGGAAGGACTTGGGCTGGAGAACCGCAGACTGTATTCCTGGACAAACAACTGAAGCCATTCTGTACTCTGCAGAATATGAAAATTAAAGCAAAACTCTTTGCAACAATGCCCGAGTTGCTTTCTAAGTTTCCTTTCAGCTTTAGAAGCCTAAGATTCTAAATATATTGCTGGCTTTGTCGTGTAATCAGATACAAAGGTGGGACCATTCCTATTGACATTTCTTACTCTGAGTCTAAGCATAAGAGGTTTGTTGAAATAGAAATTGGCTAATTAGCATATTTCCATTTCTAAAAAGTACATTGACTTCACTTCCCTTTGCACTTGTGTGTTCTGCATGTTTTATGTGGAGTATTTGGTGAAGACTGTCTCACAAGAAGGTCCTAGCTTTAGCAACTTGGGGGAATTCTTCAGTTGAAACTCCAGGTAGTTCTTATCAGATACTTTGACAAGCCCCTAACTAGAAAGAGGAAAATGTTTTGCAGTTTGTTGTAAAACTCTTCAAAGACATTATTCTATCTTTTTGGTAAAACGATTCCATTTCATGCTCCTACTACATTCTTTGCATTCTCTTCTTGTTTCATCTCAAAGATACTTGTTTTCTCTATGAGTGACTTTCATGTGGTTTTTCGTGTGTTATAATTTCTTTTCTTTGGATGAATAGTCTATATTCATGGTGGTTTTAAGAAGCATGAGTGAGGCCTGGGATGCTTTTTTTTTTTTTTTGAGACCGAGCCTCTCTTTGTCACCCAGGCAAGAGGGCAATGGCGAAATCTCGGCTCACTGCAACTTCCACCTTCAGGTTCAAGCGATTCTCCTGCCTCAGCCTCCCAAGTAGCTGAGATTACAGGTGCCTGCCACCACGCCCAGCTAATTTTTGTATTTTTGTAGAGACGAGTTTTCACCATGTTGGCCAGGCTGGTCTCGAACTCCTGACCTCAGGTGATCCACCTGTCTCGGCCTCCTAAAGCGCTGGGATTATAGGCATGAGCCACCACACCCAGCCCTGGGATGCTTATTTTATCTGAGGAACACAACCTCAATCAGGCTGCATGGATGTACTGAAACAAAGCACAACAGACCCATCTTTGCAAAGGTAAGTGGCCACATGCACAAACTCTCCAAAAATGAACCTAGCGTAGCAAGAGATACAAATAGCATAGGCAAGCCTGAAGGTCTACATAGTCACCTCTTAATGGGATGCTTATTTTATCTGAGTAAGAGGTGACTCAGGCTTGCCTATGTTATTTCTGTCCCTTGCTAAGCAAGGTTCATTTCTGGATACCCTCTGCATGCGGCCACTTACCTTTCCTCAGATGGGTCTATTGTGCTTTGTTTCAATCCGTCCATGCAGCCTGGTTGAGGTTGTGTTCCTACAGGTTGCGAGTCTCAGTTCCCAAACAGGTGCCCTTTGTCTGTAATCTACTTGGAGACACTGTCCTGCATTGATTCTTTCCTGCATTGTTTCCATTGCCTCTTTGTGTTGACTCTAAAAGAAACTTGCTGAAATCATGTCACCCTTTAATATTTTCCGCCTGTGTGCATTTTCAAGTATTGACAATGGTTGCCCAGTGAATATACTGTGCTCTGGCAAAGTCAATAGTTTCTGGATCTTCAGCGATCATCTTTTCTACTAAGCCCTAGAGATTTCTAGAAACAGATATTTGCTTTGATATTTCATGAAACAAAGGCATAGATTGAGCAACTTGAGTGCGTTGTTGTTACAGTTGTAGTGGCCAAAGGACTTCTCTACTGAGAAATGAAAACAATTCTCCATTTTCTTCTCATTTCAACCCATTAAGACTTAAAAAAAAAAATAAGGAGGGCTAATCATTTATAGTCTATGAGAATGAGGTCCCTGGGAGCTGTACATCTTGGGAGCACTGTGGCCTTGTACATGTTTGTTCACTCAAGAAGAATTTGCAAGTACACATTTCATTTGAAAGCATTTGTAGATCTCCCTTCCCATAACTGCATTGTGTAAATGCTCCCTTCCTCAAGAATTTGTTCACTCAGAGTTCACATTTGAGACAACTGCACTCCAGTGTGGGCGTGCCTTTGTCTTCAGGCCACGCCGAAGAGTGTTTAAAGCAGTCTTGCCGGTCGCTCCTTTCCCAGCCGTGAATAAAAACTGAAGCCAGGAATCTAATAAGGAATGCTGATTTCCTCAGTTCCATTTTGAGGAATGGGGAAGGCTATTCTAAAGAAAAAAAATGGGACTTGTTTTCTCGGCACATCTGCAAGACTGGCTTTAAGAGCACAAGGAGGGAAAGTAACGAGAGGGCTGGACTACTATAAAAGTTACAAATACGTAGTTAGACCAATAGATTTATATAGTCAGGTTTTTGTCATGTAATTTATTAACTATTACAGAAACACAACTAAGAATATCAAGCATTTCTCTGGCTCTTGACAAAAAATCAGTTGACTTAACCCTTTGCTGTCAAAAGAGTTGGCGTTTCCTGTTGTGGGTGCTACTGCCAAACGTTCTGGTACTTAGAGTCAGGATGCACGACTTCAACCACCGACTTATCAGTGCAGCTGCCTGTGTATTGCAATTGGCCGTTACCTTAAGCACTGAGCCACCAGGGTTTAGTTCAGCCATTTCAAGAAGTATATTTAACGTCGGTAGTTCTGCTTTATTAAAATGCCGCAGAGGTACTCTTTTGTCCCTTCCGTTTACAGTTCTCTGAGAGAGTTCTATTTTTTTGTTTTGTTTTGTGTTTTCTTTCGCATTTTATATCTTGTATTTATCCTGAACATGTTTTGTATTTCTTTTTTTTTTAAGAAAAGGAATTCTTTTGTGTATACATAGATACTTGCATGATATACTGTAGTCAACGTTCGGTTCCTCAAAAGGTCTTGCTGCTGTCAGGTGTTATGCACTCCATCCATCATAACTGCATGAAACACATTTCATATGTAAATAAATGTGGGACATTCGGCAAAAAAAAAAAAAAAAAGAATTTGTTCACTCTACAAATATTTATTGATTGTCCACTCTCTGGGAAACATTATTCTTGCCCTGGGCACACAGGCGTCTATAGTCGGCTGCATCCTTAAAGAGCTTGCAAAGTTGTTAAAGGAGAAAAAGAAAAAAAACAATGTAATGGTGGGGCTATTTGCATACAAACACTAAGCTCCAAGGTTTGCAGATGTAATAATGAAGGCGCTAAGATAATAATAAACAACTTTCCAGCCCTGAAGGCTTCATGCCGCTGCTAAGGCTGGATACATGATTTCACCACAAAATACTGGATTAGAAGAACCTCATTTACAGTTTACATGGGTTATAACAAAAATGTGAGTGCTGCTAGAATGCCTTCTACTAGTCTACACTCACAGAAACCTCTGAGCCTTTTCCTTTCCCTAAGGAGGTTAATTTTCTTTTAGCTACTTTTTGAACCTTGAAAATGCAGCCAAAGCGAAGCCAGGGTGTACCCTACTGTATTAGGGTTCTCTAGAGGGACAGAACTAATAGGATAGATGTATATATAAAGGGGAGTTTATTAGGGAGTATTGACCCACACAATCACGAGGTGAGGTCCCACAACAGGCCGCCTGCAAGCTGAGGAGCAAGGAAGCCAGGCCGAGCCCCAAAGCTGAAGAACTTGGAGTCCGATGTTCAAGGGCAGAAAGCATCCAGCAGGGGAGAAAGATGGAGGCCTGAAGACTAAACCAGTCTAGTCTTCCCACGTTCTTCTGCCCACTTTTATCCTAGCTGCACTGGCAGCTGATTAGATTGTGCCCACCCAGATTGAGGGTGGGTCTGCCTCTCCCAGTCAACTGACTCAAATGTTAATCTCCTTTGGCAACACCCTCACACACACCCAGGAACAACACTTTGCATCCTTCAATCCAATCAAGTTGACACTCAGTATTAACCATCACACCTACTTACTTGCCTCCATTCTTCTCTTGAATTTTCTAAGGAACTGGAGTCATAAGCCCTGGAAATAAAGAGATCAGTCTTGGCTAGAGCTTCCTTGACCTCTGTGTAGTTTTGTTTTGAAGACTAGTCAGAAATACAGAAATGATCACCTTGACCTTTAGCAAAAGTTATCAAAGAAGGAAGGAACCAAACTGTCTTGCTCTCACCCAGTTGATGGCTGCATTCTCTCCAGGCAGAAATGCAGCTTTCTCTAGCATTTGTGGGTTTCTCTCTATTGTTTTTCCTCCGTACCTATAAGAAGTGTAAGATGAAGTCAATGTGGATAAGTAACCCGTCTGTTCACATTTATTTTTAGAAATAACTTTGAGGCAGTAAATGTGAGGCAGTGACATACATACCTCCTTGTAATAGTTCATTAATCATGTTAACATTTACAAGCCATAATGTTTCTACTGTTTGAGAGGAAAAAGTCTGAAAACAATATTTATACTAATGAATTTTTTATGGGCCTTTCCATCCTAAGGAATGGCTGCTGAGCAAAGCAATGCAACTTGCTTAGAGCGTTGTAGGTTTCTTTTTTTAATTGCCATTTTAATTTAAATTCAGGGGTACACGTGCACGTTTGTTATGTGGGCATATTGTGTGACACTGAGGTTTGGGCTTTTATTGCTCCTGTCACCCGGATAGCGAGCACAGTACCCCAAAGGAAGGTTTTCAGCCCTTGCCCCCCACCCCCCCTTGTGGAGTTCCCATATTTATCTCTGTGTGAACCCAAGATTTATCTCCCACTTTTAAGTGAGAACACGCAGTATTTAATTTCTGTTCCTGTGTTAATTCACTTAGGATTATGGCCTCTAGCTGCATCCATGTTGCTGCAAAGGACATGATTTTATTCATTTTTATGGCTGCATAGTATTCCATGGTGTATATGTACCACATTTTCTCTATTCAGTCCACCATTGATGGGCATCTAAGTTGATTCCATGTCTTTGCTATTGTCAATAGTGCTGCAATGAACATACGTGTGCATGTTTCTTTTTGATAGAACAATTTATTTTCCTGAGATTGCTGGGTTGAATGATAGTTCTGTTTTTAGTTCTTTTAGAAATATCAAAACTGCTTTCCACAGGGGTAACTAATTTACATTCCCACCAACAGTGTATACACATTCCCTTTCCTCCAAAACCTCACCAACATCTGTCATTTTTTGACTTTTTAATAGTAGCCATTCTGACTGATGTGAGGTGATACCTCCTTGTGGTTTTAATTTACATCTTTCTGATGATTAGTGAGGTTTTCAATTCTTTACCTTACGGTCAATGCCCAGTTCTCATGGCCACCTCCCAGTTATTTATCAGCTGTGAGCATTTGCTTCCAAACAGCTTGATAAGGATTTTCAGTGGGTCATCTTGCAATTGCTCTATCACTTCTGTATTTTCTTACCTTTGCCATCTCTAAAGCCACACCAATATTATAATTAATACCATGAATGGAAATTTGATTTTCTACCTTTCAGTCTTCCAGGAAGGCAGAGCTAGAAGCAGTGGGTGAGATTTGGAAAGCCAGATTTCAATTAAACAGAGAGGCGCCCTTTCAAACCATCAGAGCTGCCTGTGGACAGAGCCACTTTGAAAGGTGATGAGCACACAGTTAGTAGAGCTCTGCAAATGAGAGGCTGCATCATATTTTCAGGGATAGCAGAAGGAAGGTGCCAACATTAGGAGGGAAGTAGGAAAAAAACATGCCTCTGGTCCCTCCAGACCCTCAGTATTTTATTTTATTTTATTTACTTGTTAATTAAATTTCCACCCAGGCAGAGTGCAGTGGTACCATGCTGGCTCACTGCAGCCTTGAACTCCTGGGCTCAAGCAATCCTCTAGCCTCAGTGCCCTGAGTAGCTGAGACTACAGGCCCGCACCACCATACCCAACTAATTTACTAATTTATTATTTTTTTGTAGATATGGGGACTCACTATGTTGCTCAGACTGGTCTTGAACTCCTCGCCTCAAGCAGTCCTCCTGCCTTAGCCTAATTTCCCCATATCAGTAGCACTGAGGAGAGCGGTTTTCACTGTAGATTCTGACTGCTCCCATCACCAGAAGCACACAATGCAAGGGAATGAGGCTGTTTTCCACATTTGGCATTTGCTCCTAGAGATTTTTTTCAGCTTAGTTTCAGGTCCTGGGATGTGGGTCAACAAGATGTTGCTACACTTTGAGGATGGACGTGCGCATGCCTGGTTTCCGCACACACTTCAATTTAGGCTCTCAGATGAACTGAGGCATCCTCAGTTTGGTTAAGTAGGTGGTTAGGCAGGTTAAAATGAGCAGATTACCAGGTGCGGACTCTGCAGCTCTATGGAGAAACATCATAGAGTTAGAGTCCAGGTTCAGTCTCTGGCGTGGCAGGCGAAGGGGACTTTGGGTGGGGAGAAAGGCAGACGGGCTCTCTTTTTAGGCGGGGCTGGGAAAAAGATGTCAGTGCTTTCAGGAATGTAGCTAAACTCATGCTTCCAGGCTCTGAGCAAGTAAAATCTAAACCAACATGAAAGCACCCTCTCAGCCCTTCCAGCATCCTTGGGCAGCTGCGCCGAGGAAGCTGGGACCGCATGGACTCAACACGTTCCAGATCCTGCGGCTGAACACTCAGGCTGAGCTCTCGAATTGGCAGCGCAGAAACACATCATGTCAGTTACAGCCTAGCTGCCCGAGGAAGCATCTTTCTAAGCAGGCTCATGTACAATGAGCATAAGAACTTTCTAGCAAGCCATTCCCGGTGACTGGTGCTGCTTGAGGTCTTCAGTGCTTGCCTTCTTCATGTAGAGGTGCAGAGGACGGAGAATGTCAGCTCTCATGCGGGCGGCAGGGGCCACGCTGATAGCCACACGGCCTCCACCTTTCCCTTTTCTTGTGCACATTTTCCCTTCCCTGACCTAAGACCCTTTACTCAACACCCCAGAGAATGTTTTCTATAACTAAATCCAAGGCCAAAGACTGGCAGACTCTAATGGGTACTTTTATGACTGCCATGCCACCATGACTGAGAACTTGCCTCCTTGGTCAAAGGCATTTTCTGATCTACTGGCAGGTAATATAGTTTATCTGCCTATTGATACAAGTCACCCAAGAAAATTGCCACTCATTGCCTGAAGAATTATTCCTAATTAGTACTAAAGTACTGAAAGAGGAGACTTTGTTATTTTCTGTTTCCAAAAAAAGGCCTCATGAAAGATCCACAAATATAATACACTGTTTTTATTTTATTTATTTATTTTATTTTATTTATTTTATTTTATCTTATTTTATCTTATTTTATTTTATATTTTATTTTATTTTATTTTATTTTATTTTTTTATTTTATTATTTTATTTTATTTTATATTTTATTTTATTTTATTTATTTTATTTTATTTATTTATTTATTTTATTTTATTTATTTTATTTTATTTTATTTTATTTTATTTTATTTTATTTTATTTTATTTTATTTTATTTTATTTTATTTTATTTTATTTTATATTTTATTTTGAGACAGAGTCTGCTCTGTCGCCCAGGCTGGAGTCCAGTGGCGCGATCTCGGCTCACCACAACCTCCGCCTCCCAGGTTCAAGTGATTCTCCCGCCTCAGCCTCCTGAGTAGCTGGGATTACAGGCGTGCGCTACCATGCCTGGATAATTTTTTTATTTTTAGTAGAGACAGGGTTTCACCATGTTGGTCAGGCTGGTCTCGAAACTCCTGACCTCATTATCCACCTGCCTCGGCCTCCCAAAGTGCTGGGATTACATGCGTGAGCCACTGTGCGCCACTGTGCGCGGCCTGTTTTTATTTTAAACATGAAAAATATGAAACACTTGGCTTTTGTTCCGATCACAAAGGCAATATATCTTTTATGAAATTTACGTATATTTCTATACAGTCATGCCCTGCATGACAATGTTCTTTCTGGTCAACAACGGACTGTATGTATGATGGTGGTTCCATAAGATTGTAATGGAGCTGGAAAATTCCTATCACGTAGTCGTGTTAATGTGTGATGCATTACCTTTCTGTGTTTAGATACGTTTAGATACACAGATACTTACCATTGTGCTCCAGTTGCCTAGAGTATCCAGTACTGTAGCATGCTACACAGGTATATAGCCTAGAAGCAAAAGGCTGTACCGTATAGCCTGGGTGTGCGGTAGGCTCTGCTATCTAGGTTTTTGTTAAGTACACACAAACCTAGATGGTATATTTTATTTGCACAATGAGGGAATCATCTAACAATGCATTTCTCAAATGTATCTCTGACATTAACTAATGTACAATTGTATTTTTTCTTACAGTTATGTATTATTCATAGCTCATTTATTATTATTAATAGCACAATTTATTATTATTACACACAAACCTAGATGACATATTTCATTTGCACAATGAAGGAATCATCTAACAATGCATTTCTCAGAATATATCTGTCATTAAGTAATGCATAACTGTACTTTTTCCTACAATTATTTATTATTATTATTATTGAGACAGAGTTTCTCTCTTGTTGCCCAGGCTGGAGTGCAGTGGCGCGATCTCGGCTCACTGCAACCTCCACCTCCTGGGTTCAAGCGATTCTTCTGCCTCACCCTTCTGGGTAGCTGGGATTACAGGCATGCACCACCACCCCTGGCTAATTTTTTTGTATTTTTAGTAGAGACAGAGTTTCACCATGTTGGCCAGGCTGGTCTCGAACTCCTGATCTCAGGTGATCCACCCACCTCAGCCTCCCAAATTGCTGGGATTACAGGCATGAGCCACTGCACCTGGCCTTCAATTATTTATTATTAATAGCTCATGTTTTTTTTTTGTTGATAGTACACTTTATTACTAATAGCTCATTTCATTTTCTGTGCCATTAAATATTTTTCTATAACAATATTTTTAATGGTTTTATTATATTTCATTCCATATATGTTACATAATCCAATTAATTAATTGATTTCCTGTTGTCCCCTATTTATGCTGTTTCCAAGTTATCTTTTTTAGCAATACCACACCGATGTATACTTCTCCCAGAAATGTAAGATAGTATCTATTTCCCCAAAGATCAACTACAAAGGGTATAATCATTTTTTTAAAACTTAAATCAATTTAGTAGGCATCTCATTGCTGCATCCTTTCGGTAACGTTTGTAGGGCTCACCAGATTTTCAAATATTTATTGGCCATTTGTATATTTTTTGTAAATTTTACCTTTTGCTCTTCTCCTGAAGCATTTTTTTTAAATTAATTTATTATTATTATACTTTAAGTTTTAGGGTACATGTTTACAATGTGCAGGTTAGTTACATATGTATACATGTGCCATGCTGGTGCGCTGCACCCACTAATTCGTCATCTAGCATTAGGTATATCTCCCAATGCTATCCCTCCCCCCTCCCCCCACCCCACAACAGGCCTCAGAGTGTGATGTTCCCCTTCCTGTGTCCATGTGTTCTCATTGTTCAATTCCCACCTATGAGTGAGAATATGCGGTGTTTGGTTTTTTGTTCTTGCGATAGTTTACTGAGAATGATGATTTCCAGTTTCATCCATGTCCCTACAAAGGACATGAACTCATCATTTTTTATGGCTGCATAGTATTCCGTGGTGTATATGTGCCACATTTTCTTAATCCAGTCTATCATTGTTGGACATTTGGGTTGGTTCCACGTCTTTGCTATTGTGAATAATGCCGCAATAAACATACGTGTGCGTGTGTCTTTATAGCAGCATGTGCCTGAAGCATTTTTTTTCCAATTACTTATAAGAGGTCTTAAGACTATATTATCGATGTGATATGTTGCAAATAAATTTAACATGTTGTCATCTGCCTTTAAATTGTATTTATACTACACTCCAGCCTGGGTGACAGAGTGAGACCCTGTCTCTAAAAAACCAAAATGTATTTAAAGTTATTTTTTCTTTTTTGACATATAGACAATTTTAATTTTAATGCTTTTTTTTTTTTTTTTGAGATGGACTCTCGCTCTGTCACCCAGGCTGGAGTGCAGTGGCGTAATCTCGGCTCACTGCAAGCTCTGCCTCCTGGGTTCACGCCATTCTCCTGCTTCAGCCTCCCGAGAAGCTGGGACTACAGGTGCCCGCCACTATGGCTGGCTAATTTTTTGTATTTTTAGTGGAGACGGCGTTTCACCGCGTTGGCCAGGATGGTCTCCATCTCCTGACCTCGTGATCCGCCCAGCTCGGCCTCCCAGAGTGCTGGGATTACAGGTGTGAGCCACCGCACCCGTCCAATTTTAATGTTATCAACATTGCTGAAGCCCGAAAAAAGTAAAAAAATGTGTAAGCTGCTATCTCTGTCTTTAAGGAACCTACAATCCAATTGTGGAAATAAGAGATAAACGCATGTAGAATAAACAATGCAATATCTTAAAGCAGCAGCTTTTCACAAAGAAAGGGAGTAGCCACCAGGAGATAGGCTTGCCCAGAGTACTAAAAAGCCCCTTTGGCTGGGCACCATGGCTCATGGTGTGCGTCTGTAGTCCCAGCTACTTGGGAGGCTGAGGTGGGAGGATTGCTTGGGCCTGGGAGATTGAGGCTTCAGTGAGCTGAGATCGCGCCACTGCACTCCAGCCAGGGCAAAAGTGCAAGACCCTGTCTCAAAAATAAATACATAAATAAACAAAAATGAAAAGCCCCTTAGATGCTATTGATCATCACTCTTCCCCTCCCTTAGTTGGTAACCAGAGGTCTCAATGTAACTGGACAGGAATAAAGAGTGTCTCCAAGTGGTGTGTAATTAATATGTGATACTTGGGCCTCCCCTTCTGACACCTGGAGACATTTTCTCTTTTCTGGTCGACAGACTGCATACCTGTGCCAGTACCTTTGATAATATCAGTGATCTAAACTGTTTATTTATGGTTTGTGAAAAGTTAGAAAAGTATCTTGAAAAGAATTTTGGAGGAAAGAGAGTGAACATTAACTCTAATGATTTTCTTTTTTGTATCCTTGAAATTATATTGTGTTGTGTTTAAGCACTGAGGGTTTTGCTGGTCTTTGTGTCTCTCTTAGTATCTTGTAGAGTACCCAGCACATTTGTCAGAATTTGTGATGCGGTTTAAAGACTCAAAGCCAATGAGACCTGGTTATCTGTGGGGTGCTGCTGTGGCATGAATGTTTGTGTCTCTCCAAAATTTATGTTATAACATAATCCTGGCCAAGCACGATGGCTCACACCTGTAATTCCAGTGCTTTGGGAGGACGAGGTGGAAAGATTGCTTAAAGCCTGGAGTTCAAGGCCAGCCTGGGCAACATAGTGAGACCCCTGTCTGTACTAAAAATTTAAAAAATTAGCTGGGCATGGTGGTGTGTGCCTGTAGTCCCAGTTACTTGGGAGGCTGAGGTGGGAGGATCACTTGAGCCTGGGAGATTGAGTCTGCAGTGAGCTATGATTGTGCTACTGCACTCCAGCCTGGGCAACAGAGCGAGACCCCGTATCAAATAAAAAAAAAATTTAAAAAAAGAAAGAAAGGAAAAACCCACCAAATGCAATTGTGTTAGGAGATGGAGGTTTTAGGATTTGATCATGAGGGCTCTGTCCTCCTGAGTGGAATTAGTGCCCTCATAAAGCTCAAGGAAGCCTGTTGGGCCTTTTTGCTGTTTTGGTATAGGCTGACACAGCACTCATGTCTTCAGCCACCTGAGAGCTCGGCATGGAAGCAGAAGGCAAGCCCTTACCAGACACTGAACCTGCCAGTGCCTTGCTCTTGGACTTCCCAGCCTCCAGAACTGTGCAAAATAAATTTCTATTATTATAAATTATCCAGTCTAAGGTATTTTGTGAGGGCAGCGTGAACTAAGGCAAGCGCGTACGGTGCGAGGATTCAAGGGGCGAGGAGTGCGGTTAAATAACCTGGCTGCAGGAATCAGGAACAGAAATTTGAGCGGGCAGTTGCCCAAGGTAATGCAGGCCTGGGTGGTGGGGGATGGATGGAGGCCTCCCCGTGATACATTCCTCTGGATCGTTCTGCAGAGCAGCAGGAGGCCTCTAGAGAGCAGAAGCTTTTTCACGTTAGATGGACTTCAGCCAGTGGGGTGCTGGTAAATGTTTAACAACTGGGTCTCTGGGGAAGCATAGTCCTGGTTTGAAGCATTTGCTGATTTCCGTGGTATAAATACTCCCAGTGTGGAGTATTGCAAGCCCCCACTGTGAAGGAAGTCACTGAATGTGCAAGTGGAAAGAGATGCGTGCCATGGGCTCTAGTGAGTTGGTGTGAGCTGACCGCATCTTGTTTCTGTGCAATCTATTCATTTATTCTTTCATTCATGGCAGGACCACAAGTAGTTCTTGAGGCAGGAGCCAGTGGGGGCGGAATTTAGCATCCCATGGGAGGCCAGGAGCACAAAGCAGACAGTGTGTCCAAGCACCAGCCCCACACGCTGGAATCGGGGCTTGGCTTAGAGGCAGGAAGACATGGTGCTAAGTTGAAAAGCTGGGGCAAGTTTCAGTCATGACAGTGGGGGAGGAAGACTGATTGAGGGGCTGCAGTGGGGCCCAGCACTCTTCCCTGGCCAGTTTCAAAACTGATGTCATGATCTAGCAATTGATGTCCTTGAAGCTCTGGATGTCTGTTCTCCCCTGCTCAGACCTGGCTCAGATACAAACAAGGGTTATGAGGGAGAGAACAGCAGGGAGCCCGAAACCAGGGGCCAGGCAAGATAAGGACTTCAGTAAACACCCAGCACATGAATCTGATGTCTTCATTTACCCACAAATGAGGGAATGGAGTATTCCTATTATTACAATATTTCACCCTTATGAGGAGTTAGATTATCACCTAATTTATTCAACCAACAAATATTTTTAGATGAACAAGAGAGACAAGAGTTTGCTTTTGTGGAGGCTGCATTCTTGTGGAGGAGACAGATAACAGACCATTTATAATAGTACCAAATTGTTTCTGATCGAGACAAAGGCTAGGAAAGGCTGAGGGAGGGGTGGCAGATCTGGGACAGGAGATGTGTCCCTTTATACAAGGTGGTTGTGTTCTTTCTGAGGAGATATTGGGGCTGAGCAAGAACAATGAGAAGGGACCCATCATTCAAAGAGCGAGGGGCAGAGGCAGAAGACAAGGCAAGTGCCAAGGTTTTGAGGCAGGAAGAACAGGAAAGGAAGCCCAGCCTTTTTGGGGAGAAGACAGGAGGGTGGAAAGCCGAAGTGTGGTGAGAGAGAGGGTGGGACAAGATGAAGTCAGAGAGATGGTGAGCTCCTGATCTGTGGGGCCTTGAAGGTCAAATGAACAGTTTGAATTTGGTTCTAGGTGAAATGGAAAGTCCCCTAGGCAATGCCATTTTCCTGGTTCATGGACTCAGACTGGGAAAATGGCAATGCCTGGGAGGTCCACCCCATCCCCTGACTTACTGAATAAGAATATAAGAATCTGGTTTTTTGTTTGTTTGTTTGTTTTTCTTGTTTTTATTTTTTTTGAGACAGAGTCTTGCACTGTTGCCAGGCTGGAGTGCAAGGGCGTGCTTTTGGCTCACTGCAACCTCTGCCTCCTGGGTTCAAGCGATTCTCCTGCCTCAGCCTCCTGAATAGCTGGAACTACAGGCACGCACGACCACGCCAGCTAATTTTTGTATTTTTAGTAGAGATGGGGTTTCCCCATGTTGGCCAGGATGGTCTCCATCTCTTGACCTTGTGATCCGCCCGCCTTGGCCTCCCAAAGTGTTGAGATTACTGGCGTGAGTCACCGCACCTGGCCAATAATCTGTTTTAACCAGGTCCCTAGATGGTTCTCATGTACTGTAATGATCTGCTCAGGGTGTCATAACAAAATACCATAGACCGGGTGGCTCAGACAGCAGACATTTATCTTCTCACACTTCTGTAGGCTGGAACTTCAAGATAAGGGTGCTAGCATGGTCAGGGGCTGGGGAGGGCCCTCTCCCTGGCTTGGAGAAGTTCACCTTCTGACTGTGCCCTCACATGGCAGAGAGAGAGAGAGAGAGAGAGATTTCTCTCTCTTTTCCTCTTCTTATAAGGCCATAGTCTTATTGGATTAGGTCCCCACTCTTCTGACTTCATTTGACCTTAATTAGTTCCTAAAGACCTTGTCTCCAGATGTCCCCTTGGAGAATAGGGCTTACACATATCAATTTGGGAGTGGGAAACAATTCAGTCCTTAGCTTGTACATTGCTTTTGAGCAGCACTGATCTAATATTACTAATTCTCAAACTTCAGCGTGCATAAAAATCACCTGGAGGAATTGATGAAACCCAGAGTCTTGGGCCTTCGTGGATTCTTATTCGGTTGCTCTGAATCTGATTCAATAGTTTCACCCAAGGGTTTTCATTTCTAGGAAGCTTCTCGATGCTGATACTGCCAGTCCATGGGCCATACTTTGAGTAGCACCAAATTAGACAATAAATTTGGGTAACCAATTTTCAAAAAAGTAAAATATCATAAGATAATCTAAAGTTAATCTTTTAAAAAATTCAGCTGTTCTGAAGATGTTTCATATTTATAAAATTTTTAAGCATCATTTATTTTTAAATTATATGCAATCATGCTGCATAATGACATTTTGGTAATAGATAGATATGCTAGGGTGGTCCCATAAGATTATAACAGAGCTGAAAATTCCTATCCCCTAGTGATCATAGCTGTCATAATGTCAAAGTGCAATGCATTACTCGTGTGCTTGTGTGATGCTAAGGTTAATGTATTGCTGAAGAAAGAGAAATTTTTAAAAATACCCTTAGCGTAGCCTAAGTGTGCTGTGTTTATGAAATCTACAGTCATGTACAGGAATGTCCGAGGCCTTCACATTCACTCATTCACTGGCTCACCCAGAGTGACTTCCAGTCCTGCAACCTGCATTCATGTTTAAGTGTCCTATATAGGTGGACCATTATTTATCTTTTTTTATTTTTATTTTTTGAGATGGAGTTTCGCTCTTGTTGCCCAGGCTGGAGTGCAATGGTGTGATCTCGGCTCGCCGCAACCTCCGCCTCCCAGGTTCAAGCGATTCTCCTGCCTCTGCCTCCCGAGTAGCTGGGATTACAGGCATGCGCCACCACACCCGCTAATTTCCATTTTTTTTTTTTTTTTTAGTAGAGACGCGGTTTCTCCATGTTGGTCAGGCTGGTCTTGAACTCCTGACCTCATGTGATCTGCCCACCTCGGCCTCCCAAAATGCTGGGATTATAGGCGTGAGCCACCATGTCCAGTCTATTCATCTTTTTTCATACTTTTACTGCAACTTTTCTATGTTTAGAAATGCAAATACTTACCATTGTGTTCTAATTGCCTACAGTATTCAGTATAATCACCCGCTGTAAAGGTTTGTAGCCTGGTAACAATAGGCTACACCGTGTAGCCTAGGCGTGGAGTAGGCTGCGCCATCCAGGTTTACAGACGTGCACTTTATGATGTTCCCACAATGACAAAATCACCTAATGATGACGTTCTCAGAATGTGTCTGTCGTTAAGCAACACGTGTATATGTATTTAAATTTTTAATTTTAACTGATTTGTTGTTATTCTGGCTAAGTGGAATTTTACTTAGGTACTTTCCTTTGATCACCTGAAAGTGCTTTGCAAGCATTTTGTTAACCCTCAGATCTACTCCAGGGAGGATAGTAAATAAAAAATTAAATGTGGAGAATCGACAGTGTTTTGGGTCACAGGTTTCTAAAACTGGTAATCAAACCAAATAAAGGTGCTTATATGTCAGTCGTGGTTTCTCCTGGTAATCGGCAGCAGCTAACTTAGTTCAGTTCTTCAAACACTGCAAGTTGTGAAGTTTAGCAACAATGATTTACAAAAGCTGCATTGTTTTTATTATACCACCATTTTACCTAATTATTTCTGGTATAAACCCCAGTGGAAACAATGCATGTTTTGTTATAAAATTCCAGCCAGAAACTTTGGACCTCAGACAAGAAGGAAATTTTGGCAACGCTTCCAGGGTAAAACTCTGGTATGCAAATTCCTACATACATAAAATGAAGAATTAATGTAAAATGTCGTGCCAAGAGCACACTACTTAATATTTGCACATTTCCTATTAAAACTAACTTGCTTGGAGGATAACTGTTGTTTCTTTTTTCCCTATGATTAAAAAAATGTTATTTCAATCATTGTCAGATACAACTCATTTTGAAGTGTATCATTTCAAAATTCACCTAAAGAAATGTTTAAGAGGCCAGGTTCAGTGACTCACGTAATACCAGTACTTTGAGATGCTTGAGGCAGGCAGAGAGTTTGAGCCCAAGAATTCAAGACCAGCCTGGGCAGCAAGGTGAAACCCTGTCTCTACAAAAAATACAAAAATTAGCCCGACGTGGTGGCATGCTTGCAGTCCCAGCTACCTGTGAGACTGAGGCAGGAGGATTGCTTGAGCCCGGGAAGTTGAGGCTGCAGTGAGCCATGATCGTGCCACTGCTCTCCAGCCTGGGTGACTGATTGAGACCCTGCCTCAAAAATAAAATAAAATAAAAATAAATAAATAAATAAATAAATAAAAGAACTGTTTAGGAGCAAGGACAATGTATTTGCAGTTGGAAAAGACTGTTCCTTTAAACAAAAGTTCAATGCTATTAAATTTGTTAATAGAATGCTATTAACAAATTTATCTTGATGAACACTCTGTCCCCAAAATGCAACTTATAGTTTTGAAGATAATTGGGAAAGGAGATAGTGCTGTAAGCTTCACAGAGAGGTTTTTCTTCCGTGACAGTTTTTTAAATTAAACTTTTCATTTTGAGACAATTGTAGATTCACATGCAGTTTAAGCAGTAGTTCAGTGAGATCCCATTTGCCTTAACCCCCAACAACCACAAATGTGTTTTCCAGTTCCATAATTTTGTCCTTTCTAGAATGTTATATAAATGGAATCATTCAGTATGTAATTTTTTAGGACTGATCTATGCCAGTCAGCATGATTCTCCAGATTCATCCAGGTTGCAGTGTGTATCAACAGCACATTCCTTTTTTTTTTCTTTTTTTTTTTTTTTTTTTGAGATGGAGTTTTGCTCTGTCATCCAGGCTGGAGTGCAATGGCACGATCTTGGCTCACTGCAACCTCTGCCTCCCAGCTTCATGTGATTCTCCTGCCTCAGCCTCCTGAGTAGCTGAGACTACAGGTGTGCACAATCACGCCCAGCTAATTTTTTGTATTTTTAGTAGAGATGGGGTTTCACCATGTTGGTCAGGCTGATTTCGAACTCCTGACCTCAGGTGTCCCACCCATCTCGGCCTCCCAAATTGCTGGGATTACAGGCGTGAGCCACCGCACGTGGCCAGCACATTTCTTTTTATTGCTCAGTAGTATTTCATAGTATGAATGTATCCCGGATTGTTTAGTCACTCATCCACTGAAGGTTATCTGGGTTCTTGCTAGTTTTTGGTTATTATGAATAAAGCTGCTATAAACATTTGTGCACAGGCTTTTGTGTGCACTCAAGTCTTCATTTCTCTGGGATAAATGCCCAGAATGCAGTTACTGGGTTGTGTGGTAGTTACTTGTTTAGATGGTTAAGAAACTACCACGCTGTTTTCCAGAGTGGCCATATGAGTTTACATTCCCACCAGCAATGTATGAGTGATGCGGTTTTCCTGCATCCTTGCCAGCATTTGGTGGTGTCACTTTTTAAAATTTTTAACCATTCTGATTGGAGTATAGTGATAGCTCACTGTGGTTTTAGTTTGTATTTCCCTAATGGCTAATACTGTTGAACATCTTTTCATTGGCCTGTTTTCCAGCTTTATATATTATGTAGTGAAATGTCTGTGTATATGTTTTGCCATGTTGTAATTGGATGGTTTACTTTTTTTTTTGAGATGGAGTCTTGCTTTGTCGCCCAGGCTGGAGTGCAGTGGTAGGATCTCGGCTCACTGCAAGCTCCACCTCCTGGGTTCATGCCATTCTCCTGCCTCAGCCTCCCGAGTAGCTGGGACTACAGGTGCCCACCACCATGCCCGGCTAATTTTTTTTAATTTTTTAAATTTTTTTACTTTTTTTTTATTTTTAGTAGAGACGGAGTTTCACCAGGATGGTCTCTATCTCCTGACCTAGTGACCCACCTGCCTTGGCCTCCCAAAGTGCTGGGATTACAGGCATGAGCCACCACACCTGGCCGGATGGTTTGCTTTTCTACTGTTGAGTTTTAAAAATTCTTTGTGTATTCTAGATACTCGTGCTTTGCCAGACGTGTGGTTTGTAAATACTTTCTACCACTCTGTAGCTTGCCATTTTATCTTTGTAATAGAGTCTTTCATGGAGCAAGAGTTTTTAGTTTAGATGCAGAGAAATTTATCAACTTTTAATTTGATAGATCATGCATTATGTGTCAAGTCCAACTCTTTGTTTAGCCCTAGGCCCTGAAGATTTTTTCCTAAAAGTTTACAGTTTTACACTTCAAATTTAAATCTATGATCCATTTTGAGTTAATTTTTGTATAAAATGTGAGACTTAGGTTTAGGGTTCAGTTTTTGCCTATGGATGTCCAATTGCTTTGTTTTTCAATTTGTTGAAAAAAAGTGGTTCTTGCTCCAATGAATTGTTTTTGCACCTTCATCAAAAATTAGTTGGTTATATTTGAATCGTTCTTTTTCTGGGTTGTTAACTCAGTTCCTTTGATTTATGTGTCTGTCCTTCCACCAATACACACAGTCTTAATTACTGTAGCTCTATAGTAAGTCCTGAAATTGAATAGATAGATTCCTCTGCCTTTTTTCTTCTTTTCCAAAATTGTTTTGGCTGTTTTAGTTCCTTTACCTTCCCACAGGAATTTTATAATAATTTTGTCTATATCTACAAAAAATTTTGCAGGAATTTTGATAGAAATTGCATTAGACTTGTATATCAATTTGGGCAGAATTGACATCTTTACTATATTCATTACTTCCAATCCATGGACATAGTATATATATCTCCATTTACTTAGGTCTTACTTGATGTCCTTCATCAGCATTTTGTAGTTTCAGCATACAAAGTCCCATACAAGTTTTGTTAGATTTATACCTAGGTATTTCATTTTTGAGCAATTGTAAATGTTACTGTATTTTTAATTTCCATGTCTGCATATTCATTGCATTCATTGATAGCAATTACATTTTGTATGTTTATCTTGTATCTTGTAAGCTTGCTGATCTCATTTATTAGTTCTAGGAGTTTTTTTGGTAGTAGATTCTTTGGGATTTTTATGTAATCATTTCCTCCGAAAATAGAGGTAGTTTTTTTTTCTTTCTAATCTGTATCCCTTTCACTTCTTTTTCTTGCCTTGTTGTATGACTAGAACTTCCAGCACTATGTTGAGAAGAAGTGATGAGAGTGGATATCCTTGCCTTCTCCTGGTCTCAGGGGGAAGCATTCAGTTTTTCACAAGTAAGTATATTAGATATAGATGTTTGTAGATGTTTTTTATCAATTTGAGGAACTTCCCCTCTAATGTATTTGTTTATATTTTAAAATTTAGAAATTTAGATTATATGAACATTACAGGAGTTTTTTTCTCTTTCTTTTTCTTTTTAATATGATGACAATCATGTTTTTCAAGTTTTTTTCTCAAGTTTACAAAAGTACTTTTGTCATCTATTCCCACCCAAAGGATGTTGTATTGTTGTTTTGCTATTCTTGGATTTGTTATGGAATGTGCTGCTTACACAGAGGAAATGTTGGCTATCAATCTTAAGCTAACTCACTAAGAATGAAAATAAGTCTCAGGTCATAGTTTGGCTAGTGAAGGACCCATTTCTTTATGGCTTTGGGTATAACACAGAAAAGATGTTGGGAAATAAAGGGAAAGGGATTGTGGGTTCAGTGACCATTCTTCTGTCTCTGCTCAGCCCCCTGCCTCCCAGGCCTACAGAGAGCTGGCATTACAGTCTAAACTCCAGAGTCAGAGATATCTTTCCTCCTGACCCTAATTTCCTTGGGGCCACTTGGCACTGCAGAGCTCAAGCAAAGTGCGTGTTCATCTCTGACTCCTGCCTGAACACTCCAAAGTCTTTTTCCTCCAGGTCAGGGATTTTGTTTTGTTTTGTTTGTTTTGTTTTGTTTTTGCTCAGCCTGTTCAATGAGAGCTGCAGGACAAGAAGCCCCGCAGTGTTGCTTTCCTTTTTTTCCATCTTAGACTTTCCAGGCCTGCAAGTGTTTAAGTATACCTCTACTGCTTGTCTGCTAAGCCTCGCACGTCACATAACTCTCCTGGGTGTTTGATTTTTGCTTTAAAAAGATGAGCCTCCATCTGAGTTCCTACCAACCACAAAGTGAAATGAAAATCTGGCAAAGTTCAATCCTATAGATGTGAAGTGGTGGGGGGTTTGTTTGCTTCTTCAGTTTGTTTGCTTTAATTATGCAGGTGGGCTTTCTACATTAATCAAACTTCTTTGGTACCTCCCAGTCCCAGACCCCTTTTTTAGCTCTGGTTTGTGTTAACATAGAACTCACCATATGTATGTCCTTGGGGTGTCATTTTGTTCTCCAATTTTATTATCTTCTGTTTAAGCAGTGAAACTCCAAGTGGAGCTACTACCCAGGATCACAATATGAGAAGAACAGTTCATAGCTGCAAAGCATTATGGAAACAAAAAGTCCCCTTTAACTGCATAATGTCCCCGATTTACTCCTGGTAATTTTAGTGGCTTTCTTCTGAGAAGCTCAAAGCATTTCACAGTCTTTATTTGGCCACTGGCAGATTTCATAACGTGCGACATGTACCAGGATTGACAGTCATTCCCATGTGCAGTTCTGCATTTTATTGATAGGATGCTTTACATAATTTTGAATGAAAACAGCCTACAGACCTTTGGTATATTTGATATATGAAAACAGCCTGCAGACCTACAGCCTTATGTACTTCAGCCTACAGACCTTTGGAATATTTTTGGCTTCGAGAGGAGCACTTATATTTGTTGCCTTGGTAATGAATATTTCCTCAATTGCTCAAAGTGATCGATATTTTTAAAAAACACTAACAAAGACCCCATGTCTCTGGAACTGATTAGAAATGTAAAGGGAGTTGTTAGTCCTCCTCAGCCAAAAGGAGATGGATAAAAATCTCCTTGGAGTTAGATGAAAGATCTGGGCAACTGTTCACTGTGGCTAAGCCTTAGTACATCTGTGTCTTGAGGTTCAGCAAAGTGATATCTCTACTAAGATGGATAACTTCAGATATTATTTGGTGTGGACTGTATCCTACAAGAGGCTTACAGAACCTAAGATTGAGTTTTGCAGGACTAGAAGGAAAATACCTCTGAATTGTCTTCAATTATAAATTGCTTCCTTAGAGGGGGGTTAAGATTAAAAATACATTTACAACAGCTACAAAAAAGATACCTAGGAATAAGTTTAACCAAGAAAGTGAAAGATCTCTACAATGAAAACTATAAAATGCTGATGAGAGAAATGAAAGAAGACACAAATAGAAAAATATCCGTGTTCACAGATTGTAAAAATTAACATTATTAAAATGTCCATACTACCCAAAGAATCTACAGAATCAACCCAACCCTATCAAAATACCAATGACATTCTTCACAGAAATAGAAAAAAAAATCCTAAAATTTATATGGAACTACACAAGACCCTGAATAGCCAAAGCAATTTTGAGCAAAAAGAACAAAGCTGGAGGCATTACACCACTGAACTTCAAAATATACTACAGAGCTATAGTCATCAAAATAGCATGGTATTGGCATAGAAACAGACACATAGACCAATGGAACAGAAAAGAGGGCCCAGAAATAAATTCACACATTTGTAGCCAACTGTTTTCTGACAAAAATGCCACAAACACACATTGGGGAAAGGATAGTCTTTTCAACAAATGTTGCTGGGAAGATGATATCCACATGCAGAAGAATGAAGCTAGAGCCCATATACAAAAATCAACTCAAAATGAACGAAGGACTTAAATGGAAAAGCTGAAATGATAAAACTACTACTGTAGAGTAAAACATCAGGGGAATACTTTATGACATTGATCTGGTCAAGAATTTTTTGGGTAAGACCTCAAAAGCACAGGCCACAAAACCAAAAATAGACAAATGGGATTATGTCAAACCAAAGAGCTTCCGTATAGCAAAAGAAACAAGAAACAGAGTGAAAAGACAACCTACAAAATGGAAGAAAATATTGGCAAACTATGCATCTGACAAGGGGTTAATTTCCAGAATATATAAGGAATTCAAACAACTCAATGACAAGCAATAACAACAAACCAAAACCAACAAAAAACAACACGGATGTGGTAGCTCACACCTGTAATCAAAGCACTTTGGGAGGCCAAGGCGGGCAGATCGTCTGAGGTCAGGAGTTCGAGACCAGCCTGACTAACATGGAGAAACCCTGTCTGTAATAAAAATACAAAATTAGCTGGGCGTGGTGGTGCATGCCTGTAATCCCAGCTACTTGGGAGGCTGAGGCAGGAGAATTACTTGAACCTGGGCGGTGGAGGTTGCAGTGAGCCGAGATCTCACCGTTGCATTCCAGCATGGGCAACAAGAGCAAAACTCCATCTCAAAAAGAAAAAAAAACTCAACCTAAATAATCTTAAAAAAAAAATGGGCAAAAGACCCAAATAGACATTTCTTGAAAGAAGATGTACAAATGGCCAACAGTTACATGAAAAATGCTCAATATCACAAATCATCAGAGAAATGGAAATCAGAACCACAAATGAGATATCACTTCACCTCAATTGGAATGGCTATTATCAAAAAGACAAAAAGTAACAAAGGCTGGCATGAAGAAAGAGGAACACTTATACACTATTGGTGGGAATGTAAATTAGTACAGCCATTATGGAAAACAGTATGGAGGTTCCTCAAAAAATTAAAAGTATAATTACCATATCATCCAGCAATTCTGCTTCTGGGCATACATCTGAAGGAAATGACATCAGTAACACTGAAGAGATATCTGTGCTCTTATGTTTATTGCAGCACTATTCCCAACAGCCAAAACATGAAATCAATCTAAGTGTCCATCAACAATGAGTGGATAAAAAAATATAGTACGTACACACAGTGAAATACTATTCAGTTATAAGAAAGAATGAAATCCAGTCATTTGTGGCAGCATGGATGAACCTGGAGGACATTATCTTAAGTAAAATAAGCCACAGAAAGATGAATACCACATGTGCTCACTCATATGTAGAATCTAAAGAAGTTGATCTCATAGAAGAGGAGAGTAGGATAGTGGTTACCAGAGGCTGGGGAGGGTAGTGGGGAAGTGAGGATAGGGAGAGATGAATCAATGGGTACAAAGTTACTGTTAGATTGGAGGAATAAATTCTAGTGTTCTATTATACAGTAGGGTGACTATGGTTCACCATATTGCACTGTATTATTTCCAAACAGCTAGAAGAGAGGATTTTGAATGTTCTATCCACAAAGAAATGATAAATGTATGAGGTGATGGATATGCCAAATACCCTGATTTGATTATCATGCAATGTATTCACGTATGGAAACATCACACTGTACTCCATAAATATGTACAGTTACTATGTGATAATTAAAAAATAAATGATACATGTTGAGTATCCCTAATTTGAAAATCTGAAATGCTCCAAAATCCAAAACTTTTTGAGCATCAACATGATGCTCAAAGGAAATGGTCATCGGAGCATTTTGGACTTTGGATTTTCACATGAGGGATGCTTAACTGGTAAGTACAGTGCAAATATTCTAATATCCCCAAAAGCCAAAACCCAAACACTTCTGGTCACAAGAATCTCAGATAGGGAATCCTGAACCTGTATAACAACAACAACAACAAATGAATAAATAAAGGACTAAAAATACCCCTAACTTTAAAAGAAAGAACATTCTTATAGCTCAAGGCAATGTAATGGCAGCACAGATTGCTCGTTCACTGTGGCCAAGCTGACCATAGAAAGTGGCGTCAATCCACCTACCAGACGTACTGGCACCAACTTTGCATGGCTAGCACCTAGAGCTTTAAGCAAAATGATGTTAGTTTTTGACTGGTGTCACACCTCTCGGACAGTAAAGAAAAGGATGACTCTCCCAGATAAATGGTCATTCACGAAGCTGTTTTATTTATTGATGCTGCTTTTATCAATAGCAAATAGCATGCATTTATAAGAGGTGCCCACAAACAAGATTCTTATGGGCACATTTCTGTCTTTCTGTCAGGTTTTTCATTTCTGGAAAAACAGCAGCTAATGACTATTTCTAGTGTTGAAAAGTGGGGCAAGTTGGTGTAGCCACAACTCAAGTTTGTGCCCAGGGACAAAGGTAGGGTAGCTGAAAAGTGTGTGAAGATAAAATTCAAGAGAAACAGGCATCTAGGAAAGGTGGATAATAGCAAGTGTAAAAAGAAAAGAAATAATAGCTGTAATCACAGGTGGAATTAGAAATGCACATTTGTCTTTTGAGAAAATTAGAAATGCTCATGGCGGCGGGGCACGGTGGCTCACGCCTGTAATCACCAGCACTTTGGGAGGCTGAGGCCGGCGGATCACGAGGTCAGGAGATCAAGACCATCCTGGCTAACACGGTGAAACCCCATCTCTACTAAAAAAAAATTATATATTTATAAATATATGTGTGTGTGTGTGTGTGTGTGTGTATATATATATATATATATATATATATATATATATATATATATGTATATATAATTAGCTGGACGTGGTGGCAGGCGCCTGTAATCCCAGCTACTCAGGAGCCTGAGGCAGGAGAATGGCCTGAACCAGAAGGTAGAGCTTGCAGTGAGTCAAGATCGCACCACTGCACTTGGCAGAGCGACAGAGCGAGACTCCCTCTCAAAAAAAAGAAATGCTTATAGCATGTTTCATTCCCTTTCTTGCATATGTTAACCCCATTTAGATTCTACCCATATCTCTGCACAAATGGCCTCTTCCTAGATGGTCTGGCCAGCTGACCCTGATTACTGCGATCCAGAGAATACAGAATCAGGACCACGAATCTGACTCTATGGTGGACCACATTTGGTACATAGTGATAGTTATGTTTTTTGTGTTCACGTCTTATTTCCTTATCAATATTGTATGCTTCCTAAGAGCAGAGTCAGTCTTTCAGTTCTTGTTAGTTTGATATTTTGCACCAAGCAGTGCTAGTAAATATTTCAAATGGATGATGGTTGAAATAAAAAAGAATGGGCCAGGTGCGGTGGCTCACGCCTGTAATCTCAGCACTTGGGGAGGCCGAGGCGGGAGGATCATGAGGTCAGGAGATCGAGACCATCCTGGCTAACACGGTGAAACCCCATCTCTACTAAAAATACAAAAAAAAAAAAAAATTAGCCAGGCGTGGTGGTGGGCGCCTGTAGCCCCAGCTACTCAGGACACTGAGGCAGGAGAATGGCGTGAACCCAGGAGGCAGAGCTTGCAGTGAGCCAAGATCGCGCCCAGCCTGGGCGACAGAGCAAGACTCAGTCTCAAGAAAAAAAAAAAGAAAAAGTAGTCAAAGCTGAGAACTTAAAGAAAAAGAAAATGTGCTCAGCTTCATTGTATATAGATTGCATGAGAAAGAAATGCACTGTTTGGGGTTCTAGTGCTGCTTGCATTCTGTCTCTGTGTGAATAATGTTTCAGAATGCACCCATGAAGCAGTATAAAAACATCATTACTGCCCTGTTTCATTACAGTGAACATTGCTGTATACTTGCAAGCTGGTAAATATGTCAAGTTTTAGGATCGATTTCAATGTACTGATCATATCCTGAGCAGTCAAAGAGTAATTGGGGAAGGCAAGATGGTTTTATAGCAAATGACTACAGGAACTCTTACCTGCATTTCTTCAGATTATCATTTTACTATGCAATGTTTCATTAGCTAATTGTTATTGAGACAATGGAGGAATCGATTCCAAAACAGTCAATTACTTAGTCCAATTTTGGTAATAAAAACATTCTATGAATTGAAATATAGTTTACTCTGAAAGGAAATCCTACCTCCCTGGAGGCTGTTAAATGGTTTGAGGAAAATGGTTCCACCACTGGTCTTTTTGTTGCAACATCATATGTTGGAAAAAATACACTTAATTATATTGGTTCACTCTAAAAACTTTCTGGTGCAAACTGCCAGGATATTAGCAAAGAAAAACTTGCATGCAGGAGTTAAACAGAGGGGAACCTAGGTTCCAGAGAGGAGATAGGGTACCCCTAAAGAGGGACGCAGCAGACCTGACAGCCTCGATCTTTAGACTGAACTCAGTTGTCATTCTATTACTTCATGCAGCAAAAACTACAAATAACCAAACAGTGACTCAGAAGGGCCCCTCATATAGTTTAGGAAATGTATCTTTTGTTAGGGTGCAAAACTACTGAGGTCTTTGGAAATCCCTAAATTGTAAACTGTTGTTTTTCAATTAGTAATTTGATATTTTTAGTAGTAAAATTGCATATTCTATTGAACAGTTACTAGATGAGCAGAATATGAATGTTCTACTTAAAGAAAAAAAAAAAGCTTTTTGATTGCTTTTGTGAAGGCCTGCAGATGAACCACTGTCATAAAACAATGTGTTCAGGAAGCCTCAATACTCTTGAAAGATGTCGTTTGCCACTGTTGTCTTTTTTTTTTTTTTTTTTTTTTTTGGTCATGCATTTAAGACAAATCCTCTGTCCTAGCACCACCGTCACTCACCAAGCAGCTTAGAAAGAATGTTTTCTTGGGACTTAAAAACGCTGAATGTGGCAGCTCAATTCTTTTTGCTGTCGAAAATAGTTTAAATATTTTATTTCTCTTTTAATTTGCTGTTTTCTCTAACCCCCACCACAGAGATATGTGTGCACGCGTGCCACACACACACGCACATGTCTGAGCCCCATTTTGACACTGGCCCCGAGCTTCAGCCTGTGTTGTGTTTTACGGTCTGACTGGTTGCACAGAAAGGATCTAGGGCCACCTGTGTCCTTTATCTGCGTGTTGCATCTGAAGGTCTCCAGGGCAGTGTTTGCTCATGAGGATTGAGTCTGCAAGTGACCTGTTTGTTTGAGGAAGCAGAAGAGCTTGTCTAAGCACCGAAAACATCCCTCAAGCTGCTGCTCTCTGTCTCCATAATGGGGCCCAGCAGCAGCGCCTACCACCTAGGGGTTCTCTGGTCAGTGGTATTCTCCCGAGACGCGTTCTGTCCGGGAGCAATAATAAATACCAAGCTGTGAAACCGGCCTTTGTGAGATATTTGAATTGCTTATGACTTTAGAGCCTGGCTCTGAAAGAACAGAACAGCTTCATATCAACTGTGTTTTTGTTAACTTGATGAAATTGGAAGCAATGTAATATTCAAAGAGTTTATAGTATTATTTATTTCTCTGCATTATACCTCTTTGAGATCATCTGTAGTCCCTTTTATACTGCTGAGTACATAGTAGATACTAAATTTAATATTGTTGGAGCTTAACTTTTGCAAAGAGTAAAAATGTTTTGTTCTATATTACAAAGAGTATGGCTGCCTACCACTTTTTCAAATTATTTAAAAATAAAGGATACAAAATAGTATATTCTTTTTAATTTTTATTTAATTAATTAATTTTTTTTTTTTTAGAGACGAGGTCTCACTCTGTTGCCCAGGCTGGTCTTGAACTCCTGGTCTCAAATGATCCTCTCACCTTGGCTTCCCAAAGTGCTGAGATTTCAGGCATGAGCTACTGCGTCCAGCTACAAAATACTATTCTCTATTTGTGGTAGATGAATTGAATTAATGACCCCAATCCATCCTGTGTCTATGCCCTTTGCGATGTGCTTTGGAGTTTTTCCCATCAAGAGATGGAACATAGTTCTCTAGTGTTGGGTTCTGAGTTTGGGCCTGTAATTTTGGCTAAAGAGGTATTAGCAGATTCGAGGTAAGTAGATTCTTGAAAAAGTGCCTGCACAGTTCTGTCTCCTTTCTTTTTCACATGAGAACATATCCATGCTTGAAAATGAGACCGGTCACCTGAGTTGTCTCAGCTGAGGCTGTCCTAGGCTAGCTGACAGCCAGCTCCCTACTATCAGACATATGAATTAACCCAGCCAAGATCGGCAGAGATGCCAAACCAATTTTGGGTGACTGTCATTGTTTGAGTAAGCCCAGCCACGCCCTGAAAAAGTGCCCAGCTGACCATAGACTCATGAGCTAAGCAAGTGCTTATTACTTTACACCACTGGGTTTTGGAATGTTTGCTACCCAGCATTTTTGTGGCAGTAGATTACTAATAAAATATTGAACACGACGCAGCTTTTCTTCAATTCAGGAGAATTTCACACAAGAGTAATTGTTATGAAAATTCATATTTTTTTTGTCCAGCTATGAACATAAGGAAAGTGTAGGAGGTAGAGTTGAATCTGCAGAGACCTTCTTAACATCATGACTGTAAATTTATTTCTAGACAAAGTTTTAGTGGATGGGCATGATAAACATAAGGGACGTTTATCATAGAAAATATTAAAAGTGTGGTCATATGAAAAAATGTACAGTTGTTCTATATACTCAAGTTACATTAAATAAACAAACAGAAGCAAAATAGCAAGACTCTTGTGGTTTCCTGTCCTGTCTTTTTGTTTCCCATAAAAATCATGGGGCTTAGATTATTTAATTTTATACTTAAATGAATTCCGGATAAATGTAAAATAATAATTTATATTTATGTATTTAACATAGAGAACATCAGAGCTCTTAGTTTGTAAGCAACAGAAACTGACCCTGGCTTAGAAAAGGCATTTGTTAGAAGAATACTGAGGAGCTCACAGAATCAAAGGAAAGACTGGAGGACCAGCATGGAACTGGACAGAAACAAGAGCAACTCTTAGGAAAAAAAAGGGAAATTAGGTCAGGCACAGTGGTTCACGCCTGTAATCCCAGCACTCTGGGAGGCTGAGGCAGGTGGAAGGCTTTGAGCTCAGGAGTTCGAGACCTATCTGAGCAACATGGCGAAACCCCATCTCTACTAAAAATACAAAATTTAGCCAGCCGTGATGGCATGCACCTGTAGTCCCAGCTACTCTGGAGGCTGAGGCTGGAGAGTCCCCTGAGCCCGGGAAGTGGAGGTTGCAGTGAGACTAGATTGTGCCACTGCACTCCAGCCTGGGTGACAGAGTGAGACCCTGTCTCAAAAAAAAAAAAAAAAAAAAAAAAAAGGTAATCTATGCAAAAAGAAACAACTTTTTAAAAAAATTTACAGTCTAGGCCAGGCACGGTGGCTTGTGTCTGCAATTCTAGCACTTTGGGAGGCCGAGGCGGGCGGATCTCTTGAGGCCAGGAGTTCAAAACCAGCCTTGCCAACATGGTGAAACCTCATCTCTATAATACAAAAATTAGGTTGCATTGAGGCAAGATTGCACCACTCTACTCCAGCCTGGGTGTTAGATCCAGACTTCCCCCACCTCCCCCCAAAAAAAGCTAAACTCCACTACATATGGACTTTTTAGTTTTCAACTGGCAGGCTCTTCTTTTACAAGTTCCCTTATACTGAGAGGAAACAAGTTTGCATTGAAGCCTTGTTTGTTGAAGGAAATGCTGTTTGGGGAGTTGTCTAAAGATAACTGGGTAAGTGAATCTGTGCTAGTAGCCTCTGTGATGAGAGGTGAAGCTCAGCCCCAAATCTAAATTCTCTGGTCTGTGGCAGTAGCACTTTGGCGGCCAAAGCTATTGTTCACCAACGTGGTGCAGTTGCACAAGCGTGGCTTCAGAATGAGTACGTGGTAGGCATCCACCACCTAGGAGCTGCAGTACTTATCTTGCTTTTGTTTTTAGAGACATGGCCTTGTTCTGTCTCCTAGGCTGGAGTGCAGTGGTGTGATCATGGCTCACTGCAGGCTTGACCTCCTGAGCTCAAATGATCCTCCCACCTCAGCCTCCCAAATAGCTAGTACTGCAGGTACACACCCCATGCCTGGCTAATTTTTCTATTTATTTTTTGTGGAGATGGGATCTCACTATGTTTCCCAGGATGGTCTCAAAACTCCTGGCCTCAAGCAGTCCTCTCGCTGTGGCCTCCCAAAGCAGAGGGATTATGGGCATGAGCCACCGCGCCTGGCAAGGACTTATGTTTAAAATGAGGACCATATTTGGAATTAAGGCCTCATAGGGTTGTTGTAGAAAACCCTGTGTGCAGAACCACCCAACTAAAGTTAGCTCAAAGGGAAGCTGGTGGGACGACGGGTCATACGCTCTTCACTACCATGAGGACTGAGACAGGTGGTGAAGAAAAAGACCATGGGCTTTAGAGCAGATAAGGTTGGTTTCCAATCTTGATTTTGTACCAACAAAATGTGTGACCCTGAGCGATGCACTTAGCCTCTTGGAGGTGGATTCCTCACTTGCAAAACCGAGATAACACCAGCCTTGGAGGCTTGTTGGGAAGAGTGCAAGTTGGTAGATTGTTTAGCTATGTCTGGAATTTAGTGGGGATCTAAGAGGGAATCTCTTGCCTTAGAACACTGTAGGTGTTCTACCGTCACGTAGCCCTTACAAATGGAAAAGTAGAATGGGGTAAAGAATTCCAGGCATTTACTTTGTCACCCCCTAGGCCCGGGAAGATGTATCAATTAGCGACAAGACCAGTCTAGAGCCATCTGCTGGAGCAGCTGTAGCGCCCTCGCAGAATCCTGCCCCTGGGATGACTTCCTCCGCCGTAGGTATTCATTCAGATGCTTTATGATGACAAAACTGACGGAGCTGGGTCACTAACCAGACCCCCTCCCATTGTTGACATCATTGACAGGGTGGCTTGCTTTTTCCTCTTCCTCCTCCTTCTCTGCTTTCTCCTACCACAATGACTTTAATTTAAGGTGCCATGGGGGAGAAACATAACCTTATATCTGTGTGTCATGTTTTCAGTTCTATTTTCTATTCTATTTCACAGATACATTTCTGGCTCCAGTAGCAGTTGTAATACACAAAGAGGAAAATGTTTGTGTGGGTCCCTGAACTTTGCACAGACATGCAAGTGAATCCACTCAGGCTAGAAACATTTCTGTGACTTTTTTGCAATAATGTTGTTGGCTAAATCTTTTCAATTTCTGGCTACATTCTTACTCTCTTTACAGTTGAGAAGACTTGCAAGGGTGAGGTGAGCAGGGAGAATGACTGCTTTCATTAAGGAAGGAAGACAGGAGAGAAGGTAGAAAGGGAGGGAGGAAGGAAGGAAGGAACAAAGGAAAGAAGGAAAGAAGGAAGGGAGGGAGGTAGGGAGGGAGGGAAGAGAAAGAGGGAGGGAGGGAGGGAGGAGAAGGAGGATGAAGAAGGGAAGAAGGACAAAAAAGATATTTTAAGGAACACACCAGGTTCAAGTTTCCCAGATCAAAATTCATATTCAGAGGACATAGTGTTTGGTTAACTCCGATCTATACAAATACAAAGGTAATCCTGCATTTGAACAGAAGCCTCACTTTATAGGAAATCACCTCTACCATTTGGCTCCCACCCAGCTTTCTCTGTCTCTCAAATACATGTTTTCTCTCTTTTGGACTAGAATGGAGATGCTATATCCTCTAGAGTGAGATTTCTTAGAAAGAAGAGTTTTAAAACTTGGCAGACGTTCATGTAAAAGCAAAGAGCTCTATTTGGGGCAAAGCTATTGAGTGAAAAGATAATGGAACTTGGGAAATCTGGTTGCGCTTAGTATCTGCGATTCATTCACAGCCAGAAGAGCAGAGGGTTTTTTTCTTTAAATAAAAACAAAACAGTAATTTGCTAAAATGATAGTGTTTCTCCCTGTGTGCTTCAGTCGGCAAAGCATCCCACATGGCTCTCTGGGGTCTGTTGGGACATTTTTGCTTCCAGTTACCCTCTGAGTGTCTCACTGCTAAGATTTCTCTTCCCCTACTTTGTCAGAAAGCAGAATAGTTCCTGGGAAAAAGATCTAGCAGCTTAGTTTATTCCTTTTATTGGGTGACTCCGGCAACAAACTGATAATTTAACTCATTTAGAAAATATGTTATGATGAACATTCCCCACCACCCAGCCCCAATCTTTGTTTGGTCTTAATAATAGCTAAGATTTATTAAACACACTGAGTGTCCATTTTGTTCCAGGCACTGGTCTAAGTGCTTTCCATGTGTTAAGTCATGTTAGTACTTGGGCGAGCCACAGGGTTATTGGTCTGTTTTATTTTGTTTGAGACAGAGTCTGGCTCTGTCACCCAGGCTGGAGTGCAGTGGCTCAATCTCGGCTCACTGCAACCTCCACCTCCTGGGTTCAAGTGATTCTCCTGCCTCAGCCTCCCGAGTAGCTGGGATTACAGGCTCATGCCACCACGCCAGGCTAATTTGTGTTTTTTTTTTTTAGTAGAGATGGGGTTTCACCATGTTGGCCAGCCTGGTCTTGAACTCCTGACCTCAGGAGATCTGCCTGGCTCAGCCTCCCAAAGTGTTGGGATTACAGGCGTGAGTCACCGCACCCGGCCTGGTCTGTTTTTCTTTGCAGATACATCCCAAGAGCCTAGAACAATGCTGGGCAGATAGTTGATGCTCCACGCATATTTGTTAATGGATAAAAATTCCTCATGACAGCCCGGTGAGGAAGGTAGCTTATAGATAAGGAAACTGGGAGCTCAAGAAGTAAAGTGACTGTCCCCAAGGTCACATGGCCAGGAAGTAGGGAAGCTGGTACAGGGCAGACCTAGCTGTCGGCTACAGAGCCTGTGATCTCCGCCACACTGAGCCATGGTCTTGCTTCCCCTGCATTGCTCCAGTAACCCAGTGCTCCAGAAAGACTGGTCCCTACGGTCCTGGGATATTCCTGCACTGAGCTTCACTTGTATCCCCCACAATCCATCACTACCACACCACCATTGCTTTCTCTGCTCTCTCCTGCTGGCAAGAGAGAGAAGAATCCCATTCTGTTTTCATGCTCAACGGAAGCTGTATTAGTCTGTTTTCACACTGCTACAAAGAACTGCCTGAGGCTGAGTAATTTATGAAGAAAAGAGGTTTAATTGACTCACAGTTCCACAGGCTGTTCAGGAAGCATGACCGGCAGGCCTCAGGAAACTTAAAATCATGTTGGAAAGCAAAGAGGAAGCAAGTACATCTTTTCATGGCAGAGCAGTAGAGACAGAGTGAAGGGGGAAGTGCCACACACCTTTAAACCATCAGAATTTCTGAGAACTCACTATTACTTGAGCAGCAAGGGGGAAATCCACCCCCATGAACCAATCACCTCCCGCCTAGGCCCTTCCTCCAATTTGATATGTGGGGATTACACTTTGATCTGAGATTCGGGTGGGGATGCAGAGCCAAACCATATCAGAACCCCACTTTTCCCCAAGCCCAGGCTGCCTTAGGGGTCAGGGATCTCTCCTTGCTTACTACGTGTGCTGGTACCACTCCTTCAACACTTACACATCAAGTCTTGGTTATCTTTTAGATTGATGAAGACTTTGTCTCTCTAGTTAGATCATAAGCTCCTAAGGGACAATGACAATCTTGGATGCCTAATATCGGTTCTTAATCAAACATAATTGTCCAGTAGGGAAAGAGAGGTGTGGCCAGTCACCATCCTCTCCCTCAATTTCTCATCCCCACTATGTGCCATTTTCTTTTTCATGCTAATGAAAGATCACATCTAAGGAGGCTGGGGATTAAAGAAAAGCCAAATAAAATTCCCATAAGATTTAGTATAAGAGAGGTCATTTAGCACAGTGGTCAAGAGTGTGCACGCTGCTGTTAATTCATTCAAGTTGGAATCCCAGAGACACTGTATTCATTATCTATTGCTGTGTAATAAATTGCCCAGAACTTAGTGCCATAAGGTAACATTAAACATTATCAAATGCTGTTTTTCCTGGTCTCTCCTGAAGCTGCAGTCAAGATGTTGTTCAGGGCTGTGGTCCTCTCAAAGCCCAACTGGTGCTGGAGGATCAGCTTCCAAGGTGGTGCACTCACATGGTGGGCAGGTGGGGCTGGCTGTTAATAAGACACCTCCATTTCCATGCCATGTGGAGCTTTCCACATCACTTCTGCCACATTCTATTGGTCACATGAACCAAACCTGATGCAGGGTGTGATGGGACAATACAAGGACGTAGACACGAGGATGTAAAGATGATCGAAGACCCTTTTGGAGGCTGGCTACCACATCTATCATTTATAGCTGTGTTAGCTTGGATCATTTCCTCAATGACTTGAAGTCCAGTTTCCTCATCTCTAAGATATGGATAATCATTGCAATAGATTATTGCAAGAGTTAAATGAATTAATACAGGTGAGATGCTTAGATTACTATGCAAAGGTTAACTGTTTATTAGAAAGTGCAAACTGATGTCAGAGTAGGAGAGAAGAAGGAGTGGGTGATGGTATGCATCAGAAATTTTACTGTTCTGATCAGGAGAGTTGTGTGAGTCTGACTCAAATCTGGATTTCTTTGCCTGCTGGTTGCTGGGCAAGTGTTGAGGCGGCTCAATTTCCACATCACCTTTGAGGTTGTCATCACTCCATTTCATGCATATTGCACATCTTGTGATCCGAATACAGTCTCTGTGCCACTTAGACACAGGACAATGATTGTGGTAATCATTGCAGAATTCATGTTTTAGGGGGAAATGCACAGAACGTAAATTACTCCTTGCTGATTTGTTGCTCACCCAGAAAACCAGTGGTTAACCCCATTCAGATCTGATTCCTCCTTTGCAGAAACCTAAACATAAAGAAACAGACACACACACACACACACACACACACACACACACACACACACTCTTTCTCTCTCTTCAAGGGAGCCTCGCTTTTGCAATAGATATGTTGCTGAAATGCTGTGTGTTCCCCCAATTTTTGCAAGCCAAGTGATATATTTTGCTTAGACTTTACATTCTCATCTTAGAGATGATTTACCCTGATTTATTTTCAAATTGCAATGGATCTTAACATTTTTGGCTAAAAGTTACTTTCTTTGTTTCTTTTTTCTCCTCTACTTCCCCTACCCCATTTTTGTTGTTGTTGTTAAGAATTTAAAGGTCTAAAAACACTTAAAGCCATTAGGAAGTTACCATAAGGAGAAGAATCCTTTTCCATATTATTAATTCATGGCTCTGCTGGGGCTCTGTGGTCCAGCATGTGTTTAGAGGACAATGTTCTGGAGTCAGGCGTCTGAAGCAAGGACCTCTGACTTAGGCACCCAGTGAAGTTTATGATGCAGAATAGAAATGTGACTTTTCATCTGCTTTGATTACTTTATCTGAAAAGTTTCTAGGCCTGGACTTATGCAAGAATTTTTTTAAAAAAGGAAATTCTCAGACACACACACACACCCAGGCTATATTATAGGAACAAACATTGGAAGAGTGTCAAAGGGAAAGAGACAGGGAGGAAGTAGCAATGTTAAATTGAAACTTGAGTCCTAATTCACCATTTCATGCCTTGGCAATGCAGTTGATACAATAGTAATACATCAGGGGCCCTTCCAACTCTGGGTGGGAAAGCTACAAATTATGGGTTAGCTCCTTTTCCTTTGTACCCAGAATGAAAAACTGGCCTCAGTTTAAAGGCAATTGGCACAGTAAGTGAACCAAAGACATTTTAGCTTGGACCAGTGTGTACATATAGAAATAGGATTTTTTTTTCCAGTGAATTTTATGAGCATTCTTAACATACTTAAGGAAGCAATATTCAAAGACGAGAATATCTATGTAAGTTCTTATTTCAAATGGAAAAGAACATGAGGACATCAAACATAGGGTTCCTTTTCATAGGTTGTATTTTGGAGTTCAATTTCTATCCAATTGCTGCCAAATGAAAGAGCTGTGTTTTTCGTTGGTTTGTTTTGTTTTTTGTTTTGTTTTTAATACAGGTTCTCACTCTGTCACCCAGGCTGGAGTGCAGTGGGGCGATCATCACTCATTGCAGCCTCGAACTCCTGGGCTCAGGTGATCCTCCCACTTTGGCCTCCCAAAGCAATGGAGAAAGAGCTACTTTGAATAATCATGTTGCAAGGAGATGTAGACTTTAAAAATCACTTACATAGGGACTCTACTGCTGTAAGACCCTTTGAATATTGCTCATCAGTTGCCTGAGGACAGCTTTAAACTCTAATTCTGGATGTTTTCCCTCCAATGACCCTGAGGCAGGTTAAAGATGGCTGAAAATTCCTTGACACTTTTCATGAGTGGTGGAGTCTCTGTTCACTTTTCTTGTGACTTCTTTGACAAATAGAACACTGGAGAAGTGACACCATGCCAGTTTTCAGACGCGGGTTTTGAAAGGCCTGGCAATTTCCACTTTGTTTCTCGCAGCCCTGAGCAGCCATAGAAGAAGCTCAACTATTGCTGGAGAGACCACGTAGAGAGGCCTGGACACTATGTGGGGAAGGAGACCGGTCCAGCCGAGCCAGCCTTCCTGGCTCCCCTGCTGAGATACCAGTCACATGCATGAAGCCATCTTATACCCTCCAGGTCAACCCACTGACAGCTAAAGACCACCTAGTATCCTCCGTCAATGCCACCTGCGACAGAAGAAGTGTCTAGCCCAGGCCTGATGAATTTCTGACTCACAGAATATGAGAATAAATACAATTATTTTTGTTGAGAAACAGGTCTGTGATAAGAACCTTTGAACTATGAAAAAAAAGAAAGTTTTTTTCTATTTTAGGAACTCCTTTTTAAGACACATGACTCATTTATAAGCCACCTGCAGATTACAATCTATAGCACAAATTCCAGGCAGCATTGGGGCATCTAGATTTGATTAGACAGACAAAAATTTCTGATATTAAATTCTTATCTGGTTTTGAAAACTTTCTCATAGATGCCTTGAGAACAGATACGATTCATTTTTACTGACCTTTGCTGGACTGATCTTAATCGCATTCCCTATCAGAAAGTGCAGTAGATTAGAACAAGTCATCATTTTCAATAGGCTATTTCAGGAGCAATATATTAAATTTGTAGAAACCTCATTCCAGAACATCAAGGCAATTTTACCGAGGAAATGTAAGAACTAAGCTCTTCTACCTCTGCAAGAACTTAAAGGTATTGAATGGCTGCAGTTACAAATTGATTTGATATACATCATACTTGGAGATATAACCCTTCTGTCTAAAATAAATCAATAATTTTGCTCAGTCTTTGCTTTGTGCCTAGTGTGCTCTCTATAGAAAGACAAACTCCTGTTTGATTATCAAAGTTGGTCTGGCAATGGAATGTTCTGGTTACTCAAATATTTTACTTAATTGAGAATTCCTATCCATACCACACAGCGCTGACCAATTTCAGAGAACTACAAGTAAGTGAAATACCGTATAATTTCCATTGAAAATGACTTTTCTCTTACCTAATGATTCAGAAGGCCCTTGCATTTCCAGTGCCCAAGGGCACCGTTAGAAACCTGGAACTGTAGACGCAGGAAGCCCCCAAAACTGGGACATTTGCGTTAAGTCTGTTTCAATTCCAGAGTTGTCGTGTAGAAGTCATCCCTCATAGCAAGTTGTTCATTTATCATTTTTCTTTGATTTTCATACAAGTAGATCTTGGAAAGAAATCCATCTGCAATATTTTGTGTTCTAATTTGGTGTAAATGGAGTATGTCCTATCCATAAATAAGTACCTATTCCCTGGAAATAATATTTTCTGCTGAGCTCCTGGAAGTGGTGGGATGCATTCTCACAAGATCCTTGCATGAACAGTGAAAAAACTCCTTGGCAGGAGCTCAATTGCTCCTAGGGAAGTAAACCTGAAACCCAAAGCACGAAGTGAAAGTGAGTGCTCAGTGGGTGAAATGGACCCTCACTGATGTCACCAGTTCCTTGTGATTTCATCAGCGGCTTCAAAGATCAGCTCTCACAATGGTCTCTACCCTCAGGTAGCAGGTACGATCTAATCAATGAGTTATCTGCTTGTGTGTCGCTGCCTTCCCTTCATTTTCACATGTGGAAAGGGAAGTGAGGGTGTAAAGGAGGACGGAGCTGGGCTTGGACTCCTGAAGGACACAGCCTCTGAGGCCAGGTGAAACCCTGTAAGCAAAACCACAGAGGCAAAGTCTGATTTGAATATTTGCTCCTCACCACCGAGATTATTTATTTATATACTTAAGAGACAGGGTTTTACTCTTGCTCAGGCTGGAGTGCAGTGGTGTGATCATAGCTCACTGCAACCTTAAACTTCTAGGTTCAAGCAATCCTCCTGCCTCAACCTCCCAAGTATCTGAGACCACAGATGTGCACACCATGCCTGGCTAACTAAAACATTTTTTTGTAGAGACAGGGTCTATGTTGCCAGCCTGGACCACCTAAATTATTAAAAAGACAAGAAATAACAGATGTTGGGAAGGAGGCGGAGAAAAGGGAACTCTTATACACTGTTGGTGGGAAAGTAAATTAGTACAATCTCTATGGAAAACAATATAGAGATTTCTCAAAGAGCTAAAGATAGAATTACCATTTAATCCAACAATTCCACCACTAGGTATCTACCCAGAGGAAAATAAATCAATATATCCAAAAGATACCTGCACTTGTATGTTTATTGTAGCACTATTCACAAGGGCAGAGGGTAGTGAACCAGCCTAAGTGTTCATTGACAGATGATTGGATAAAGAAAATGTGGCATATACACATAATGGAATACCATTCAACCATTAAAAAAAAATTGAGGGCCAGTCCTGGTGGTTTGCACCTGTAATCGCAGCTACTCTGGAGGCTGAGGTAGGAAGATTGCTTGGGTCCAGGAGTTTGAGGCTGTAGTGAGCTATGATCACACCACTGCACTCGAGCCTGGGTGGCAGAGCAAGATTCTGTCTCCAAAAAAAAAAAAAGAGTGAAATAATGCATGGATGAAGCTGGAGGCCACTATCTTAAATGAAACAAGCCAGACACAGAAAGACAAATATCGCATGTTCTCACTCATAAGTGGGTGCTAAAAAATGTTTATACATGGTTGAAGAGAGTAAAAGGATGGACAATGAAGACTCAGAAAAGTGAGGGTGTGGAAGGGGAGTGGGGGATGAAAAATTGCTTAATGAGTACAGTGCACGGTGTTCAGGTGCTGAATACTCTAAAAGCCCTGACTTGACTATGATGCAATCTATGCGTGGAATGAATTGCACTTCTACCCCATACATTTATATAAATAAATAAATCAGCACGAGATGCCATGGGGTGAACTACTGTGTTCAACAAGAAGGGGATGGATCTGTTTCCCTCCAGTCCTGCACGGAGATAGCAATAAGGCTGTTTCTCTGATGGCCTGGGCCACAGTGTGAGAGGAACCGGCAGAAGGAGTCTCATAACAACATAAGCAGCCTCCACGGGCCAGCCCTAGGCAGGCCATTTCCCCAAATGTGTCTCTGTGTTCATACACGCAAACTTCACGGCCAGTACCAGGCGACCAGGATGGTCAGCGTTTGGGTTTCTTTACTGAAGCTTTGGAGACGTAGCGTTCATTGTCGGCAGTAACTAAACCCAAATTTCTAAGCAACCTGGGCCTTCCTCTTGCAAACTAGCTTTGAAGAGCATGGAATCTTGATATCAGTTCCTTTTCATGGATATGTATTTTACATAGAAAAAATTGTGGCCAGGCATGGTGGCTCATGCCTGTAATCAAAGCAATTTGGGAGGCTGAGGTGGGCAGATCACTTGAGGCCAGGAGTTTGAGACCAGCCTGGCCAACATGGTGAAACCCTGTTTTTACTAAAAATACAAAAATTAGCTGGGCGAGGTGGTGCACGCCTGTAATCCCAGCTACTTGGGAGGCTGAGGTATAAGAATTGCCAGTGAACTGAGACGGCACTACTGCACTCCAGCCTGGGTGACAGAGTGAGATTCTGTCTCAAAAAAAAAAAAAAAGAAAGAAAGAAAGAAAGAAAGAAAAAGAAAAAATTGTAATAATTATGCAGCCAGAACAATCTCCTCATGTCTTTCAAGCATCTGCAAACATGAAGCATGGTGAATGTACAAATGGTACTTGGTTTGCTGAATCATGAGTGTCAGTTGCCTGTGATGAACCCACAAACAACTCTGGAAAGGGGAAGTAAATCTATACAGGTAATAGGTAAATGTCATATTATTATTTATGTCTACCAATTGATTGATTTAATTAGTTAAGTGAGTGCTTTATATCTAAAGACATTGGATTTTCCCATTCTCAACTTTCTGAATATGAGAAGTCTTTTGAGTTGCCAGGCACACATTTTCTTTTGTTAATTCATTCATTAATTGCTTACTCAGCAACTATTGATTGACTGCCTACCATACCCCTGGTTCTTCTAAGTACTAAAGATGTAGCATGAAACTAGATAGACATAGTCCCTGCCTGGGGTAGAGCTCACATGTGGAGGCCAAGCCACGTTAGAGAAGTTCTTACAGAAATTGCTAATGCATGTGACAATCGTAATAATGGAGATGTCCAGGGTTCTTTGAGAAAATACAATACAGATCTAACCTCGAAACGTGGCAGATTGTGGAAAGCTTCCCTGTAGAAGATACTTAAGTCAATAAAAGTCTGAGCATGATGGCTCACACCTATAATCCCAGCACTTTGGAAGGCTGAGGTGGGAGGATCACTTGAGCTCAGGAGTTCGAGACCAGTCTTGGCAATATAGTGAGACCTCATCGCTACAAAAAATTTTTTTTAAAAATGTATCCTGGCATGGTGGTGTGCACCTGTAGTCTCAGCTACTTGGGAGAATTGCTTGAGCCTGGGAGGTTGAGGCTGTAGTAAGTTGTGATTGTGCCACTGTACTCCAGCCTAGGCAACAAAGTGAGACCCTGTTTGATAAACAAATAAATAAAATAAAAATAAAATAGGAGTTAGCTAGGGTAGACAGAAGGAAAGGTGTTCTGGCAGAAGGAACAGAAGCAGGAAGGTCTTAAAGTTAGAGCTTCGGGGCTGGGCACGGTGACTCACGCCTGTAATTCCAGCACTTTGGGAGGCCAAGCCAGGTGGATCACCTGAGGTCAGGAGTTCCTGACCAACCTGGCCAACATGACGAAATCCTATCTCTAATAAAAATACTAAATTAGCTGGGTGTGGTGGTGTGCACCTGTAATCCCAGCTACTTGGGAGGCTGAGGCAGGAGAATCGCTTAGAACCTGGGAGGCGGAGGTTGCAGTGAGCCGAGATAGTGCCACTGCACTCCAGCCTGGGCAACAGAGGGAGACTTTGTCTCAAAACAAAAAAAGTTAGAGTTTCACACATTCGAAGAGCTGAGAGCTTAGTAGGCAGTGAAGCAGGAGAGTTAGACAGATATCTCCAAGGGCCTTACTTATATTTTAAAGATTCAGAGTTTTATGCTAATGACATTAGGGAAACTACTAAGAGTTTTAAGTAGTGAAGTGACATGACAAATATGGGTTTTGAACAGATGGCCTTGGCTACCCTGTGGAGAAGGCACTAAGAAGAACCAGAATAGATACAGAGAGAACAGTTAGGAGGTGTTAATTTAAAAAAAATTACAAGATCTATAAATTTGGAAGAGGAGAGAGATTTTATTTCTTCATATGGGTTATAGCCTGTAAGGGCTGGGAGGCGTGCCTCTGGCCAAGGCCACTGCAGGCACTTCAAACAGAAAGGGATTTGGGTAGGAGCTTTACGCTGAACAGGTTGGGTAAACATACATATTCAGCAGGTTACAGAAAGAGTTATGAATATTCATGAAGGCGGCCCTGACATGTGTGTATTGAATAAACGTGCATGTAACATACAACCCATGTTCACTTTCGGGTGGAGACTTCACATTTAAATGTATTACAATTAGGACCTATATGTCAAAAGGTCTTTTCAGGACATGAAGACACACAAGTGCACACTCTGTAAACCAGACAGAACCAGTCCATGGGTTTCTTATCAGGAGAAAGTTACCGAAATCAGTCTCTTGTCTAATCACACCAGATGGCTGGTGGAACCAGGGGTCAGCTAGTCAGTGCCTAAACTCCAAAAGCGAGGGGAGTATAATGAGACGTGTCTGACTTCCATCCCATCATGGGTGGGAACTCAGTTTAAAGTTTTTTCTGGGGTCCCCTTGGCGGTCCAGTCAGTTGGTAGAGTGGGGGTTTAGGACTTTAAGTTTACAGAGGCTACTGCAGAATCCAGGGGAGAGATGAGAGTGGTTTTACCTGAGGGCTGGAGATTGGGGACAGGAAAAAAACCAGTGACAGCTCCATCCTTCTTCCTCTAGCCATGCTCACTATACAGCTCATTATTTATTTATTTATTTATTTATTTATTTATTTATTTTTGAGATGGCATCTCACTCTGTCACCCAGGCTGGAGTGCACTGGCGCGATCTTGGCTCACTGCAACCTCCATCTCCCAGGTTCAAGCAATTCTCCTGCTTCAGCCTCCCGAGTAGCTGGGACTACAGGCACCTGCCACTACGCCTGGCTAATGTTTGTGTTTTTGTAGAGACGTGGTTTCACCATGTTGGCTAGGCTGATCTTGAACTCCTGACCTCAGGTGATCCGCCCACCTTGGCCTCCCAAAGTGCTGGGATTGCAGTGTGAGCCACTGCGCCTGGCCATCACTTATTTTTGAAGGGCAAACCGGTCATAAAAGAATAACAGGAGGAGGAGGAAATTGTCAAAAGTGCACTAGTTCTACAAATGTTTATTACTTGCCATATCAGGCACTTTTTATAGCACTGAACAAAATGATACTTTCAGCGACCTTTTTCCATCTGCTAACTTGAGAGCAAGCGGCCTTAAAGGCTATATCCCCCGATTTCCTTAATCTCCAACTCGTCTCTGTCCCACATTATGTATTGTAGGAAAGCTCTAATGTAAGCTACTACTTTTCCAACATTTCCTGTACTGAGCATTTTCCTTTTTCTCTCCTTTTCTGCAGTGTATTCTAAGGACTTGATATCAATTTTATTTCACCTTTCAAAAAAATGGTTTGAGAAAAGAAATGCTAAGAAGTTAAAAATGTATCCCTCAAATTTCCTTTTGCATAGAGAGCTACCCCTTGCTCTGTGGTCCAAAATTGAGATATTTATGTATTTAGTATTTACCAGGCATGGTCCTAAGAATTTTGTATATATTCATTCTCTTAATATTTATCTTCACAGCATTAATAAGTAGTATGCTTGTTCCCATTTTGTAGATGAGAAAACTCAAGCACATAGCACTTAAGTAACTTGGAGAGGGCTACACAGCTAGCGAAAGGCAGAGCATCATGCTGCATCTCTGGATGAAGAGACGTGGGTTTCCGTCTTTCATCCTAGTCCCTACAGGGCCGCCATCTTCAAATCTACCCTTTAAACAGACACAACCTCAAACCCTCCTCCATCAGAATAAAATCCTCAGGAAATTTTACAAATTCATTCTGCCACTTTCCCTTTGGGCTGCAGGCCTGGGCTGCTGCTCTCCCCGTAAAGGGACCTCATCCCTCTGTGCTCTGGTAGCCGTGCTTTCCCATGCTGGACCCACCGTATGCCTTTGGGTGCAAGATAATGTGACCGAGGCCTGAAGGCGGAACACAGGCAGACAGGGACTCTTAGTTTTATCAGCTTCTTGGATGATCCTTTGGGAAATGAAGTTTATAAGCCATGTGTGAACCTCAGTTTCTGGTTCATCTGACTTTGAGACACTTCCCATCTGTTTTGTGTTTAAAATGGGCTTTTCGTTTGTGGAGGAGCTTCACATGAGGGATTATGTTAATGCTTGACATGAAAACATTGCCAAAGGTAAGATCACTCAGATGGGATTCCTTGGAGAATCTATTGAAGTTTGTTGCCTAATCCATAATCTGTTTCCCTAGTGCATAGGCATAATCTTGCCTAGTCCTGCTCCTGGCTCAGGGTCTCCTAGAACTAAAGAAGAAGATTGGCAGGGGTACGGGTATGGTAGGGGAGAGGGAGGGAAGTGGTGGCAAAGTAGAGAAAGGGGATGTGGAGACAGGGAGGCAAGGTAAGGAGAAGAGAATGGTTAAAGGGGAAAGTGTCTCAATGGATCTTGATGCGTCTCCTTGCTTGTGGGGTGTTGGGAAACTTGGACTGTCTACACTGTTCTCAGGCAACAGCCTCAGTTTGATTGATTTTTTTGTTCAATTGCCTCAGCACCACAGAGGGCTCTGCCATGAAGCAGGTCAGCTTCACCACTTCTGTGGAAGGAATGAGGCACGTTTTTGTTCCTTGCATTTCTCCTCCAATCTCTTTGGCTCCCATCCCAACAAAGGTTTTGAAAGATAGAAATTCCTATGTGTGAAGTCAGGGAAACAAAACATGCATAAAATGCTTCAGAGATGCCACATTCATCACTGTTATTAGAGAGCATCTGTAAGCTGGAAGCCTTGAAAAGAGTACTTGAAGGCCAATCCATTACTATTCAAAGAAAAGTATCTTTAATGCAGAGATCTTTGTGCAGAATACCAGGCACCAGCTGGGCTCCATCTCCACCAGAGAACACACGACAAGAGGCAGTGGGGTCAAAAGGCAACATGAAGAATTTGTGTTAAGCATAATATGAATAGACAGTAAAAGTAAAGTCCATTTATGGGTGAAAGAATGTGACAAGTCACCCAGAGCCCAGGGCCTGGAGCCCAAATTTTTTTAAAAGGTTTATCCTGAATATACCTCTGTGGCTCTAGAAATGACCGAAATGTCATTTTAGTTCAATGAATAGTGATTGCTCTACCCCTTCTGACAATCTGGACCCCTGGGCAGTTATTCCACTCAGCCCTAGAGCCCTGGTCACCACAACTGTCTCTCAAGGAAGGTGCAAGAGAAAGCACAAGAGCAGGGTGTTGGTGGTAGTGGTAATGACACTGATGGAGACAGTGGAGGTGTTGATGGAGATGGTGGAGGTGCTGATGGAAATGATAGGGGTACTATTGGAGATGGTGGAGGTGCTGATGGAGACGGTGGAGGTACTGATGGAGGTGGAGGAGGTGCTGTTGGAGATGAAGGAGGTGCTGATGGAGATGGTGGAGAGGTTGATGGAGGTGGAGGAGGTACTGAAGGAGATGGAGGAGGTACTGATGGAGATGGTGGAGATGTTGATGGAGGTGGAGGAGGTGCTGATGGAGATGGTGGAGGTTCTGATGGAGATGGTGGGGGTACTCATGGAGATGGTGAAGGTGCTGATGGAGATGGAGGAGATGCTGATGGAGGTGGTGGAGGTGCTGATGGAGATGGTAGAGGTGCTGATGGAGATGGAGGAGGTCCTGATATGGATAGTGGAGGTACTGATAGAGATGGTGGAGGTGGTGATGGAGATGGTGGAGGTACTGACGGAGATGGTGGAGGTGCTGATTGAGATGGTCAAGGTGCTGATGGAGACGGTGGAGGTTCTGATGGAGTACCAATACAATACAAAGAGTGCCAATTAAAGGGCAGAACTTCATTTTGACAAAGGATGTGGGAAAACTTCAGGGTTGGCATTGGGTTGATGTCACTTCCTTTCTCCATGCCTCAGAGGGTTTGTGTGTGTGTTTATGTAGAAGAGGAAGATATTTATAAAGCTCGTTGCCCATTTTGCAGAGTCATCTTCATTAATTTCAGAGTATGTGTGAGGGAGGCCCATAGCTCAAGTTTGACCTTTTAATCTTCATTCTTGGCTTGTTGGGGATTAAAGATAGACTAGGCTTAACACCAATAGTACCTGCCCTTAACAGGGTTTCTGAGAAGCAAAGTCATTGACGACAGAGTCTCCATATGGTAATGCTACTTCCTCCTTCCAGAAGTTTCACAGAAGCTTTCCTTTCTGACAATGAAAAATAAAATCACCTCAGACATCAGAAATACTTGGCCTTTTATTTTCGTTTTCTCACTTGAAACAGAACCTGAGATACCTTGTTGGACTCAGAGTTCTCCTTGAGTGTGACATTAGGGACTAAGAAAATAAGCAGCAGCTTGATTTTTTAAAGTATAGTTGCCACTGCTGACAGAAGTCAAATTATAACACCAGAAAAGTCTGGTTTTGATTCCTGCCATCTTCCTGGGAGAGTGGGTGGCTTGGTTGATAAAGCTGCACTCTCACTTCTGGAATTGGATTGGGTTCCCAAGCGTAAACACGTCTGCATTTAATTTGGATCTGCTTGTGTATTCCAGTAAGAAACGGGGCTTAACATATGCACTGTAGCTCTGGCTGAAGGGCATTTTAACTGGTTATGGGTCTCCTAAGACACAGGGATTTTAAGCCATTGCTTTTCAAATGTGCAGTCTGATTGTGCACATGCTAAAGGGAGGGGCGGGAGCAGCAGTGCGGGAGATGGCATGTCACACACAGTCATAATAATCGAGCTACATCTAGCCAGATAACGCTCTCTTTGCTTACAAATCTAGGAAATAAGCCAGAAACTTACCAAAGAATAGGAGTGATTACTGATACTGACTAACTAAAAAAATGTCTCCTTCCTCTTCGTTTCTGTTTCTGCCAGATGAAGACAAGGGGATTTATATTCAGAAGTGGCTGTTTCTAGAGGACTCAAAATCTTAGTGTAAACTAATGAAATTCATCATATGAACAGAACTAAGAAGAAAAGTAACATGATTATCTCCAATAATGTTTTAAAAACATGCTTGGCAAGATTTATCGACCATCCATGTTAAAACATAAGAATTGAGAGAAATTTCTTAGCATGATGAAATATGTATATTAATACCTCAGCTCTTGCAGTGAGCCAAGATAGCACCACTGCACTCCAGCCTGGGCAACAGAGCAAGATTCCATCTCAAAAACAAAACAGAACAAAACAAAACAAACAAACAAACAAACAAACAAAAGTCAGTCCAAAGCCTGCATCTTACTTAGTGGGGAAACACCAGAGGCTTTTCCACTAAGTCAGTAACAAGACAAGAGTGGCCACTCTCTCCATTACTATTTAACTCTATGCTGAAGTTATTAGCTAATGCAATTGGATAACAGAAGGCAATTAGAGACACAAATTGAAGAGGAAGAGGTAAAACTATTCCTATTTGTAGATGATATTATTATGTATCTGGAAAACCCAAAAGAATTAATGGAAAATCCACTCTAAAAACTTTAGTACATAGGTAAGGTATAAAATTCACCTACAGAAATCAAAGTTACATGTGTATACACACACATGCATAACTAGTTAGAAAAAGTAATAGAGAATACACCACATTTAAAGTAGCAGAAATACAATACAACTAGACTTAAACTGAATAAGGAATTAGTATTGTTGTAAAACTATTACATATCAATTGCAGGAGAAAGCAGATTAGTCATTTTGTTAGTATTATTACTGCAAATAAAAGAACAGCCCAGTAATGATGAGCACCTCTTGAGCCCAGATTATGAACTCTAATAACCATTTCTTCCTAGGAGGAGGAAAGGTTGATTTTCTGTCTGGGGTTAGCAATATACAACTTGTGCTCAGTGCATCTTATATTATTTATCAAAACCTACTAGAATTGTGTCAAGAGGATATGGGAGAAAATGTGCATAGGAGCCAACTTGAAGGGGCTCTCACTGGCCAAAGACGGCATAATTAGAGAGCCAAGAAGAATAATGACTGCAAAAAAGGAAAGATATCAAATATATAAGAACCCATGTGTTATAACAATACTCTAAAAATGAAACTCATTGATTACCTTTGGAGGTTGTTAAGACAGTAATTTATTATTCTAAAATTTGTATCAGAAAAAAATTGAATATTTATCTTGCCTTTCCTGTAAGGGCTATATTTCAGAACAAATACACAGTTGACAGAAGACATTTCTTCCTTAGAGAAAAATTACTGTGAACAAATGAAGAAGGGCTGATAGAATTTTTAAAAAATCACAATTGTGCAACTGTAATGAAATAATAGATCTAACCAACAATCAGCAATAACAGCTAAGCCATTAAGTGAAATATCAAGGGACAAGTTTCATAATAAATGGGTTTGCTGGCACCTGAACCCACTGATGTATCCTAACATCACTACAGTTGGGAAAGCCAACCATTATGTGCATTCTGATGTGAAGCATTAAGAAGTGCCCAGCACCATCTATGGGACATTTTTTTCTAAACTTTGACCCCAATGTAGCCAAGCCTTTGAATCTAACTTACAGGTTAGCAACATTATGGAGGGTAGAAGAACATGAGCAACAATACCATGAGGAAAAGGGAAACTTCTATTGCACAAATGATCCAGTTTCTTCTACAAAGAAATGGCATGGGAATAAAAGAAAGAGAGACTATTATAGATTTAAAAAGACTTACCAGACATAAGATCAAGTGAAATGTGTATATGTATATTTTTTAAGACAGGGGTTTCCTTCCCGTTCCCAAGGCTGGGGTGCAGTGGTGTGATCTTGGCACACTGCAGCCTTGACTTCCTGAGTTCAAGTGATCCTGACACCTCACACTCCTGAGTAGCTGGGACTACAGGTGTGCAACACTATGCCCTTTTTTGTAATTTTAGTACAGACGGAGTTTCACCATGTTGCACAGGCTGAGCAATGTGCATTTTTATTTGGATTATGATTTGAATAAATCAATTGTAAAAAGATATTTTTAGACAACCAGGAAAACCGGAGTATGACATTATTGAGTAACTACTGTTAATTTTGTGGAGTGTGACAATGGTGTTATAAGGATATGTTTTAGTCTTTATTTGTGAAAGGTAAATATGAAAATATTTATGAGAATTATATAATAAGTGGGATTAATTTAAAATAAAACAACAAAGTTGTGTCAGGAAAAGAGATTCGGATGAAGCAGGTAGAACAGAGCATACATGTATTGAAAGACTGGGCCACAAGAATTCATTATACCATTTTCTCTATTTTTCTCTCTACCTTTGTTGTGTTTGGATATTTACATGTAATTTTCTTTTTTCTTTTTCTTTTTTTTTTTTTTTTTTGCCAGGTGTGGTGGCTCAAGGCTGCAATCCTATATTCTTAGCACTTTGGGAGGCCAAGGCAGGAGAATCTCTCGAGACCAGGGGCTCAAGACCCATCTTGGCAAGACCCGTCTCACAAAAATTAAAAAAAAAATTAGCTGCGTGTGGTGGTGTATGCCTGTAGTCTCAGCTCTCTTGGAGGTTGAGGTGGGAGGACTGCTTGAGCCCAGGAGCTTGAGGCTGCAGTGAGCTATGATCGCACAACTGCACTCCAGCCTAGGCAATAGAGTAAGACCCTGTCTCTTAAAAATAACCCAAAAAACCAAGAAATTTAAAAACATTAATCTTGCTGTCAAAAAGGGACAATATGAAAACACCATGTAACATTTTAAGTGAAAGCTAGAAAGTAAGAATAAAGAATTATATCATCTAAATTCAAGAAAGGAAAAGACTGACTGTTCTTTGGCCATAGTCCCAATCTATGAACAAGTCATCTCCAAAATTGCTTTTAAACTCTTACCAATCATCACTAACACTTCACTTCAGTACTCATATTTCTGAAAGTCCACTAGTCAGAACAGCCTCAGTCCATCAAAAAGGCTTTCACAGCTAAAGATCAACCAATCCCCCAACACTTCAATTTCCAAGAGTTTGCCAATCTCTGAACTCCATGCTTCCCAAAACCCTGTGTTAGAATCCCAGTTTGCTTTATTCAAAGGCACTGTAACTCATAAGTACAGCTCTCCCTGGCAGCAAGAAATACAATCTGGTCTTTGTTTTGGATAATGAGTGGTGGGCTCTTCTTTTAGAATAAATGTACCAAAAGAAATTTTAAAAGTCTGATAAAGACAACAAGACCAAATTTTGGGGCCTTGAACCTGCATTTGTAATCAGCTTAAGTTGCACTGGCCTTTTGAAAGCAAATTCTTGGTGAGGCTCAGCCATTGAATACAAATCCCATCTTGCCCTTCCCCAAACAGGGAAAATCAACACAATAAATAAAATTTTGCACTACTAAAGAAGGATTAGGAAGAAGAAGGAGAGAGCAAAGTAGTGTTTGATAAAGACACTACTTAGGTATGACTTGTGGACTTTGTAGTTCATCTTCCATCCTGAAATAAACTGATAATTAATACACGTTTCAAAGAAGCATCTACTTTTCTTTTTTGAGACAGAGTCTCGCTCTGTCATCCAGGTTGGATGGAGTGCAGTGGTGCGATCTTAGCTTACTGTAACCTCCGCCTCCCAGGTTCAAGTGATTCTTGTGTCCCAGCCTCCCCAGTAGATGGGACCACCGGTGTGTGCCACCATGCCTGGATAATTTTTTTTTGTACTTTTAGTAGAGATGGGGTTTCGCCATGTTGGCCAGTCTAGTCTTGAACTCCTAGCCTCAAGTGATCCTCCTGTCTTGACCTCCCAAGGTGCTGGAATTACAGGCGTGAGCCACTGTGCCCCGCCCAGAAGCATCTACTTTTATGTACCTTATGTGTACTTTTAAATTTTAATGTTTCTGTCATGAAAAAAGGCTCAGACCACTCTCTTAAAATGTACATTTTGCTTGTAATATTTACACTGAATGAATAAAAAAAGCATGTCCCAAACAACACACTTTGATGCGTGATTATTCCTGCTTGCAATCTATAGAAGTTCATATATAAATGTTGAAACTCCAAAGGAATTATTCTCTGATCCATAAGCTAAGAAATACTTTTTATTTGAGACCTCAAAAGGAGAAGATAACATATATAAAAACAAAAGATATGAATGATGTTTGCATTAATTTGCTCAAGATATAAATTATAAGACGTTCCTTTTTAACCCTCCTTTTATCAAAGTTATCACCAGTGTATTTGTTCAGGAGTCAATGTCATCTGTATCTTATCAAACTGTGAAAAGTTTCCGTATGGCAAGTTAGAGAGTTAATATTCAGGAATGTCATACAGCACAGACTTTGCCGATATTCTTCATATATTAAAAAATGACTTCATAGACTTCTTTGATGACTCTGATTAAGTTGTTTTTAGTCTGTCAAACTGATATAAAAACTTACCACCATCTTGAAATGATCAAAAATTGAGTACTCAACTATGTGTAATCGGAGCACGCCACTGAAAAATCAAACTCTTTGTGAATGAATACAGTTTAAAAAATAATATTTGGGAAGTTGTGCATGAATATTTTTGAAAATTGAGGCAAACTTGTGGATAGAGTACTCAGTACTTTTTCCAGTGGTCTAATTTTTGAAAGTTTTTATAGGGATAACATGTCAAGTACGTTTCTACCTTTACCAACGTGTCCTAGTACTATTCCTTTTTTTTTTTTTTTCTTTAGAGACAGGGTCTTGCTCTGTTGCCTAAGCTGGAGAAGCTGGAGTGCAGTGTCATGATCTCGGCTCACTGCAACCACCAGCTTCCGAGTTCAAGCAATTCTCCTGCCTCAGCCTCCGTCATGGCTGGGACCACCACGCTCAGCTTTTTTTTTTTTGTATTTCTGGTAGAGACAGGGTTTTCACCATGTTGCCCAGGCTGGTCTCAAACTCCTGGCCTCAATTGATCCACCCACCTCGGCCTCCAAAAGTGCTGGGATTACAGGCATGAGCCACTGAGCCCAGCCACACTATTCCTTTTTATTTGTAAATTGTGATATTCACATTAGTTATTGGTGATGGGTAAACAGAATGACAATATCTATTAGAATAAATAAGAAACAATTAGAACAGTACAGTACTGAGACAACTAGATCAATCAATATATTCCAAAAGACAATATTTGGAGTGTCATGATGAGAAAAAAGCCATTTAATTTTCTTTTAATTAAAATTTTTGTAGAGACAGGGTCTCACTATGTTGCCTAGGCTGGTCTCAAACTCCTGGCCTCAAGGGATCCTCAATCCTGGGCTCTCAAACTGTTGGGATTACAGGCATGAACCATGCATCTGGCTGAAAAAGCCTTTTGTTGTTGGTGGTGGTGTTTGTTTTTTTGAGACAAAGTTTTGCTCTCATTGCCCAGCCTGGAGTGCAGTGGCACAATCTCGGCTCACCGCAACCTCCCAGGTTCAAGCTATTCTACTGCCTCAGTCTCCCGAGTAGCTGGGACTACAGACATGCGCCACCACACCCAGTTAATTTTGTATTTTTAGTAGAGACGGGGCTTCTCCATGTTGATCAGGCTGGTCTCGAACTCCCGACCTCAGGTGATCCACCCGCCTCGACCTCCCAAATTGCTGGAATTACAGGCATGAGCCACCGCGCCCAGCCAAAAGCCATTTTAAAAGAAGGTTCTTCCTCTGACTTTAGGGGTCAGGAACCCCCAGAAATATGTGCATTTTTGAAGAGAGTGTCTTTAATCTGTCAAATTTTCCAAGCGGTCCTTGACTCTGCAGTTGGATTAAGGTCAAGTATACAATGCCAGCCTTTGGATGGGATCGAAACGTATCAGCTGATTATCTGGATATTTTGCACAATATTTGACAGACTAAAATATTCTGCACAAACCACACCAGCAACTATTTGATAATGGAATGAACTTTCTACTTTTACCTGGATATGCCAAGCACTTTTATTATCATCCTCATTTTGCAGATAAGAAAACTGAGGCACAGAGTGGTTAAGTATCTTCTGCAAGGCCACACACACAGTGGTGGGCCTGGGATCTGGGTTTAGGAAAGTGATCCCAGAACCCCCCTCCTTTGTTTTTAACCACCATGTAATTCCATATGCCCTAAGAATAGGTTAACTTCAGGTTCACATTTCAAGGTTTAACTCATGATGAACTTTCTTACATTTTCCTGGGGAAAAAGAAACAGTTACGTCAGTTGAACCTAATATCTTGTTTGATGCCTCTCTCCTCTGTGTATGTGTTCTCGTTACATCCATTCATCCATCCTTAGCAATTGGCTTATTGGTTTGTTTTCCCTTCTCGGCTAGAAGTCGTTTAGGACAGGGATTGTGTTTCATGCTTCACTATACCCCTTAGCACGAAGCGTGCACATAGTACGTTCTAAATTAGTAGTTGCTGAATAAATTAATGCATTTATTTCCCTTCCTAGCTGTGCATGAAGAAGAATAACCTTAGAAGCTACTGCCTTATCTAGATTTGGGGTTGGTTTTAGATAGTATTTGAATATTTGCCAATGAGAATCTGGCCAGATCAAGAAAAACAGGGTATTCTAGAAAGTCAGATGCCCTACATACAATACCCTGACTCATTGTCCTATCTGTATAATCTGAAAATACTAAGAGGTTATATACCATGATCCTCAAACTAAAATTCTGCAGTTAGGCAATACATGGCTCTAGCCATGATCTTGTACCTAATTAGGGGGTGTGGAGAAAACCGAACCAAACCAAACCAAACCAACAAAAAACCCAAAAGCTTGTTCTTTTTCTAGCTGCTTAGAGCAAGGTTCTATTTGTAAGTTGAAGTTCTTGAACTTCTCACCATGGTATGCAAAATTTGGTTATATGTGAAAGTGAGTGCATCTCCTGGGAAAAAGTCCTGGCTTTCCCCAGTGGCTCAAAGTCTGTGGCACATAAAGTGTTAAGAAACAGTGTTTGGGGAAGCTGTGTAATCTGGTAGAAATAACTACATCTTCTTCTGTGCTGCACTATCAAAGCATCTATCTCAGAGCCCCAGCCAGCCATTTACTTCCCTCCCTTTCTGCCACAAAAGGTCTTTGAGAAAATAGAATGTTTTAATTCATTTTTTGTGTCCTAACAGCACTAAGCCTAAGCCTGGTAAATTGAAGCATCTCAATAAGTCAGAAAAAAGGAATGGCCTTTACAGTACAGATGTTTCAGTTTTCTGGAATCTTCTAGAATCTTCTAGAATAGACTAATCCTTTATTATCATGTATCTCACTTTCTTTGCTTCACATTTTAACTATGAAAAAAAAAAGACCATTGAACTTTAACTGTGAAAAGAAAAAGACCATTATTTTTCTGACCAACTGGTTTGGTCAATGGTAGGAAGAATGTGTCTTTAGAGCATTGTTTGTGGCTCAAGTCTTTTGAGGTCCTTTGAGAATATTTCTCTAAAATTCCTTAAACTTCATTTTTTGCTGGGTGCTCTTATGGATGCTTCTGGGAAAAAAAACAAAACTGTTACTGGAAACTCACAAGGCTAGAAAGAATTTGAGCCTCATGAACAGGACAGCTAGCATTGGTCAGGAAAACAAGACCTTGGGTCTTAGTAGAAGTGCAGTTATTAACTCAAAGGTGATCTAAGGCATGTCATTCATCCCTGAGGACCTCTATTTCATCCATCTGTAAAGTGAGAATACTGGTTTAGATGAACTTTAAATACTCTTTTGGCTCTCACAATCTATAAATCTTTAACCTGGTTCATTTCCACTCTTGAGCAGGGACAGAACAGTTTAGCCTGACCGTCTAATAGAAGCAATCTCTTTGGATTAAAGTATCTGTACTGGATTTCTCTGCATGCACCTCATATCCATTTTCATGGTTTTTCACCTTATTCTTTGTCCCCAGAGGCTGATCTTTAAAGATTGCATCACTAAGTTCCCTTACCCTCTGGCTTTCAGTTAGGTTTAACCCTTGGGAGACACCAGCAGGAGATGAGAAGGTGAGAGGGAGAGAGAGAGAGGTCAAGGTTTCCACTACCTTCCGTTGTCTCCACTGGAGCCTTCTGGGGGAAGGGGCTGCACTTCTCTATTCCTTTTCACAATTCCTACCAGGGGTCCTCAGCTGTAACGACAGCTCTGAGAATTGCTGCTACTCTTCTCTTTAGGTCCAGGAGTGACATTGGCTTCCTGCTGTTGCTACTCTTGTGGGGCTTTCCCGTCTCTTGTGGTTGGTTTGTCTCCATCCTGCCCCCATCTTTGTAAAGAAGTCATTCATTAAACTCTCTTTCACCATTTTCCATTTGAGGAATGAGGTAGGCTACATCTACACACTTGGCAGAAGAGTGGTTCTGAGAAATTTTCCAGCTGCAATTTTTTATGAAATTGATTAGATATTAAATTTTTATGAAATTAATTAGATATTCAACAAACAGGATTTTTTTTTTATTTGTGAAAAAAATATAAGGGTATATTGTGGAGTGGTGAAATTAGGGTTTTTAGTGTAATCATCCCCGAATGATGTACTCTGTACCCATAAATTAATTTCTCATCCTACAACCCCTCTCCCATCCTCCCACACTTCCTTCACACTCTACCTCCATGTGTACACATTATTTTAGCTCTCACTTATAAGTGAGAACGTGTGGCATTTGACATTCAATGAACAGGAATTTATTAAACACTTTGATGGAAGTGGACCTGCATAGCCACCTGATAAAAACTATCTACACTTTTGAAATCGACCATTATGTCACAGGATAAACAGCCAATGTTGACTAATGTTTCAATCTTTTTTAAGCATGGCCATGAAAATGGTTTCTAGATTCATTGGCAGGTCCTGCGGAAGTCAGGGTTGAAGACATCTCTGCTCATAAAAGTACACCTTAGTTTGTGTACACTAAGTTTAATTTAATTGGATTACTCTCCCATGGAAGATAAAGCTTATGTTTTTTTTTTTAATGACCCAAGCTGGAGTGCAGTGGCACGATCTTGGCTCACTGCAACCTCCACTGCCCGAGTTCAAGCGATTCTCCTGCCTGAGCCTACCGAGTAGCTGGGACTACAGGCATGCACCACCACACCCTGCTAATTTTTTTGTATTTTTAGTAGAAATGGGGTTTTGCCATGTTGGTCAGGCTGGTTGTTTTTTTAATAAGAAGAATACCCACAGTATATGTGAGAGGACTGAACACGTTGCAATGTGGTTAACCAGCTGACAAGTGGCATCATTAAAAAATAGACTCTTGGCATGTTAAGGGCAAATTTTCTCCAAAAAGAAATCGGTGAAACCCATCCTAGTAGAACTATATGTCCTGCGGAAGAAGTTGGAAGAAAAATGATGCTGAGAGAAGATTCTGAGAATGTAGAAACATAGCACATTGAGATCTCTTATGAAGTCAGAGTGAATGCAGAATTGGTCATCAGTTCTCCGAAAGACTAAGAGAAAGCTAGTAGACTTGCTGATAAATTAGGATTTGAGTAAGTCTTAAAGGTGGGATAAAAATTCACAAGTGAAGTAGGGGAGGAAAAAAAGGCTTTCAAAGCAAAAGGAGAAGCACAAGGAAAGCGACTGAGGAATCACTTAGTCCATTCAGAGTGAGCAAGGAGAAAGATTTTGTTAGAGAGTACAAGGTAGAGATACAGCTGGAGAACAGATCAGAAAGGTCTGTCTATGCTATGCCAAGGACTTTGTGCTTCATCCTATAAACTGGGAGTGAGTTCCTTTTAGGAGTAAAGTTTTACTCCCAAAGGGATATGTTTAATTTCTAGCTCCTGGTGCTTGAAAATTTGATCTTATTTGGAAATAAAGTCTTTGCAGATGTAATCAAGTTAGGATGAGGTTGTTAGAGTAAGCTCTAATTCAGTATGACTGTTGTCCCTATAAGAAAAAGAAAATGCAGCCCTGTGCAGTGGCTCACACCTGTAATCCCAATGCTTTGGGAGGCCAAAATGGGAGGATCACATGAGGCCAGGAGTTCAAGACCAACCTGGGCAACATAGTGAGACCCCATCTCTACAAAAAATTTTAAAAATTAGCTGAGTATGATGGCATGCATCTGTAATTCCCGCCACTTGGGAGGCTGAGGCAAGAGGATTTCTTGAGCCCAAGAGTTCTAAGCTGCAGTGAGTTATATTGCACCACTGCACTCCAGCCTGAGCTGGAATAGAGACAGAGTGAGGCTCCGTCTCTATTAAAAGAAATCGCCCCTAATCATTTATTCACGAGTCTGTCCAAGCCAATTTGGTAATCCATCCTACAGTTGCTAACAAGAGGATCGAGGGGATGACAAGCAGGGAGCAAAGATAATAAAGTCAGTGAGTATGTAGTCACCAGGTGGATGTCACAAGGCCAGCCCTCAATGCTTGGTTGTTGATATTAATATTGGGCTGGTTGCAGTGGCTCACACCTGTAATCCTAGCACTTTGGGAGGCCAAGGTGGGCGGCTCATTTGAGGTCAGGTGTTCGAGACCAGCCTGGGCAACATAGCAATACCACAGCTCTACAAAATTAAAAAGAAAAAGAAAACTCCAAGTGAAGACAGAGACAGAGACTGGAATAAGTGATGCAGCCACAAACCAAGGAACTCAAAGGATTGAGGCCACAACTCTAAGGGAGGAAGAAGCAAGGAAGGATTCTCCTAAGACTCTCAGGGGTAGCATGGGCCCATTTACACCTTGATGTTGAACTTCTGGCCTCCAGAGCTGGGAGACAGTAAATTTCAATTGCTTTCAGTTACCTAATTTTTAGTATTTTGTTATGTGTTTACATAAGTACCTGTATGGACAAGGATTGTTGGGTAACTGTATAAAGCGAGCCAAGGGTAAAACAATAGGAAGTGGAGGCGTTGTGGCAAACTAGAGAACTTGCATTCATCTTCACATTCAAATATTGTCAAAACAGGACCTGCAGCAAACAAAAGATCTGTGGACCAAATTAGACCCATCAGCTCCCAAGTGTATGACTTCAACTACACATTGGGAGGAATTCAAGAGTTTTAAGCTAAATGCTGATATTAGTTTTGCATTGAGTAGAAGAAACACAGACTGTAAGAGGTTTTTGGGTTTTTTTCCCTCTGCTCTCACACCACAGCAATTAACAAAGAAGACTTCTGTAACCAAATGTATGGGGATTTGTCCCCACCAAGAAGCAAGCAATCAGTTCTGCAGCAGATACCAGTGAGGCACCCTCTAGCCCAATTCAATTCTGATACTGTCTACCTGGAGATAGCATCAGATTCCACAGGTTGAGGACTCAGTCCCCACGACTGACCACCTCCTCCAACTTCAGATACCAATCACAAGTCCCAGGTTGTTTTACCTGTGCTTATGACCAACCACTATAAATCAGGGATCCCACAACCCCCTCCTCTGGTTCCAGTAATTTGTGAGATCGACTCACAAAACTCAGGGAAATACTTACATTTACTTACATTCATTATAAAACGTATTACAAAGGATACGGATGAAGAGATGCATAGGGTGAGGTATGAAGGTAAGGACGTGGAGCATTCATGCCCTACTGGGAGCTCCACCCTCCAGGAACCTCCACATGTTCAGCTATCAGGAAGCTCTATGAACCCCAGCCTCTTGGATCTATTACATGGACAACCATGTAGAGATATAACTGGATAAAAGAGTATGATCTCATAGTAATAGACAGAGTGGGGAAACCCAGCCAGGCCTGTCCAGATTCCTCCTGGCCTATCTGTACAGCATTCCTTCCTTTAAGGTATAGGACAGGACCCCTTCTGAAATGGAGGTCTTATGACCTACAATCAGGCAAAGTAGGTCACAGAATTTCTTTATGGAAAGGTGGGAGAAGATTTGAGTCCTGTCTTGGGGAGAACAAGAAGCAGGTGAGAGGAAAACAGAAGAAGTTCAGAGTGAGAGATTCTATTTTCTGAGTTGTGCTTCTGAGGCCTAAAGTGCTTCAATATTATAACAAAAGACTGTAACAAAGGCTATGGGAGTTAAGAGCCAGGAACTGCAGGCTTTTCCTGCAGTAGAAGGAAACACACGCACGCACCCACGTGTGTGCAATGCAGGTGTGTGCAAGGGACTTCAAAAGGCTCACAGAAAAATAGAATTAAAAGATTAAAAATAAAATATATAAACTTTATTTCTCAACATAATCACTACAAGCTCAAGACACTTTTGTAAGTGATGATGGTGTATATCCTAATATCACATGCATTGTGGAAAAATTGCTCTGGTGGCAATGAGGAAGATGAGTTAAAGGAGAGTGAGGAGAGTTAGTAAGGAGAGTTTGGTATTAACCAGGTGAGAGATGATTCAGATGTAGATCAAGACAAGGACAGTGGATACAAAGAGGAGAGGCAGTAGGATCAACAGCACTTAAGTTTTAAAGAGGAAAGGTTGGATTGGGAAGGGGCACTGAATAGGCAGTAGCAAGAATGAATTATCTCCTGTCATGACTATGCTGTGTAACAAACCACCTTGAAACTCAGTCTGAAATAACTACTTATTCTTATGGACCCAAGGTTGGGTATGGCTTGGCTGATTCAGGCTGGGCTTAGCTGGGTGGATCTGCTTCAGGCCATGCAGCTGTGCTTCTCACTGAAGGTCTCTGGTCTGGATGAAATAGTGCTGCTCCTTGCATCCCTCATCCTTCTGAAACTAGTGAGCTACAGAGGACACATACTTCTGATTGCAGTGACAGAGGGGCAAGAGGCAAACAGAAACACACAAAGCCCTAATGACTGGGCTCAGAGTGGGCACATTGTCTGTTCCACCCATTTGCATTGGCCAAAGAAAGCTATGTAAATACGTCCAAAGTCAAGGGGCAAGGAAGTGCATACCTCCCACAAGGAATCTACAACAGTGCTGTGGATGCAGGAAGGCTGGAGAATTGAGGCCAGTAATGCCATTTGCAATAGTCTGCCCTCTGGCCACCATTAATAACATCCCTCTCATATGCAAAATGTACTCACCAGCATCCCAGAACCCCGAAAATCTCACCAAATCATGGCATGAGGCACAAAGTCCAAGATTCCATCATCTATATCAAGTCCAAATGTGGCTTTTCTGAACTTAGAGTTATATGAATTAGATAGACACGTTGTCTTCTGCATACATGTCCTGTGAAAACAGGGACAAGATAAACACAACAAACACACTCATCAGAAAAGGGAAGAAGGGAAGGCACATAGCACTGACTTGTAGCAGTTTTGAAATCTCACTTAGAAAGTGTTGCCAGGGCTTCCTGCTCTCAGTCAGGAATGTTCCCTGATGAGACTGAGCTCTGCTTCCTTCCTCTTCCTTTGGTAGTCATGGCTCTTGGTTCCCCATTCTAGGATGCCTTTTCATTTCCATCATCTTTCTTGACCATTTTGGAAGAGAGCATTAGAAACGTCCTGTTTTGGTGGCTGAGCTGTTTTTTAAGACTACCATCTTTTCCAGAGAAGGTGAGAGACTTTAATTTGGATAAGTCTTGGTCCCTTTTTAATCCTTTAGCTCTTTCCTTTAGATCTTTATTCATATATAGCTAAATGTAACCATTTCATAATTTTAACACTTCAAAAAATTACCTTGCCCAAGTCCATAAATTCATTAAGTACCCTGTGTATCTTCCAAGTTATCATAGGTTTTACCAATTTTTTTTTTACCATCGCATACAATAGGTCAGCATTGTTTCAGCCCTTTATAATACTTTGATAACCATCTTCCAGATGCCTATAATAACTTCTTCACCTTTTGCCACCCAGTCCTAAAGCCAATACTACATATGTCAAGTTTTACTTATGGAAGGACTCCACTCCCAGACTAAATTTCTGCTTTGGTTAGCTATTGCTGCAAAAATGTCACTCCAAAACTCAGGGACTTAAAACAACACGCTTTTATCCCCATGGATCTGAGAGTTGTCTGGCAAAGGGTTGATCAGGCAGTGCTGGGCTGGACACAGTGAGGCCATGGCTAAGATGCAGAGGCAGAATGCCTACTGCTCACCATGGTTTATAAAAAGGGGAAGAGCAGAGCTGAAGGGAAAGGTAAGGAGCTCAGCTTTGGAGACAATGATTTTTTTTCTTTGAGAGAGTCTCTCTCTGTCCCCCATGCTGTAGTGGAATGATACGATCTCGGCTCACTGCAACCTTCACCTCCTGGGTTCAAGCAATTCTCCTGCCTCAGCCTCCCAAGTAGCTGGGATTACAGGTGCCTGCCACTACGCCCGGCTAATTTTTATATTTTTAGTAGAGACAGATTTCACTGTGCTGGCCAGGCTGGTCTCAAACTGCTGACCTCAGGTGATCCACCTGCCTCGGACTCCCAAAGTGCTGGGATTACAGGCGTGAGCCACTGCACCTGGCCAAGACATTGATTTTATGATGCTAGTGGAACAATCAGGTGAAGAAATGGAGCATAAGAGAACTGTCTTGGGGAGAGAGAGAGGGAGAAAGAGAGACTAGAGGGTCATAAGATTGTACATTGGGGCTAAGGATGCGGGAATAGATGATCTTTTAAGATGATTACATAAAGTGACAAGAGGCTATAATATAACGTTTTAGGGTCACCAACATTTAAGAGGCTTGGAAAGGAAGAGAAGCTCACAAAAAGAACCTAGATGGAACAGAGATATGGGAGAGACACTGTGGAAGCCAAAGGAGAAGAGTTCTATTATTGTGGGATTGAATAACAGTGCCAGTTGCTGCAGTGATCAAGCAATATGGAAACGGGAAAGAGTCTTTGGGACTTGGCAATTGGTAGAGAGATCAATTAATTTATCTGCAAACTAGGACACATTTGAGAGTGAACAGAGAGGGGCTATTAATAATTACAGCAGGACAACATGTGTTCGTGGGCAAACAAGGACATATGGTCACATTAGTCTCTGGGGATCTTTGCCAGACTGTTTCTACAGAGTAACTGCAGTGTAAGCTTGGCTTGCAGTGGGCAGAGGTGTCATATGGAACATGAAGGAGTTGAGACAGCTGGAGTATATTTCTTTCTAGGAGCCTGCTTGGATGAGGAAGTGGGACAAGAGTACAGTAACAAGACCACAGGCTTGGACAGATGTTTGAATCACCTTTTTTTTTTTTTTTTTTTTTTTTGAGATGGAGTCTCACTCTGTCACCCAGGCTGGAGCAATCTCAGTTCACCACAACCTTTTCCTACCGGATTCAAGTGATTCTCCTGCCTCAGCCTCCAGAGTAGCTGGGATTACAGGCACACACCACCACGCACAGCTAATTTTTGTATTTTTAGTAGAGACGGGGTTTCACCATGTTGGCCAGGCTGGTCTCAAACGCCTGACCTCAAGTGATCAGCCCGCCTTGGCCTCCCTGAGTGCTGGGATTACAGGCATGAGCCACTGCACCTGGCCAAATCAACTTATAACAGAGAAGTCCTTAAACAGCTTTTAAGTGTAACCAAATTCAACTGACTGTGAGATTTTTTTTCCAGAGGATTTAGAAAGTAGAACCTGCTAGTAAGACCTAGTAAGACCACCCCCTCCCCCACTCCATACACACACACACACACACACACACACACACACACACACACACATATATATATATATGACATTGGAAAAGGACAATGGGAAAGAATAATCCCATTGGCTCAGGTTGTGGCACCATTTTCAGCAACAGCAAAACCATATTTGTACACACACCTTTGAAATATTCTGTTGTCAAAGGACCTCAGTAAAATGCACTATGGAAAACTCAAAATAAATATGCTATGATACGACTAAGTCTCAAAGTGTATTGAGAGTATTAGAACACTCGCTGCTTGCAGCATACAGCCTCTTCATTCTCTGACCTTGCTAACTTCCCTTCCAAGCCTTCCCTCCTCCACCACACCCAATCTACTGTTAAAAAGTATTCTGAAACCAGACTGATGGCACAAGTCCCAGCTTCAGCAACCCTCTTTGTTAACGGTATCTGTTGGCTCAGGAGTTCATGTGACCAGGCATCAGGAATAATTTCATGATAATCTAGGTTGAGTTTTCTCTTTCCCATCAATGCCAGAGAGTGAGAATGCCAGTCCCACTGATTTCAGGAGCCGGCACAGGACACAGGTCTGGGCTTTATCTCAGTAGTCAAGTTTCTTTTATTGGATTGCCTATGGGGGAAATCTCAGCTCTCAGGCATCACAATGAATGATTCTGAGAGCTTTTACTTGATCTCTAAACTTATCTGCGTATTTATGCAGATTTTGGTTCTTTTTTAAACAACCCTTTCAATTCACTAGTGACTAACAGAATAGCAATACATTTTGGCTAGGCAGAACGTGAGAAGTGAAGTTACATTTGAAAAAGAGTCTTTTCTTTTAGGACATAAAAGATAACTCTCTCAACAACTGGCAATCGTGAAACCACTTTGCCAACAACAGGGTCCCAAGGATGAGAGCCAACCTATTTTAAACATGTCTTAATTTCACTGAAATTTCAGGACTGTTTTTTTAAAACATTCAAAAGACAGAGTTTTAAAGGCAAGCGTATAAAATGTAAATTGCTTCCTCTGGTTATTGCAGAGTGAGGGGTGGTTGTTCCTATTCTTGTTTCTGAATGAGGAGAAAATGCTCATCAGTTCTGGGTGGGATGCATTAACTGGGACACACTGAATACCACAATGGTTAAGTCAGAGCTGACTTCTAAGTCCTGGCTCCATCTTTTATTAGCTGTGTGACTTTGGGTAAGTTAATCAACCTTTCTGTGTTTTATTTTTCCTCCAGTATAAATAGAGAGAAATCATAATGGCCACCTCATAGAACTCTGTCGTAAATATTTAATGAGGCTGTGTTTGTAAAGCCACCTGGTACAAGACAATTATAACATAAAATAAAAGCTCAGTAAAAGTAAAATACATGACTATTTCTTTTGTCATAGATCCGGCCTGAGGAGTCCCAGAAACCAACTTCAAGAAGACCACCAGGAGTTTAATACCAGCCTGGGCAACATGGTGAGACCCTGTCTTTACAAAAACATTAAAAAATTAACTAGGTGTGGTGGCGTACACCTGTAGTCCCAGGAGGCTGAGGTGGGAGGATCACCTGAGCCCAGGAGTGTGAGGCTGCAGTGAGCTATGATTGTGCCGCTGCACTCCAGCCTGGGTGACAGAGCAAGAACTCATCTCAAAACCAAAAACAAAAAAAGAAGAAGGCTTTAAAAAACCTTAATATGTGAGAAAAACTATTGCAGGCTCCAAACCTCAGGTCTGAACAATGGGGCATGTGCTCTGTACCCACCAATGATGCTCTCTGCAAATAAATGTTCAAGTTTAGGGAGCTCCTAGCAATAGTGGGAGAGGGAGCTTAACTCAGAACAGGACTTCTAGCTCCTTCAGCCCGGTGCAGGTCTGGCTTCGAGTAGCATCAGGAATCGACTTCTGTGTGTTCCTCACATTGGAACTCTCCAAGTTATTGGTTTGGTTCTCCATTCACAGCCTTTCAAACTGGCATTTTCCTGAGTTTTAGCTCTACCAGACCTGTGGACATGGAACCCTGGCCTTCCAGCTCTGTCTTAAAGATGGTCTCATAGTGATATTCACTCCTGGGCTGGCACTCCTTCCTTATGAGAGACCCTCTGCTACTGATTGGGGGACTGTTTTAGTTGTACAGAGAACAGGGCGTTTTGTCACTAATGACAAAGGACCAAGTGGAATATTATGAGTAAGTTATATACAAACTATCCTCTGTAAACCAATATTGCTAGTATATTTTACTTTTTAATTTTTATTTTATTTATTTATTTATTTTTGAGACAAGGTCTCCCTCTATCACCAAGGCTGGAGTGCAGTGGTGCGATCTCAACTCACTGCAACCTCTGCCTTCCGGGCTCAAGCGATACTCCTGCCTCAGCCTCTCAAGTAGCTGGGAGTAAAGTTGCGTGTCACCATGCCCGGCTAATTTTTATATCTTTTTGCAGAGACATTGTCTCCCTATGTTGCCCAGGCTGGTCTCAAACTCCTGGGCTCAAGCGATCCGCCTGGCTCGGCCTCTCAAAGTGCTGGGATTACAGGTGTGAGCCACCACACCCGGCCTAGATTTTATTTTGTTAATGCAATGTTTCTGGGAGATGCTTTCTTAAAACGCAATAAATATAAAACTACAAAAGAAAAGTCAATCTCAAAATAACTCTTTATTAGGACTTTTAGACTAGGTCAGGGAACTATTTGGATTGTAAAGGGAAATCCTAGGAGCTTACTTTTAAAAAACAGTCTTAAGTTCATACAGTGAAAAAAAGATTGTGGAAGAACAAAGTGTTCTTTTAAGTTCTGATAGAAAAAAACACATTATGCTTTGCTGAAGATCCTAAAACGGGGGGGAGATATTGATGATCTATCATCTCTGAGCATGTTTCATGGTGCTTTAAAAAGTCCCTTTTAAAGTGTGAATGTATATATATCTCCATAGAAACAATTTTATAGGATGCCCTAGAGGTTTTGAACATGTTTATACTTCTTTGCACAGAAATTCTGGTTCTAAGTTGCTCTCCTACAACAAATATTTATTGAGTGCCTACTCAAGAACTCTTGTGAAGAATTTTTCTGGGCAGTTGAGATACATCCAAGAAGAAAGACACTTAACACTGTCCTCTCTGAGCTTACATTCTAGCGGGTAGTTACAGATAAGGATGCAGATATTGAAGGAATAAATTACAGAGCACATTTGAGGGATTCGTGCTAGGGAAAAAGCAATGCAGGGAGGGGAACCAGGAATGTGGCTCAGCATGGAGCAGGTTACAGCATAAATAGGGATCTATAGCAACATTTTTAATGGCTACAAAGAATTTCATTATTTGGAAGCACCATAGTTTATTACCAATTAAATTTATTCCAAATTCATTATTATACATAAAGCTTCAATGAACATCCTTATATGTCTGCCTATCTATCTATCTATCTATCTATCTATCTATCTATCTATCTATGCCTATTTAGCTATCAATGTATTTTTTTTAAGACAAAGTCTTGCTTTGTTGCCCAGACTGGAGTGCAGTGGTGCAATCTCAGCTCACTGCAAGCTCAGCCTCCTGGGTTCAAGCTATTCTCCTGCCTCAACCTCCTGAGTAGCTGGGATTACACACCACCACACCCGCCTAATTTTTGTATTTTTAGTAGAGACAGGGTTTCACCATATTGGCCAGGCTGCTCTCGAACTCCTGACCTCAAATGATCCTCCCGCCTCAGCCTCCCAAAGTATTGGGATTAGAGGCGTGAGCCACTGGACTTAGTCTGTCTTTCTATCTATCTATCTATTTATCTATCTATCATCTATCTAATACCTGTCTGGTTGTTTTCTTAGGATAAATTTCTAAAAGTTAAATTACTAAGGCAAATTTTTAACAATTTTATTTATTTATTCTTATTTTTATTTATTTTATTTTTATTTTTGAGACAGAGTCTCACTCTGTCACCTAAGCAGGAGTGCAGGGGCATGATCTCAGCTCACTGCAACCTCTGCCTCCCAGGTTCCAGGGATCCTCCCACCTCAGCCTCCTGAGTAGCTGGGACTACTGGCAAGCCTGCTTCATTTTTTTGTTTTTGTGTTTTTTTTTTTTTTTTTTTTGTAGAGATGGGGTTTTGCCATGTTGCCCAGGCTGGGCTCGAACTCCTGGGTTCAAGTGATTCTCCTGACTTGGCCTCTCAAAGTGCTGGGACTACAGGCGTCAGCCACCATGCCAGGTCAAGTCAAATATTATAAGTTTAAGACTTATCTTAATAGTAATCAATTATAATATTAGAATTTCCCCAAATAAAAAAATATAGTTATAAGTTTTTCACCAGGAAAGAGATCACTGACATTCATTGAGTTTTTCCAACATCTTCACAAGAGCACTGATGTGTCCTACCATTTAATCTTATATTTACTTACTTTCTATTTTTAATTTGATAGATAGTTCAAACTTAGTTCTGGGTCAGACCAAGGCAAACATCCTGCCAATGGGAGATACTCAACAGCGGAATGACCACAGGTTAACTAGTCATTTGTTGGCAAAACCTTTTAAAATTCTGTTGATGAATGGCATAGAAATGATCAATTGTATTAAAGCATGGTCTTTACATTTCAGACTTTTCAGAGTGGTATGTGATGTTATGGAGAATAAGTTTCAGATTTTATAGGTTGAATCATATAAAATTGAAGGTCTTCAACTATTTTTAACCTATAAAATTGACCATTTTGTATGGGTCAATCTAGGAAATTGGAAGTTCATTGGTTGCTTATAGAAAGGTGATGGAGTAAATTCCACATAAAAATTCCTTTGGCCAATAAGGGCACCTCACCTAAGAAATAGCTCTTAAATATATTATGATATCAGATGTTACAAATATCTTTTTAATTTTTAAAAATACGCTGAATGAATTCAATTAGCAATGTTAGGTCACAGCGTGCTAACAACTTCAGAGTTAAACATAAAATCAAAATTTTAATTTGGAGGCTTTGGGGATTTGGGGGAAAGGGTGGCAGGTGGTGAGGAATAAAAGACTACACGTTAGGTACAATGTACACTGCTTGGGTGATGAGCGCACCAAATTATCAGAAATTACCACCAAAGAACTTATTCATATAACCAAACACCACTTATTCCCCAGAAACCTATTGAAATAAAAAAAAATAAATTTTTGACTGAATATGCAATAGAGAATAAGTTCTACTTATTCTATTTTATGGAATGAAGTGCTGCCCTTCCTACCAAAAAAAAATTTTTTTTTTTCTGAGATGGAGTTTCACTCTTGTTGCCCAGGCTGGAGTGCAATGGTGTGGTCCTGGTTCACTGCAACCTCCGCCTCCCAGGTTCAAGCAATTCTCCTGCCTCAGCCTCCCAAGTAGCTAGGATTACAGGTGCCCATCACCACGCCCAGCTAATTTTTGTATTTTTAGTAGAGACCGGGTTTCAGCACGTTGGCCAGGCTGGTCTTGAACTCCTGACCTCAGGAGATCTGCTTGCCTCGGCCTCCCAAAGTGCTGGGATTACAGGCATAAGCCACCACACCTGGCCCAAAAAATTGTTTTTAAAAAGAGAACAAATTCTGCTCTTCTGAAATTGAGTGAAAGTATGATGAGAGAAATTGAGTGAATGTCTCATAGAGATGCCAAGCTAGGTTTTCTGTTGTTAATTAGATCACTGAAAAATCTCATGCTATAGGATACATTTGAATAATTTTTTCTACCACAAAATGTACAGACAATAAAATAATGGAGTGGTCTACCCACTGCCAGTGTCTAAACTGAACGCTAACTGTAGCAGAAGGATGCTTGTAGCTGAAACCCAATTAAAATATCTTAAAGTATACAGACTTTTCTCTTTTTACATAACCAAAAGTCTGGATGTCTCAACACTGTCATCAAGGACTTGGGTGCTGTCACTCTTTCTACATCTTTAATGTGTTGTCCAGGTCTCTAGGTGTGGCATCTCATGATTGCCAGATAGCTTCTTAGTTCTAGGGTCATGAGCACCCCTCAAGAGTGCCTTGCTGGAGTATGTTCTCACATGCCTTTCAGATATCCCCTGGCCCCACACTTTGGAAATACAGTCAGGCGTGGTGACTCACGCCTCTAATCCCAGCACTTTGGGAGGCCAAGGCGGGCAGATCACCTGAGGTCAGGGGTTCGAGACCAGCCTGGCCAATGTGGTAAAACCCCATCTCTACTAAAAGTACAAAAATTAGCTGGGCATGTGGTGGCACCTGTAATCCCAGCTACTCAGGAGGCTGTGGCAGGAGAATTGCTAGAACCCAGGAGGCAGAGGTTGCAGTGAGTCGAGATTGCGCCATTGCACTCCAGCCTGGGCAACAGAGTGAGACTCTGCTTCCAAAAAACAAAAACAAAAACAAAAACAAAAAACCCCCGAAATACTAGAATGTTAAGGGGACCTAGAAAACTTTGATTATTGACATCACTCAACTTCATCCTTGAAGAATGAGAAAGAGCTCAGCCTCCCTGAAAGGAAGTGACTGTTTAGATAAGGATGAGCAAAACAGAGGTACTGTTAGCAAGAAAGAAATGGGGCAATGCATATTGGAGAGGGACCCTAGAGCATAGGTCTCAATGGCAAAGTCAGTAATAATTAAAATGAATCATCAAAAAAAAGGTGCAAGTGCCCTGCCTTGGATTTTCCGTAACTCAACACCTCTGGATTCAGATCTGATTTCAACTGGAATCCATGTCATGGTGTGGTCTCCCCCACATTGACTCATAACTATAAGCTGAGTTTTGGTGAAGTGAATCTAATTTTCCCTTTGATTTATTTTATGATAAGCTTTCCCCACATTTTCCTGTAGTCTGAATTTAAAACAGTTTGTAAGAGTGTGATTAAGCAATGGATCAAGTCCACAAAATATTGGGCGATATAACACTTCATCCTTCTGGAAGTGCTTTGTAACTGCAGACACTTTTCCTGACTCACTATCTGTCCTCCTTGGGTCGCCACTGTTGTTCAAACTCTGCAAATCTTTGAACTGTCTGACTCCATACTTATCATTTCTGCCCCTGCACTCTCATTCTCTTCTTTTGTCTGAGAGTGGAGAATGTCTGAGAGATTGCATCACAGTCACGTTAACCCTTGGTACTGCACAGCCTAACAGGATAAGAAAGGTTCAGTCTGGATAGGAACTAGAGCAATCAGACATCTATTCATATCTCAACGTCCTTTTGTCTGAAGGATTTTGGTTTTAGAAAATTAATTTGTGCTCTAATGTATCAACTTGGCAAGTTAGAAATCTGTAAACCAAGGTAAACAATATTTTTTGCTCTATAAAATCGTACACGTAGACACCACAGAGTGCAACTTGAAGAGTTAAAAAGTAAAACCCAGTGAGCAGCAAGCAAACTGCCTTTGCTCCCATTTGCCTTAGGGGAGAAAACTTTTCATGGTAGGGATTGCAAAACAACCAACTAAATAACTTTTACATGATTAATGGGGTGAAGGTTAGACTAAAATGTGATGTCTTCCCTCCAAAAATTAGGAAGATTTTAAAAACTCTTTCCTTTATTTAGTACAAGGAAGGCTGCAGTTTTCATTTTATTATTATTTATTTATTTACTTATTTATTTATTTTTGAGATGGAGTTTTGCTCTTGTTGCCCAGGCTGGAGTGCCAATGGCGCGATCTCTGCTCACTGCAACCTCTGCCTCCCGGGTTCAAGCGATTCTCCTGCCTCAGCCTCCTGAGTAGCTGGGATTACAGGCACGTGCCACCATGCCCAGCTAAAGTTTTTAGAAGGAAGAGTGTATTTGCTTTAGAAGAAAATGAATCTAGCCTGGCACAGTGGCTCACACCTGTAATCCCAGCAGTTTGGGAGGCCAAGGCAGGGCGATCGCTTGAGCCCAGGAGTTTGATACCAGCCTGGGCAACATGGTGAGACCCCATCTTTATAAAAAAACGCAGAAATTAGCCGGGCTTGGGGTCACACATGCCTGTAGTCCCAGCTACTTGGGAGGCTGAGGTGGGAGGATCACTTGAGCCCAGGGAGGTTGAGGCTGCAGTGAGCCATGACTGCACCACTGCACTCCAGCCTGGGATATAGAGTGAGACCTTGTCTCTAAATGAAATGAAATGAAATGAAATGAAATGAAATGAAATAAAATAAAATAAAATAAAATAAAATAAGGGAATCTCCAGAATTTCAGTATTTTAGCAGCAAATATCAGGAGTATTAGCCAAATCAATGAAAACTAGGATAAATAACATATGTTTAAATTTTAAGACAAAGTTTTGATTATGGGAATTAAGAAGTCTGTGCTACTAACATATCCTCTGTGATTATAGGAAGGCACATTAAGGTACAAACTCATATCAAAGGAGGAAATAGACAAGTATGGAACAGACATAAAGACAGTTACATAGATGAAGGAAATATTGGGATGTTGATGTAGGAAAAGAACATGGTCCAGGCCTTCTTGATGTATTTTGCAAAGGTTCATAACAAGCATGCTATGCCTTTCTATCATTTGTGGTTACTTAATAAATGGTACATAGTTCATTCTATACATGGTTCAGTTCTTCTAAACTAATTTTTTGTTCTTTATTTAAAAACAAAATTGTAAGTTTGAAAAAAAAAAAGTACAAGTCTTCCAGGGGTGCAGAAATGGGTTGAGGCAAATGATTTTTGTAGCTGAGAATCTGGACCCTCAAGTTGGCAAACAAGCTAGTTGACATCAGATTGGGTGTATACAGGGCCTGCTCTTGTTTGTTTCTGTTCCAAGGTTACACAGATGCACTTATAAACTGACCAAGTAGTGCAGAGGGAGGAGGCCCCCTTTTAAAGATCCTTTTAAAGAAACTGCTTCTATATTGATCCAATTTTTTTAAAAGTGAAGAAAGCGATTATACCTTGGCTGGGTGCAGTGGTTCACACCTGTAATCCCTATGCTTTGGGAGGCTGAAGCAGGAGGATCGCTTGAGTCCAGGAGTTCATTCAAGACCAGCTGGGGCAACATAACGAGACTTCATCTCTATAAATTTTTTTGAAAAAATATAAACAGGTGTGGTGACATGCTTCTGTAGTTCTAGTTATTCAGGAGGCTGAGGCAGGAGGATTACTTGAGCCCAGGAGTTTGAGGTTACAGTGAACTATGATTGTGCCATTGCACTCCAGCCTAGGTGGCAGAGCGATGGCCTGTCTCTAAAGAAAGAAAGAAGAAAACTGTTATACCTGTTTTTTTTTCTTGGGATCCTATGTTTGAATTCATTGCCAACATTTTCTTACCAGGTAGATATAAAGCTTTTACAAGGTTATTCATGGCTATTTGAATACATCCTTTATTTGTTTCTCTATTCCCCTGTCCATCTTCTTCAGTTACACACCCTTCTGATCTCTCTTCTGTCTTGAACCCATGAACCCATGATCCTTTGATGTCTCTCCTTGATCCATGTCCCCACTCCAGATTCCAGAAGCTCATGCTGCCCTTTCACTGATAAAATGTTCCTTTTCAATCTCAACACTGCCATTACCATCCAGACAAAATGAGAATCAAATTTGTAGGAATACAGATATGTAAAGCAGAGATTCTTGGGGAGTTAAAGGGACTTTAAAGACAAATGGCAAATGGGGCGATAACATTTCCAAGCAAAAGGTATTCTTATTATATGAAAAGTTAACACAAATTAGCAAGGATAAGATCGACAACTCAAGGAACAAGTGGGGAAAATCTCTGCCAAAAAGCAGAAAAATTCAATAAGTGTATAGTTAATACTTTCAAGCTCATTTTCAGTCAATGGAATGCAAATGAAAGAGTGACAGCATTTTTTACATATCAGAATGTCAAAGGCTGAAAAGGATTATAATTACTCATGCTGGCAAGAGTGTGATGAAATGAGCATGTCGGGGGCGGCTGTTGGGAGCCTACATGTGTACAAACTTAGCCTGGGGCATTATCAAAGCCTTCAACATGTTTCTGGTCTTTGAAGTAAGAACACTTCCAGGATTTTATCCTAAGGAAATAATTAGGGAAGCATGCAAAAACTTTTCTGTGCCGGGATGTTCTGTGCAATGTTATTTGTAATACTTGAAAAAATGGAATCATTAGCTGCACAATATTAGAAATCTAGTTAAATAATTTATTTTTATAAGAGAATCTAGTTATATAATTTATTTTATATAAAATCACATTGTCAGAGACTTCTTGATTTATGGGGCAGGATCACATTATATTAAGTGAAAATTGATGTGTTTTGTGACAGCGTGAGGTGCGAAAGGCAGAAATGGGTTTTAGAGTCAGATGACAGGTGTTTGAATTCCAACCTTTTCACTGATCGGCAAATTAACTTGGAAAAATTACTTAACCTTTCTGAATCTCAGTTTCCTCATCTGTAAAATGGGGATAATATGTTAACAGGCCTGTTGTAAGGTTTAATTAAGAGATTGTATGTAAAGTGCTTTGCCAAGGACCTAACATGTAGAAAACATTCAATAAATCAACAATGCTATTTAAGTCACCCAAATGTCACTGAGACTCATTAGGCTATCTGTAATATGTAAATGACTCTCATTAACATCAGTATCAATAAATTTATGTCCTTGCCCACCACTTGCTCACACAGGACCTCTGATGCAACTTGTAAAGTACACTCTCCTCTGAATATTTCAGGGAGGCCCCCAAGTACACCTAAATTAGTTTCTTATTTTCACCAATCAGCTTCTGCTACATTGTTTCTTGCAGATTTCAGCCATTATCACTCATTCATCTCTGTGTGTGAAATACCTATGATTAAGCAGCTCTGTGTTACCCAAATATACATTGATGCATCCTGGCCCATTTTCATGGATTTATACCTAGCTGAGGGGAAGAGAAAACAAATATTTACAAATGAATATATATATATATATATATATTGTATTGAGTGGGCTAGGCTCAGTTGTCTGGCGAGCCTAGGATTTCTGCTCCTATTTAAGTTGGGCTATTACAAAGCTGATGGGAGGGTCTGTGGCTGTTGGAGGAGCCTGTCACTGTGGGCTTCACTGTGGGAGGGTCTGCCTGAACAATAGCTGTATCTGTAAGTCTTTTCTTTTGGTCTGGTCAGATTCTGTTCTTCTATTTGGATGGCAAGTCTGGGCCTTAAAGCTGAATGTGTGAAGAAAGCTGTGGGTTTTTAACATTGAGAAGGGTTCCCCAGGTCTCAGCTGAATTTTTTTTTTTTTTTTTTTTTTTGAGACAGTCTCACTCTGTCTCCTAGGCTGGATACAGTGGCACAATTATGGCTCTCTGCAGCCTCAACCTCCCGGGTTCAGGTGATCCTCCCACCTCACAGCCTCCCGAGTAGCTGGGACCACAGGCAAGCACTGCCATGCCTGGCTAATTTTTGTATTTTTTTGTAGAGGTGGGGTCTTCGCTATGTTACCCAGGCTGGTCTTGAACTCCTGGGCTCAAGCCATCCTCCGGCCTTGGCCTCCCACAGTGTGTGAGCCATTGCCCCCTGTCCCCCAGGTCTCAAGTGATTTGATGTCCCTTCAACTTTCACTCCATGCAGAGAATAAACCTGCAGTGTTCCGCAGGATAGGAAAAAGACGGTTACTTAGCTGTATGTGATGAAAGAGGGAATCTGCTTTTGTGTCTTAACCACTTTTAACCAATTCTTATTTCAGTCTCTCCTTCACCCCCACTCCCAGAGGTACGTGGTGCTATCATTATCAGAGCCATTGTGGGGGCGTCTTCGGTGCAAATGTGGTTATCTTCATCTTTCTCAGCAGGAGCTGAGGGTTCAGCATTCTTTGGTCTTCGGAATCAATCTCCAGTCATTCTTTAACTTTTCCACATGCAAAGTTCAGTTGCTATCATCTCCTTTCCCAACCTTGTGACCCTTTAGAAAATTCCCTTCTGTCAGGCTAGGGGTGTTTTAGGAAGGAACAGAGTTAAATGTATATTTTTAATTCACTATCTTTAACCTGAAGTTTAGATCTTAAAGATTTTTGAAAAGTTGGTTGGCAGAGGTGGCTGGTGAGTTTCCAATGAGGGGGATTTTTGTTTGTTCCATTGCATATTTAACTGGAGAGGATATTCCAGAGCCTTCGATATGCCGACTCTGCCTGGTATGTTGTGATGGGACAGAGGAAAGAAAGTGTCTCTTCCCCTTCTGAATTAGGCATGTTTACAGCAATTTAGTGGGACATGTCTTTTGAGTTTTACTTACAGCTGTCACCATTGACAAAGGATTTCAGAGGAGTTGCTGGGGGATGGGGACTGAGAGAAAATTCAGGTGATAGAGATCATGATTCTGGCTCATTCTATCCGGCTACTTTTTTCCTTAGGATTTTCCAAGACTTGTATTCCTAGTTTCCCAGATTCAGTGGGTCATACTTGAATCCCCAGGATGGACACAATTTAGGCTGGGGCTGGGATTTCTGCTGCATTTATTTATTGAAAAGGAGACTTTCAGATTATTTAACTAACTCCTCCATTTTACATAAAAGCAATCTGGGGTCCAGAAAGTTTCAATGACTTAACTAAGGTCGCAACTTTGAGCAAGCAGCAGGATCTCATGACTGGAGCTACAATCAAGGAATTATAACACACATTGAAATTCCTTAAGAAAATGGTATTAAGGAAACAAGGGACATTATCTCACTACATAAGATAGGAAAGACAGGAGGAAATTTGCTTAGCCAAACCTAACTTTATAAAGGTAATACCCTGAAACGTGACCTTTGTATCCTCTCCTGTTCCTTACAACCAACAATGAAATCTTAAGACAAAATGACTCACATTTGCCAAAGGCTGAGAATTTCAGTCCCCCAATAATACTGGAAAAATGGGGGGTTAAAAAGCATCATAGTCGCTCTGGGTGCAGTGGCTGACGCCTGTAATCCCAGCACTTTGGGAGGCTGAGGTGGGCGGATCACCTGAGGTCAGGAGTTCAAGACCAGACCAGCCTGACAAAAATGGAGAAACCCCATCTCTACTAAAAGTACAAAAATTTAGCCGGGCATGGTGGCACATGCTTGTAATCCCAGCTACTCAGGAGGCTGAGGCAGGAGAATCGCTTGAACCTGGGAGGCAGAGGTTGCGGTGAGCTGAGATTGCCCCATTGCACTCCAGCCTGGGCAACAAGAGCGAAATTCCACCTCAATTAAAAAAAAAAAAGCATCATAGTTGCTTAAGCATCATAGATGCCCAAAAAGCTTCAGAGTCGAGGGTATTTAGGACTCTTCAAATCTAGTTCCCTTTGAGCTCTTCCCATCTCCTCATTCTTTCTGATCATCCATCCATGGTTATCCATTTATAGTAGCTATCCTTTATTTGCATTTCTCTGTTCATTTTCTTCCAGCAATAGCTCTCACTTTTACTGTGGAGTTCACCTCTGCTTCCTTTCAGCCCAGGCTGCCTGGGTGAGCTTGTAGTTCAGGTGCTCCTGGCCTCAGAGGTTATTTAAGAGCTGGGCATTTACTATTCCAGAGGACTCCTTGGGACTTCCACTGGGAAAGGTAGGGCCAAGAAATGAAAAGAGAGAAACTTCATGCTGCTGACTTTATTTATGCTGCTGACTTTATTTGAGCTCTGGAGCAAGCCAAATTGGAAGCCAGAATACTTGTGAATGATAATGTAACATAGATGTATTACTCGGTTTTCATGCTGCTAATAAAGACATACCCAAGACTGCGCAATTTACAAAAGAAAGAGGTTTAATGGACTCACAGTTCCACATGGCTGGGAAGGCTTCACAATCATGGCAGAAGGCAAAAGCTACGTCTCACGTGGCGGCAGGCAAGAGAAGAGAATGAGAGCCAAACGAAAAAGATTTTGCCTTATAAAACCAAGAGATCTCATGAGACTTATTCACTACCACAAAACAGTATGGGGAAACAACCCCCCTTGATTCAATTGTCTACCACTGAGTCCCTCCCACAACATGAGGGAATTATAGGAGCTACAATTCAAGATGAGATTTGGGTGGGGACACATCCAAACCATATCCATGGATTAATAAATATAACCTCTGTTTTCTTTCTTGATCCAGTGTCAACAGGGCAGAGTGGTTTGTGTCACTTGCAAGGAAATTCTAACTGTTAAATTATTAGCACAAACACGCATGCATACACACTAATGTCTTGATAATATATTACTTCTAAGGGACAATTTAGGCTGTTTGCAAATGAAGAGAGAGATTTTCCTAAATGCATAATGTCCCCAAGCCTCTGCCTGCAATGGGAACAGAGCTTTACATCATGAGACAAAATGCTGACTCCCTACTTGGTTCATCTTCCAGCTTCTGAATGTGTCCCCAGTAGCTACAAATGTGTAGGGAATGTGGCCTTTTGGTGCAGTTTTCAAGCAGAACCATCTGCTCCACCAATGGCCACCTCATGGCATTTCAAAGAGCTGACTTAAAGGTTTGAAATGATCACCTTTCTATAGGATGTCTGGTCACAATCTATACCTGGTTTTCACAGTACTTCTTTTAAGTGAAAAACCAGCCTTAGCAGAAAATGCTTATTATGCCCAGGGCCAAACAGGCTATCTACCACTGAGCCTCACAGTAGTAAGCAGTTATACTTCTAGTAGGCCTGTAGCCAAAAGTTTTCCAAAAATCTAGAATCTTAAAATCTTTAAACCCTGTTATACCTATCCCAAGTTTTTTGGGGTTCTTGGTTTTTTTGTTTGTTTTGTTTGCTTGTTTTTGTTTTTGTTTGTTTTTTGACAGAGTCTCACTCTGTCACCAGCCTAGAGTGCAGTGGTGCAATCTCAGCTCACTGCAACCTCTGCCTCCCAGGTTCAAGCAATTCTCCTGCCTCAGCCTCCCGAGTAGCTGGGATTACAGGCATCCGCCACCACACCTAGCTAATTTTTGTATTTTTAGTAGAGGCAGGGTTTTGCCATGTTGGCCAGGCTGGTCTTGAACTCCTGACCTCAAGTGATCTGCCCGCCTTGGCCTCCCAAAGTGCTGGGATTACAGGCGTGAGCCACCATGCCCGGCTATTACTGCGAATTCTTAGTTTACTTTTCTAGGAATATAACAGAAGTTAACTGACTAAGCCTTTCTCCCCGCGAGGTAAAATTGACGCAAAGGACCTGTATTTCCCTATGGCTGTGGAAATCCAAAGGTCTTGATTTGAAGCATAATTAATGCCTAAGACAATTATTCTCTGAGTGTTCCCAGAGCAGTAGCATCAGCATCGACTGGTAGCTTGTGAAAAATGTGAATTCCCGGGCCCTGCCCCAGACCTACTGAGACTGAATCTGGAAGGGTAGAGTCAGAAGTCTGTGTTTGAACAAGACTCCCTGGAATTCTAATGCAGCCAAAATTGGAGAACCACTGTCCTCAGAAACTGCAGTCCAGAAGAAGTGGGTCTTTAGCACCCCTTTTAAAGCAGATTTTTTTTCAGAGGATGGGTCTGGAGCTGCTGCAGGCACGTGCAGGTGGATGTGCGGAAGCCTCACCTGCAGGCGGGTCTCATGACATCACTGATTCAGAAGTGAAGTTAGCCTATGCCCAGATATCTTGATGATAGAAATATTACTATTGTTCATGATCAGAGCTTCCAGAGTTCAAGTGACTTAACAGTCTTCCAGACATTTTCTAGAAAACAAAGAAAAATCCAATAACTTACAAAGTTCATCAAAGTCTGAATCTAGCTATTTTCTTCAGTTCAACACTTCCTTATTGGGCATTGATTGAGTGTTACTAGTGATTTATAGCATAAGTGATTGCACTATGGAAATGATTTCCCAAGTTCCATGGCTGCAGTGGGTTAGAGACGGCGCCCTGCCTTTCAGCAGCACCTGTGAGGTAGGCGTGTTCAGATGGCTCCTTAGCATTAGCGTCATTCTCAAGGAGCAAGCTGTTGTTTCGGGTGTGTATTATTTTTGCATCTTGGAAGTAGGATGAGGGGAAATGTTAACAAATGGTATCTCCACTGGTGTTTGTTAAATTGTGAGCCTGGATCAACTTAAACCCCTTGGGCATTTCTTAAAACACAGATTCCTAGGCCCTCCTTGCTCTTTGAAAGTGCTGAGTCCGAATCTCCAGGGTTCGGTCATGGGGCTCTTCCTTTTCATAAGCATCCCACATTTCTCTTACATGCAGTACATTTGATAATCACTAATCAATGCCATCTGACTTTGCTTCTCTTTTAGATTTTGATTAGAATATACAATTTGCTTTTACCAATTGGAATTTGGTCCTCTAGAAAGAATATAAACTAGGAAATGAGACAAAGCTAGCTTCAAATCTCAGATCCAGTAGTGATCAAAGGTTAAGACTTTTGGCAAGTCGCTAAACTTCCTTGAACTTCCATTTTCTCATCATTAAATGAGATGATTGCAATACCCAGACTGCAGAAGCACTGAGAGTAGCAAATGAGAAATTGTACGCAAAGGGTGAAACACACAGCAGATATTTAACACAGAAGGGTTATCTAATAACAGTGTCTAAGGAATTCATCTGTCTTCTAGCCCTAGAAGATGCATTTTTTTTTAATCTCTTTCCAAAATACCTCTTTCGAAATGGAGTAGGAAAGGAAAGAAAGAGGGAGGGAAGAGAGAAAAAGAGAGAGGGAGAAAGAGAAGAAAAGAAGAAAGAAAGAGAGGGAGGGAAGAATGAAGGAAGAAGGAAGGAAAGTAGGTATTAAGACATCTGATCTAGGCCGGGCGCGGTGAGTCACGCCTGTAATCCCAGCACTTTGGGAGGCAGAGGCGGGTGGATCACTTGAGGTCAGGAGTTCGAGACCAGACTGGCCAATATGGTAAAACCCCGTCTCTACTAAAAATACAAAAATTAGCCAGGCATGGTGGTGGGCACCTGTAATCCCAGCTATTCAGGAGGCTGAGGCCAGAGAATCACTTGAACCTGTGAGGCGGAGGTTGCAGTGAGCTGAGATCACACCATTGCACTCCAGCCTGGGTGACGAGAGAGATTCCGTCTCAAAAAACAAAAACAAAACAAAACAAAAAACCCACAAAGATATCTTATCTAAAAATCACAATATCCCTGTGAGACAAGTGTTTTTATCATCTAGAATTTACAGAGTTGCTAAGAACCAGAAAAATACTTCCTTTACTTCCCAACCACAGGGTTTTTTCAACTCCTGGAGTAATCCTGGCTTTGATTAAATCCCCCCCTATCACATAACTGTAACAACCAGAAATCAGTGGAGGTGTGGGGTTTGTCCATACACCTCAGGGAATGTGCCTGTGAGGTTTAAACTGAGGTGACCCCGGAGTTCAATGGCTGTGGAGTGTCAGTTTCCCTGTACCAGGCCTTCCCAAACCCCAGGTTTTTGTTTGTTTTTGAAACAGAGTTTCACTCTTGTTACCCAAGCTGGAGTGCAGTGGTGTGATCTTGGCTAACTGCAACCTCTGCCTCCCGGGTTCAAACGATTCTCCTGTCTCAGCCTCCCCAGTAACTGGAATTACAGGCACCCAACACTACTCCCAGCTAATTTTTTTTTCTTTTTCTTTTACTTTTTTTTTTTTTTTAAGTGGTAGAGACGGGGTTTCACCATGTTGGCCAGGCTGGTCTCGAACTCCTGACCTCAGGTGATCCACCCGCCTCGGCCTCCCAAAATGGTGGGATTGCGGCCAAGAGCCACCATGCCTGGCCAACCCCAGGTTTTTTATGCTGCAAGAGATGACTCAGTGCTTCACCACCTCTAGCTAAATAAACCATGTTCCGATTATCATGCAAAAAGTGTGTTGTCTGAAAAAGAGACCTAAAAAAACTTTCTGCCCTTTGTGGTGGCAGAATTCCTGGTTCAACCTTAAATGGCCTTAGTTGTTCTATAGGAGTTACGGTGACTTGCTTTGTTTTGAATGTCAAACTTGATTCCAGGCTTAGATATGACAGCAGAACAAGCCCATCAAAACTTGAGTGTCTGTGTATTGCAAGAACTGGAATTGGTATTTTGGGGCCTGGAAGAGCTGAAAATCAAATCAAATGCCCAGGTCATTGATTATGTCACATGCATTGAACACTGAGAAACAGTCTTGGGAAGGATCTCGATCCTTGTTTGGAATGTCGTAATTCCATTTAGGGCAAAATACACCAACCAGTTCCCATGCAAACTTCTGCAAAGACAGCATTCACAGATGATGGAGACTTAGCAATTGAAAATGGACACAGTCAATGAAACCCAGGATTCCAGATCTTTTTTGACTTGTCCGAGAAGCAATGGAAAATAAACAATCCCAGGAAAATCTAATATTACACCAAAATTAGCAGTATCTTTTCCTTTCGGTCAATGTGCAACCAAAGCCAAGCATCTCTTCTCCCTGTGGAAAAGTCAAATAATTGCAAAAACTCCTGGAGATACTGGTTTCTTCTTAAACCAGGGCCTTTCACCAGTTTGGCTGGTCTTTTCAAAGGGCACATGGAGATTGATAATATTTCGTATGTAAGCATGGCCATAATTATGTCAGGGTGTGTGCATAATCACCCCAAAGCTAACAATTCTCATGGAGTAAATGCACTAATAGCAATGGAAGCAGACACCCTAGCAATAGAATTTTTATTGGCTCTTTCCTTCACTCAGTGTCTTGATAGAAAAACATCTGCCTAACATTTAAAACCACTAGAAGAGTGTAATTGGGTTGTTTGTAACACAAAGGATAAATGCTTGAGGGGAAGGATGCTCCATTCTCCATGATGGGCTTATTTCACATTGCATGCCTGTGTCAAAACATCTCAGGTACCCCATAAATATATACACATACTGTGTACCCACAAAAATTAAAATTTAAAAAATTTTAAAAAGAAAAACATCTGCCTAATCTCAGAGCACAGCTCCTGGTGAAACTTCTGCCTGTAGGATTTTGGCCCTGTGGCCTTATCTGTGATCCTATGACACCCACTCCCTACCACCAGCCAGTCGAGTCCTGTGGAATCTACTCTAGGAAAATGGCTTTGAGAGAATTTCCTTCTGGCTCCCTGGTCAGAGCCATGGGGAGCTAGAAGCTTCCTCCTTCCATTTGGACAGACCCTTGACAAATCATTTCTATTATTATTATTGTTGTTATTTTTAGAGATAAGGTCTCACTCTGTCACCCAGGTTGGAGTGCAGTCATGCGATCATAGCTCACTGCAGCTTCGAACTCCTGGGCTCAAGCAATCCTCCCACCTCAGGCTCCCAAGTAGCTAGACAAATCATTTCTAAGCAGGGAAGGAGTTTCTGAATGACTTAAGGGGTATTCTAGAGTGTCTCAAACCTGCCTGGAGTTACAGCAGCTGCGTGGTGAAGAGGCTGCTGAGAATTCTTGAGCATTAGGTAAAGAATGAACCTTTGCCATGTTAACATCCATTATTAAAGCCAATGGGAGGATTTATGTTTTCCAGAAATGGCTTTTTGGAAAGATTTGATGTTCAGCAGTCCTGAGCTCTAATGCACATTTGTCTTACATTAAAAAATACCATCTCAGAGAAACATCAGTCCATTACTTAAAGGAGAAACAGTATTTGAGTATTTAAAAGGCTGCGTGTGTGTGTGTGCACGTGTGTGTGTGTGTAAAAAGTTAAAATAATAGCAAATCCTTTCTGGATTTCAGAAGCCAATTGTTCAGGATATGCATTAGGCTCAGTCTTGAAAGGAGAATTTTCCTAAATGTCCTTTAGGTCTCGGCTTAAGTGTCTCTTCTCCAGACATGCACTTTCTTCTCATAGAGTCTTAACTAGACACCTGCATTAATCCTCTCTCAGCTCTATATTATTTTCTTCATACCAGATCAGAGCCTATAATTATCTTATTTGTCCTTTTAATTGTTTCCTGCTCTACCATGCAAGAAAGTTCTATGAAAATAGGAACTGCAGGCAGCCTTGTTCATAATTTTATCCCCAGTGCCTAGCAGAATGTACTTGCTGTATACAGTAGTAGGTGACCAATAAATACTTGCTGAATTAGTGATCATGATGAGACAGACATAAAAAGAGTGGCTCTGTAATAGTGTGTTAAACTCTGGAAAGAAGAACTGAAAAGGGAAAGATACCAGATAAACTGATTTCTAAGATAAAGATTAGATCAGTTCACCAATAAGAGGTAAAACTTAAATATAATATATTTATTTCAATATGATTATTTAGAATATAGGAATAGACGTGGGAGTAAAATCCTCATATTATCTCTTTGGGTGGCATATGTAGCGTTATGGAGAGATTATGGGAATATGTCTACTTCTTGTGGTACTGAAGCCATGTTAACTAGGGCATGGTGTATGTGGAGCACACAGTCAGAATGCAGGCAGTATAACATGATTGCTTTACAAACTGCCCCATCTGAGTAAGAGAGGGAGTTTCTGTTAATGAAAGGGGTTCCAGGCACAAGCAAACCATGCTGTACTTTTTAGGGCCTCTTCTGAGGAGATGTGCACTATGGAACTAAGGAAACACCATTCGTCATTAAGCCCATAGTATCCGTAGTATGTATCGGGCATCTAACACTTTTTTTTTTTTTGAAATGGAGTCTCGCTCTGTCCCCCAGGCTCAAGTGTAATAGTACGATCTCAGCTTACTGCAACCTCTACCTCCCAGGTTCAAGCGATTCTCCTGCCTCAGCCTCCCGAGTAGCTGAGATTACAGATGCGTGCCACCACGCCCAGCTAATTTTTGTATTTTTAGTAGAGATGGGGTTTCACCATGTTAATCAGGCTGGTCTCGCACTTCTGAACTTGGGATCCGCTCGCCTCGGCCTCCCAAAGTGCTGGGATTACAAGCGTGAGCAACTGCATTATGACATCTAACACTTTTATGATAATTAATCATCATGAAAATGCCAATAAGCAGGTGCTATCTCCATTTCTCAAGGTAGGGAACTGAGGGTCACTGCCATCTACCCAAGGCCACCATGGGATTAAGTGAAGGTTCTGTGACCCCAGAACTTTGACTTGACTTGTATTAAGTGGCACCAGTTGGGGGATCCATACCATTGGATTACAAGAAATAAAAAGCATCTCCACAGAATATCTGGGGTATTTGTTTTGATTTTCTTTGTTTTGAATTTTTGCAATTCTACTAGGTATTTTTGCAATTCTACTAGGTAGCCTGTGTTTTAATGCCCATTCTATCTCTAACTAGCTTAACCCCAAGAAGTAAGTTTGAAATCGAAATTTAGGGAGCCTGCAGATGGTTAGGGCACTGAACTCCCTATTTTCTAATATGTAAAATGGACACAGTCGTTCCTAGTTCACGGCACTCTCATGAGGCTGAAATTAAGACAGTGGGAACAAAAGAGTATTTTTTCCTTCCTTCTAAATAATTTTCTAAGTTAATTGGAGAAAAAACATAATTAAATTTCCATCCCTTATTCTTGGACGAGATCAAAGCTTGACTTCTGTAGTTTTAAATTTGAAAAAAGGCACTTACTGGTCTAGTGCCTATTTATTTGCACTTTCTGATTGTCTCATGAATATATGCCAGGAATTTTTTCACAGGAAAGCTGGTTTTTCCCCCTGCTGGTTGCCTCTTACAGCTAATTGTATTTAAGGGGGGAAATTAGATGTTTAGAAATGCTGATTGGCCCCGACTCATTAATAGGCCCTCCTTACTCTATTGTATCCGGTAGAAGAGTTATAAGTATGTCATTCCCTCTCCTCTCTCTTTTAAAAGACTTTTGACAAAGACCAAGCCACAAGTACATACTGCAGATCATCAAAAGCCGGCACCAATTTGGCTAATGGTGTGTACTTTGTTTTCAGATTCTCTTAATACTTTAAGCACTTAACTGGAGCCTAGGTTCATTTTGAGCTCTAGCTTGTGGTTTCCAGGCAAAAGCAGCCCATCTGACTTTTAGTGCCCTTGTCTGTGAGTTGATAAGACCGCCTGGAGTCTCTAAACTCCTTTAAGTGCTAAATGTCAAGCTGGAATTGGGTATCTCTGGCTGAACAATGTGTGTTGTTTTAAAATGACTCCTTAATATGAAGAGGTTTCCAAGTGCATTAATGTCAGGGGTATTTAAACAGTTTAATGGGGGTATCTTTAAAATGCCTTTTTGGTTGGCAACTTAATAATCTCCTTCTTGTTCAAATATTATTTTCACCACAGTACATCTGATACTCTCCGAAAGTTAAACAAGCCATTCAGGAAAATGGGATTGAGTTATGACAAGCTGAACAGAAGCCCTGAAAGGTCGTGGGCTCATTTCTTCATTTATGAGAATGAAGGTAAGATGTCCCTTCTCACCTCTTTTTGTCAGTCCTGCATAGGAGATAGTGAGGAATTTTACCTGTAGATTAACAGGAAAATGACTTGCATCCAATTGCATCTGTGAGGCAAGACTTTGAATATATAAAGAGCAATGTTTGCATACAATTTATTTTTTTCTCTACCTAATGCTCTGGAAATAAGGAGCTGGAGGAGTTGTTATCTGTGTGAGAGTGGAACATTTGATGCAGAAAAATACATATTGTATTAGTCTGTTCTCAGGCTGCTAATAAAGACTACCCAAGACTGGGTAATTTATAAAGGAAAGAGGTTTAATGGCCTCACAGTTGCACATGGCTTAGGAGGCCTCACAATTATGGTGGAAGAGCAAGGAACGTCTTACATGGCAGCAGGCAAGACAGAGAATGAGAACCAAGTGAAAGGAGTTTCTCCTTATAAAACCATCAGACCTCATGAGACTTATTCACTACCATGAGAATAGTATGAGGGAGACAGCCCCCATGATTCAATTATCTCTCACCGACTCCCTCCCACAACACATGGGAATTATGGGAGCTACAATTCAAGATGAGATTTGGGTGGGGACACAGCCAAACAATATTACATATAACAATTAAGCTGTGAAGCAGAGAGGAGCCTGGGAACACCTCTGCTCCTGAAGTTTCCAAGATGTTCAGGGAAGAGCTACAGCCCTTCCCAGACCTGCCCTGCCCAGACCGGAGCCACCAACATGTGAAGCAAAGCTGCAGCCACCATCTGACCTCTCTCCAGCCCCAGGAATCACCTTACCTACCCCCAAAATATGTGTTCCTTCTCAGTATTCCCTTGAGCTGTATTCATTCTCCAGCACTCAGAGACTCCTATTATTTTTACTCACTGGCTTCAAAAAGTCTCTAATTATAGAAGAAGGACTGTGATAATAAGATCAGATTATCAGAATCTAAGACCTATCATTAATATAGTAATGTCATCCACAAGTGTTTTAATTCTGAACTTAAACTAAAAATAAATTTCAGGTCGGGCACAGTGGCTCACACCTGTGATTTCAGCACTCTGGGAGATCGAGGCAGGAAAATGGCTTGAAGCCAGGAGTTTGAGACCAGCCTGGGCAACATAATGAGACCTCTTCTCTGCAAACAAAATTTAAAAATTAGCTGGGCATGGTGGTGGTGTGTGCCAGTAGTACCAACTACTCGGGAGTCTAAGACGGGAGAATTGCTTGAGCCCAGGAGGTCAAGGCTGCAGTGAGCTGTGATGGCACCACTGCACTCTGGCCTAGGCAACAGAGAGCGACCCTATCTTAAATAAAATAAATAAATACATAAATTTCATATATATATATATTATATATATACACACACACTTAAATTTCAGTTTCAGAAGAGAAAGTCTTAGAATACTTATTCTTTTCTGGCTATGGCTTCCTAGCGAGTAAGATGGGAGTAAAAAATGAAAAATCTTGCCTATCTTCTGGGTGCTTCAAAAAGTTGGCATATTTGATGTTACTTAGACCAAGTTCCTGGTGATTCATGGGTACAAGGGAGGAGAGATAGAGAAGGAGAGAGGGCTGGGAACTGGAAGGTAGGCTATTGGTCTGTGGCCTGGACTTCCCAAACAACGTGGCCAGAGACCTTGGCATTTATGTTTTTATCTGTCCAGTAAGGATGATAGGATTGTACCAATGCCCTCACGAAGATGTTTGAGGCAGCTGAGGAAGCAACAGGCTCAAGATGCATTGCTGTTTTGGTCACCCTTCTTGCTTAATAAGGCCCAGAACCAGTAGGGGCTGTGGTCACTCAACTTCAAGAGCCCTCGTGGTGCAGCAAGCTGTGAAGTTGCCCTCGTGCTGCAGTGAGCTGTGAAGTTGCAGAGTTCTCAGGCACACCCACTTTCCCTGGTGTAGGCCCCTGTAAATGTTACTATTACCAGTAACGACTATCCCTTCAGAGTTGGGGGACTTTCAGACATGGTATCTCACCTGAGCCCCACCTCACGGCCTTCCAGCCAGTGCAAACCAACAACCTCCTCCATTCTCACATGCCCTATATCCCTGCAGGCAGGACATGTGGGCCTGGATGCTGGATGTCAACCCGAGATTCTTCCTTGCCACTCATAACCAGACGTGAAGCTGCAAGCGACCTGGAGCACACGGCCCATTCCCTAGCAACTCAGGGCAGGGCTCAGGGCACCTTCCAGGCCTGGCAAGGTGAGGGGACAAAGCCACGGTTCTGTGCAGTGAAATGCTAATTTTATGTCCAGAAGGAGGGCCTGGGTCTCCAGGCTTCCAGGCTCCCACCCTTTCTAGCTTGGTGTATAGCATCATTGGAGCCACTGCATTGAGGGCACAAAGTCCTCATGGCTTCAATTTCATTGTCGGAAAGCTAGGATTAACACTGAATTGGTAATGGGAGGAAAACTAGCGTTACATCAGGAAAGAGGGCAATTTTCTACTCCTTGGCACCTCGAAGAGGCCTCCAGCGATGCGATAGCTGGCAGCCTTTGAAAAAAATCCTTTGCAGCTCTTGGCATGAGAATTTGTCTGGCCTGGAGGAAGTCATTTGATCCTGGGGCTGGGGGCTGTGAAGCAATTGTGAAAGTCGCTTCTGAAGTCCTGTAGGCACCAGATCTGTTTTCTAGCTTATAAATCAGATACAAGCAAACTCTGGGACTTGTTCTCTCGTGGTGAGAGCTGCCACTGAAATCGCAGGGGAGCTGGGGGGCTAAGGATGCACAGGACTGCTATTTGTTTAGGAGGGCAGTCCTCTCACAGGGCCTGTGTCTGGGGCTGCATTGTTGCCCGTCTACACCCGGGCTCCATGCCAGTGCCCATGTTGAGAGGCAGCAGGCCAGGCCGGAGTCTCCATGCTGCTCCCTGCAGCCCTTTGAGGTTTAGCTGCAGTTGTCACGGCAATATTTCTTCAGGCCACTCTGCTTGGGCACCCTGGCTTTCCAGAGAACAGCTACTTGAGTCCCTTTTGTTCAGTCCCTCGCAGGCAGGGCCTGCCCAACCCAACCTGGTCCAGTCCAGCTGTGTCCAGGCCAGCTCAGGATCCAGGGGTCACCATTTAAGGGCTCATGAGATTGCGAAGTGATTCTACTCAACCTGTTGAAGGACATTTCTATGTAAAACGTTAACATAGGGCCGATTTTTAGCATGAAGAGGCATGAAAATATTCTATGGCTCTGGTTAAAAATTCCGGCACCATTGATTCATTGCCCTGATGATTCTCCTTGGCCCTGAAAGTTGTTTTGCCCTCATTTGGGCAAACACCTCTCACTCAAAGTAGGATAAGCGTCACTTTCCATTCAATCTACTTCCTTGGTCTCAGCCTATGCACCAGTGAGGCACAATGTCTCCTTTATAATTTTCTCCAGCGGTCCTCATGCTGCCAGCAGGAAAAATTATAGCCTCCACCGTCACTAAATCCAAAAGTCTGGTCCAATGACCTTTGCTTGAAGACAAAATTTCTCACCACCTCACCAAAAAAAAATCCAGTAAAAGGCTTTGATCCTGAAAAGCATTAAAAGAAAACAACACACAAAACAAACAAACAACTCAGCCCGGCCCAGCCTCGGTTAAAGGGAGGTTCTTTTCATGTGGTTTCCTTTGCGCTGACATGCTGTGTCAGGTTCAGGATGTCTCCAACTGGAGAACACTGAGATTTGATGTTTTAGGAGAGTAAAGCTGACTGCCCAGCACAGAGCTGTATTCAGAATCCATTTCAGAGCCTCAAGCCTTGCCTGGCAGCTGCCTCACCACATCAGCCGCCGAGGCTGGCAGCTCCCACTGCTTTGAGCTCATCATTCAAAGATGATTCCTGCAGCACGCTTGAGTGACAGAGCTAAGATGAGAGGGGGTGAGTTTCTGGCCAGAGGGCCAGAGCACTGAGGGTGCACATGCGTGGTCCTCGCTGGCTCTGCAGCTGTAGCGGTCTTGAGTGTCCCTCAGATTCTCCTGCACTGAAAGCTTCTTCCTCAAGGAGTGCTCCCTGTAGGGACTGGAGCTAGGTGGATCAAGTGTTGCCAGGGCCCTGAGTAAAGAGTGGTGAAAAAAACTCAGGATTACACCAAATTTCACAATGCTGAAGTTGAGGGAGATGTCAAACTCGTGTCTGAGTGTATGACGAGTGTGTGCAGTGGAATATAGGTGTAAAAAGTCCCACTGAACAATGGGGTCCAAGCTACACTGGATTCGCATATTAGATTGCAGCCCCCCGAAGGGAAGAGAGATATTTGTGTCTCTTTACAGCTCTGTGCGCGTTGTTATCTTGAAATGTGTGGGTGCAAAATGTCTGCTATGGTTTGAATGTTTGTCCCCTCCAAAACTCATGTTGAAACTTAATCTTCAGTGTGGCAGTATTGAGAGGTGGGGCCTTTAACAGGTGATGTGGATGGCTGGGCACAGTGGTTCACACCTGTAATCCTGCACTTTGGGAGGCCGAGGCAGACAGATCACTTGAGGTCAGGATTTCGAGACCAGCCTGGCCAACATGGTGAAACCTCATCTCTACTAAAAATACAAAAATTAGCTGGGCGTGGTGGCATGCACCTGAAATCCAAGCTACTCAAGAGGCTGAGGCAGAAGAATCGTTTGAACCTGGGAGGTGGAGGTTGCAGTGAGCAGAGATCATGCCATTGCACTCCAGCTTGAGCGACAGAGTGAGACTTCGTCTCAAAAAAAAAACAACAAAAAAAAAAAAACAAAGGGTAATTGGGTCTTGAGAGATTTGCTCTCAGGAAAATGGATTAATCCGGTCCTGGATTGATGGGTTATCATGGGAGTAGGGACTGGTGGCTTTATAAGAAGAGGAAGAGGCCAGGTGTGGTGGCTCACTCCTGTAATCTCAGCACTTTGGGAGGCTGAAGCGGGCAGATCACTTGAGGTCAGGAGTTCGAGACCATCCTGGCTAACACCGTGAAATCCCATCTCTACTGAAAATACAAAAAATTAGCCAGGCATGGTGGCACATACCTGTAGTCCCAGCTACTGGGGAGGCTGAGGCAGGAGAATGGCTTGAACCTGGGAGGTGGAGGTTGCAGTGAGCCGAGATCATGCCACTGCACTCCAGCCTGAGTGACGGAGCAAGACTACGTCTCACAAAACAGAAAAAAAAAAAACAGAAGAAGAGGAAGAGAGATCTGAGTAGCATCCTCAATGCCATCTCCATGTGATGCCTGAAACGCCTCAGGACTCTACAGACTCCCTACCAGCAAGAAGGCTCTCACCAGATATGGCCCCTCGACCTTGGACTCCTCACCCTTCAGAATGATAAGCAATAAATTCCATTTTTTTCAAAGTACACAGTTTCAGGTATTCTGTTTTAAGCAACAGAAAAGGGACTAAGACAGTGCTGTACTGAGTAAATGCTTACCAAGAAGCCGCAGGGCAGTGTGGGGTCCGGCAGGACCAGGCATGCTTTCTTTCACAAATACCGACCTCTTGGAGACACCAGCCCCTCAAATGTTTGAGGAGGCTCTTCAGCAGGAGAGGGCCCTACCTGAAGAGGTGGAGGCAGGGTCAATGAGCTGTGGGTCATTATTGTTTATGTTTCTCTCTTGAACCTGCAGGCTCTTGAAACCTGGGGAAGTGCCAGTTACAAAAATGACTGGCCTTGCCAGGCAGCTATGACAAGCTAAGATCCAATTTGGACCCTCAGATTGGGCATTTACACCCAGGCATGTAGTATAGAGTTCGAGTAAGAGAATGTTAAATGTGGATCTACTGTGGAAGTCACGAAGGCTCTTAACAATGGAATTGGTGTCATGTGTCCCCCATATCTTAGGAGATTGTAAAACTGCATTAGGTAAAACCATACTCCAGCTTATGAAAGATGGAGAACTAAAGGGTTGAGAGAGGAAGATCTTTTTTTTTTTTTTTTTTTTTTTTTTTTGAGATGGAGTCTTGCTCTGTTGCCAAGGCTGGAGTGCAGTGGTTCAATCTCAGCTCACTGCAACCTCTGCCTCTGGGGTTCAAGCAATTTTCCTGCCTCAGCCTCCCAAGTAGCTGGGATTACAGGCACCTGCCACCATTCCTGGCTAATTTTTGTATTTTTAGTAGAGACGTGATTTCACCATGTTGGCCTGGGTGGTCTCAAACTGGCTGATCTCGGGTGATCCACCAGCCTTGGCCTCTCAAAGTGCTGGGATTACAGGCGTGAGCCACCGCACCTGGCCTGAGAGAGGAAGATCTTATAGAGAAAAGTGCTGGTGTGCTACTGCAGATCCCCCAGCCATGGGGAAAGGAAGGAGTATTCCCCCTAAAATCTAAGCAAATGAGAGAGCAGGGCTTCAAGAGGACCTCTTGTGGAGTTGGACAAATGTCCCCTGGAATTGAGTGGGCTGGCATTTGATTCTCGCCCTTAGTCAATCATGAAGAACTGCAATGCCCAGCAGCACTGACAAAGAAGCTTTCATTGATATATGAGTTTATTTCCATCAACAGCATGATAAAAGCCCCTACATTTCCCCATGGGTCCAGGGGATCCATGTGAAGGGGAGGACTGGGAAACATCTTGAGAGGAATCTGCTGAAGAAAGGAATTCTTCTGGGACTTGGGAAAGGACTGGAAGTCCGAAGGCCCAGGGGCTGGCTTGCACCGCAGGAACCTCAGGTGGAAGCTCTCAGCTGGAGGCTCTGTGGGCAGATTATAAAAGCATCATCTGACACCTGGGGAGCCCCATTGCCAGAGGATGCCTGTGTATGAGACCGCCCTAAAGCCTCATCCTCTCACTACTGACCCAGCTCTGGAAAGGGTCAGAAAAGAGCTGGTGAGAGAAGAAGGAGGAATAGAAGATCAACTGCAATAAAGCTAACCACACCCACCTCCTTCACTGCAGACTTCAGGAGGGAAAACATTTTAGCTTTGGAGGAAATTCGGAGTTTTGATTATTAGAATGTATTAGGTTGGTGCCATCATGGCAAAAACCGCAATTACTTTTGCACCAAACTATGCAAGTCTGAATATTTTAATTGCTGAAATGAGATTAAAATCCTTTTAATCACAGGATTACAAGGGCATGGAAAAGCCATAAGATCTATTTATGGTTTCATCTAGAGACAGTTAAGAACTAATCCTCGGGATGACTTTAAGGGAGGAGAAAGGTGAGAAATCATACATTTTTTTTTTCTTTTTGCCCCTATTAAGTTCAGCTTATTCGATAAAATGGTTACACCATGAAAAAAAAATCCGCCTCACCAAATTCCCACAGTGATCATCCTGACCATGGAAAGCAAAAAGAGATGGCTGTGTTAGTTTGCTACGGCTGCTCTACCAAAGTATCACAGACTGGGTGGCTTAAACAACAGAATTTTATTGTCTTGTCATTCTGGAATCTGAGATTCACTTCTTCTGAACTTCTCCTTGGTTTGTAGACAGCCTTCTTCTCTCTGTGTGTTCACACCTTTCTCCTTCTGTGCCCATGTCCAAATTGTCTCTTCTTACAAGGACACATATCAGCCTGGCGTAGTGGCTCATGCCTGTAATCCCAGCACTTTGGGATGCCAAGGCAGGTGGATCACCTGAGATCAGGAGTTCGAGACCAGCCTGGCAAACATGGTGAAACCCCGTCTCTACTAAAAATACAAAAATTAGCTGGGTGTGGTGGCAGGCGCCTGTAATCCCAGCTAGTTGGGAGGCTGAGGCAGGAGAATTGCTTGAATCTGGGAGGCAGAGGTTGCAGTGGGTGGAGACCGCACTACTGCATTCCAGCCTGGGGGACAAGAGCGAAACTCCTTCTCAAAAAAAAAAGACACCTATCATACTGTAGGGCTCACATTAGTAGTCTCATCTTAATTACCCCTTTAAAAATTGCTATGGTCTGAATGTGTCCCCCAAAATGTATGTGTTGAAACTGAATCGCATTGAGGTAGAGCCTTTAGGAAGTTATTAAGTCATGAGGGCAGAGCTCTCCTAGATGGGATTGGGGCCCCTTTAAAGGGACTTCCATCTTTTCTACCACGTGAGGACACAGCCTTACTTCCTTTTCCCCTCCTGTCTTCTGCCACGTGGGCGCAGCAACAAAACGCCATTTTGGAAGCAGGGAACAGGCTGTCGCCAGACCCTAGACCTGCCAGTGGCTCGATCTTGGACTTCTTGGCCTCTGGTACTGTGAGAAATAAATTTCTATTATTTATAAGTTATGCTGTTTATGGTATTTTGTTACAGCACTACAAATGAACAAAAAGACTCTATTCCCAAATACAGTCACAGCCTGAGGTACTGGGTGTTAGGACTTTAACATGTAATTTTGGGATGAGGAAGAAACATGATTCAGCCCAAAACAGAGGCCAATTAAACTGAAAAGATGAAGGATGCATATATGTTCTTGCCCCAAGAGAGGACTCCGCTACAGTGTATGTGGTATGTTTGTACATTCTCTCTGGAACTCACAGTACATAATCAGCAAAATCCACCATATCCTCAAACTCTCTCTGAGTAGTCCCTTCACCTTCTACTGTTACTGAAACCTGACTTCCCTGAGTACATAGCTTCTTCTGCAGTCCTTTCAAGTAGATGTCCACTCTGCATACGACTAGGCTTTGGGATAGCGTAGAGATCCTCCTTGCCTCTCATTGCCACTGTTAATCTATTCTCATTCTCTCCTCCACAAAATCCTCCACCTCCGAATTCTACCATACTACCATCGTATCATACCTTACTATATATTCTGCATTTATCTATGAACCCATAGTTTACTATTACCTTCTTTTTTTTTTTTTTTTTTGAGACTGACTCTAGCTCTGTCGCCCAGGCTGGAGTGCAGTGGCACAATCTCGGGTCACTGCAAGCTCCGCTTCCTGGGTTCAACGATTCTCCTGCCTCAGCCTCCCAGGTAGCTGGGATTACAGGCACCTGCCACCACGCCCGGCTAATTTTTGTATTTTTAGTAGAGATGAGGTTTCACCATGTTGGCCAGGCTGGTCTTGAACCCCTGACCTCAGGCAATTTGCCTGCCTCAGCCTCCCAAAGTGCTGGGATTACAGGTGTGAACCACCACACCCGGCCTCCTTTCATTTTTTTTTAAAAATTTTAGATCCTGACTCACCATTACTTTCTCCATCACTACTCTCATTAATTGTTGACAATTTTAATACTCCTCCAACCATAATTTTTTGAAAAGTTAAAAACATGGCCAGGCACAGTGGCTCATGTCTATAATCCCAGCACTTTGGGAGGCAGGTGGATCACCTGAGCTCAGGGGTTTGAGACCAGCCTGATCAATATGGTGAAACCCCGTCTCTAATAAAAATACAAAAATTAGCCGGGCATGGTGGCAGGTGCCTATAGTCCCAGCTATTCAGGAGGCTGAGACAAGAGAATCGCTTGAACCCAGAAGGTGGAGGTTGCAGTGAGCCGAGATCGTGCCACTGCACTCCAGCCTGGGAGACAGAGCAAGACTCCATCTCACACACACACACACAAAAAAAAAGAAAAAGAAAAGTTAAAAACATGACTCATAAAAATATTGAATGAACACACATCAAAGATTATTAATTCATGGACAAAGAAATCACTAAGATGGTAAAGCTGATTCTAAGAGTACTTTGAGAAACTGGTGATTTTTATACATTTTGAAAAAAATTAGAATAGAATTGCTAGGTTAGATACAAAACCAGTTAATGTCCTACAAGGCCATAAAACTATGATCTTTGGGGCTATCTCTTTTACTGCACAGACTCTACAAGTTAATGTGTAACCTTACAGTGTCTGGACCCTAATCGATGATAAATAATAAAGTCAAACAACGGTACCAGGTACATTCTCTTAGAAAATGAAATGATTCACAGGTGGGCCTGTAAAACATGCTCCAGTATGATATTGAAGAGGTTTGTCACCTCCATTCACCTAAAATCCAAGTTTTAGATAATGTTTCTGAACATTCACCATGGATGAGTCTCTCCACACTGAGGCTTCTCATTCCTCTGTGCTCATCTCTTGCAATCATCTTATTCTCCATTCCACCTCTTCTGTTCCACCTCTTCTCCCCTGCTCTTGTCCCCAGACCATGTCATAACCACTCACTAAAACCCCTCCATTATTTCAGTTGCAGGCATCCCACTTTCCAACTGCCATCTCCCATCTTCCAGACCACTTCATCTAGTTTCCTATCTCCAACCATTTTCAGCTCCAATAGAAACTACACTCCACTGATCCATCACCTTTTCATATCTCTTCTCACCCTCTTATCTTCACATCCTTCCATCCCCAGTGTGAACTCCATATCAGTTGCCATGATCACTCCCTTTTGGGGACCACCAAATTTCTTTCCCAGCTCTCACTTTGTCCCACTGTCTTGGCTAAGCCACAAACATGGTTGAATGTAGCTCTTCTCCCACCTGTGCCCGCCCCTGTTGAGCTAAACATTGATGGTGAAAAATACCAGCATATTGACATCTCTTACTTGAAAATTGTGATCACTAACCTTACATAGGCCTTCAGAATAGCCAGGTAATCAAACTACATTTCCCAATTCCATTTCCTCTCCCTTTCTTCTAAACTGTGTTATGGACTGAAAGTGTCCCCCCACAATTTATATGTTGGAGCTCCTATCTGCAATGTGATGGAATTTAGAGGCCGGACCTTTGGGAGGGAATTAGCGCTTTTTTTTTTTTTTTTTTTTTTTTGAGACGGAGTCTCACTGTTTCCCAGGCTGGAGTGCAGTGGCACGATCTCAGCTCACTGCAAGCTCTGCCTCCCAGGTTCACACTATTCTCCTGCCTCAGCCTCCCGAGTAACTGGGACTACAGGCACTCGCCACCACACCTGGCTAATTTTTTGTATTTTTAGTAGAGACGGGGTTTCACCGTGTTAGCCAGGATGGTCTCGATCTCCTGACCTTGTGATCCACCCACCTCGGCCTCCCAAAGTGCTGGGATTACAGTCGTGAGCCACCGTGCCTGGCTGGAGGTAATCAGTTTTAAATGAGGTCATGAGAATGGGGCCCCCCATAGTGGCATTACTTTTCTTAAAGGAGGAGGTAGATAGACCACAGCCTGTTCTCACTCTCTCTCGGTCTCCACCTCCATCTCTCTCTCTATCTCTCCATCCCTAACTCTATCCTGTCTCTAGCTCTATCTCTCTCTCCCCATCATGTGAGGACACAGAAGGTAGCTGTATGCATGCTTTATTTTTCCACTTAATACTCAGCTCCATCTAAGGTAGTATCTGTTTTATGTATTTATAGCACCATGTTTATCTTGTTTAGTGTCCATCTCAACGTACGTAAAATATCTAACTATCTTACATAATTTTTGTGAGGATCAAATGAATGAGATCTTTGTAAAATCTAAAGACGGAAATTTGTTATTGCAGCTGCTGGTATACTGGGGAAACCTAACAAAAATCAAGTCAGCCAATGGACTTTCCCCCTGCTTTTTTCTTTAAAAAATTAGGAAGTAACTAAACTCCTTTCAAATGGATTATTTAAAGGAGATTCAGACTTCATTTATTGTTCTTCTGGATTCTCCCAGGTTTCAGTTTCACAAGTATAAGACTCCTGTGTTCAGACTCTTTCTGGGAACCAGAGTATGATCCCTGTAGCTCCTTTCCTTTTCCAAATCACATTCTAGACAAGAAATTGGCTCCAAATTATTCTATGCAATTCTAGAATCATTTTTCTATGGCTTCAAAAACCCTATTCAGTGCTCATAAACTTGGTCTATGGATATTTAAACTCCACAAGGAAAATTTGATGCAAATTGACTGTGTCTGTTTATGTAATATGTCCATCTAGGAATGGGTTTCTCTGCCTTCTGAGTTTGTTTGGGGTATGGGTATGAGATCTTGGCTGAGGTGCTCCGCAGCAAACATATTTTCCAGTGCCATTTTCATTGGCAGTAACTTTATTATGCCAATCTAAATGGACTGATGAAATTATTTTGAAAATAATCTTTAAAGGTAATCAATAATTCAGATCTGAACTTTCATAGATCATTTTTCTCACTCCCCTCTAGCAATCCAGACTGTCAATCCTCACTTGAAAACAGTGAATATATTGTGTACTTGTAAAAAGAGGAGGCTGAGTAGCAGAAAAGCAATTAAAAGGTTTGATTTTGGGTAGGAGAAACAAACATCTTTTCACTCAGATTTCAGAATGAGGGGGCATAGATTCCATGGAAACCTGAAAAAGTACCATTATACCTGTGATACAGTCCCAGAAGGAGGCTGCTACCTGGCCTGTCCCAGTTCCACTCCAAATGACATTTTTCCATGTTGGGATCTGCTTGTCCCTGGTGTTAAAGAATGTCTCCTGCAACACTTGCAAATGTGGGGTGAGTTGGGCCTACAATGGCTCAAACTACCAATCAATTCAGTGTAAGGATTACCCAGAGTGGTTGTGTGAAATTTCATTACCCAAATAGCCTTTTGGTTGACTGTTTTTCAATTTCCAGTTGACTGTGGCAGCAGTAATTTTTCTGAGAGGTTGTCTCAAAAATTTTCTGCTAGAAGAATGTCTTTCAATGGAATCCTATTAGAACCCACTAAGATGCTGTTTGATGAATTCTCCAGAAAGTTTTTCTGTAACCTTGCCACCAAGTAAAAGACTACTAGTATGCCATTTGTGAGAGACAAGTTCACCTACCAGATTCCAAAGATTGTATGCATGTATCTCTTGGGACTCAACAGAAGGCAAAGCTGGCTCACTTCAGTGAAAAGAAATTTATGAGGAAGATTTTGCTCCCACAATCCATGAGGGACTAAAGGCCTAAGATTGGGAGCACAGAGAAACCAAAAGAGCCCCAGAGGGACAAGAAGCAGACACCAGAGCAATAATCTCATGGTCTAACATGTCTGGGCAGGTCACCACTACAATAGATGGCCTTCCAAAATTTTCTTTTCCTGCCCTCATTCTCAAAGTCTAAAGTCCTAGAGACTCTTGTTGCTGGTATGGACAGTGGTGGTGAGAGGAAGGAGCTGGAATCAGATTTGGATAATGGAAAAAGCAGTTTGCTATCATTATTCCACCCCATGGAGGATAGATTCATCCCTAAGAAAATCAGAGCATTGTTAGGAAAGTGAGTGAATGCTGGTAGCCAAATATAATGTTTTCTGTTACAGCACATCACAGGATCAAAACCTCCAGGGTACAAATTATTTATATTGTTAATCCAGGACTATAAGCTTACATGCATTAATTTCCAAATAATGCCCTATAGATAATGAATGTATTTTAAGTACTTAATTGTTGCTAGTTATCTCTTGCTGTATAAGAATAATATTCCAGACTGGGTGCAGCGGCTCACGCCTGTAATCCCAACACTTTGGGAGGCCAAGCTGGGCAGATCATTTGAGGTCAGGAGTTCAAGACCAGCCTGGCCAACATGGTGAAACCCTGTCTCTACTAATAATACAAAAAAATTAGCTGGGCATGGTGGCGCGTGCCTGTAGTCCCGGCTGCTAGGGAGGCTGAGGCAGGAGAATCACTTGAACCCAGGAGGCAGAGGTTGCAGTGAGACTCCATCATAAAAAAAAAAAAGGGAAGAATATTCTCAAACTTAGTGGCTAAAAGCACCTATTATCTTAGTTTCTGTGGGTCAGGAATCCAGGCATGGCTTAGCAAGGTCCTCTGCTTCCATGTCTCTCACAAGGCTGCAATCAAGATATCGCCCAGGACTGCAGTCTCATTTGAAGTCTCAAGTGGAGAAGGATCCGCTTCCAAGTTCACCTTTATGGCTGTTGGCAGGATTCAGTTCCTTCTTCTGGCTAGAAGTCATCTTCAGTTCTTTGCCATGTGGGCCTCTCCAATAAGGCAAGAGAGAATCTGCTAGGAAGAGGGAAGTCCTAATCTTTTGGAACCTCATCACTAAAGTGAGAACCTGTCAACATTGCTGTATTCTATCGGTTAGAAGCAAGTTACTCAAGGAGAGGGGATTATCAAGGGTATCAGTACCAGGATGCATGGATCCCTTGAAACCATCTTAGAGGCTACCTACCATGTAAACAAAACAATTGTTACATTAAATTGTAGTAAGCATATTGACTTCTTCTCTCAATAAATAGATGAATTGTCCAGGGTTTCTGCAGACAGACCAAAGGTGATGATCCCACATCAGCAACAAGAGTCAGGAGGAAGTCTTCAGAAGCAGGAATGCATAGATCCAAGAAAGGTAAGATAAAGTCAGACCAGGACATGGATCCCATTCCTGGTTTCAGCCTCTGCTGGGCTCTGCATTTAAAGACTAGGCCTCCAGAACCACCTGAAGCCAGGTGACCCCAGGGTCCTACCTAGAATCCTTAGACAAGCTATGTTCTCTGAGCTCCACATTTTTTCCATGTTTGTTCAAGAAGAACATAAGCTCCTTTGGCTATCTCATTTCTCCTGTACTTTTCTATTCATACTATTCTATTATTTCTCTCCCATGCCCCAGCCTCCCTCCATGCCTATCCCCCTACATCTCTCTCCATCTTTGTAACTCTAAGCTCCATAATAGACAAACTATTGTATTCCTAGTTGCCTCCTAGATATGTGTCCTCTCTGGAATGTTCTTCTGCATTTTCCATTTTGTGTTGCTATAAAGGAATACCTGAGTCTGGGTAATTTATAAAGAAATGAGGTTTATTTGGCTCACATTTCTGGAGATTGTACAAGAAGCATGGCACTAACATCTGCTGCTGGTGAGGCCACAGGTAGCTACCACTCAGGTGGAAGGTGAAGGGGGATAAGTCATGTCACATGGCGAGAGAGGAAGCAAGAGAGAGAGGGGTAGATGCCAGGTTCTTTTTATTTTTATTTTTTATTTTTTGAGATGGAGTCTAGCAGTGTCGCCCAGGCTGGAGTGCAGTGGCATTATCTCAGCTCACTGCGGGCTCTGCTTCCCGGGTTCAAGCGATTCTCCTGCCTCAGCCTCCCGAGTAGCTGGGAATACAGGTGCCTGCCACCACACCTGGTTAATTTTGTATTTTTAGTAGAGATGGGGTTTCTCCATGTTGATCAGGCTGGTCTCGAACTCCTGACCTCAGGTGATCTGCTCACCTCAGCCTCCCAAAGTGCTGGGATTACAGGCGTGAGCCACTGCACCTGGCCGATGCCAGAGTCTTTTTAACAAACAGATCTCATGGTAACTAATAGAGTGAGAACTCATTCATCACCACAAGGACAGTGCCAAGCCATTCATGAGGGATCTATCCCCATGACCCTAACACCACCCACCAGGCTTCACCTCCAGCATTGAGAGTCACATTTCAACCTGGGACTTGGAGGGGACAAATACTCAAACTGTATCATCTTCTTTCCGCAGATCAGGGCATTCTGCTACAATCATATGCCATGAGGAAGCTTTCTATGACCCGTCAGGCCAGATTAAGTCTTCATATTTTGTATACATAGCCACAGTTGACACTAAAGTTTATCTCATACCACTTGTCACAACAATAAATAGCTGCATTGGTCATTTTTTTGGCTTAATGAATGCATTTGCTAAATTGGACACCCATGAGAGCAGGAAGCATGCATTTCTTATTGATCGTTGCATTATTATTATCATCCAGCACGGTGGCTCCAGATAGAGCAGATGGGCGGATCATTGACTTTTTTTCTTTTATGAAACAAACATTTAAGAGTGTTCTATCCCTAGTTTTGTATTTTATAGAACAAGGAAGGCTCTCTTCTAAGGGCTCACTTGCCTGGCAAACACCTCGCGGGGAAGGCACTCATCCTCCTGAGAGCCCAGAGGCCAGTAGGTCTCTTTTTGCCCTCCCCATCAGCTTCCAAACCATGATTCCTTCACCATCACATAGAAATCACCATTCTTTTCAAACTCTTGGGCATCCACCCACACCACCATTCTTTTTTTTTTTTTTTTTTTTTGAGACGGAGTCTTGCTCTGTCACCCATGTTGGAGTGCAGTGGCACAATCTCGGCTCACTGCAACCTCCACCTCCCAGGTTCAAGCGATTCTCCTGCCTCAGCCTCCCTAGTAGCTGAGATCACAAGTGTGTGCCACAATGCCTGGCTAATTTTTGTATTTTTGGTAGAGACAGGGTTTTACCTTGTTGGCCAGGATGGTCTTGAACTCCTGATCTCATGATCCGCTCGCTTCCGCCTCCCAAAGTGCTGGGATTACAGGCGTGAGCCACTGTGCCTGGCCGCACCACCATTCTTGATCCCTCACGGCTGTAATCTGTGGTTTTCCTGGTCGTTTTCTCCTATTCATCACTCTTCAGCACATCTCATACATTGTCTCCTCCTGTACCCCAAGTGCCTCAGTAATTTCAGAAACTTCTGAATTCATCAACTTAGCAGAGTTGAACACCTTGTTAGGAAACTGAACTGGAGTCCACTAGCCCAGCGCAGTGAGGCCACACATCCACACTGAGGTTTGCAGCTGGAGAAAGGAGGGCATTTATTTGCAGGGCACCAAGCAGGGAGAATCAGGCAGCTAGCTTACCTTTAAGGCCCAACCTCCTCGATGGCTTGTAACTAAGGATTTTAAAGGCAGGGGTAAATTTCAGGAAAGCGGAGGTTACAGACAAAACTGTTAATCAAGACATGGAAGTTACACGTTGGTTTGGCTTAAGAAGGTGGACTATCCTGAAGTGGGGGCTTACAGTGGGGGCTTGAATCTACATATGTAGATTCAAAGGTTTCCTGGTTTGCAACTGCTTAAGGAAAAGAGGCTTTGTTTTAAAAATTGGAGTCAGCAGATAAAGAATGTTAGCTCTGGCTCATGGGTGTGACTTCCTCTAGAACCCTCAGGAAGAAATTTAGAACAAAGGACAGTGGTCAGCGTTCAGTCCTCAGTCTCCCCTTATCTGAGGTCTGTGTGCCAGTGGATTCATCTGATGGGGTTCCAGGTTTCTGAAAAACAACTCAGAAGCATATGTTAAGATGTTATCTTTAGTTTCAATAGGGAACCAAACACCCGTGACTCTAACTTTGTTGGCTATTGTTTTAAACTACTATTACCTTCTTGCTTACAAAGTTGCTCATTTACTTCTTAGGGCTAGCTAGGTGCCTGGAATTTCCCTTGAAAGAACTCAAGATTTTCCCTTATTTCCCTTCTAGGTGGGGGATTCCTGCAGGCCTCTAGGACAGTCCCTACTCTGTCTCAACCTCAAAGGAGAAAGATAATGCAGAAAGAGAAATGTCCCATGCACTATCCTACACCTTAGGCTCATAGACCCTTGATTGCTCCTATTCCAGCTCCAACAACTACCACTTTCCTTCCCATTTGGCCAACATTATCCACAGCCACATGGGATACTCATCACCTGGAACTGTTCTGCCACTGGAACCTTTAACTATAATCTTCCATGACCCATCTGATCCCCATCCCCATCCTTCTTGTCTACTCTCTTACTGACCTTCATGGTCTTCCTTCTTCAATCCTGTCAAGATGTTCAACCTCTGACACCTTTGTTGCTGCAGAAATTCGTTTTTTTTAAATTCATACTAGTCATGATCCATCACCTACTGGGGGCTGTGGAGTCTGGCGCCATCAACTTGAATCCAGATGATGTTATTTACAGCTGTGTGGCTTGAAACAAATTACTTAACCTCTTTGAGTTCCAGTTTCCGCAGCTGAAGATGGGAACAAAATTATTGTCTATTTCATAGAATTATTGAGGATTAAGTGAAATAGTAATAAATGCAAAGAACTTAGCTCAAGGACCATCAAATAATAAGTGTGAAATAAATATGTGCCATTACTCATTGTGAGGGTGGTGGTAGTTGCTTTCTCACCAAATGTCCTTTATCCCTCTCCCAGATCATATGTGAAGCACCAGTCTATGCTCTGTATCTCGCCTTCCACTTTTCAAGGCATCACTCTGATGAAGATCTCCTCCTTCAGCTGTGCTCTCCATGGCCTCTGAACATATAACATAGTCCTAGCTCACCCAAATGAAACAAACAGGTAACACAAAATCTTCCTCAATCCTTTCTCCTTTATCTTTTAAATTTCTGTTTCAATTTCCTAAAAGACTTTATTTTTGTCTAATTACACTATCGAAACTGTTCCTTTCTAAATCACCATCCTCTTTTCAGCTTCCAGGAAGGGGCAGACTTTCCTAAGCCATAAAATAGTTCCAGTTTCAACCACCCACCAGGGGAACGGAGACCTACTCACCTTACAGCCATGACACTAAGGTTTTTCTTTTCCAGACAAAGAAGATCTGCTTCAAAATGATGGCTCTCTCAATGGAGAAACCTGAAAATGGCTGACATCCTTTAAAGAAGACAGATTCACACACACACACACACACACACACACACACACACACGCACGCACGCACACATTCATGCGATCTTTTTCACCCATCCCCACGTCCCCACATTAAGCTACCGTTTTATCACTTCTTCCACCTACCAGGACATCTCTTTTTTTTTTTTTTTGAGACAGAGTTTTGCCCTTGTTGCCCAGGCTGGGGTGCAATGGCACGATCTCGGTTCACAGCAACTTCCGCCTCCCCAGTTCAAGCCATTCTCCTGCCTCAGCCTACCAAGTAGCTGGGATTACAGGCATGCACCACTATACCTGGCTAATTTTGTATTTTTAGTAGAGACAGGGTTTCTCCACGTTGGTTAGGCTGGTTTCTCCACGTTGGTTAGACGGGGTTTCTCCATGTTGGTTGGGCTGATCTCGAACTCCCGACCTCAGGTGATCTGCCGCCTCAGCCTCCCAAAGTGCTGGGATTACAGGCGTGCTGGGATTACAGGCGTAAGCCACCACGCTGGCACATCTCTCTTTTTTAAACTTTTATTTTAGATGCAAGGGATACATGTGCAAGTTTGTTACCTGGGTATATTGTGTGATACTAAGGTCTGAGGTATGAATGATCTTGTCACCCAGGTACTGAGCATAGTACCTAATAGTTTTTCAACCCTTGCCCTCTTCTCCTCCTCCCCCTCTATTAGTCCCCAGTTTCTATTGTTGCCATCTTTGTGTCCATGTGTATTCAATCTTGATCTCCCACTTCTAAGTGAGGACATGCAGTATTCAGTGGTTTTGTTTCTGCATCAGTTGGCTTAGGATAACGGCCTCCAGCTGCATCCCTGTTGCTGCAAAGGACATGAGTTCATCCTTTTTCATGGCTGCATAATATTCCATGGTGTACACATATTATATTTTCTTTATTCAATCCCCCATTGATGGGCACTTAGATTGATTCCATGTCTTTGCTATTGTGAATAGCACTGCAATGAACATGTGAATGAATGTGTCTTTTTGGTAGAAAGATTTGCTTTCTTTTGGATATATACCAAATAATGGGATAATAGGATTGCTGTTCTTTGAGAAATCTCCAAACTGCTTTCCACAGGGGCTGAATTCATTTGTACTCCCACCAACAGTGTATAAGCATTCCCTTTTGTTTGCAGCCTCTACAGCATCTGTTGTTTTTTTTCACTTTTTAGTAGTAGCTATTCTGACTGGTGTGAGATGGTATCTCATTGTGGTTTTGATTTTTATTTCTTTGATGGCCAGTGATGTGGAGCATTTTGTCATATGTTTGCTAGTTGCTTGTATATCTTCTTTTGAAAAGTGCAGGACATCTCAATATTTACTTTAACTCAACTCTGTGTGTGTGTGTGTGTGTGTGTGTGTGCAGGTAGGGAGGAAAACAAGGACAGAAACCAGGAGGCCCAGCCCAGGATTAAAAACACACCACAGCCTTTCCAAAAAGTCAGAGTCATACATGGATCACTTGGAAATAACTGAACTTGCAAATCCAGTTTCCCATGGACCTGCTGAGTTTATGAGGTAAGAGAAGGGAAGCGTTCACATAATGAGAGATGATTCTTTTCATTACCGTGGTTGCAAACTTGGATGATGGCAGGAGCATTTGTGCTTGGCTACAGGATTCCAATTCCTGCCTGAGATTTCAGAATACCCTTCCTGCCCTTCTTTGAAGATGGCCAGGATCCTTGAGGATGCCTTGCAGTTGTTGGGCCACCCTCAATTTCCCATAAAGGTGGCATAGCCACCCCCTCCGCCAACACATACCTTATTAAAATCTTTCTCAGTCTCCCTTGAATTCTTTCGTGTACATCCGGCACTCGGGCCTGCAATTATCTTGCTTTTAAATCACCTGCAGAGGAAGAAGGCATGCAGGCAGAAGCTGGCTGGGGCATGTCCTGGTCATCATTGTGTGCCCAGGTAGGCAGTGGGCCCTTTGAGAAAAGGACGGCATTCTCTTCTTGTCACTCCCCCATCCCTACCACCCCTCACTGAGCATAGTAGAAATTTAATAAAAATTTGTCAATAGATTAATTGCATCATTACCTGGTTCTGTTGTGAAAGCAGAAGCTAATCCCCCTGAGACTTTACTCCCCTGCTTTATTTATTTATTTATTTATTTAGAGACAGGGTCTCATTCTGTCACCCAGGCTGGAGTGCAGTGGTGTGATTATAGCTCACTGCGCCTCAAACTCCTGGGCTCAAGCGGTCCTCCTGCCTCAGCTTCCCAAGCAGCTGGGACTACAGGTGCACACCTCCACACGCAGCTAATTTCTTAACATATTTTAGAGATGGGGTCTCGCTTTGCTGCCCAGGCTGATCTCAAACTCCTCTTCTTGATCCTTCCACCTCAGCCTCCCAAAGCACTGAGACTGCAGGTGTGAACCACAGTGCTGGCTTAGAAGGGACTCCAACTAAGCTAGACAGTGAGAAAGGAGGCCAGAAGCCGAGCCCTCCAAAACTGCCATGAAGTTCCCCCACTGCCACGATCAAGGAGAGCCAGGTGTGCCCATTCTCACTCCTGGGTTCCTTGCTGTCTCACATGTCTAAGGTCATTGGTCCACCCCTCTTTTGGACTCTGCTTTTCTCAGCCTCAGGTGACTATGGCTTTCAGATTCCATCCCTGGTCTCTGCCTTTTCCTGTCCTAACCTTTTGGAGAGTGATCATTGGAAGCTAGAGCTCTCTGCTCAGCCAGCACAGAGGAAAAGACCCTGGTTCTGCCCCTGAGTCAGAATCCAGGTTCTGGGACTTGCTCCTGTCTAGATATGAACGAGTGTCAGGGTTTATCTAAAACTGTAGGAATTGGACCCCATGTAAACTTTCTCATCTGTACAGGTCACAAGTCACCTGAGATTCCTGCAAATCATTCGGATACCTGGGCCCCCTCTTGAGGATTTGGGATTAGTGGGCCAGGGGAGGAGCCAGGAATCAGTGCAGATAACAGGCAAGTCTTATCAGGGAAGTTGGGGGAACAGTGGTTTGCATGACTCTCAAGTTGCTGCTGACCCCGACAGGGTCTTGCTCGAATTCCTTAAAAATTGGATTTCCACATAGTGGTCATTGTGTGCCACCTTCACAATTTTGCCATATTTATACATGCCATGACCTTATTGCCTTTATGCTTTTCTTTAAATCGTTCTGAATTTTTAAAAAACCACCTTCTTTAGCCTATTATGTACAAAATCTCTGTTTTGAGGATTATTTCCTCCTCATATACAGTCATATAAATACATAATTCAAATTTAAATATTCGCCCCAGTTCCAACAAAAACCATGTCAAATGCTACCCACTAGGATATGCACTGCACTTTGGAGACACTATTTAGGTAATGCCACCATCCAAAGTCAAAGGGTAGGGAGCTCTGAGGTCAGGAGGGGCAGGGTATCGGAGCTGTGAGGTCAGGAGGGGGCAGGTGTCCCCTGGGTGTGTGGAGCTGTGAGGTCAGGAAGGGCAGTTTCCCCTGGGTAGGAGAGGGGCTGTGAGGTCAGGAGGGGGCAGGTGTCCCTTGGGTGGGAGGAGCTGTGAGGTCAGAATGGCCAGGTTCCCCTTGGATATGTAAGCTGTGAGGTCAGGATGGAGCAGCCACAGGAGGCCTTCCCAGGAGCTGACCACGTTTTCTTCCTTGACCCAAGTTGTGATTACCCTGGAGTTGCTTTATTATCATTCTTTATATAATCCATTATATTTTATGCACTCTTCTTTATTTAGCTTAATTAAGAAAATAAAAAGAACTTAGAGAGTGAAAAAGACAAGGCCAGGTGTGGTGGCTCACGCCTGTAATCCCAGCACTTTAGGAGGCCGAGGCGGGCGGGTCACGAGGTCAGGAGATCGAGACCATCCTGGCTAACACGGTGAAACCCCGTCTCTACTAAAAATAGAAAAAATTAGCCAGGCGTGGTAGCGGGTGCCTGTAGCCCCAGCTACTCGGGAGGCTGAGACAGGAGAATGGCGTGAATCCGGGAGGCAGAGCTTGCAGTGAGCCGAGATCATGCCACTGCAATCCAGCCTGGGCGACAGAGTGAGACTCCATCTAAAAAAAAAAAAAGACAAATTGTTCTAGCAGCAGTTCACTTAGTGGACATTTAAACCCTGTTTCACCCAGCAATGGGAACACTGCAGCCCCATAACCTTGGGCTGGGGTGGGACTCCTGGGGAAGGGTGATGTCTGGGTGGTTTCCAGAAGCTTTGTGCTGTGTGTTTCGGACCCTTATCTCTGGAATTAAGTTGCTGAGTATGAATGAGGCTGACATAGAAAAGCTCTGTTTAATCACAATCCTTAGCCGAATTCTTGGTGGTGTGAGTTTGGGGAAGGAGGAGTGCATAAAAGCGATAGCATTGTATACCAGTGTCCTGGTATTGTTGCATCCCTGACTCCTTCCCGCCACACACCCCCCTCGCCGCCCCACACACACACACTCAGAGCCATTTTTAAAAGGAATCCCAGTTAAGGTAAGCATAATACCTTAAAAGCAAAGCCTTATCTTCTCTTTCCATCAAGCTCCCTTGAAAGAGCACGCTGTCTGGCTGGTAGTTCTCTAGGAATCTGTTTTCTTTGTGGCAGCTGCTGAACCCAATGAATCAAGCCAATAAACTATTTTGACAGCATCTGCTTCTTTTATTCTTCCTTCTCTCCAATCCTGGCCCCAATCTAAAAGCCTCAGACACCATCCCTTCCTTCCCCCACGCTGAAGCAGACAGCCTCTGTAACTAGTTAATGGTGCCATTCTTCAGCAAATCTGAAGGCCTTGGCAGGAGCCCAGGGGCCATGGGGAAATCGAGTTCTGTTTTCCAATTGACACACTGACAGAGGCATTCGTCCAACTGGGCACCCCCTCTCCAGAGGAGGCTGGCTATATGGAGAGTGTGGCAGGGCCATCTATCCCCAATTGTGTCCTCTAATGAATTGTCACCACCTCTGACTTTCAACCATTTATTCTTTTGAGCCTTGTTGTAGTCTTTCAGAGTTTTCCATAAAAATCTCCGTCCCCAGAGAAATGCAGTAACACCTAAACACCTAGCAGGGTGAGTCAGTACCTGGCTAGGTCACAGGGACTAAGGGGATTGGGTTACTGTGTGGGTGGAGTTCTGGACAAGGAGAGCTGTTTAAGGGTGATGGTGAGGAGAGATGAGAGGAGGGCACCGCAGGCCTGTCCGGGCTCCCACTCCAGCTGGCCTGGGTTAGACAACCACAACTTAGCAGTGCTACCATGAATGCATAAGGATGGCCTGACATCTGGGAGAAATAATGAGTTTCTAACTTCCCAAGTTTCTATACGTTCATTTTAAATGTGGAGAAAATGCAAAGGTGCAGTGTGATGGTGTGAAAATTCATGAGTTAAATTCCTAACCCCTAAGGCGAAGCCTCGATTATAAAGGTGGAACCCTGATGAATGGGATTAGTGCCTTTATAAGAGACCCCACAGAACTAGCTTGCTCCTTCCCCCATGTGAGGACACAGCCAGAAGGCACCGGCTTCTGGTTTCTATAAACCAGAAGGCAGGTCTTCACCAGACATTGAATCTGCTGATCGCGTGCTCTTGGACTTTCCAGCCTCCAGAACTGTGAGAAACAAATTTTTGTTATTTAAAGTTTCCCATTTTATGGTATTTTGTTATAGTAGCCTGAATAGTCTAAGACATTGGGTTATTGTTACAACAACAGGTAGATTCTTTGATTTCTAGGAGAGTCTTTCCAGAAAAATAAGACCACTAATACAGAGGCTTTATATTCTATAGAGGAATTTACAGACTGGTAACGGAAAAGATAGGCATATTGTTTTAGTCTATTCATGCTGCCATAACAAAACATCTTAGACTGGGTAATTTATAAAAAGCATAAACTTATTGCTGACAACTATGCAAACCGGGAAATCAGGGTTATGGAGACTAGGGAAGTCTAAGCTGGGGGATTAGCAGGTTTGGTGTCTGGTGAGAGCCCAGACACTGCTTCCACGGTGGCGCCTTCAACGTGGCATCCTCCTGAGAGGCAAGGAGGAACACTGTGCCCTATATGGTAGAAGGCTGAAAGGACAAAAAAGGGCTGAATGTTGTGGGAAACCCCTTTTATAAGGACATACAATAAATCCAGAGAGCTTGGAAGCTGACTGGTTTCTTTTTATGTGTGCCAAGATTATTGGTATTATCTTTACAGGAAAAGGTGGCTGTGGCCATTACCAAGTTATTAAAACCACAGAGATCTTGACTTGTATGGACTGAGATGAGGCTTCCATCAGCATCTCGCATAAATAACATAACACTGATGCAGCAGATGAACATGGAATCAGTGACATCCACAAGGTAAGACCTTTTCTTCTTTGCCTTGGGCTCATCTAGACCCCTGTGGCAGGAGATTCTGAAGCGTGGAACATTACTGATTCTGAAATGATACAATTTATGCCCTGACTAAGCAAGGTCCACCTTTGGTTATAAACATTGGATCCATCATAAAGTTATTAAGCCAAGATCATGTTTTTGGACCCTGAAGAAGACAATAGGCTTGGAGGAGAAACAGACCTTGACTTCAAGACACAACGCAGAGGGAAATATCGCTGATACAAAGCTTGAAGATGATCATCTATGTACCCATCGGGACATTTTTAAAGGGACAAGTGGAATGAGCGAAGACTTTGAAGACAGTCTTGTCTGCCAGGCACTCAGATCATCAGGAAGCAGAAAAGGAGATGCAAGATCAGGTTGAGAGGTATTTTGTGCAGGAATACACATTCAGTGTTATAATGTAATTGAAAAAGAGTCTATTTCAGAGGCATCAGCTTCACAGCCACCATGGTTTAACCTCACCTGTGGTGTGAGATGGACAGTGGGTATGGGTGGCCCCTCCTATGGGTGGGAAGCACAGTGATGTGTTGGGCACCTGAGCAGGGCTGCCAAGATTTTCTAAAGCATTCTGTGGACCATTCTGTGAGCCCCTACAAGGGGTTCTGAGCTCCTTGCCCTGGGATTTGATCCAATGGACCTATCTAACTGGTATCTCCAATGTCAGAGGTGAGTGAGAGCTTCTGTTTGTTTGAACTCTGCCTGACCTCAGTCTCAGTGCTTATTTTGAACCAGGAACTAAATGTAGAGGAAAAGTATGGAGGACAAAGTGCACAATTATTTTCTCTTGGACAGATCTTCGACGTCCTGCTTTTCCCTGGGGAGCACTTTCCCTGGATGCAGGTAGACACAACTTCTTTCTCCTAATATGCCCACCCTGCATTCTCCCTTCGCCCTGGTCTTTTCTCATGATTTTGGGAAAGTTCCAGACAGTCTCTCTGACTGGCAGCAGGAAAAACACAGTGCAATATAATATATTGTGTATATTTAGCATGACGTGTAAATATTTTATAGAAGCTAAAGTAAATAATATATATATTTGTAATGTCAGTGTAAATATTTGATAGGCTGCAGTAGGAATCCAGTATGTTTGGAGCTGGGCACAGCACCAGTGGGAGGAAGGGACAAGGTCAAATCAGAGGGCAACCTGTTCATGACGTATCTGAAAACATCTCTTTTTCTCCTTCTGCCTGGCTGCTGCTTTGAACGCTTGACTCTCAACATTCAAATATTCTCACGTGAATTATCCACAGCAATTCAAGACCAAGCCCTATAGCTTTAGAGGCTGCTGGAAAGAGAGCAGCATGTAAGATCCTAAATAACTGGCTGAATTATATTTATTCATTTGTTGACTTGTTTACTGTCTATCTCATCCATACAATAGAAATTCCTGGAAGGCCCATCTTGCCTATTATCATATCTCCAGTGCATAAAACAGTTCCTGACACATAGTAGACACTCTGTAAATAATTCTGGACTGAATAAATGGTGAGATTTGATGCCAAACTGAGGAGAAAAAAACTGCAACCCCAGCCCTCCCTGAAAGGGCCAACATTTTAAATCCATTAGTCATGCAAACCTTGAGGGTGAGTTTATTTAAATTAGTGATAAGAACTAGCTGAAGTTAGCTATGTGACAGGCTGATGTTGTTTCACTGGAAGGGGAAGAAGGTATTTGGGGCCCTAGGGCTCCACGGTGAGGTCCACGCCAGAAGAGTTGTCTAGGAGGCCATGGAGGTAGTGAGGGGCACAAGGCAGATGGGGATAAAGAAGCAGAAAATCTACAGCAGAAGATGAGAGGGAAGTGGAAGACACTAGAATATCTTTACCACCTCCCAAATTTTCCAGGACAACCTCTTTACATGCATGACTATGAGTAAGTGTTTCAACATTAAATGCAACCTACTGTTAGCTTTCCCGGGACTAGTTACCCAGAAGGTTTTACTTCATCTAAAATGCAACCAATAATAGCATTCATAGCAAATGCTTATGTTGTATTTACCCAGACACTATTCACATTGTTCTACACGCATGAATGCATTTCACCCTTAGAACCCCCAAGTAGAGGAAAAAGAAATTCAGGAGATTATGTGACTGAATTATCTAGGGATGATCATGAGCTACGTTCCTTTCACCTGTGAGTATCAAATACTACTGGTGTCAGTAGAGGCAACATGTCCCTCTTTCTAGATGCTCCTCTTCCTGTGTGTGTTGTGTTGGGTTGTGGGGGAAGTCTTAGTGAGAAGTTCCTGGACTTAAGAAAGGTAGAGTAGCTCCCAGGTAAACAGAACCTGCTTGGAAACAGGTCTAATCTCTTACAAAATCACAGAGCCCAAAGAATGTAAAGGCCCTGAGAGGAACTAAGTCTAATAGCTCCACCGAGTGATGCACGGAGAGTTCCCGGAACAGTCCTTCAGCTTGCTGGCTGCACAGGAAACTGTGTGATGTGTGCTGTACCCACATTTCTCATCTGTCCTCAGAACACAGTAAATATCAGCTGGCTTTGCTCATCGGAGAGGTGTGGGGTATGGAAGGGACAAGAGAAGAGAGAAAGGGAGACAATAGAACAATAACTGATCTCTCCTTTCTGGTATTACTGTTATAACAGCACAATGGCAATTGAGCAATCAATTCCAAACTTTTAAAAGTCTTTTTCTTTTCTCAACTTAAAATCAAAGCTTGCGCTGGGCGTGGTGGCTCACACCTATAATCCCAGCACTTTGGGAGGCCAAGGCTGGTGGATCACCAGGTCAAGAGATCAAGACCATCCTGGCCAATATGAAACCCCATCTCTACTAAAAATACAAAAATTAGCTGGGCGTGGTGGCACGTGCCTGTAATCCCAGCTACTCGGGAAGCTGAGGCAGGAGAATCGCTTGAACCCAGGAGGCAGAGGTTGCAGTGAGCCAAGATCGTGCCCTGCACTCCAGTCTGGTGACAGAGCAAGACTCCATCTCAAAAAAATAAAAATAAAATAAAATCAAAGCTTGAAGTTCTTACACCATGGCACCAGCAAAGACATGTGCTGTCTTGTCACTGTGCCCAACAGAACAGATGACTTCTTTCCCATATCCCACCCGATGATGTTCTGAGATGGTTTTGAAATGTTGTCTAGACCACAGTGGGCCTGTCTTACAAACCGCACCTCTGTCAGTGGTGTACCCACACCCGTGTCACTCTATCCGTGGCCCTGAAGTGCTGTGGATGAGGGCCACAAGTGAGCTAGATGTCTCAGAAGACAAAGAGAGAGGCACCTTGTGGGACAGTGTTTAAATATTCTCAGTGCCAGAGAGGAAGCTGGGACCCAGCAGAGGTCTGAGTTGACATGCTGGGCCCTCTCTAAGGCCAGCTGTTGGGGACCAGGTCCTCAAGTCCTGCCATTGAGACAAGGCAAACGGAACACATTTCCTCTTCTTTCCACATTTGTACCAATAGCCTGGACTGAGTGTCGGGGTCATCTTGGTGCACGTTCAAGTCCTTCATTCTTGACAGGTGCTAACTCAGAGAACTCGGTGGGGCCCAGGTCCAACACAGCCAGGTGAGCTGACTCCAGAGCCAGATCAGAGCTGGGCTTGGGAACCAAAATCCAAGCAATTTATTGAGTCCTCAAAGAAACACTGAACTTTATTTCACTGAACTACACTTGTAGACCAATGCATTGTAGTGGGACCTTCAGCACCATGGAATCAGACTCAGAGTGTTTCATTTTGTTTTCTTTTTCTAGTCTTATTTTTTGCTTTGTCTTACTTTGACTAGCTTTGTTTCACCTTGTTAGGCAGAAAATTCAAGGAACAAGATGATTCCCTTTAGTTTGATATGGATAAATAAACATTAAATGAGCAAACTACTGCTTGCTAGACTTATGTTGCCTCTGTGGATTGAGATATGAATCAAACATACATTCAACATTTATGTGGCAAGGACTAGAGAAAAAAAAGTACACAAGGAGCAATAGGACAAGGAGAACAGGTTCCCAACCCAGACAGGAGAAACAGAAAAGCTACCTGGAGAGGTGACATTGACATTGAAGTTGACTGAGTTTCTGCAGTTGTATTTTTTAACCTGCAAGGCCATTGACAATGCAGAAGAACCCAGATTTCAAGAGAAACAGAGCTAGATTCAGACAACACCTCCACCACCACTTACTGTCTGCATCAGTCAGGGTAAGCTACATGCTGTAACAAACAGCCCTCGAGAGCTAACCTAGGGCATGCTTATTTCTTGCTCATAACACAGTCCAGTGCAATGCAGTGGGGTTCTGCTTCATATGGGCAGTCACGCTTCTTCTATGCTTTCTCCCATTCTAGGGCCTCATCTTCTTCAGCATTAAGTTATAGATGGGGGAAGGGGGAGATGGTAGAGAAGACCCATTTGCTTTTAAGCTGCCTCAGGCAAGAAGTGGCCTACATCTCTCCCACTCACTCTCCATTGGTGAGAACCAGCCACATGGCCCTGCCTAGATGCCAGGGGACTAGAAGTGCAGTATAGCTGTGGGCCCAGGAAGGGGATATTAGTGAGTGTTAGCAACCTCTGCCACAGCAGCCATATCAGATCAGTGAGGTTACCAAACCTCTGTGAATTCTGAATGCTGTCGCTGAAGCTGAGACCAGTTTCTATTGACTAGGTAAAGCAAAGACATGTATTTTTGGCCTCTGCACACTTCTTGGTGACTTGGGAGAACTTCAATCATATGCTGTCACCATCATAATCATCATCCGGTCAACAAGCACATTGCCAGGCATGGTGCTGGTGTGGGAATACAGCTGTGGACCAGAGAGGTTGGGTCCCTGGCCTGATAGAGCTGAGAGGTATCACATCCTTAGACCAGAATATGACATATTGCAGGATTCTTGGTATTCTAACTTTGAGAAATCCTTTAGAGTGAATTTTATGTATATTGAGGGTGTAAAGTTCTTATACCTTTCTTTAAGCAGATGAATTCATGGTTGCCTCTAACCTCTGGGTCGCATGTGTTTTCTTGGAGCACTGAAATGTTGCTTTTTTTTTTTTCATGCCTGAGGGTAACAGAAGACCAGGTCATGAGGCATGACCTCGCCCTGCTATTTTGCTTCCAGAGTGTAAGGTCGTCTGCTATAAAATACTCCAGATATGTTTCTTGGTACAACATGTCTTGAAAATTATATGCTTTCAACTTAAAGCATAATTGGGTACCAGAAACAAATGTTCGTGCTGCTTTATAACATGTTTCTCATAGCCTGTGGCCTTTTGTCCCAACTCCTCCCGCTCCATGAGGGCACAACTGTTTCAGAAAAGAGATTAAACCTCAAAAGAATCTGAGAGTAACCTTGGAGTGGCTACAGATTTTTCAGGAAAGCTCTGTCTCCATTGCAGGCTGGATAGTGTTACTCTGCACGACATTTGTCACTGAATCTGGAGTGGCTGTGTTTTTACAGACAATTGGGATTTTTTTTAAAAAAAGGAAAGATAAAATTTATGGATATCCCGTGGTCTTCCCAGTAGCCAGACAGCGATAATCTGACAATGCTAATCTTTAGCGTTAAGGGTTTGGAAACTACAGACTAGCCCTTTGGGAAACTGATAATAAAACATTTAAAAGAAATCAAAGAGCAAATATCAAACAAGCAATGCCTCTTCCATCATCTGTGCTGTTGTCTATGTAATCCTCCAAACTTTAGTTTGAGAGATCACTTGAAATTCTGGGAGTCTTTCAGGAGATTATCGGTATCAGTTAAGGCTTTGAAGTAGGGGCTGCTGGCATCTCATTACTGACAGAGATCAAAAACCAAAGCTGGAGTGCAGTCCCCGGCTGTAGGGCCTCATTCACACATCACAGACGCACTCAATTATCAAAGTCCGGGACCGTCTTTATGTGATACCTGCTTAACCACAAATGGCCCTTCCTGCCTCCTGTGGCCTTTCGCTCCCTTGTTCTTGCCTCTTTCCTGCTTGTGCTAATTCCTTCTGCTTTTCCTAAATCAAGGAAATCTTAGAGATTGTAATGGCAGTCCTCTTCTAAGTGAGTAACGTATTTTTGACACTTGGAAAAAAAAGAAACAAAATTCAGCCTCCATGGGGTTGAATAGTTTAAGTGGCAAATGTGCTTTGATGGAAAAATGTTTGAGCAGCAGGTCACTCTGGTTCACTGGTGCCGTGGTGGGTTTAGCCATAGAGTTAAATTGGTTTACTCATAGTCTGAACTTGGCCTTGAACAAGCCCAAGAGTACCTAAGCTTTACCTCATGGTGCTTGTGAATTTGGACTGTTAATTAGCACAGAATCAATCTCCTACCCCAAATGCTGTGTCCTGGTGGGAATTTTCCTGGGATGGTAGGAAAAGAAGGGCAGGAAATTTGAGCAGCCATCCTTGATTGCTGCCTAGGTTTTCCAGAAAACTTCCTACCCCTGGGGAGACAATTCGGGGTCAGGTTATCATGTAGCAGTGCTGCAGGCTATTGTGAGAAACTTTCCTTTCTGCCTGTGCCTGCTACCTTTGGTGAAAGTTACTGCTCTGTCCCTAGGTCACATTTACTTAATAAAATGCCAACCTGGAACCCACCAGCGGGCAAGGTGACCCCATGGGGCAGTTACACTATTCTAGGGTAGAAGAGTTTCAATAAAATGCTGCAGCTGAAACCACAGTTTCCATCTGCTAGGTAAAGCAAGTACATATATTTTTGGCCTCTGCACACTTCTTGGTGACCTGGGAGAATTTCAATCATATGCTGTCACCATCACAACCATCAGCCGGTCAACAAGTACATTGCCAGGCACAGTGCTGGTGTGGGAATACAGCTGCGGACCAGAGAGTCTCATTGTCCTATCACAGTTTTGTTTCTGCTGCCACCATTTAATTGAAATTCTTCTACCCCAGAATAGCAGTGACTGTCTTACCATTGAATCCAGTGGCAACTTTATTCATATTCACATAACTAATGGCCCTTCCTTCTTGGAAGACTTTCATTCCCTGGCTTTCTCTGGCCAAGCTCTCTTCATTTTTCTTTTACCTCTCTAAGTGTTGCCCTAGGAAGTGTCTACCACGTAGCAGGTGCTTAATAGATGCTTGAACAAAGAAATTGCATTCATTCTCTCTTCATTCCTGTCTCCCTTCCTTTTTGCTTTTCTTTTTTATTATCCTCTGCTGTGCAGAAAGCCAGTCAGATACAAACTCTCTGGTGGGAGGGATTAATGATCCTTGTTCTATTTTGGATGATGTAAACCCAATGGTCTGATTATCTATAGGAAGCTTAGCCAAGAGAAATAGAGCCCTGGCCCAAGTGCTGACCTGCAATCATGGAACCTTCTAGCAAGAAAGGTAGCCATTGAGAGCAAGTGCTTGAGCTGGGTCATAGTCTTTCAGGGAAGTGAAAAGCTAGTTTGGCCACGTGTTATTAATACAAACTCAAAAGTAGGGGGCCGTATCTTTTCCCTTCTTTGAAGTTCCTCAGAGTACTTATTATTTCTGCAAGATGTTTGATGAATGAAAATATTTCCACAAAACCCTTCAACATGTGACTTTATCTGACAATTCTAAAATGCACCTTCAAGTCTATATTTGAAGATTTAGGAATTCACCTACATTTTTTGGAAGAGTCAACATTTTCTTTCTATTAACAAAACTTGGATATCAGAGGCAAAAAGGAGGCAGGCGGGAAGTTCTGTCCATTTCTACCTCTCTTCTGTATCTTTTCTCTGGCATTTTGGTAGTGCTGTCATTGCCCATGGTCATGGGGAAGGAGACAGCACAAATAAGTAAAGTAAAAATGCATTTGGATTATTGGGGGCCAATTTTGTGCCAAGAACTGTACTAGGTACTCTGTATATTTCAGTTCTAATCTTCACTCCTATTTCATGAGATAGCTGTTGTTATTCCTATTTTACAAGTGACAAAACTGAAGACAGACAGGAGCCTTATCCAGGGTCGTGTAGGTGGCTTCCCATGTAGTTGGGGAGCCAAGAGCCAGCTCTGCTGGGCCCACGGTTAGTGTCTGGCTCCACGAGGCCTGCAAGTGCTACCCCCATCAAGGTCAGCAGCGACTAACATGTTCATGGAGCCACTGGGTAACACAGTCAGGCACAATGATATTTCACCAGCAGGACACAGTGGCTCACAGCTGTAATCTCAGTGCTTTAGGAGGCCAAGGAGGGATGACTGCTTGAGGTCAAGAGTTCAAGACCAGCCTGGGCAGCACAGTGAGACCCCCATCTCTACAAAATATAAAAAAATTAACTGGCCTGGTGGTGCACACCTGCAGTCCCAGCTACTTAGGAGGCTGAGGTGGAAGGATGGCTTGAACCCAGGTATTTGAGGCTGTAGTCAGCTATGATAGTGCCATTGTACTCCAGCTTGGGTGACAGAGGGAGATCTCTCTCTCTGTCTCTGCCTTTCTCTCTCTCTCTCTCTATATATATATGTATGTATGTATGTGTGTGTATATATATATAAAAATATATATGTGTATATATAAATATATATACTTGTATATATATAAATATATACGTGTATATACATATAAATATATATGTATATATATTTAACCAGCAAACGCATTTATACTAAACAAGCACAAATCTCACCTCCTTGCGTTTTATATGTTCCACTGGTGACGATGCTGAAGAACAACAGAAAGAGCTAAATGGAAGAGAACAGGTTTCATTGTAGATGTTCATTTGGTCATTCATCAAAACCATTTGCAAAAGCAAGGCATGTTCCTAGGTACTTGGAGATTCAAAAATGAGTACAATCCTGCTCCCTCCCTTAGGAAGCTTACAGTTTAGAAGATGAGATCGCCAAGTGTGCAGAATCACAAAGTTATGAGCGGGAAAGTGATAGATGCTAACGAGAGGTTCAAAGGGCTCTGCTGGTGAGGGGAGCGAGTGATATCGGAAGCCAGGAAACAGCTCTGCCATAAAGGCTGGAGACAGACTATAGAGCACAGAATGTTCCCTGCACTCGGCATAATGCAGATCCAGGCAGGAGCAAAACCACAGGAAGGGGATGGAAATAATAGAACAAGAAAAAAAAAGGACAGGAAGAAAAAAATTTTGACCATGGAGTTAAATAGTTTGCAATATTCCTAAAAAGTTTCCTCTCTCTCTCTCTCTCTCTGTGTGTGTGTGTGTGCGTGTGTATGTGTGTTTGTATGTGTGCCTGAAAAGAGAGGGCTATAAATGAAAGCAGGAAAGAGAGAACACAAAGGTAGAGATCTGAAGTCAACTGGCCTAGCGGAGAGCCCATAGCCCTCCAGTGTTTGACTGCCATCGGGGCAGGGCTATCAGGAATGTGTCACCAGGAGGAAATGGAGCCTGGCTTAAGTAGCTCTAAAGCCAGATTTCAGCTGAGATTGCCGGAGGGTGCCTGGAGAAACAGGAGCAAAAGGAGACGATAAGCAAAATGGCTTTGCATTTTTTCCCTTCCCGTCTCCTATCACTGAGCTGAACAGACAGGCCTTTCTGTGCCAGTGTATACATTTTCCTAAGAGCTAGCGGGGAAGAGTGGGTTTATTAAACTGTGATTGGATCTGAAGTGTATGCAGTTTCTATTGTGAGGTTGTCCGGACAATAAGGGTGAACAAAGAGGACGATAACAGGCATCCGGGACACTTGCTGAAGCATGAAGGGCAGCCCAAAATATCCATATTGATTGCACCCCTGTCGGGTTCGAGCCACTTTCTTATTTCAGTGAGTCACTTCTGCTTATTGAACCATAAACCCCAGACAAAGTGCATGCCCCCACGTCACCAGGGCAGCCTTGTTTCTGCTGCCTAGAGGGATGTCTTAGGGCTGGGACCCCAGATACCCAGGGCGCCAACAGCAGTAGGAGCAAACACGTTTGTTACAGGTTTTGAGGGTTTGATGTGAAGTTTCAAGGATAAGTGAGAAAACACGTGATGAAGAGAAGAGTGTTATTCCCTCAAGAGCTACATTGAATCTGGAGAAATTTGATTCCTCTAGATCTTCCTAAATTCTTAAGGAATTTGATTCCTTATTAAGGAAAAACTCATTTTAGTCCCTGCTAGGTAGAATTTTGAAGAAAAAGGTATAGCAACAACTGATGTATTTGTCGGCTCAAAGTTGGTCACAGCAGATAATGGGCCACTTCCGAAATTGTCCTTTTGCTATCTGGCTCTTTTCCCAAAGAGAGCACCATTTTCATCGCTGTCATCTGTTTGTGTGTCAGATATTTATTGCTCTGAGAGATGCACGCTGCCAAACTTGGTTGTCTGTGCCCAACGCACCTCTCTGGGGAAGAATGACGTTCATTGAACTGTGAGCTGCCTTATAAACAAGGCTGATCTCTGAATGCAGAATTAGATCCTCAAAGCCTTTGTGTGAATTGTGGTCAGACTAATGTGAAGGCATTTGGACCCAAGTCCAGTGCCATGCTGAGTGTCTGGCATGATCACAGACCTTCCCACATCTCCGAAACACCTTCAGACTCAATCCTGGTTGCACCTCCCAGACTGAGAGGTGGGCCATCCCTCTCTTTCACTGCACCCAGATCCTCTGTAAAGGCTGAATCAGTGCTTTCACCAAGGGTAAAAGGTCAAGGACTGTGTGTGTGAGGGAGGAAAAAATAGATTGTTGGAGGAAAGAAAAAGAGAAGGTGAATACATTTCACCTCAAGCAAAGGGCCATGGTGAGAGGGACCACGTTGTTCCAATGAGGTAAGGTGATCCTGCGTGAGACTCCATAGTTACATGGATAAACCCTTAGTATTTCAGCATTTTCCAAGACTAAAATATATCTACATACAGAACATCCAAACTATGCTGAGGCACAAACATCCTTGCACTTCAAAGTGTGTGTGTGTGCATGTGTGTCTCAATGAGCATAATATTGGGTTAATTTCTGAGCAGTATACAATAATTCATTCAGCAAATAGTTGCAGAGTTTCTACAGAGTTCCAGGCACTCCTCTGTGCTATGCGACTATGACAGTAAGCAAAACAGAAATCCTTCCCTTATGAAGGCAGGAGATGGGAATAATCAAGTATAATATTGTATGTGTCATCCCAAGATCAGTTCTGTGTAGAGAACTAAAACAAGGTCAGGTATAGACCACTGAGAGTTGGGGGGTGCTTATAATTTTTGATAGAGTGGTTAGGACAGGCATTTGCCAAAGACCTAGTGGGAGGAATAGCTCTTGCCATGCAGCTTTCTGGGGAAAGAGCTTTCCAGATGTTCACTCCTAAAAAAAATGCATTTTAAAATGCCCAACAAAATTACAATTTTTTTGGCAGTGGCCCTCAGTGTAAAGACCTCCCCTATCTCTTTGAGGTCACAGGATTTTGTGGGAGCACTAAGACAGAGAGGCCAGCCTCATCCTGGCAGGGCAGATCCACCTGAATGAAGGAATCTGGAAGTTCCTGAGTGGTGAGGGCCATGACAGGGCAATTGTGTGTCCTCAGGCAAAACCGCAAACACAACAAGCAACTGAATTAAAGGATAGAGGTAGGGAATGGGCCCCACCAAACTTTTAGATCCTATTCTTTCCTCCTTGCATTCGATTTTTAATAAAGTTCAATTCAGTTTTGATATAAGGTGCTATAGTTTGGATGTGGTTTGACCCTGCTAAAACTCATGTTGAAATTCAATCGCCAATGTGGCAGTGTTGGGAAGTGGGGCATAGTGGAAGGTGTTTGGGCCATGGGACCAGATCTCTCATGAGTAGAGTAATGCCTCCTCCTCCCCATTCATCATGAAGGGAGTGAGTTCTGGCTCCCACAGGAATGGATTAGTTCCTGAGAGAGCAGGTTGTTAAAGTCTGGCTTCTTCAGTTACTCTCTGGCCTCCTCTCTTGCTGTGTGATTTCTTTGCACACACCCACTCCCCTTCTGCTTTCTGCCATGAGTTGAAGCAGCCTGAGGCCCTCCCCAGATGCAGCTGCTCACTCTTGAACCTCCCGGCCACCAGAATCGTGAGCCAAATAAACCTCTTTTCTTTATAAATTACCCAGCCTCAGGCATTCTATCAATGCAAAACAGGCTGAGATATAAGTATTAGTAAATATGTGCACAAATGACTACTGGTATCACAGCAAAGGGCACATCTCTAGGATACTTGAATGCAAAACAGGAGAGAACACATCAGTAGCCCAGGTCTTGTCTCCAAACAGAGGCCAATGGAGTTCAGCTTCGAAATTAGAAGACCTCATCCCCTGCTACAAAAATATATGGAAGTTTAGTCTCTCTCTCTCTGGCTTTTATCATCCCATGAAAAGAGGGAAGAATGACTTCTTTCTGTTGCCAAGGCAGTATTTAGCATAAGAAGAATGATACTCTGGGCACCATGACTGGTCTCAAATGCCTCTAGGATTCACCCTGATGACCACCAATCAGTTGGATGCTGGCAACCTCCAGCTACTCAATGCTAGTGACCCACACACAGTTTCCCTAACGTGAAAACTAACGTGAATCAGAATCCACGGCCTCTGAAAACCCAGACAAGAGCCCCTTTTCCAGTTGAAGCAGTGGTGCTAAATAGTCTGAGGTTGCAGAAACTACTAGGGGTATTGTATGTGAAGAATTGTAAGGAGTGAAGTTGGAAGGGGATCTGTGAATAGCAGCAGTACAAGATGCTTCAGACTCTAGTCCCCACTCACTCTAGCTGTCACTTTAATAATTTACTAACACTTTGTTTCCATTTCCTCATTTATAAAACAGACTGTGAAAATTAAACCTTACTTCATCAGACTACAATAAGAATTGAATGAGATAAAATCTGCCATGCATTTACAACAGTGCCTGAAATATAGTAAGCACTTAATAATAGCAACTCTTTTTACTATTCCTTGGGAGCAAGAAAGATCTCCACCTCTACTTCTTGGCTTTCTGAGTATTTTCCAGACTTTCTGGAACCTAATCTTAAACTCTGCTAAAGAGTCACTGGCAGATAAAAAAGGAAAGCCTTTGCTCTCCCCATGGAAGACAACCCGAAGGAATTTCTGATCAGGTCATATTTTAGGCATAATTTTCTTTTCCTTCTTCTTTTTATTTTTATTTTCTTTTGAAAATGAGGCCAGGCACAGTGGCTCGCGCCTGTAATCCTAGCACTTTGGGAGGCAGAGATGGGCGGATCACCTGAGGTCAGGAGTTGGAGACCAACCTGGCCAACATGGTGAAGCCCCATGTCTACTAAAAATACAAAAATTAGCTGGACGTGAAGGTGGGCACCTGTAATCCCAGCTAATTGGGAGGCTGAGGCAGGAGAATTGCTTGAACCCAGGAGGCGGAGGTTGCAGTGAACCAAGATCATACCACTGTACTCCAGCCTGGGTGACAGAGTGAGACTCTGTCTCAAAAAATAAAAAATAAAAGTAAATAAAAAATGAAAATGAGGAGGGGGTGGGAATTGTAATTCTATACGTATTTTAAAGACTACAAAACTTTAACAGTGTTGTCTTGTTCAGTTATTTTTAAAATAAATTTTATTGTATATATTTAAGGTATATAATATGATGGTTTGTACATATATAACAGAGAGAGAAGAAAGTAAATGGTGACCATAGTGAAACAAATTAACATATCCATCATCTCACATAGTTACACATTTCCTCCCACTGTGGCAAGAGCAGCTATAATCTATTTATTTAGCAAGAATCCTGAATGCAGTACACCATTAACTATAGTCTTCATGTTGAACATTAGATCTTTCAACTTGTCAATCCTACATATCTGCTACTTTGTAAACTTTGATCTATATCTTCTCATTCCCCCTCTGACCTTGGTATAGTCAACTTTACTTTAGATTTACCCACTTAATTCTATGTCATTTTTCATTTCTTCCTGCATCTCTAACCTTCTTTAGGAGATTATTTTCTTTCTCATCCTCACTTCTGTATTTTCTATCCTTTTGATTATTTGTGTTTCATGCTATATATTTTCTTCTGGTTTATCTTCCATTTCACTGATACTTTCTTCAGCTCTGTCTAAACTGCTGTTATGTCTATTCATTGAGCTCATAATTTTGGTTTTGTATTTTTCAGTTTTAGAATTTCTATTTGATTCCTTTTCAAATCCCCTGTTTAATGTTTTATATGAAGTTTTTTTCTTCTTCCAGGTACCTCAGTGTGCTAGTACTTTTGAATCACCTGAATCCAGTTTCAGGGACTGGAATTTTTTGTGTCATCCTATTTGAAACTGGGCAGAAATCTATTTGAGGACTGACTTTTTTTTCTTCTAGTGTTCATCCTTTCTGGGTCTCAATTAAAGATCCAAGGGCTCACCAGAGTGTTCCACACTTCATGAGCCTGGAACACCTATTTTTGTCCTCCCAGACCCATGAGGCTTCCGTCTTATTCATGATTTGGCTTAACTAAATCTTATCTTGGTTAGCTTTTTGGTACCTTCAAGGAGATTGAAAAAATAATTTCCCCAGATTTTCTGATTGTCTTTGGCAAGAGAACTTGTCCAAATTATCCCAAGAGTAATATAATTGTCAAACTTTCCACTGAGACTTTTTTTCTGAGGTTCTATAAATGGTATAGGTAAAAGAACTATATAGAATTATTGTCCTTGGTACTAATACACAGTATACATTTGGGTAAATAACCTCAGCTTTTTGGGATGACATTCTTCTTCTACATCAGGAAATTCAATGATTTCTTGGCTCAGGACTTTTCAAAGAGAAAATTATAATACATTGAGAACACAGTTCTTTAAATCATGGAAGTTTATTTATAACTTTAAAAATTGAATTTAATTTTTTAAATACAGGTGGGGACTCACTATGTTGACTAAGCTGGTCTCAAACTCCTGAGCTCAAGCAATCCACCTTCCTCAGCTTCCCAAAGTGTTAGTATTACACGTGTGAGCCATTGCAACCAGCCTAAACTCATGGAAGTTTAAATTGACTAAAAGTGACAAACATGCCTGCATTAAGCCTGCCTCTAATTCCAGTATGTTTGTCAAGAAACTGTGTCCTGAGATTCAAGCCAGTGCTGATCTCAATGTTCATGTACCTGAGGACAGAGGAGACCATCTGTGTCATCAGGGTCCATGCTGGAGGTAGGAACCACACCAGCTTTTTAGAAGAGAGGATTTAATAGAAGCAATTGTTAGCCAGGTATTGAGGAATTCTAAAGGCAAAAAGGGAATACTAAGGTATCAACTGCTTCGTGGCAGCTACAGCCCCTAAAGCTGGAAGATCAAAGAAAAGAGGATGAAATGACTAAAACATAGAAGTTTGGAGGAAGAGTCCATGGAGCGAAAATTTAGACCTGTGAAAAGCGGGCCATGCTGGTGCCTCGGGAACTTTGAGGGGCCCCAGGGGCTGACACTCAGCCTCCGAGGACAGTGCCTGTCAGGTGTTGCTCGGAAGGCATAATAAAGCTTGTTCTGGGAGTGCTGGAAAAGCTGCCGACTAGAATCAGTGTCTGCTACTGGAACAAACTGCTACTGCCCAGAGAAAGACGCAAACAGGAAGCAGCCTTTCTCTTCTCCCTCATCCAGCCTCACAGCCCCTCTCTACCGCCCCCTAATGGCAGAGCCTCAGACAAAGTCAGCTGGCAAAGGATAAACGCCACCCAGCCTCAGGAAGCCGATGACAATAGGATGGGTTTAGACTCGACAGCCTATGTTTTAATAAGCAGCACACCATGTTTACCATCTGCACTGAGGTCTAGTTTATTTTATCATGCTGTCACTATGGATTATTGGAGTTTCAGGATAATGAGCTGTGTTTATGCCCCAGGAGTTTATATTATTTCGTCTATAAACGAAATGTGAGGCCAGGCACAGTGGCTCACGCCTGTAATCCCAACAGTTTGGGAGGCCAAGGAGGGTGGATCACCTGAGGTCAGGAGTTAGAGACTAGCCTGGCCAACATGGTGAAACCCTGTCTCTACTAAAAATACAAAAATTAGTCGGGCGTGGTGGCATGCGCCTGTAATCCCAGCTACTCGGGAGGCTGAGGCAGGAGAATTGCTTGAATCCAGGAGGTGGAGGTTGCAGTGAGTGGAGATTGTGCCACTGTACTCCAGCCTGGGCAACAGAATGAGACTCCATCTCAAAAAACAAAAAACAAAACAATACAAAACAAAAAACAAAGAAAAAGAAATGTGAGTACAATACTATCTAGCAAAAGAAAGTGGACCTTCAGAGGGATCATTGAAAAAGCCACTTTAAGAAGCAAAGCCTTATTTCTTCTGTTCTCCTTTTCAACCTACCTCTATTTTATTCTTTGATGAAATAACCTTAACTTAGATTGTTCAGTGACATTCCGTCTCATAACGTACCATCGGACAACAGTTCTTGTCCCATATTCCAACACTAGCAACATCTGAGTCAGCTCACTCTCCTGAGGCCCTGGGGCTTTCCATGAGTCATACTCTAGCATGAACCCCTATCTAAATACAGACAGACTCTGAGGGAGCCTTTCCTAGGTGAACTGTGATTAATCTAGTTATTCATAAACAAATAAAGTTTCTTCAGCTTCAGTTCCCTGAATTTATCTGTCCCTTTCTTTCTTTGTCACTGTGGAAGGACTGGCTCAAATAGTGTCAGAGATCAGATTTCATTATGACAAACTGCAGTGTTGTCTAAATTCTTCTTCTTCTTAAAGTAGTATTATTTTTAGAGGTGGGGGTCTCACTGTGTTACCCAGGCTGGTCTTAAACTCGTGAGTTCAAGCCATCCTCCAGCCTCAGATGCTTAAGTAGCTGGGACTTCAGATATGTGCCTCCGTGCCTGGATACATTATTTTTATTATTGTGGAATATGTTATACCAAGTACCATTTGTTGTTAATTAAGCATTTAATTGATTTTGGAAATCCTTATGTTACCTTGAGACCCAGTGTAGCTGATGTTTGTTTCATAATAAAGAAGGTGTTCATGTATAGTGGAGTTCTCAGGGTTATTCAAAACCAGCCAAAGGGACAGAAGCCCTGTGCTTTAGAAATTTCCAGTTAGGCCAGGCGCGGTGGCTCACGCCTGTAATCCCAGCACTTTGGGAGGCCAAGGCGGGCGGATCATGAGGTCAGGAGATCGAGACCATCCTGGCTAACACAGTGAAACCCTGTCTCTACTAAAAATACAAAAAATTAGCCGGGCAAGGTGGCGGGCGCCTGTAGTCCCAGCTACTCGGGAGGCTGAGGCAGGAGAATGGCGTGAACCCCGGGGGCGGAGCCTGCAGTGAGCCGAGATCACGCCACTGCACTCCAGCCTGGGCGACAGCGAGACTCAATCTCAAAAAAAAAAAAAAAAGACATTTACACTTAAAATAATCAGCACAAGTACTAACATATATAGATATAAACATACTTTCAGCCAGGCACAGTGACTCACGCCTATAATCCCAACACTTTGGGTGGCCGGGGTGGGAGGGTCGCTTGAGCCCAAGAGTTTGAGAACAGCCTGGGTAACATAGGGAGACCCTGTCTAATAATAACTGGACGTGGTGGTGTGCACCTGTGGCCCCAGCTACTTGGGAGGCTGCCGTGGGAAGGTTGCTTGGGCCCAGGAGGTGGAGGCTGCAGTCAGCCAAGACTGCACCACTGCACTCCAGCCTGGGTGACAGAGACTTTCAAAAAAAAAAAAAATCCTAAAAACATACTTTCCTATTTACCAATATGAAGCAACCAACCATAAACCAATACCAAAGCAGAAGCATTTTATAAATGAAGCATAGACTTTGCTGTTAGGGAGGGTGATTAAAAGGAGAACTTCAAGGCAAGAAATACTTTATACAAGTAGTTGCCTTCTTCAGTTGTAAACAACAGAAACCATCTGCAGTAAGTTTAAGTAAATGAAATTTATTGAAAAATAGATACATAACCACTCACAGGTTCCCTGGAAGAGCCAGAAAAACAGTCTTAGAAGCAATGGATCCAGGAAGAGTACTCAGAACACAGTGGCCTAGTAGAGGGCATGGACACTGAAAAATGCCCTCTGATGCTGGGTTCTGGACTCTACTCTTGGAAATGCCATTACTTCTGTCTCTGGAACCCCAACGGTATCTGCTTGCACCATGGGTTCTGGACGCATTTGCTTCCGACGCAGTCTTATGGGGCTGCATCTGGTTGCCTAGGTCTGGACTACATCGCCTGAACCCTAGCTGCCAATGAGGCTGAAAAGAATGTTTCTCTGCAAGGGAGTTAGAGAAAGTCGGAAGGTGCGGACTTGAAAGATAGGGAATTCAAAACACAGGAAGAGTGTTTAAAGTTGCTGGCTAGCCAAAAAGAATGGAAAATGTCGAAGTCACTTCTCAAAGCATGGTGCTAATCATCTGCATCATAATATATCAGGATGCTGAAGAAAAATGCAGATTACTGGGCTTTAGCCTCAAATCTTCTTCTTATTATTATTACTTTTTGAGACAGAGTCTCTCACTCTGTCACCCAGGCTGGAGTGCAGTAGTGCAATCACGGCTCACTGCAGCCTCAAACTCCCTGGCTCAAGAAATCCTCCCTCCTTAGCCTCCTGAGTAGCTATGACTACAGGCATGCAACACCACATCCAGCTAATTAAAAAACTTTTTTTGTAGAGATAGGGTCTTGCTATGTTACCCAGGCTGGTCTTGAACTCCTGGGCTTAAACAATCCTCCCACCTTAGCCTCCCAAAGTGCTGGGATTATAGGCGTGAGCCGTTGCATCTGGTCATCAACCCCCAAATCTTATGAATTAAAATCTCTGCAGTGGAAGCAGCAACCTACATTTTCCGCAGCCTCCTTGGGTGATTGTGATGTGTACTAAAGAGTGAGAACACTCCTGCGCAGTTTTGTTTTGTGTTTTATTTATTTAAATAGAGACACCCAAGCTGGGCTTGAACTCCTGGGCTCAAGAAATCCTCCTGCCTTGGTGTCCCAAAGTGCTGGAATTACAGGTGTGAGCCACCGCGCCTGGTGATCCTGCAAAGTTTTTATTTTCAAAAGGACTTTAAAATTTTTATTTTGTTTACTTTTGGAATTGAAAGGAAGACAGCTATACCTTTCTCAGTCAGAGATCAAAATCTCTGTAACTCTCAATAAGAAAGCCCTCTGCTATGGACTAGAGAAGTGATGAGTGTCCACTCTTCTCTCACAGGAGAAGCATCAGAGGAGGAGTGAGTATTAGGGTGTGATTAGCATAGACTCTGAAGTGAGATTACTTGAGTTTGAATACACCCTATCTCAATTAGCAGTGTGTGGCAGATTTTTCAAAAAATGTCTTTTTCAAAAAATGGCCACAGCAATATTTTCTATTCTGCATGCTCTTGTAGAATCTTCTAGAACCTTGCCACTCTCCCAACAAGAGATGGAGACAATTTTTTCTGTCTTTGAATCTAGGCTGGCCTTTGTGACAGCTTCCACCAATTTGTGATTTCTGAGTCTAGGTCATAAAAGTGCTATGCACTTCCACCTGGTCCTCTGAGAACACTCTTTCTGAGAATCCAGCCACCACACTATGAGGAAGCTCAACTTCCCGTAGACGAAAAGCTGACACAGAGAGAACTGAGGTCCCTAGCTCCCAGGAGATTAGAAACCAACTTACCGGCCATGTCAAACATCTTGAAAGTGGGTCCTCTAGCCCCCAGATGAGCTGCTCGTCTTGATACCACAGAAAGCAGGTACAAATGATTCCTGTGGATCTTTGCCAAAATTGTAGATGAGAGAGAAAAAGAAACAATTGCAATTTTTTTTTTTTTGAGATGGAGTCTTGCTCTGTTGTCAGGCTGGAGTGCAGTGGCACAATCTTGGCTCACTGCAACCTCTGCCTCCCAGGTTCAAGCAATTCTTCTGCCTCAGCCTCCCGAGTAGCTGGGACTACAGGCGCCCGCCACCACGTCCAGCTAATTTTTTGTATTTTTAGTAGAGACGGGGTTTCACCATGTTGGTCAGGATGGTCTCGATCTCTTGACCTTGTGATCCACCCGCCTCAGCCTCCCAAAGTGCTGGGATTACAGGCGTGAGCCAACGCACCCTGCCGCAATAGTTTTAACCCACTAAATATGGTTGGTTTGTTATGTAGCAATAGATTACTGATAAGGAGATGAGTCAATTAACTTCTTTGTGCTTCAGTTTCTCTGTATATAAAATTGAGAAAACAATTAAATCCACCTCATGGAGTTTTAATGAGAATTAAACAAGTTTTGATATGTAAAGTACTTAGAAAGCAGCCTGCCTGGCCAGGCACAGTGCCCCAATGCCTGAAATTCCATTATTTTGAGAGGCTGAGGTGGGAGGATTTCTTGAAACCAGGAGTTCGAGACCAGCCTGGGCAACATAGTAAGACCTCATCTTTACAAAAAATAAAATTAGAAAAATTAGCCAAGTGTGGTGGCTTTTTCCTATAAAAGAGGTTGAGGTAAGAGGACTGCTTGAGCCCAGGAGTTTGAGGCTGCAGTAAGCTATGATTGCACCACTGCACTCCAGCCTGGGAGACCGAATGAGAACCTTTCTCAAAAAAAAAAAAAAAAAAAAAAAAAAGCCTGACTTCTGACTTATAATAAATGTAATTTCAAGAAAAGAATTAACGGTGAATGAAAAGAAGATCAGAATGACATAAACAGGCAACCCAGAACTCCTTTAGACCTGTAGTAAAATTGTGTTAATTTCATATATCTGAGGTGGAGCAATTTAAATTGGTAACCGCTGAAATGATAACTTTTTAAAAACATAAAATGAGTTGTACTAATTTTAATTCTCACTATAATTTCAGGCAGACTAATGTCAATAATATCTGTTTAATTACAATGAATTATTTATTCTTAGCCCGTGAATCATTTATTCCTATCATTGCTGAGTTAGGACTCAGAGGCTGAATACCTGGTTCTGTTTTAAATCTCCCTTTCCCTTAATGAGTGACCTTAGCCAGTTACCTCAGTTCTCTCCAAAGACCTAGAAGTTTCCAAATAAACATTTGGAAAATAAATAAAGCTGTCAGATATGATACAAATGTTGGTTCTTCCAGTTATTCCGGCACATGGTTGTTTACCAGGCAGATGACCTGTTGGAAATAACAGAACCGAGAGTCAGAAAATATGACACTGCAGCTCAAATCTGATAAAAATCTCCCCGGGCACTAAAATATCATGGGGATCAGGAGCCAGGAGATGGGCCTTTGCTCAAGGAGGCATTGGGCAGGATAAAAGGCATCTAAGAGGGCAGGTGACCCTCCCAGGGCCACAGGCACGTAAACCTCCATCATCCAGCAGTCGTTACTGGCACGGGGCAGATTGTCTAGTAAGACAAGTCCTTTCTATTTTCCACAGATCTTTTTTTTTTTTTTTTTTTTAGACGAGTCTTCTCTGTCGCCCAGGCTGGAGTGCAGTGGCGGGATCTTGGCTCACTGCAAGCTCCACCTCCCGGGTTCACGCCATTCTCCTGGCTCAGCCTCCCGAGTAGCTTGGACTACAGTCGCCTGCCACCACGCCCGGCTAATTTTTTGTATTTTTAGTAGAGACGGAGTTTCACCGTGTTAGCCAGGATGGTCTCGATCTCCTGACCTTGTGATCCACCTGTCTCAGCCTCCCAAAGTGCTGGGATTACAGGAATGAGCCACCACGCCCGGCCTATTTTCCACATATCTTAAAATACCTCAAGCGATTGTATTCACTATCTATTGCTGCATAAAATATTGCCCCAAAACTTTTTTGAAAAATATTTATTTTTTCTTTTCTTTCTTTCTTTCTTTCTTTCTTTCTTTCTTTCTTTCTTTCTTTCTTTCTTTCTTTCTTTCTTCTTTCTTTCTTTTTTTTTTAAGACAGGGGTCTCCCTCTGTTGCCCAGGCTGGAGTGCAATGGGACAATCATAGCTCACTGCAACCTCAATCTCTCAAGCTCAAGCGATCCTCCCAAGTAGCTGGTGCTATAGGCGCGTGCCACGACCCCCAGCTAATTTTTTAAATTTTTAGTAGAAATGAGGTCTCTCTGTGCTTCCCAGACTGGTCTTCAATTCCTGAGCTCAAGCAATTCTCCAGCCTCACCCTCCTAAAGTGCTAGAATTACAGGTGTGAGCCATTGTGCCTGGCACCTTCGTTTAAAAAAAAAAAATAGGGCTGGGCATGGTAGCTTATGCCTGTAATCCCAGCACTTTGGGAGGCCAAGGCAGGCAGATCACCCGAGGTCAGGAGTTCGAGACCAGCCTGGCCAACATGGGGAAACCTCGTCTCTACTAAAAATACAAAAATTAGCTGGGCATGGTGGTGGTGCCTGTAATCCCAGCTACTAGGGAGGCTGAGGCAGGAGAATTGCTTGAACCCAGGAGGCAGAGGTTGCAGTGAGCCGAGATCGTGCCACTGCACTCCAGCCTGGCGACAGAATGAGACTCCGTCTCAAAAAGAAAATAATAAAATAAAATAACAAAAAAACCCCACTTTCCTTCCCGTCATAGTATTGTCATGTATGTAGCTTTATGGTCTACTTCTTCACCTTATTCTGAGGATGACTTTAAAACAAGTCCTCGCATACAAGCAGTCTCTAAATGCATTTGCTGTTTAGGAAAACAATGTATCTAGATGGTCCCCTGGCAGAAGAGCTGCAGGAGGAGTAGCTGGGGTCCTGGTGGAAATGCAGAATTGCAGGTTCCACTCCAGACCCACTGATTCAGAATCTGCATTTTGACAAGGTTCCCTGGTGGTTAGTATGTGTGTTAAAGTTGAGAAGCTCTGTTCTAGGACTGTCATTGAAGAGCTGAGAATCACTTGTGTTTCTGAACTTTATGCCTGCATCCAAGCACACATGAGAATAATAAAATGAGATCTGTTTAATTACAATGAATTGTTTATTCATTGGAAATAACGGCCAGTCTTGCAGCTCGACATGATATTTGGGAATTTGGAGATCTGTTTTTCTCTGTGTCTCCCTGTCTCTCTGTCTCCCTCTCTCAATCTCTGTCTCTCCCTCTCTCTTTCTCTTCTCCAGCTCTCTCTCTCTTTCCATTTTTTCTCTATCTCTTTCACCTACATTGACTTTATCGTTTTACTTTTCTATGGAAATGTTGAAACACTTGAGACTTGTTTTTGTTTTTCCCCATCACTTGGAGCTGACCCCTTTCATCTTTGATTCAGCCAATTTCCTTCAAAGCTAAATATTAAACAGATCTGTCTTCTGACAGCTGACCCCAAATAGGGACGAGCAGTGGTCCTGGCCCCAGGGGTGGAGAACTGAGCCGACAAAGGTAGAGGAGAGACAGGATGGAGCCAGTTCCTGTCCGCCAGGGAAGCCCAAAAGTTGTGTCTAAGCCTACACACAGCCAAACAGCCAATAACCAAACAACCGATAGCTTCTGGAAGGCATTCTTGCAGAAATTCCTCTTTTGCCAGAGGGTGAAAGGGTTGCTAATTGATTTTGTCTGCCTTTCAGATGGACTCAGAGAGACACAAAAGTTTTAATTCTAACAGAGAGGTAACATTTTTAGATACTTCACTGTAGAAAAATATTCTGTGTCTCTCATGTGATCTGGAGTTGCATAATGGTATTTTTTGTTTCACCAGCTTGTTATCCTGTTAAGAGAATAGCAGCAGTAAATTTAATTACGTAGATCCTTTTCTAAACAACATATATTTCATAAACATATTATTTATTCATAACAAAGGAATAAAAGAAAGCTAACTCTTCCCAAATGCATTGAGAATCGCTGGTCTCGACTCTCACTGAAGAGATGGGTGAAGATTGCAGTCTTGTGATCTCTGGCCAAGAGATGCCACCTTGTGCCCTCTTTACCGCTTCTGGAGCTTGTGTCTCAGCACAATGTGCTATTGATCTCAAATCCCATATGCTGTATGTCAACAAGTGAAAACAGGGAAGAGACCAGATAGGGAGGTGTGAAAGGAAAATCTCTTGGGCTCCCCAAATCACTAAGCTAAAAGGAAAATTCAAGCTGGGAACTGCTCAGGGCAAACCTGCCTCCCATTCTAGGCAAGTCATCCCTCTGCTCACTGAGATAGATGCATATTCTGATCGCCTCCTTTGGAAAGGCTTATCAGAAACTCAAAAGAATGCAACCATTTGTCTCTCACCTACCTGTGACTCAAAAGCCCCCTCCTTGCTTCGAGTTGCCCCTGCCTTTGTGGACAGAACCAATGTACTTCTTACATACATTGATTAATGTCTCATATCTCCCTAAAATGTGTAAAACTAAACTGTGCTCTGACCACCTTGGGCACATGTCATCAGGACTTCCTGAGGCTGTGTCACCGGCGCAGGTCCTCAGTCTTGGCAAAATAAACTTTCTTTCTTTTTCTTTTTTTTTTTTTTTTGAGACAGAGTCTTGCTCTGTCGCCCAGGGTGGAGTGCAGTGGCATGATTTCAGCTCACTGCAACCTCCGCCTCCCAGGTTCAAGCAATTCACCCGCCTCAGCCTCCCAAGTAGCTGGGATTACAGGTGCGTGTCACCACTCCTAGATAATTTTTGTATTTTTAGTAGAAACGAGATTTCACCATGTTGGTCAGGCTGGTCTTGAACTCCTGACCTCAGGTGATCCATCCACCTCTGCCTCCCAAAGTGCTGGGATTACAGGCATGAGCCACTGCGCCCGGCCCAAAATAAACTGTCTAACTTAACTGGAGACCTGTCTGAAATTTTCAAAGTTCACAGAGGGAAAAAAGAGAAGTGACAGAATACAACTCTAGCCTTATCTTTTCATATCCATAGAGAAAGAGCTCTGTAATGTTATGCAAAATGGCAGAAATGCCAGTTTGTGAAAAGAGACAATTGTTTTAACACACACAAAAAAACCTCCTAGTCATTGGGAATGACCAGAGTTTTTAAGAGAAAAAAGTCACAGAAGTCAGAAAGTCTGCCTATAATCCTGAATCAAAAAATCTGGAGTCAGAATAAAAAGTTGGTCGGGAAGTATTTGCTTACGTAAAAGAAAAACTGTGAAAAACCTAGGAATTTGGGTTCGCAAAGTCTTCTTAAGCCCTGTGATTTCAGTTTTGTTCTTCCTTTCTTGTTATTCTGGATTAGAGTGTTATTCTTGTGATTTTTGAAAAATGAAAAATATGGCCTTATACTCTTGCCTAATACATGATTTCTGGAAATAAGAGGTGAAAAAGTGAGTTCATTTCTTCTTTAGCCCAACCCTAACCAAGTGTGAGCTAAGGAATTCTATATTTTATTTCTATTTATTTATTTTTAAGAGACAGCTTTGCTCTGTTGCCCAGGCTGGAGTGCAGTAGTGGAATCATAGCTCACTGTAACCTCGAACTCCTGGGCTCAAGTGATCCTCGTGCCCTAGCCTCCTGAGTAGCTGGGACTAGAGGTATGCACCACCATACCCGGTTAAATTTAAAAAGTTTTTTTTTTTTTGTAGAGACAGAGTCTGGCTACATTGACCAAGCTGTTCTCAAACTCTTAGCTTCAAAAAATCTTCCCACTTTGGCCTCCCAAAATACTTACAGATAGCTACACTCCTGGCCGGGAATTCTTAATATGTTTGTAACAGAAGGAAGGAAATTAGGGGCATATTGGGTTTTGTTGTTATAGTTTGTCTGTTTTTTTAATTTAAGCTATGCCATAGAGTTTTGTGGACACTATGAAACTTAGGATCATTACTATGTATTTAACAGAGTAAGTGTTCTAACAGCGCAGTGGAGAATAATATTAATAGTTGTGCACCTCATTTCTGGACAAATCTGACAATAAGCTCATTGGATGAGTAGCAAAATCATAATCTCAGAAATTTCTGAAACAGAAGAGCGTACTATCTTTTGGAGAATTAACTTCATTCAGAGCTTTCATTTACATTCTTCTTATGTTTTTATTTTGCCTTTATATATTCTTTTGTAATTTACATATTCCTGTACGATCCTAAAATCTTTCTGAAACAAGCAAGAATATAAATTTATTATTTTGATAAGTGTTAGAAATTAATTTTTACATTTTTTTTTAAGAGACGGAGTCTCACTCTGTTGCCCAGGCTGGAGTGCAGTGGCATGATCTCAGCTCACTGCAACCTCTGCCTCCTGGGTTATAGCAATTCTCCTGTCTCAGCCTCCCGAGTAGGGCGAGGCTAATTTTTTGTATTTTTTTTTTTTTTTTTTTTTTTTAGTTTCATCGTGTTGCCCAGGCTGGTCTCGAACTCCTGAGCTCAGGCGATCCACCTGCCTCGGCCTCCCAGAGTGCTACGATTTCAGGCGTGAGCCACCGCATCAGGCCAATTTTTACCTAATTTTTTAAAACACAAAGTTATTCTTGTAACCATTGGCATTATAACTGTTAGCAAAAAGCAAGGGCTCCTCCTAGTGATACTGCAAGTCAGTGCAGCGTACTAATTCCAGGTGTATTTGTTTTCTTTGTTGTGTAACAAGTTCATTATCTTTAGTAAACACACACTGGAAATCTGTTGAATTCAGGGATCAATAATGAAGATGTGTATTTTAGGGAAACTGCAGTAATTCCTTCAGGCCACTAGGGGCCATTTGACTAAATTCTCTTCCCAGTTCAAAGGAAAGGTCCCCAGTGCACCCCCAGGGAGCAAAAATAAGGACCTCCTCCCATCCTAAGGTGGGATATTCTAAGGGTAGAATCAGGTGCATCATACTCAGCAAATCAGTATTTCTCTAATTTTATTACTTTTTGAAACCTCTTTAAAAGGAAAAAATACATGTGAATTCCCCAGTATTGACATGGGAATGGATTACTGTACAATAGTGATGCATGTATAAAATGATTGCTCTGACCATAATTGTCAACAAAAGTCGGTAGAATGAAAATAAGAAAGCTGATGTCCCTTTCACTACTACCTGCTGTGGTCAAATATTGCTTGCCTACTCTTTATCCTAAAAAAAGAAATGGGGCTAACATCCTACCTCCCACTTCCACCAAACCCTCCATCCAACAGCAATTTGTCCTCTTATGCAAGGTGAGAAGAATTGCCCCAGTTGTTCTGGAAAAAGTGTTCTTTTTTTTTTTTTCCAGACAGAGTCTCGCTCTGTCACCTAGGCTGGAGTGCAGTGGTGCGATCTGGGCTCACTGCAACCTCCACCTCCCAGGGTTAAACGATTCTTCTGCCTCAGACTCCTGAGTAGCTGGGATTACAGGCATGTGCCACCACACTTGGCTAATATTTGTATTTTTAGTAGAGATGGGATTTCACCCTGTTGGCCGGGCTGATCTAGAATTCCTGACCTCAGGTGACCCACCCGCCTCAGCCTCCCAAAGTGCTGGGATTACAGGCATGAACCAGTGCACCCAGCTAGAAAAGGTGCTCTTTTCTTTGTCCTTCCCTGCCTTTGTTCGCTTCCTAAGTGGTACCATTCTTGGCCAGGTACACCATTGTCTCTTTGAAGGTAATTAAACAGATTGTATAAGATGTCATTAAGTTTTATCACAATTGCACACAAGGACAGACTATTGGACACAACCACCTAAGTACATACGTCCTAGATACTTAGGTGGCCATGAAGCACAGGTCAGAGTCAGGCCAAGGTTCAGCTGACTGTAGGAAGGCCTCACCTTCCTTTTGATGCGGTTACAAGATGGTTCATTTGCTACCTTGCAGAAATAGCTTTGAAGAAAAGTACTGTAAGCTGCGTGGTTGTAATTGGATTTAAGTACTGTTGAATATAATATAAAAGTGACGCATCCTCCTAATAATTAAAGTTGTCATCTCCAGGTTTTATTCAACATTTGAATCATGCTCAAACTTGCAGACTTGACTTAAAGCTTAGATGCTTCATCTCCAAAAGAAGCTGGCCATGGAGTACAACAAGGAATCTAGTAGCAGTCTGGAGTTTTCCTCTAGAAAGTGCTGTGGTCTCAAAATGCAGTCCTGGGTATCTGGACACAATCCCACAAAGGGTGACTGCTAAAAAGAAAAGATTTCAGGATTGAGGAACATAGCTCCTTCTTCTAATGCACACTATGTTGGGATGGTGGGATGAAGGCCGAAATTTTCCAGGTTGGAGTCTTTTGGTGGTTTGTTTGCTTATCCTGTATCTGGAGTTGAGAAGAAACCAAGTTTGAGATTTAGGATGTGGACAGGAGGTAGGAGTTTTGCCCATAAATTACAACAGAGTCTGAACCCATGGGGACTGCCAAGAAGACAAAGTGGTCACAATTGGCTTGGGCCCGAAGCCAGGGCCCCTGCAGAGCAGGAGCCCAGTTGGGGCCTCCTCCCAGAGCCAGTGCAGCTCTGCCTGTGCGTGGATGATAAGCTCTGTGCTGCTTCCTCTGAATCATGAAAACAAACAGACCGGGCCACGATGGAATAAATGAAGCTGCAGATGAAAGACATTTTGAAGACGAACATGAATTAGAGGGTTGGAGGGATCTGATTTTGACTTTCACATTCATCTGCCTTCTCCTTTCAGCAGTGGGGCCAAGGTGGCCGGCCAAGCCACTGGGACTTCTACAAGGGCCTCTGCAGGCAGGAGGCTAGTGAAGACTTAGAGCCTGTAGCGTGGACTCACGCTCAGGAGAGCCATGAAGCCGGGGCCTCGTCTGCAGCTTTCTTCATTCACGCTGAGAAAGTTTGTCCTTCCTGCCACCCGTAATTTTCCTGGAGAACTGAAAATAACAAAACCAGAGGGATATCCACAGAGTCCATAGGTTCCTAGGTTAGTTCTACACGGTCCCCTTCTCCTCCCAGAAACACGAGATGTCAGATTCCTCAAGATTCCTTTGAGCTCACCCTAAACTGCTCGGGGCAAGAACATCAGTCTGTTTGTCTCTTGAGACCGTCTCTGGCATGTTTATGAAAAGATCACTGGAGACTCCAGTTTCACAATCAACAATGTACCTAAAAATAGAAAAAAATCTGTTCCAGGATAATTTTGTCTCCGAACAGCAAGATCAACAAAAGATGCCTTCAGGGAACAAGTGGTCCTTCACTGAAGTCTAACGAAGCTCTGAGCTGCCTCTCAGAGCAAGGGGAGGGTGTGGCTCCCAAACGTCCTCTTCCTCTTCCCATCAGCTCACACTGACTGGCAGTACGGATGAAGCTGTGAACAGTAAATGGTGACTGTGAACCATTCTGACGCCGTCACCTGGGGCTAGGTGGCACTGTTTAATGAACCATCTCTGCGCAAGGCAAGGCCCAGGGTCTAATTGGTTGGAAAGCTTTGTAGGAAACCCAGAATGCTAGTTGCCAAGACTCTCTTCCCCTAAGTTTTAAAATTCCTAGGTAATTCCCTGGAAATGTAATCCGGATGTTCCTGACTCCTGTATATTTAAACCCATCCCACTGTTGTTTCCAAAAGACATTTTATGGATATTCCAGGCGAGTGTTTTGTCTTTATCCAATCAAGGAATGCCATTAATTAGATTTAAAAAAGTCCACAGGGACTGCTGTGAAATCTAATTCTGTCTTAAGTTTGCTAACTTTTTTTTCCCTTTTTTCTTTTTCCTCTTTTTTTTTTTTTTTTTAATTTACTGGCCTTGTTAAATAGTCTAAGAAAACAGGAGAAAGAGTGTAACATAACATAGAGCATCCTGGACCTTAGTACCTTCAGGCTGAACCTTGCTTTCTCTGAGCTGGCAAACTGGGATCCCATCAAAAAGCAGTGTCAAAATATGGAGTTTCCAGCAAGTCAGCTTAGGAAAGGGAGTAGAAGAGAATAAAGTAGAAATCAATATCCATTCCTAGGTTCTTACTGCATTGTAGGAAGCACTTTCTGTTTGTTTGTTTGTTTGTTTGTTTGTTTGTTTGTTTGTTTTGAGACGGAGCCTCACTCTGTCACCCAGGCTGGAGTGCAGAAGCACAATCTTAGCTCACTGCAACCACCACCTCCCAGGTTCGAGTGGTTCTCATGCCTCAGCCTCCTGAGTAGCTGGGATTACAGGTGCTCACCACCACACCCGGCTAATTTTTTGTATTTTTAGTGGAGACGGGGTTTCACCATGTTGGCCAGGCTGGTCTCGAACTCCTGAGCTCAAGTCATCCTCCTGCCTCAGCCTCCCAAGGTACTAGGATTACAGGCATGAGCTACCATGCCTGGCCATAGGAAGCACTTTCTATTCCAGTTGGTAGATAACAGAGACAGCTTATCCTTGCTATGATATCAGCAGATAACAGATCCCAAAACACAGTGCAGATTCATCACGGGGTTTTAAAGTCACAGAGACTTGAATCAAAGTTCTGTCCCCCTCCTCCCATTCCTTAACTATGTATGTAGGACTTGAATGAGCTACTGGAACTCTCTGAACCCTGTTGCCTCATGTTTCAAGTGGAGGCAATAATATTTAACTCATCACTTTTAACTAATGTTTATTGAGCACTTACTATGTGCCAGATACTGTGCTAAGAGCTTTCCATGCATCATTTTATTTTACCCTTATGATTTCCTTATTCTATAGGCATGAGAACTGACACTCACAGCATTCACACAGCATGCCAAGTGGCAAATCTGGAACACAAACATCGCTCTTTATGACTCCAGAGTTATCATCCTGCTGCTGTGAGTATGAAATGGCATAAGACATGTACAGGGTAGGGCTCATAGTAGCTACGGAAAAGAACCAACACTAAGAACCTGTCTACTGTGTGCCATACCCTAGATGTGTTTTCCTTTCCAAGGCTGTCATTTTGCTTGTGCATGCAAGGCTTTTGTGGATGTGACAGTTCTAGTAGAGGATCACAGGGACATGTGCACCTCTGACTAAGATTGTCCTCCTCCACCATGAACACAACTTTCAGAGGATGTAAGTAGAATGGTAAGTGAGGAAGGAGGCAACCACTCATTAGAGAAATATTTTCCATATCAGTCCTTGAAATGGGGCCAGGCACAGTGGCTCACAACTGTAATCCCAGCATTTAGGAGGCCGAGGAAGGAGGATTGCTTGAGGCCAGGAGTTTGAGATCAGCCTGGCAACATAGGGAGACTCTGTCTCTATTAAAAAAAACCTTAAAACAATTAGCTGGGCATGATGGTGCATGCCTGTGGTCCTAGCTACTCAGGAGGCTGATGCAGGAGGATCACTTGAGCCTAGGTGTTCAAGGCTGCAGTGAGCTATGATGGCACTACTAAACTCCAGTCTGAGTGACAGAGTGAGACCCTCTCTAAAAAAACAAACAAACAAAAAAACTTTGAAATGAATGGAGCAAAAGATATCTCAGACAGACCCCATACTCTTCCTAAAGGGATTTAGGTATGCCCCATTTCAGCATGAACGTACGTCTAGAAAATACAAAAGGAGGAAGAATGTTCTGTCCAGTGTTTTATTTGTGCAAATGACGGGATTTCTAAAGCTTTTCAACAACACAACAGTTGGCTGTATTCAAAATCAGCCGATAGTAAGCAGGTACCTTGTCCTCTAAAGGTTTCTAGAAGGCTACATGGTCTGTATTTGGTCATCCTGATTTAATTCCCTATTTTTCTGATAGAGAAGGAATGTCGCTCTCTGTAGAAATATGTGTCCTAAAAGTCCCTTGGCTACTCTGATTGAAAAAAGAAACATGTTTGCAGGACTAAGCTAAGATGTTGAGATAAGAATGAACACAGTGGTCACAACAGATAAACAGGAGGAGGAAAGGAGCTGATGAAAATGGGAATGCTTTCTTTTTTTTTTCTGTCTTTACAGTTGCCTTGCAGAGGCGCTAAACCCCATAACTATGTTTATATTCTGATGATGTAAGACATTGCTTCCAAAGAGATAGCAGTTTCCATAGAGCTGAATCTATGGGAGCACATATTAATCTCTTTTTTATTTTAGGAGGAAGAGAATCACATCACAGAAAAGTCGTGAAATGATTGAAATGTTCTTTTCTGTTCCCCCAAAGCATCATTAAATGTATGTTTCAATCTCCTAATATAATCTGATTAACATATATGCTTGACATGATTCATTAGAATAATGACAATGGGAATTTCCAAGGAACACTTATTCTGTGCCAGGGACAGTGCTAGCCACTCGACATGAATTATTTCACTTAATCTTCTCAGTAATTTAGTTGAGAAAATTGAGACTCTGATTTTAAGTGATTTTTCTAAGGCCGTGTACATAATGCATAGGTTTGAATTCCATGTGTCTTTGACTGCAGAATCCATGCTAGGCCACACCTCCTAGCTCTAAAACAGCAATAATATATCATAAGAAAGGGACCAGGAGATGAAAGGGGGCAGGAATTGGCATCTGCCCAGTACTTGGTCTATATCAGGTACATTACATGTTTTCGCATGCCCAACTTTACATAATTAATAAGTAGGTGAGCTAAGATTTAACACCAAATGGATCTGCTTTCATAGTTCACTCATGTTCCCTCAAGTGGACTTTCTGCCTGATTACTTTAGGTGAGTTTAAAAAAATTAAAATAGGTATTAAAGTTAAATTTAGGGACCACCTAATCCTGAAGCTAACCAAAAACAGTATTGGGAATTAAACTTAAGACACTGATATCCTGATTATCTATTGCTGCATAACAAGTTACCCCAAAGTGTGGTGGCTTTAATATAATAATTTATTATTGTTATTATAATCATAATTCTGTGGATGAAAAACTCAGGTGGAACACAGTGCAACAGCATGCTTCTTTTCTTCTCTTTCGCTGTTATTTATTTATTTAAGTTTTAACTGACACGTAGTAACTATACATATTTATGTGGTAAAGTGTGATGTTTCAATAAAGGCATGCATTGTGCAATGATCAAATCGGGGTATTTAACATAGTCATCACCACATACATTTATCTTTTCTTTGTGATGAGAACATTTCAAAATCCTCTCTTCTAACTATTTTGAAATATACAAGACAATATTATCAACCATAGTCTCCCTACTGTGCAATACAACACCAGAACTTATTCCTTCTGTCTAACTGTAACTTTGTACCCACTGACCAACATCTCTGCATGCCTCAGGATGTCTTGCTTCTGCTCAGCAATGTCTGGAGTCTCAGATGGGAAGACTTGAATGGTTGGGGGCTGAAACAGCTGAAGGCTGGATGGGTATCTCTCTCTTACTCTGCCTTTATCTCTCTCTCTCTCTCACTGTCTCTCTCTCTCCAAAATAGCAAGCTTAGGCTTCCTCACAATATGGCAATCTCAGGTTAGTTGGACATCTTAAACCGCAGCAGAGCTTCAGAGTGTTCCAAGTATTTCAAGAAAAGGAAGTGACATCTACCAGTCTCTTAAGGCCTGGACCAAGAAACGGATACAGTATCATATTTACCATAGTCTGTTGTTCAAACTAACCAAGGGCCTACCTAAATTCAAAGGGAGGGAACAGAGACCCCATCTCTTCATGGGAGAAGTATTGAAGAATACGGAGCCATTTTTAATCCACCACTGCTAAACTTCAAAATCGCCTAAATATATTAATGTCAGCTGACTCACTAACATCAGTATGATAGGCTACATGTTGAACTGTTTTTTTACCCAGGCATTAACCAAACTTGTCAATAACTATTAATATTAGCCTTATTATAGATATAAACCATCATTTGGGCTTTTTTTTTTTTTTACCTATATGTGAAGATCTTAAGGAAGGAATAAAGTAGTATTTACTAATAGTTTACCTACTGTCCAAAAACAGTGTGTTTATAATATTTCATTTAATTCTCATAATTACCTTAATGTGTTATGCCCATTTTATAGTTGAGGAAGTCAAGGCTTAAAGAGATCTAAAGTGGTTTCTAAATATCAGCATTCTTGATGCCTCAAATCGTTTAAACTTTCAGGGTGAATCTTAAAGTTTTTGAAAATTAAAAAAATTATACATATATATTTTGGGTTGATACATAATGTTTTGCATATTTGATGGTTACATGTAATTTAAATGCAACGTACTCTAGTCCACCTAAAACTCCATGGATCCAACACCTACGGATTCTTGAACGTGTGTTTCTAAGTTGTCCATTGTTCAAGTTTCCCGTTTCCATTTAATTCTTGATCCATCAGATCTTGTCTCTAGCTACAGGTCACCGCTTTCCACCTCACCCCACCCTAAATGTCCCAGCTCCCTTATTCATTAATTCCATAAAACTCCTGTTAATACAGGGCTTTCTCGAATATACGGATATAAGTTCTGAAGGTTCGAGGGTAATAGCAAGATCACATTCCACTTGACAGAGAAATGATTTTTAAATGAATGTTAGACAATGCTGTTTTTAAAAACACCAAGGCCATTTCTGTTGCTGGGAATTTCTTACTGGCTGTTCACTCCCACCACGTGTTATAGGCACCTGATATTGCCTCCAGCCTGTTAGTCTCTGGAACTACTTATAGCTTCACCTCACTCCACTCCTCTCCTGGCTGCTGCTATAAACTAATATTCTAACAACACTTTTGTGCACAGCAATTAGGGTCCCTCTTTGTCTTGCCCTGGGCCATTGCAGAAACAGCCTTCACCATCCAAAGAGGTTACTAAAATATTTTTATGCACAATGACACTTCTCTTCCTTTCTACTGTTATCTGCTAGGGAGAAGGTGATACTGCAACAGTTCATGTAATAGATACGCTTTTGAGTTTAGTTTCAATTACAACGAATACTTTTTAAATCTAAAATTCACTTAGCAAATAAAATATGCCCTACACATAGTAGATATTTAATAAATAGGTGAAGTGTGAATTAAAGCAGTGCTAATCAGGAGCCATTATGTTACGTAGTAAAGAAAGCCTCAGTACTTAGTTTCACTGTTTGACCACTAAACTAGCAAAACAATGAATGAAATTCAATGAGGAAAAACATGAAATTGCATTAGAATACACAAGGAATGGTTCAGGGAGCCCAATGAAGAATAGTCAATGGCCATAGAATGAAATACAAAAAAAGAGGGCAAGGTCCCCCAAAATTAGTATTAGTTGGATATTTTTAAGTTTGTTTAATAAATACTTGAAAGAAGATATGTTTTATTTATTTATTTATTTATTTATTTATTTATTTATTTATTTATAGAGACAGAGTCTCACTCTGTCACCCAGGCTGGAGTGCAGTGCTGTGATCATAGCTCGCTGCAGCCTCCAACTCTTGGGCTCATGCAGTCCTCCTGCCTGAGACTCCCAAGTAGCTAGGACTACAAGCACATGCCAACATGCCTGACTAATTTTTTAAATTTTTGTAGAAATTAAGTCTTTCTATGTTGTCCAGGTTAGTCTCAACCTCCTGGCCTCAAGTGATCCTCCCACTTCAGCCTCCCAAAGTTCTGAGATTACAGGTGTGAACCACTGTGCCTGGCCATAAGACATGCTTTAATAAATCCTTCAATAACTTGCAAAGTACTGTGACTGTTGGAAAGTTATTATGACCTAAGAGATTATCTAAAGAACTAAAAGAATGACTGTTCTGGGAATTCAAAGAAATATTAAAATAAGGCAGCTTTGAATGAAGACAGAACAACCCCAAAGGAAAAACAACGGAATCCTTTAAATATATATAAATTAAAAGCTAACCCTTCTTTTAATGAATCTTATTTTCCTCAGCATTCTGTCCTGGTGTGATGTGGCTGTGTTGGCTTTTGCTGATGCCCAAGATGGCGGATCATGGAAACTGTGGTAGAAAGCCACGCCCCATCTTTAGCTCCCTCAACAACAGTCCTTGGTTTACAAAGGGTACACCGTGTGGGCTGCTTTGTGGAAAAGAAGTTTTCCCACAATGCCAATTAAGTTAAATTTGGAGGGCCGAGTCACTTTTTCCCCTACAGCTAAGCTTGAGCCCACGGGAAACCATCTTGATCCTTCCATATAGTGCCTTCAGAATAGAAATCCAAATTGGTTCTGCTACGACCTGGAGTACTGCTGAGATCACTAAACTCCTCTGACCACTCATAAATTTAGCGTTCCCCTTTTCTATGTCAACAAACCCTGGATAATGGTGTTCATTATTTCACTACATTCTCAAAAATAAAGGAGCCCCAACAAAAAACAGTTCTGTGACAAGCTGTAATATAGGAGAAAACTCATTTCCATATTATATTAAGCACACATGGGGGCCTCATGTTCTGTTATGTGCTATCATGACTACTTTGGGGTACCTTTATTATAGAATTCTTAGTTTTCTCAGAATTTTTAAAACTACCAATGCAGAAAGTGAGTGCCATTATTTTTGCCATTATTTTTATTCGAAGTAAATGAAAAAGAATATTTATATACACTTAAAAAGTGCCATCGGGGACATTTTATCTTATAGGAAATCTAGAATATATACTCCCTAGTGCCTTGAGATGATTTTTAAAGAACACATTAATCTCATTAGTCCCACCCCTATGGGTGGCAATGTTTTACTTTCCTTGGGTTTATTTTTAGTATTGTGCTTCCAAATTTTGTTTGGGGATGAAAAAGGTCATATGAAGGCCTTTTTTTGTATTTTCTGTAAAGCATATAAGGGCTCATTGGCTACAACCCTCTTAAAAATCAGTGGCAGGAAAAAAGCAAGTATCTTCTGAAGCAGTGAAATGCTTCCTTTCACTGGAGGCAGAAAACAATGTAACCCATTGTTTTTACTCTTTCCCTAAACTGCAAGGAAGCTCAGAATTAAATTTAATGTTCAGTTGCAGTAACTATCTTAAACTTCCCCTTTTATATGCTTTTTGATTTTCTGTCTATTTTAACAAACTTACTGTGTATGTAACGTTTTATTGAAACCTGCTTAAAATACTTTCTGGCAGAAGGAAGAATGTAAGTTATTCTTTAAAAACAAAAACAAAAACAAGACCCAACTCCAATTACACTGAAATGTGCAGGTTATTTTAGATGTGAGCCCACAGAACAATCATCCGTTAGGTTACTTGGGAGAATTGCCTCTACGTATCCACTCTGTCCTTGTGCATAAACACTCCAAATTGAGAAAAGTAGAAAGGCCATTTTGAATTTGACTTAAAAAAAAAAAATCCAAAAAACAGAGTCTCGTTCTGTCACACAAGCTGGAGTGCGGTGGCACGATCTCGGCTCACTGCAACCTCCGCCTCCCAGGTTCAAGCGAGTCTCATGCCTCAGCCTCCCAAGTAGCTAGGATTACAGGCATGAACCACCACGCCCTGTTCATTTTTGTATATTTTAGTAGAGACGAGGTTTTGCTATGTTTGCCAGGCTGGTCTCGAACTCCTGATGTTAAGTGATCTGCCTGACTCAGCCTCCCAAAGTGTTGGGATTACAGTCATGAGCCACGAATTTGATTTCTTGATGAAAATCTACTTTCTGATATGATTCTCCAATGAACTTTTCCCTTGGGCTTGGAGAGCAAAAAACTTCTACTTTGTTCTCAATTTTTTTTTTTTCTAAGAGATTCCCAAATGATGAGTTAAGTCCAGGAGAATTTTTTGCCTCTGACTAGCACCCAGTATGGGTCCCCGCCTTGCCATATGTGGTTCTGGGTATGAATAACTGGGCAAAAAACTTATTTAAGTCCTCCTTACCAAGGGATGTTTGTTCTATCTGGCTTCTAGTGAGGTAGAAAATGTCATCAAGTTGGACTTTTCAGTTCTGGTATTAGTACTGTTATATCTGATATTGCAAATTCCAAAGGGCTAAAAAAATACAGTCAAAGAAAGCCAACCAAATTGCTTTAAAGCTTTAAAAACAAACATTTGCATTTCAATCATGGGTAAAGGCCTGGGAAAGAGGGAAGAATCTGTGCAAGTATTTAAATTAAATCAGTTTGCCCACCTCCTAACACATTCTTAGACCGGTGGTATATATTGGCGGGATTCTTAAACTTTTTGTAATTGTGTGATAAATAATAGCATGTTCAAATATCTCATGAATTATGATTAGAATCCAATGCTGAAGCTTAACATCCCTTTTGAGAAAAATATAGTCAGTGAATCATTCTTTATAACAAAGAGCTTGGGAAAAAAATTAAGAACAGTCACAAGAGAATTTGGGATATTGGTAACCAATCAGAAGGTTTCAGGAAAAAAACAGTTTGCATTTGGTATAACTTAAGAGACTATTTTGGAAATTTAATAAACCTAGAACAAAGTTATTTGAAACTCCAGTAATGAATACAATGGTTAAATTCCACTCATTCCTGCATCATGGCAGAAATACCCTTATCTCTGAACACAAACCAAAATACACAAAGTCCTGATGCCTATCTGCCAGCCCTGGAGGGCAGCCTGGCAGTGTGAGAAGGAAGAAATCTCTTAAGAGCCTTCTCTTTTACCATATGTGCTTTCTACTAACTCTGTCATCTTTTACTTCATCCAAACTGGAAATGAATGAGCAGGCCTTCTCAGATGGCAGAGGCTACTGATGTTGGCAGTAAATATATAAATGAAATAAAAACAGAAATAACCAAAAAACCCCAACAAATTAAAACAAGCTCCTGAAAGGCACAGCTCCCTTCTACCCTCTCTAAATTAATAACAGACTTATTAGTTCAAAGGTAACTTGCGAGAGGTTAGAGTTTCTTTTAAAAAACCTAAATATAGATTAATATATTCCCCCACCCCTATATTAATACTTTTTACAAATAAACACATTTGGTTTAGCATAAGGAATATTTAAATATAAACAGTAGTTTTCTTACACAAATGTATGTTTTTACAATACTAAATCAACCTCACACCAACAAGAGTTGCAGCACTTGACCATGTTTTTATTGCAATCTACATCCATGATTTCTCCTTGCCATTAGAAGTGGTGTGGAAGTGCTGGGAAGGGAAGAGCGTGGTCCCTTTAAATGATAGGGAACCGAGGAAGGGAAGTGCTGAGTAGGGGAGGGTGTGGTCCCTGGCTAGGGCTCCACCCCCACGGGCCCAGGTGAGGACAGGCACTCCTGCTTTCGCCGGCTGTTGCATTTTCCAAGACCACTGTGGCCCACCATGCCCCCGTCCTGGGCCTATAAAAACCGGAGTCCCTAGCACAACAGAGACACAAGCCGCTGGACGTAGAGAGGAGCACATTGGCGGAAGAAGGCGCAAGCGGCTGATTGTGGAGAGGGCCTCCAGAGGAGAGCGCGGGCAGAAGAGCAGGACAGGCACCCGCTGGCCGGGAGGTCATTGACTGGCAGAACGACGCGGAATTTGGCTGGAGCAGTCGGAGGAGAGCCCAGGACGCCCAGCAGCCCGACTCCAGAACAAAACCATCTCCCTTCTGGCTCCCCCATCTGCATCCTTGCTGAGCCTTACTTCTACTCAACAAAGCCTTACACATTCTCGCAGCCCACGTGTGATCCGATTCTTCTGGTACACCAAGGCAAGAAACCCCAGGATACTGAAATCCCTCTGTCCTTCTGATAAGGAAGGGAGTCTCATTGAGCTGGTTAGCACACGCCGCCTGTAGACGGCAAGCTAAAAGAGCACCCTGTAACACATGTAACACATACCCACTGGGGCTTCAGCTATAAACATTCACCCTAGACACTGTCTTGGGGTCGGAGCCCCACAGCCTGCCCATCTTTATGCTCCCCTAGAGGTTTGAGCAGCAGGGCACACCCTCATCGCACGCCCTGGGAGGGGGACAAGGGAACCTCTTCCATTTCAGAAGAGTGGTGGTAGCTCTTAAAACTGTGATCTGGGTCACTGTTCTCTGCAGCCAGCACAGATGTGTACAGAGATGAAGGCACGTGGTCTGCAGTGACACTCGGGCACTAGGTAAATGATGAGGACATTTACAAATGGTATTCGATAGGTAAATTCATAAGTGCCAACGGGTAACCAGAATTCTATGTCCCAGAAACTGGTGGTGCACTGAACTTTCTCCATTCTCCTTCCAGATCCCCTGTCGGCATTTCTGTCTTCTTTTCTGAGCTCAGGAAGCTGACCTCTGCAGATTGCATCAAGTGGGTCTGAGACCCCTTTCCTTTGGCTTTCTTGCGGTTTCAGCCAATGACAACCACTGTAGCAGAGCAGAGGGGGACTCATTCTGCTGAAAGCCACAGCTCCTATCCGGTGGTCTTAGAGCTTGGTAGGTCCTGTAACTACCTGCATCCTTGCTTGTAGGTTTAAGGGTGGCAGTCACTTCCCTTTTGCTAGCCCCAGAGGGGCTTTACAGAGTCTTGGTTTCCTTGCCCTTACTTTCATATAACCTCCTTTTATTTAAAAAAACTGTTTAATTATCACATTTGAGTGTCTTCTTTTTCTGGCACATGCAGCTATGTAGATTAAAGGGGTAACTGTACTTTAAAAAAAATCAATAAATCAGACTTTTCATTACTTCGTCTGGTCTCTTCCTTATCCCTTTGGTCCAAATGTATTATGCAGTATTGAAATATGGTGGTAATTCATGAGGGCTAATAATCTCATGTATTGAGTACTTAGGTGCTAGAGTTTGGCATGCATTGTCTCATTTAATCTTTATTATTACCCACCTGGAAGATAAGTATTATTATCTCAATCTTCCACACAAGAAAACTGAAGTACAGATGTGTGAAGGAACTTGCCCAAGAGCCCACAGCCGGCAGCCTGTGTGGGACTGGAGCCTGCATTCTTCATTCTCAGTGCAAAATCAAACAGTGAATTCCTGGGGTCAGAGCAGTTGGTCTTAAAGTGGGTCACCTTCCCTGCTTCTACTGGTTGTTTCTCCCTTTCCTGATTGCCTTCTCTCTTCCTTCTCATTTTCTTGTTTGCGACTTTGACTTCACCTCATCACTCTTCACCCTTTGTCCTTTACTCAGCCTTCTACTGTCTCATGAGCTGGATTTTCTCCTCCAGTGCAACACACAGCAAAATATCAACAGCTACAAATTGTTTTAAGAGTCAGTTGCAGCCATTACAAATTAAGCTTATGGAAAGTTCTTAATGGTATGGAAAAGGCGGGATTGTGAATTCCCTAAAGCAGCACTGTCTTGTTCATTGAGCTTTCCAGCAGTACAATGCAGGCACTCAGATGATACTCAATACACAATTTTTTTTTTTTTTTTTGAGACGGAGTCTCGCTCTGTCGCCCAGGCTGGAGTGCAGTGGCACGATCTCGGCTCACTGCAAGTTCCGCCTCCCGGGTTCACGCCATTTTCCTGTCTCAGCCTCCCGAGTAGCTGGGACTACAGGTGCCCGCCACTGCGTCCAGCTAATTTTTTTGTATTTTTATTAGAGATGGGGTTTCACGGTGTTAGCCAGGATGGTCTTGATCTCCTGACCTCGTGATCTGCCCACCTCGGCCTCCCAAAGTGCTGGCATCACAGGCGTGAGCCACCGTGCCCGGCCTCTACACAATTTTTTAAGGAATGCAATAGTAAGCTCAGAAAGCAGGACACACAGTTCCATGCACAGTGCAATCTCAGGAAGAAATCACATGTGTAAAGTGAAGCCAGGGCAGAAATGTGCTTACCTAGTATCCATAGTTGTGTTAAGATAATGGCTTTTCAGGTGCTTATTTGAATGGTTCAACTTTTCTCTAGTTTTCAGATTTTTCACACTGGGCATGTTTTACTTTTTAGGCATAAATGTAACAACAACAACAAAAACCCCAAAGTGATATGGTTTGGCTGTATCCCCACCCAAATCTCGAACTGTAGTTCCCATAATTCTCATGCATCGTGGGAGGGACCCCGTGGGAGGTAATCGAATCATGGTGGCAGGTCTTTCCCATGCTGCTTTCATGGTAGTGAATAAGTCTCATGAGATCTAATGGTTTTTTAAGATCCATCAGATCTCATGAGACTTAAGATCTATGGTTTTATAAAGGCGAGTTCCCCTACACAAGCTCCTGCGTGCCACCATGTAAGACATGACTTTGCTCCTCCTTTGCCTTCTGCCATGATTGGGAGGCCTCCCCAGCCATGTGGAACTGTGAGTCCATTAAATCTCTTTCCTTTATAAATTACCCAGTCTTGGGTTTATCTTTATTAGCAGCGTGAGAACAGACTAATACACAAAGCAAAACGGGAAAAGTTCCACATAACGAGGTGGTAAGCCCTGATTCTCCCCTGGCATGCTGGACTCTGGCCTGTCATTCTCTCTGCTCAACAGAGCCAGACAGGGCCCCGGGCAGCTTACCTACACCTAATGGGCAGCAGTATTATGGAATAGCAGGCATTGAGTCTCAAAGGACCTGGGAGCTTATCTAGTCTGATACCACTCTTCTTATCGCCTTAGAAACTGGGACCCAGCACTGACTTGCTCTACATCAGGTAGTGGGTTCCAGAGAAACACAAGCTAAGACTCCTGATGACTGGGCTTCTCATACAGGGCTGTCACCATTTCTCTTTGCAGCTGTCTAGAAGAATCGTTTTTAAGTGTTGGCATAAGCATTTTCATTTCAACAGGTGTTTAGCTGTGCCTCCCGTTCTTGAGGTCAGGCACTGTTGGAAAGACACAAAAGTGTTGGATCCCCAAGGTGCTAAAGTAAATGAAGCACTTCATAAACACAGTAGGACCTCTTTCCCTGGAGAGATGGAAAATAGCACACTAGTGAGGTGGAAGCATTTTCCCTGAAAAAAATTTTTCATTTAAATCTAGACACAGTGTCTGGCTGGGGTGCAATGGCTCGATCATAGCTCACTGCAGCCTTGAACTGCTGGGCTAAAGTGATCCTCCCATCTCAGCCTCCTAAGTAGCTGGAAATACAGGCTCACACCACTGCATCCGGCTAGTTTTTATTTTTTTATTTTTTGTAGAGATGGAGTCTCATTATGTTGACCCAGCTGGTCTTGAGGTCTTGACCTCAATGATCTTCCCATCTTTGCCTCCCAAAGTGCTAGGATTATAGGCATGAGCCACTGTGCCTCACCCTGAAAAGTTTCTTTTGGAAATCTCCAATAAAAGCCAAGAATATCATACTCCAGGGCAGTCTTGGGGTGGTCTGACTTGACCTAAGAAAAGTCCCTCCAGAAATGGACAAACCACATGTCTGAATAATCTTCCCTTTCTGTTTATGCATTGAATGACTTCCCCATGTGAAGCATATGCATGCTGCAAACACAACAGTGAACAAATGCACTGACACTTGTGCATGAATATATAATTACAAAGGGTGTAAATGTCATAAAGGAAGATACAGGCAGCATGGAGAGTGCTCAGCAGGGAATCTGCCCCAGGGTGAAATTCTAGGAATTTCTTCCCAAGGACTTTCACTTTCATAAAGGATGTGTAAAATATGGGGAACAGCATCAAGGCAGAGGGAATAACGTGCAAAGGCTCAGAGGTAAGAGGAATTTGGTATGTTGGAGAAAGTTACAGAAGACAAAAGACTCAGATCATTCCTTTGGAATGCCTGATTCTGAGCATCAGGGCCTTCTGCTGTTTTGCTTGGGTGTTTTTGTTTATTTTCTTTCTTTCTTTTTTTTTTTTTTTTTTTTTACAGAGTTTGGCTGTGTTGCTCAGGCTGGAGTGCTGTCGTGCTGTCATAGCCCACTGAAACCTTGATTTCCTAGCCTTAAGTGATCCCCCCACCTTGGCCTTCCAAAGCATTGGGATTACAAGCATGAGCCACTGCACCTGTCTGTGTGTTTTCACTGCAAAATGTACCTCTGGCAATTGAAAGTGCTGGCTTGATGGCATTTGGAGATTACATGTAAAGAATAATGATTTTTAACTTTGTCATCATTAACATTAGTCAGTATTTCAGGCAATAATTGAGTCACTTTAAAGATCACTCCAGGTTCATGCTCACAAAATCTATCAATAGCACATGGAAAGGCATCTTTTTTTCCTCTAGTAAGTGATCATGCATGCAGTTAATCTGGAAGGGTTTTAAATCCTTAGAGTAAGAATAATAAGAAATCAAAACTCAAATGTTTTACACTACTTGGAAATATTGTGCCTCTCTTGAGTTTAATCCAGTTGATCTTGTTTCTTGGGGTAGAATTAAAATATAGGTTTTGCAAGAGCTTTCATGTTCAATCCATATAGCGAGGTCATAGACCCTAGAATCCCCAGAGAAGATAGGGCTAACTAAAGGTTAATGATAGATACAAGTGATCTCAATTTTAAGGCAGATTTATCTATGAAAGTGTAAGATGCAGAGGTAGTTCATGAAACCTGACTCCTCGTGTAAGTATCTTGTTAACTTTTCAGGAATGTCAAAGAAACTATTGAATTTTTGGAAATGGGACAAATAGCCAACACATCTCTCATTCAACATATATCCCATCCTTCCCCACTTCACGTTACCTGCAGATGTGGTGAGAATGCCTTGTACATATCACCTAAGTCACTGATAACAGCTAAACAGGGTAAAACCTAAAACTAAGAATGTATCACTAAAGTAACTATCCTGCAACTGGGCATGTTGACTCACACCTGTAATCCCAGCACTTTGGGAGGCCAAGGTGGGCAGATCACCTGAGGCCAGAAGTTCAAGACCAGCCTGGCCAACATGGCAAAACCGTGTCTCTACTAAAAATACAAAAAAATTAGCCAGGCATGGTGGTGGGTGCCTGCAATCCCAGATACTCGGAAGGCTGAGGCAGGAGAATTGCTTGAACCTGGGAGGCGGAAGCTGCAGTGAGCTGAGATCGCGCCATTGCACTCCAGCCTGGGCATCAAGAATGAAATTCCGTCTCAGAAAATAAAAAGTAACTATTCTGCAAGAAGACAGCCGTCAGCATCATTCATGTCCTTTGTTCTCCATCAGCTACTAATGCACTTAATTATTTTAGCTTTCAATCTGTATTTCTCTATCTTGTCTACAGAATAACCCAAAATATACTGTCACACGCCTTGCTGAAGGTCAGACTTACCTGTTTCCTGACCATCTGTCCAGTCAGATTGTCCAGTCAGCTTGCCCAAAATGGAAATTAAAGTGATTGGACTTATCCATCCTTAGTGAATGCTAATTGATTTTTCTTCATTTTATAAGATCCACCCTTTTCTTTAGTAATCCATTTTGAATCCTGCCCTCAGTGTCTGGGTTAAAGACAACCTTACCTTAAATCTAGAGTCTACTTACATTTTTATGTGGAATTAGAAAGTGCAGTTTGTTGACATATTGGTTTTTATTGGCTTTCTATTTGACCGTTGGCAGTTTTAATCAGAGTTATTCCAAACTCTCTATAAATTGATTCAAAAAATATTATTATGCAAATTTGTGCATGTCTAATATAAATATAATCACAAGTTTGTCATTCAAGGACATTTATGGTTTACCCAAATAGGTTGTGACAAAGGCATGAATATATACACATACCTTTCGGTAAGTTAAATAAATTTTGCCCTGTATATTCCCATATCTCCTCCCTTACTCTTCTGCAAGGCCTTTCCTTGGATTTCCCAGCTTTCTCTGGAAGCTCTCGAATACCCAGGTTTTGACATCTATTTCAAGCCTTCGATGAAATCATTATGTTGACCTAACTGAGGAATTTTCTATGCATGCATAATCATTCAGCATTAATGTCTCAATCAAGACTTCTTATCTGCTAGTTTTTATGGGCCAGAAGCATAAACCAGCTCTTTTTTTCTTGTTTTTTTGACACAGGGCCTTGCTCTGTCACCCAGGCTGGAGTGCAGTGGTGCGATCTCAGCTCACTGCAGCCTCTGTCTTCTGGGTTCAAATGATTCTCATGCCTCAGCCTCCCAAGTAGCTGGGACTACAGGCGTGCACCACCACGCCAGGCTAGCTTTTGTATTTTTAGTAGAGATGGGGTTTCACCATGTTGCCCAGGCTGGTCTCTAACTCCCGACATCAGGTGATCTGCCCTCCTCAGTCTCCCAAAATGCTGGGATTACAGGCGTGAGCCACTGTGCCTGCCCAACCAGCTCATTCTTTTCTTTTCTAAGAATCAAAGAATAGTAACTGCTGAATTTTTGTTCCTATTGCAAAGGGCTTTACTATTACTTTGTCCCTTATGAAAGTAGATGTGAGATTTTGATTGCGTTTGGGTTCTGAGAGATGACACTTCTGCCAGATTCTTATAAATATTGTCTATTATTATGTGACATTATTATAAGGACTGACTAAGGTGGAAAATTTTGGGTTTCTTTGTTTTTCTGAGTTTGCAACATAAATCTCAACAGGAGAATCACAAAACAACAAATCCAAAAGAGATTAAAAAAAAAATCAGTCTGCTAAGTCTGCTCAGGTTAATGTGTCTTGGCTCATGATGGTACCCAAAGCAGCAGGGTCCAATGAGCAAGAAGCAGAAAATACCAAAGACATCCCCATCTGTATAGGCTTGGAAAATGTCACTGCATGTACCTGACCTTCCACTATTAAGGTAGCTGATTTATCCCTTAGCTAAAGTTGCTCTCTCTTCCTAAAAGATCTTGCTTGTTTTAACTTTGTGGCATTCATGTTGCTGTTCCAGTCCAATCCCAGGATAAACTTCTGAGGTTGCAATGCCAGTTTGGAGAGCAGGACAGCAGCAAATTCCAAGGGAAGCCCTGGGGTTATCGCAAGCTCCAGCCGCCTGAGTTAGGTCACGTTGCCAACTTCAACAGAGCTTGACCTCAAGCTGAACTCCGCATTGCCAGGCTGCAGAGAGCTAAGCCAAGCAGCTATAACAAGTACAGGCCTTCCCAGCCAAGCAGGAGCCCACCTAAAATAAACCTGTAACCTTTCCCCAGAAAATGTTGTGTTTGTTTATAAATAGCCTAACTGCGTAGCCCCTAGAGTTCACTCATGGGAGCAGGAAGAGTCAACTTGTGTTAAACCCTCAGAGCTTCTCAGGTACCCCCCAAACTCCAGGCCTGTACTCACCAAAAATGGATCATTCTCTTCTTGGACTTCCTAGAATCCCAAGACCCAGGGCAGAAAGGAGAATAGCTTCAATTTTCTAGCGGCTAGGAGGAATCTAACTCTATTTTCCCTATGGGTAACAAAGCGCCTGAGTTAAAGTTCGAGATTTGGTATAAAAATGATAGCCACCCTTACCACGTGCCAGGTACTAGCCCATGCATTGCACATAATAACACATTAGCAAACATCAACTCATTTAATCCTCAGAACAACCTTGTAGAAACACTTCTCAAGGCTATTTACAGTCAGCTCTATTCCCAGCTGGGAGAATTCCGGCACAGAAAGGGTGAGTAGCTTTCTCAGCTAACAGGCACTGGAGGCAAGAACTGATCCAGGTATTTTGAACACAGAATTTACACCGTTATATTCATTCTTTGCAAGCCTGGGTGATGGAGCAGAAGGGAATTGGTGTCAGGATCCTAAGTCAGATGTGCCAAGCCCAGGCATCTCCAAATCTTGAAGTCCACAGAAATGGGAGAAAATAGCAAAAGGCACTATAGGATGGATGGGGGTCTCAGCAGAATGAAGGCTAACAGAGCTTAGGAGGGGAGGATCTCCCCCTTCTTCCCCATCCTACCGCCACCCCCAGCCTGCAGGCAGAATTTGATTGTAAAGGAATTCCCATTCAGAGGCTTAGCCTTAATTAGGTTAAATTCCTGGTGACCAGCAATTCCAATCAATCTGACCAGAGAAACCAGCCCTTTCAGTGTGAAGAATACTCTCATCCTTTCCTACTGGCAGGCTGTGAATACTGGCTTCCACCCCAGGCACCCACCACCCACCCACAGGCTCTTTCACAGCAATGCACTAAGCTCTCTCTGCCTGGGCATTCCAGCAGCTGGGATGTTCTACTGGTTGGTGCTTCTCACATCTTCTGTACAAAGAGAGCTGATGTTCCTGAGATTACTTCAATGCCCTTCAAGATCCAGTGAATCCCCAATGCCTATCACAGATTCCATTTTCAATGTAATTTTCAGTTTGTGAGGTCATTTATTATATTTTAGATCTTCCAAAATTGGCATCATATATGACATAAACTAAGTGCAGTAGCCAGATTATTTTTTTAGCCACTCACCCACTAAACGGCTCACTCAAGTAGGAATAGCCCCCACTCAGGAATTAAAGCCTGAAGGATACTGCTTATCAAATTCCGGGACAATGATTCCAAGTATCACTGGGATCAACCAGCATTAGGTACCCACAGATAACAGTGCCTTAACACAGAATTTCTCAAACTTGAAGGTGTATACAAATAACCTGTGGACCTTGTTATCTTATTGCTGTGTTTTGTCGAGAGTTTTTGTATGTGATTACTATTTGAGACAGGATCTGGCTCTGTTGCCCAGGCTGGAATACAGTAGCACGATCATAGCTCATGGTGACTAAGGGCCTTGTTAGAATTCAGGTTCAGATTCAGTGGGTCTGGGGTGGGGCTGAGAATCAGAATTTCTTACAAGTCCCTGGGTGATGCTACGTGGGGAAACTATACTTTAAGGAGCAAGGCCTTGAAAAGTTCATTTATCTTGAGACTCTATGCTCCTGACTGATGTTGTACAAATTGATGCAACATAGAAACTTCCGGAGGGTGTGCTCCTTATTACGGACACCCGTGAAAGAAAGTGAATTTGTCCTGGGCTCTTTGGATGGGACGATCTTTTCAGATCTCAATGGTTTTAAGTTTTTTGACTCTGTGCTTTCCCTTTGCTCAGAAAATATTTCCTATGGGACTGTTTTTCTGTCTTAATATAAGCACCTCTACCTCAAAGGAACTCCTTGTCTCTGAGCTGAAGCTCAATAAAACTTTTTCAGGGCCCTGTGGTTTGGTTATTTCATGTCTTTACATGTGGGTTACAGGATTATGCTGAAAGGGGGGAGGTGAAACAAATGTCTACTCTATTGAAATTGGAACAACGATTGGAACAAGAATTTTAAGCTTTTTGAGGATGGCCACGTCGTCTAACCCCAAATGAACAAACGACGTGAGAGGCAATACAGCAGAGAAGCAAGACTTCAGGCTTTGCAGAAAGAGAGACCCTCATTCAAGTCCAAGTTCTGGAAGCCACAGGAGTTGTCACATGGGGCGAGTTTCCTAAACTTAGTTTCCTTACCCATAAGATAGGTGAAGCTGTCATGAGTAAAAGAGCACTGGCGAGACACGTGGCAAGACAGAGAAGGCAAAACTCATGTTTCCTCTTAACAAACCCTGGATGGATTCCATCAAAGCATCCTGAAACTAAAGGTTGTTAACTGCTGATGACGAGAATCTGACTGCTGGTGTCCTCCAGAAAGCTCCTTTATAGGAAGAAAGCAGAGACTCAGTTGTGGGCTCATTGAGCAGAATTGCATTTGGGTTTTCTCTGCCAGGCATCTCCATCCCTTTTTAGAATCACAGACAATCTGATACTGGTTGCATTCTGCAACATCCACTAGTAGGGATGGTTTATTGCACTGCATAGGAAAAACATTTAGAAGATAACTTTCAAATTTTGTTTTTTGGGAAAACAAAACCCAACATAGTTTTCTCTGTTTAAGTTTCTTGGCTGAGTGCTTATTACTTAGGATATGTTTCCTACTTGACTTTTTTTTTTCCTCTTTCAATATAAGTGTCTCTGCCTCAAGAAGATTGACACAGTTTCCTGCATCCACTCCTTCCTGTAATACCTCTCATCCAGCCATGAAGCAGGATGCTGGTGAAATTTTCACTCATCTTCCAATGCCACCCATCACATCCCACAATGGCAGTAAAAATGGTTGTGCCTTAAGAGCTTTTCTGCCCCAAAGTATACTCCAGATGACACTGAGCAGAAAGGTCTCCAAACGAAGGCCACCAGATCCTCTTACTTTGAAGGCAATTCTCAGCTCATGTCTCATAACCACTGTTGCGCCTTATTCTTGAAGCATCTTGATTTTAGGGGGCGGAAACATGAAACAGACACTTCCTGCTAGAATCCACTGAATAAGCGCTTCCTCAAACATTATTAGGTTGGTGCAAAAGTAATTGTGGTTTTTGCCATTACTTTCAGTGGAATAAAATAGTATATCAGCAAACCACTGCGGAGTCCTGTCTTAGTTTGTTTGGGCTGTTATAACAAAATACCATCAACTGGGTGCCTTGTAAACACCAGAAATGTCTTTCTCATAGTTCTGGAGGCTGGAGTCTGAATCAGGATGCCATCATGGCTGAGCTCTGGTGAGGATCTCCTTCTGGGTTGCAGACTGCTGACTTCTCGTACCCTCACATGGTGGGGAACAGAGAAGGGAGTCAAGCTCTCTCATGACCTTTATAAAAGCACTAATTCCATTCACAAGGGCTCATCCTTACAACCTCATTGAATCCTAATTACCTCCAAAGGTCCTCACCTCCTAATACCGTCACATTAGGTGGTAGGGTTTCAATGCAGAAATTTTGGGAGGACACAACGTTCTGTCCTTTTAAAAGGCACAAGTCCTTTTAAGATGCACATTCTGATACAGTAGATCTGGGGCAAGGCCTGAGATACTAAATTTGCAATCAAATCCCAGATGATACTGATGCTCTGGTCCACAGTCCAGCACGCTGTGAGTAGCAGCACACCAGCACTCTCTCGCCCAATTTAATTGCAAATACTCTAAGGCATCGCTCAAGACCTCTGTGCTTGTGTGTCTCCAACTAGCCAGAAACTTGTTGCACAGTTGTCAACTTTGATCTCCACTTCCTCTAGGTGCCTTGGGCCAGCCTGTTCTGAGTGTCTGAAGGCAGGTCATAACGACTTCACTGTAGTCACCCCAGTAAGAAGACACGGAAACAGGCTATCCTCAGCACAGCTCCCAGGACCAGCTGGATGCTTTGAACTCTAGAGGAGTAAGCCTGATCTCCACAGACCTGAGGATCATAGAATTTTAAAATGGAGAATAATATTAGAAGTAGTGTTATACAAAATCATTTTATAGGAAATCAGGTACAATACTAAGAATAATGAACATTTACTCAGCACTCACTCTATGTTCTTTAATCTTCACAACAGCCTCATGAGATAGGTATAATTATTATGCCCACTTTAAAGGGGATAAAACGGAGACTTGGAGTGGTTAAGTATCTTGCTCGGGAATCACTCATTGTATAAGTGATGCAAACCCAGCTTTGTTTGATTCCACCCTTGTGCTCCTAACTACGATTGAGCAAGGCTTTTAACCAAGAGAAATGGAGCAATTCCCTCTGCAGATACACTGTAATATCCGGGATTGGGATCTGTGTCACTGGACTTATAGTTCTTTCCCTTCTACAGTAAGACAGGTTTATCTTTTTTTTTTTTTTTTTTTTTTTAAACAGAGTTTCGCTCTTGTCGCCAGGCTGGAGTGCAATGGCTCGATCTCGGCTCACTGAAACCTCTGCCTTCCGGGTTCAAGCAATTCTCCAGCCTCAGCCTCCCAAGTAGCTGGGATTACAGGCGCATGCCACCACGCCGGGCTAATTTTTGTATTTTTAGTAGATACGGGGCTTCACCTTGTTGGCCAGGCTGGTCTCAAGCTCCTGACCTCAGGTGATCCACCTGCCTCAGCCTCGCAAAGTGCTGGGATTAAAGCAGACTCATCACTTTGCAGAAACTTTAGCTCCAAGAAGGAGAAAAAAAGGAGAGATTATGATAGTACAGTTAAGGAGTTTTTTTTTCCCCCATTCACCATCCGTGTACACCCTACCAGTCTCTAAGCCCTGATAAAGTGACTGTCATGATATTCCAATAGATTTGAGATACTCAGAAAGACATGTGCTGTTGTACAATGTTGGTTAACAATTTTTTGTTCTAGATTGTCTGGTGTGAGCCACCGTGCCGGCCCGATGGTTTTATCTTAAAGCAAGCATTAAGTGTCATGTGTTTCTGGCCCTGAGTACTGAATTCAAGCACAACTACAATAATGAAAAAGATTCATTATCTCCCAAAGCATTATAACTGAATATGCAATAGCATAGAAGTACCATGTAAATCACATCCTAGCAGAGATAAAAGGTTTAGTTCTACCTGTTCCTTTTCCAAAGGGCGTATCAGATTTCCTATTGTGCCTGAAATGTGTATATTTGGTACTCAATACTGAACACATGATGCCTTAATGACACAGCATTTTTGACAGCTATTCCCAAAAGTAGGCTGTGTCTACCTAACTTCCAAGGAATTAAATTGAAAATTGTTTTCAAGCCAATCAATCTGTTGTTTGATGTTACATATGACAAAGAGCTTCCTGAAACTAACCAATCGTTTGATAAAATAGGCTGGCTTTTAGAGTCATAAATATTACTACAGTGTCAAATTGTTCCTTAGGAGGTAAAATTTTAAAGTTGTGGGTGTTAGACTAGCTATTGATTTGTTCAGGTTAGTAAAGGGACAAGAGTTGAATGGGCTGGAGGTAGAGGCTATTAGGGAAAAGAATTAGTAAGAGATTACCTGGACTTGTCAGACAATCCAGAACAAAAAACTGTTGACCAACATTGTACAACAGCACATCTTTTTCTGAGTATCCCAAACTTACTAGAATATCATGACAGTCACTTTACCAGGACTTAGAGGCTGGCAGGGGGTAGAGGGTTGGTGAATGGGAATCCAAAAAAAAATTCCTTAATTATACTATCAAAATCCCTCCTTTTTTCTCTGTCTTGGACCTAAAGTTTCTGCAAGGTGAGAGAGTCTAATTAAATTTCTCACTTCCCTAAGACTATAGTCTTTTAGCTCTGCTATGATCTGCTCCCACAATGGTCTGGCTTAACTTGCATTTTTTTGTGGGGGGGAGACAGAGTTTCACTGTAGTTGCCCAGGCTGGAGTGCAATGTGCAATGGCGTGCAGTCCTGGCTCACTGCAACCTCTGTCTCCTGTGTTCAAGTGATTTTACTGCTTCAATCTCCCACGTAGCTGGGATTACAGGTGCCTGCCACCTTGCCCAGCTAATTTTTTGTATTTTTAGTAGAGACGGAGTTTCACCATCTTGGCCAGGCTCGTCTCGAACTCCTGACCTCAGGTGATCCACCCACCTCAGACTCCCAAAGTGCTAGTATTACAGGCATGAGCCACCGTGCCCAGTCGACACCTGTGAGTATTACAACTACAGAACTCTCTAAAATCTTAGACTGTTAGAATGGGGCATGGCCTTTGAGATTGTTTAATCCAGAAGGTTTCAAGCTATAACATGGTAGTGCTTTTTAAGCAGTAAAATCCTTTATTTAAAATAAATCCCACTCAGCCACAATCTATAAGAGAGTTCAGGTTGGAGATGGCCTGGTTGAAATTAGGGGGTAGCTGGGTCAAGTCTCACTGGTCCTCTGTCTTGATTCCCACATCCTTGAAATTCTTTCAAAAATCCAACAAATCACCAGAAAACTGTTTGCAAATTTAGAGTTGGAAACCTCAACTTCAAGATCAGAGAGTGCCTTAAAAGATCTGGGAGTGCATTTGTGTCAGAGGCTGAATAGGGCCTGTCTTGGCTTCATCCAGTCCAGAATGTGTAGCTATTGAACTTCCAGCTCTCCTAAAGAAACTCCTCACTTCTTCCCGAAGTCAGACTGCCCATGTTAGCTACTTAGCAACTCTCACTCAGTACAGCACCCAGGAATGTATGGAAGTCTCCTGTCAGGAGCAGAGGCCTTCCCCTTACCATGCAATTTACCTAAAGAGCCTACTTTGGTTCTTCATGCCAAGACTATTGGGCTGAGAACTAGCTGTTACACTCTGGCACCCAAGTGTAATTACTGTATTCACTTGGATGATGAAACAGAAACAAAGACAAGAATCTGCCAGATCCACAGTGTGATAGATTAATTTGAACTCTATCAGCATGTATGGAGATTCAGGGACTTCATTGTTTAGCTACAGAGCTCTTTGCAGAGCTTGCATCTGTTGGTCATCTGTGCTGCTGTTTGCAGCCATAAGCTAGGCATCTAGGCAGATGTTGGACAATGCCGGCCTATGTAGCCTGGCCTTCATTAGTGCCATGAGGAGGAAATGCATTGCACTAATGTTCATAGCAGTGGCTGAAACCCCACAACAACACCCTGGATGCTGCCTGGGAGTGGCCCAGGCAATGGTGGAAGAACAGGACATACCAGGGCCCTGGGACACAGGAAGCCATTGTGCCTTAAGCCCCAGAGCTCTCTTCCAAAAGGGCCCCACACAGAAGGCATTGTTTCAATGCCCTGAACACGTCTACAGCCCATTCCAGCTCATGATAATAAGCTAATTAAAACTTTAAAGCTTAGCAAAAAAATGCTTCACAGTCTCTATGTCTCAATAAAAGACCAGGCTACAGGGCTCTGAGTGTGAACACATGCACCGTCTACTCAAAGCTGCTCCTACTCAGAGCCTGCATGTCCTTCCTTCCTGGTGAGCAAAAGGCATCCCAGCTGCCTGCTTTAATGCACAGATCCATCCCTACCATATCTAAGACAGCTGATGTCCTCAATCAAATGTGACAACTGAGGATATAGCCAAAAGAACGCATTGAGTCAGGTGACCCCCCTGGGCAGTGTGGACCCCATCATAGAGAGCTAAATGGGCTTTATGCGCTGGGCTCAACAGGACTTGTAGGAGCTTGTTTAAGATTCCCAGGAAGGAGACTGAAGCCTTGCAAATGGAAAATGGGATGGAGAAACAGGAGCCACATAGACATCGGTGTACAGTTCTTAAGTCTGCAATAAATAATAACCGCTCTATCTACACTGCCAGGCCCCAGAAGGTTCCAAGTCTCCTGAATGTCCCAGGGGCCTCTCCTTCCAACCTTCAGGAAGCTTTTACACCAAGATGATTCAGTTCTCCCTTTATGAAGGCAGCACAAACTCAGCTTCTTCTTAGAAGAGGCAGGAAATTGGGGATTCTCTAAGGGCACTTTTAGAAAATTGAACATAGAACCTTTTATTAGCGAATGCATAGTCGGCTTTAGCTCTCACATTCATCAGAAGCACTTCAGGGAGAGAAAATTAATGATAATCCTAAGTACATAATGACTTGCTGGAGACCAGAAGCCTCCACTCTGATGGGTCTGACTGGAGCTTTGCCCCCACAGTAATGAAAGATGCCGCCTGTGAGCTTGACCTTGGCTTGGTTCATGCTTCAGAGTAAAGCGCTGCAAAGTTGGTAGGGACTGCTTAATCTCTTTCCTGGTGACTGAAAGCAACTTAGATTGGGACCATTGGGAATAGTGCTGTACTTGGTTATTTTAAAAAAGACAGAAAGAAACTCTTTGCTTTCAATATTTCTTTCCAGTGTAAACATAAAAGCTCACAGAGCCCCTAGGAGAGTAGTACACAGGGCACAGAAAAGCAAGTTATTGTGCAAAAAAAAAAAAAAAAAAAAAAAGAAAAAAAAGAAAAGGGTGCAGCCTTCCTATTAAAAGCACATTGGTTCAGTAGTACAGCTAAAGACAGAAATCAACCATACCCAGCCTAGTGTGTCAGTGAAATTGATGCTTTCTATTTTTCAGAACATGAATTGTGCAGCTATTACCCAGCAAGACACTTAGAAGTGGCTTTGCAATGTCATGCCTTTCTCCTCGATGCTGACATGGGGAGTGATTGCTTTAATTCACTCCTGGGTACCTAGAACTTGGTTGGGTGGCTATTGTTCCCAGTAGAAGGTGTCCAGGTTCTTGGCATCTTAAACAAAGAATTGATTTGGACAAAACGCACAAACAAAGCAAGGAAAGCAAGAGTAGGGATTTATTGAGAAGGAAAGTACACTCCACAGTGTGTGGGAGCGGGCCCAAGCGTAGGGGCTCAAGAGCCCAGTTACAGAATTTTCTGAGTTTCAATACTCTAGAGGTTTCTGTTTAGTTACTTGGTGAATTTCTTTTTTTTTTTTTGAGACAGAGTCTCGTTCTGCCTCCCTGGCTGGAGTGCAGTGGCGCGATCTCAGCTCACTGCAACCTCTACGTCCCACGTTCAAGCGATTCTTGTGTCTCAGCCTCCAGAGTAGCTGGGACTACAAGCAGGTGCCACCATGCCTGGCTAATTTTTGTATTTTTAGTAGAGATGGGGTTTCACCAGTTTGGCCAGGCTGGTCTTGAACTCCTGACCTCAGGTGATCTGCCTGCCTCGGCCTCCCAAAGTGCTGGGATTACTGGTGTAATCACCAACCTGGCTGCTTGGTGAATATTCTATGTAAATGAAAAGAAAGAAGTGAAGTCACAGAGTCATTTACTCAGAATCTGCCCTATTGTAAATGGAGAGGCTGTTACTTGGAGTGTGTGGTCTATGTAAATGGAGAGGATGAATGTGAAGTTACAAAGTGTAAATGGCGGGACTGGAGAGGAGGAAATGAAGTTACAAAGCCATTCACATTCCTGTCATTGCTGAAGTGCTTTCATTTGATTTAGTTCTAGGAACTAAAGGTGTGGATGGGCCTTATGTTCCCTGCCTCCGGGCCCTATTCTCCTGCCTCAGTTATCACACATTAGACTTAGTTGTTATTTTTCTTTTTTCGATTCTCACTAAGGTGTAAATGTCTGATATCAGAGTTTGTTTTCGAAATTGGAGAGGAAAAGGGGGAAGACGCCTGTGTCTCACCCAGGCCCCTGAAATAGGAGCAAGAGCTTGGTGGAGTCCTTGGAAATTGTTTAAAGGGGAAACTGGAGGCAGGTAGAAGGCTTCACAGTTCTGTTAAAGTGGCCCTCACTGAGGTGTTGTGCTAGGAAGAAAAGACCTTGGGCATAACAAAGCCACATCCCAGACAGCCTGCAGCACACTCCTGTTGCCAGAGCTGGTGACTCACTATGACTATCCTTGTGGTTTCTGCTGGGCAGCTGGGCTGGGCCATTTAATGTTCATCATTAATTACTGTTGTCTCGATTCTTGTCATTAGAGTATCAACAGGTTTAAAATGAGCCTGAGTTTTTTATGTTGAGATCAAAGGCAAACCAGTTGGGAGATGGTGGGCAGAGGGGTAGGAGAGAGGAGGGCCGAGTAAAGGGTGTTTCTGGGATTTCCACTGCTCCGGGGTAGGGTTGACCCCACCGTGGTACAGAGACACCGATGGGTTGTTCAGCAACTGAAGCACCAGCTTCCTCAGAGTCACTCTTGCCAAGAGTCAGGCGATGGCTTTATCTGGAGCCTCACAATACTGGTCACTTACTCCTTCCAAAGGCGTGAGGCCTCTGAGGTTAGAGAACCAGCATTTCACAGAAGGGAAGGAGAGGGGAATGATGGAGACTTCACCTCCTCAGGGCAGAGTCCAGTGGCCAGATGAGTGGGAAGTCCTCTGATCCACAGCCCTTGCCCTCACTTCTTCTGGTTTCTGGAAGAGCACAAGTAGAGCTGGCCTGTCCCTCTTGAGTCATAACAGGGACCAGAGAACCTTTTGCTAAGGTTGTCCACTGTAGGTGCCCCATTCATGCCTCTGTACAGTGCCCACTTCTCCTTTCAGGAACTTGGGTGCTCTTGGACATGGCTCTTTCTTGGCCTGGTGTCCTTGAATCCCGCTCCCCCAAAAGCTTGTAAAGCTCTTTTGATGAGAATCAGGGGTCACCAAACTGGCTCAAGAGTATAACTGGAGTGAGGGGGCTGTGTGAGGATGGGAGCAGGCTGTCAAAGGCAAAAGCCATGCCATTTGAAAGGTAGCCATCTGGGTGCCATAGCACCTGCATTCTTTTAAAATATATATTTTAGGCCTGGTGCAGTGGCTCATGCCTGTAATCCCAGCACTTTGGGAGGGCAAGGAGGGTGGGTCATGAGGTCAAGAGATCAAGACCTTCCTGGCCAACAAGGTGAAACCCCGTCTCTACTAAAAGTACAAAAATTAGCTGGGCTTGGTGGTGCATGCCTGTAGTCCCAGCTACTCAAGAGGCTGAGGCAAGAGAATTGCTTGAACCTGGGAGGCAGAGGTTGCAGTGAGCCAAGATCATGCCACTGCACTCCAGCCTGGTGACAGAGCGAGACTCCATCTCAAAAAAATATATATATGTGTGTGTGTGTGTGTGTGTGTGTGTGTGTGTATAATATTTTGGGCTGTAATCAGTGGCTCATGCCTCTAATCTCAATGCTTTGGAGGCTAAAGTGGGAGAATCACTTGAGGCCAGGAGTTCAAGACCAGCCTGGGCAACATAGCCAGACCCACATTTCTAAAATAATTTTTTAAAAAATTAGCTGGATGTAGTGGCATATGCCTGTCATTCTAGATATTTGGGAGGCTGAGGCAAGGGGACCTCTTGAGCCCAGGAGTTTGAGGCCACAGTGACCTAGGATCACAACACTGCACTTCAGCCTGGGCAACAGAGCAAGACCTCATCTCTAAAAATATATAAATAAATACACAAATAAATAAATAAATATTTTATTGATATATAGTTTTATGCATAAAATAGATAGATTTTAAGTGTAGAGTTCTATAGTTTTGACAAATGTATCCAAATTACCAATACTCCAAAGAAGATCTAGGACATTTCCACCCCAAGAGTTTCCACCTGTCCTTCCCAGCTCCCCCATCCCATCCCAGAGACATCATTGTTCTGATTTCTGTTCTCCACAGCCTTTGTCTACCCAGGTAGACACTAGTGGTGGAACGCTTGCATCCCATACCCTCACATCATGGAACTAGCCCTCCACCCTCCCCCTTCTCTGCCAGGCGCATGTTGATACAGCTCTGAAGAGTGGAGGAACACCAGGTTCTTCGTCTGGAGTCAAATTAGATAAAACGACGCGGACACACTGGAGTGGTTTTAAGAAGCGGAGAGTTTAATTGGCAAGAAAGAAGGGGAAAGAAAGAAAGAAGAGGTCCCCTGTACAGAGACAGAGGGAGGAGGTTTCCAAAGCTGAGAGAGGGAATCCCAAGTGTGGTGGATACCAGCCAGGTATATGCAGAGGCTGGAGGAGGCAGTGTCTGATTTGCATAGGGCTTAGGGGATTGGTTTGATCAGGCATGACATTCACATAGCCCTTGAAAAAGCTGGCCCTCCCACCCTAGCCATTTAGTACGCAAATGCAGGCGCCATGATGTTCTACACACGTGGGGATATGTGGGGGCGGCCATGTTGCCAGGAACATGTGGATCAAAGTCAAGAAGGCCGGGAATCGCCATGTTTGGATGGACCCAGTTTCTAATGGCTGGCATTTGAATAGCAAAGGTTGCTGACCTGGCTTTAAGAGCTGCTTTAAGAATGAAAACTTCCCAAGGACCCCTTTTTCCTGTCTATCTGCCTAAAATAATTTCTTAATAACTCCTACAACAGCATTTACTTGAATACACCTGTTGTGGGGGCAGAGTGTATAGCAGAGGTGATAAAAGAGGAGGAGAAGAAGCTCAGAGATGAGGATGGTAGCTAAAGTGCCATTGATCTGCCTTGGGCAGGTATTAAGCTGGATTCCGAGTAACCAGGATGGGAGAGGAATCTTGCTGGATTAAGGAGTGTTTTGTGTAGAGGAGGAGAGAAGAAGGAGGATAAAAATTTGTCCCTAAGACAGGAGGCAGCCTGGCCTCAGAGAAAGGCTCTGGGGTTGACAGCCCTGGCATTGCAGACACACTCACTAGCTCTGTCATCTTGGGATGCTTCCAGCTTTTGTGTTGGTGAATTGAGGTAATCATTTGGACTGTTAGTTAGGGGTGTTATGAAGTTTAAATGGGATAATGCAAATAAAACACCTATTGTAGGGCCTGACACATAATAGGTATTTCATATGTGATAGTAGCTGTATTACTGCTGCCAGGTAATCCCAGTTCTTAGTAAATGCTTTTCTTTTCTTTCTTTTTTTTTTTTTTTTTTTTAATTGAGACAGAGTCTCACTCTATTGCCCCGGCTGGAGTGCAGTGGCAAGATCTTGGCTCACTGCAATCTCTGCCTCCTGGGTTCAAGTGATTCTCCTGCATTAACCATAGTACAGTTCCATTTGGCCAATAAAATGACGAATTATTCAGAAATTTACAGGTCCTGTTTTTAATTATGCAAAAAGTCATTATTAAAGAGTGTTTTGCTATAACTAGGAGCTGAGCTTCCTTTAAACTTTTATTGCCGCAGTAGGCTACCAAGTGAAAAACAAAAGAAAACCAAAATAAATGGACATAGTTCAAATCACAGCAACAACAACAAAAAACAATAAATAAAACTCCAAACCCAAGTTAAGCACTTAGTCACTTCATCATCAAATAAGACCAGGGATACTGAATTCAGATGAATAGAACCGCTTTGGATAAAAAGATGGCACTGACCAAGTCCCAGCCCAAAGTGTGGGCCAAACCAGACACAGCTGCTTGGGCACATAGAAAGTTTTCTAGATGTTGTTTTGATTTTATGTTCAAAATTCAGAGGGAGAAAAAAAAGTTGAGCCCACTGTAGGGTGGGAATCACCAGGTTACCTGCAGCCAGACACGGTGAAGATGATACATGGACACTAAAACACACAGACAGAAGAGTAGCTGGGTGTGAGAAAGCCCAAGGAAGAAGTTCCCAAGTAAGAAACATCCTGGACAGGATGACCTCAGAGTTTCCTTCCAAATCTGGAAATCCCCAGTTCTCTGTCCAGCCCTCCCAGCCCTCAGGGGAGCCAGGCAAACACAGTGAGAGATGGAATGTCATCTATGACAGGAACATCTGTAAGAAAGAGGCACTTTTCATTTTCGATGAGGCAGAGGGTTACAAGGAAGGGTTAGGGGACCTTAGTTTCTGGTTATGATGTAGAAAGTCAAAAGAAGCTGTCTGCCACTCTTGCCCTAAAAACCAAATCAAGAAGAATCAGTGGGACAGGAGAAATCTACTTTAGATGGTAGGGAGAAACCCTTCAAACTTGTAAGAAAGTTTTAATGGCTATGTGTGAGATAATGTGAAAAATTAGAATGTCAAGGAGTTCTATCCACAGAGCAAATCTGTATCCACTTATCAGCTTTTTAATGTAGGTTTTCACCAAGTTCATGGGTGGTTATGTTAAACGCTGGGACCAGATAGCTTAGAGAGATCCTCACAAAGTATGATGGGTCTTCCCCAGGTGCAAGGCAGCCGATGTCTAAAGGTGGAGGACAGACCAGGAGAGCAAAGAGAAAAGCATCTAAGGCACTATGGGCTTTTAATGACCAAAGATTAGGGAGGGGCAGGCACACCTTGCTTTCAGATTTAAGAGGAACAGAAATTTGAGGACAGGCACAGAGAGCAAAGAGAGGTCATTAGTGATCTCTTTGCAGCCAGGCTGTAAGGCAGAGGGAGATCTCCTATGGTTTGTTGGAAAAACTGACAGCTTTGTGTATAACACAAAGAAATCTGTGGACTTTCAAGTTTTCACATTCTAGAACCTGCTGAAGGGGAAAAACTTACCTCTGTCTCAAAACATTTGAAGCCAGTGGGAAACTGAATCAAACTAAAGCTGAAACAAAGCTCAGACCCAAACTGACACCTATCAGATAGAGTTAGCCCTCCAGTCTTGAAGCCTGGCAAAAGAAAGGGCATGACATTTCTTAGGAGTATTATTTATTCCCCTTTCTGGTGTCCTTTTATATAAAATATCTGTTAGGCAATAAAATTTGGGGGAACTTTGAGATGAAAATAAACATTAACCATAGTCAAGAGAAGAAAGAGTCAATAAAACACACCTAGAGATAGTGTAGACAGGAATTTTAAAATATCAATAAATATGCTTAAAGGATGTAGTGGAAAAGGTAAACATTGTAGGAAAACAGATGAGAGTTTTAGTATAGAAATAGAAACTATGAAAAAGAAGTAAAAGAAATGCTAGTGAGATTTTGCTTCTGATTGAGATGGAGTAATCATGACTTGATTAACTCTTCTGTGTGAAACAAATGAAAAAAAAATCAAACAATAGCAAACAATGATTTCCAAGACAATGGGCATTAAACAACAAGAGCAGTGATGCCTCAGACACAGATAATAAAATTGATGAATCCTACAAATGTTCCAGTTTATTGCCTTGTAACAGATTCCAGGCTGTGACACAGAGAAAGAGACCCAGCTGCAGCCCAGAAGACTCCTGAGTTGAAGAGATGGAGTGGAAAGTCTGGGATACCAACTTAGCTAGAGTGTGTAGGACAGAATACCAGAGAGGGAAATTGAATAAAGAAATAACTCTGGAGAGCTACAGAGAGTCTCCATTAAGTATCAGGGAGAATATTGATCAGTGCATGTCTATGCATTCTCCTGAGGCTTGGAGGAAAAAAAATCACCCCAAAATATTAGAAGGAATAGTAACTGGTGCTCATGTAGGGATAAAAATGATGTTTTCCCCCCACAGCCTAGAGAAGAAAACCTTATACATCACACTTGGTAGTGTACCTATATATTAGTGACCTTGGGGTATGATAACAAAATACCACAGACTGATTAGTTTAAACAACAGAAACGTATATTCTCACAGTTCTGGAAGCTGGAAAGTCCAAGATTCAGGTTCTGGCAAGGCTGAGTTTCTAGTGAGGGCTCTCTTCTTTGGCTTCTAGAAAGGCACCTTCTTGCTGTGTCCTCATATGACACCAACCTCTGGTGTCTCTTCCTTTTTTATAAGCACAAGTTCTATTGGATCAGGGCTCTACTTTTATGACCTTATTTAACCTTAATCACTTCCTTAAATGCCCTATCTCCAGTACAGTCACATGGGGGTTAGCACTTTGCCATATGAATTTGGGGGAGACACAAGTCAGTCCATAGCAAATTGGAATAGTCTTGTCTCAGAAGTGGGTAATAAGTAGGTCTAGTTCTGAGTAACAAAATTTAGAAGTAAGAACTGAAAAGTTCAAACTGTTTCTGAGTAACACAGTTGTATGCTAGAAGTAAGGTCAGGAATATTATAGGTGTACAAAAATGTACAGAATGCAATGAGGTAAAATTCATAGTTCTCACAATAAAAAATTACCAGGCATGTACAAAAGCAGAAAAATATAACACATAGTGAAGAGATAAATCAATCAATCAAAACTGACCAGAACAGATAAAAGTGTTACAACTAGCAGAAAATGACATTAAGACAGTCATTTCATCAGTATTCCATAGATCTAAAAATAAAGTAGAGGCATAGAAAGTATTAAAAAGACCTGAATTAGGCTTTTAGAGATAAAAACTACAATGTCTGTGATGAAAATATGTAGGGTGATATTAACAACAGATTAGATACATCAGAAGAAAAGTTAGCAGGCTTGAGGACATGCCACTAAAAATCATCCAAAATGGAATACAAAGAGATAAAATAATTTAAAATTAACAGTGCACCAGTGGGTGGCAGGAAAATAGCAAGAAAACTAAGATAGTTGTAATTGTAGTCTATGAAGAGGAAGAGAAAATGAAGGACAGAAAAAATATTTTAAAAAATAATGTCAAAAAATTTCCAAGTTGGATGAAAGCTATAAACTCACAAATCCAAGAAACTCAACGAACTCTAAGAACAAAAAAAACTTAAGGAAAACTACAAAAACTACAAATAACATCCTAATTAAATTGCATAAAACCAAGGAAATCTGAAAAGCAGGCAGAAAAAAAAGAGAGAAGTTATATACAGAGAACAACGGTAAGGACGACAGCAGATTTCTTGTCAGAAACAATCCAAGTGGGACGAAACTGGAGTGACACTTTTAATTTATAGAAAAGAAAAACAAAACAATCTAAAATTCTATATCCAGTAAGAAAAATCATTCAAATGTGATGGTAAAGACTTTTTTTATACTTACAAAAACTAAGAGAATTTAGTTCTTTTAGTTATCACCTCCAGACTTAAAAGATATTAAAGATTACTATATATAATAAAGACCAAAGAAAAATTATACCAGAGTGAAATATGTTCTACACAAGGAATGAAAAATACTGGAAATGGTAAATACATAGGAAATATAAAATATTTTTCTTTTTATTTAAATCTCATTAAAAGATAATTTACTGTTTAATGAAAATAATAAGGTGAGGTTTTTTACATATGGATGTAAAATACATGACAATAGCACAAAGGCCAGTAGGGAAGGAAATAAAACATACTATTGTAAGGTATACTATACATGAAGTGATATAATATTGCTTGAAGGTGTACTATGATAAGTTAGAGATGTATATCAACACCCTAAGGCAATCTTTAAAATAATGAGACATTTGTGATGGCATTTAGGGTGCACCAAGATAATTCAGGATAATCTCCTTATTTCAAGTTTCTTAACTTAATTGCATCTGCAAAGATCCTTTTTCCAAATAAGGTAATGTTCACAGGTCCCAGTCGTGAGGATGTGGACATATCTTTGGGGCCACCATTCAGCCTGTAACAGCAAGATTCCCTCATTTGGAGGCTTGACTGGAGAAAAATCTGCTTACAAACACAGATTTTTAGTTGAAGTCAGTTCTTTGTGGCTGTAAAATTGAAGGCTTTTATTTCTTGATGACTATTGAATAGAGGCTTTTATTACCTCCTAGAGGCCACCCACAGTTCTTGACCATCTGGGGTTCCCCAAAAGGGCCATTTTCTTCTTCTTCTTCTTTTTTTTTTTTTTTTTTTTTTGAGACAGAGTCTTGCTTCTTCACCCAGGCTGGAGTGCAGTGGTACAATCTTGGCTCACTGCAACCTCTGCCTCCCAGATTCAAGCAATTCTCATGCCTCAGCATCCTGAGTAGGTAGGATTACAGGCACACACCACCATGCCTGGCTAATTTTTGTATTTTTAGTAGAGGCGAAATTTCACCATGTTGTCCAGGCTGGTCTCAAACTCCTGACCTCAGGTGATCCGCCTGCCTCAGCCTCCTAAAGTGCTAGGATTACAGACATGAGCCACCATGCCTAGCCCATTTTATTCTTTAAAGCCAACAAGGTAATGAAAAACTCCAGCAAGACAAGTGCTAAACTCTTATGGAAGGCAGTCATACACATGCAATCTTATATAGTGCCCAATCACCCATTGCCTTTGCCATGTTCAATTGGTTAGAAGCAAGTCCCACTTTCTACCTACTTTCAAGGGGCAGGAATTATGCAAGGGCATGGATACTAACTGGTGGTGGTTGTAGTCTGTCCTCTGGTCCTCAATGATTCATGTCTCTCCTACACGCAAAATACTTTCACCCCCCCACCAAGATCCCCGAGAATGTAATCTAATAACAGCATTTGCTCCAAGACCAGAGTTTCATTATCTAAATCAGGCCAGGTGTGGGTGAGGCTCCATGGACACATAGTTCCTCTCAACTGATGAATCTGTAAATGAAAGAGACAAATTATCTTCCCCCAACATCCAAGATACAATTCTGGGAGAGGTATAGGAAAGAAGCTGCAGACATTTTTCTTTAAAAAAGGGGAAATGGAAGATAAAAAGGAATCATTGGTCCATAATAATTCCAAAATACAACTGAGAAAATGTTCAGATTTTTAAAATTAAATTTCAAACTTTGGGAATAATTCTCCATGGCTCTAGAATCTGCTTCCTGGGATCTTAGTTCTACCATCTGAGTCATTCTTCCTTTTCTAAATGAAAGTCAGCTCACGTTTGGAGTCATTTTATCAACCTGCTTCCTACTAGTAGAATTGGAGTTACAAGGGTCTCTTTTCATTTGATCCTATCTCTGTCCCACTTAGTCCAACCTGGCAGTGTTTCTTCTGAAAGAATTTTCTCAAGAACTTTGTGGGCCTTCCATGAATTTCCCTGGGGTTTACTCCATTAGACACATCTTCACCCACAGATGTTTTTTAGAAAAGTCCTTCTCTACCTTGGGCTTCTGCCGAGGTTGCTGAGGGACAATGCATTTCATTTTCCTAGAGGCCCTGTGGTTTGATTGAGAAGATCTGTGAGGCATACCCTTAATTTTTTGAAAGAGCCCTTTGTGTGGCTGAACCCTCTGGCCTTTTGCTCTTTCTGAGATTTTAGGAAAAGATCGTATAGTCATAGCCTTGGCTTTTTCTCATGTGTGTGGTTTTCTGGAGTGCTTGGAAGCTATCTCTCCATTTTAGCACATTTTAACATTTGGAAAGGCTGAGAATTTTCAAGATCAAGTCTTGCTTCCTATTAGTTCAATAGTTTTTTTCCCCTCAATCTGTCTCTCTCTTTACACAATGTATTATGAGCAGCAAGGATACACCAAATGGTAACTTCAAGCATTTTGCTTGGAATTATCTTTAGATAACTAAGTTTATCATTTTCAAGCTCTACTTTTTATACATTTCAAGAGACAATTGTGCTATGCTTTCTGTCACTTATCTGAGAAGGACCCCTCTTCCTCCAGTTTCCAATCACATGCTACTCCCTTCCAAGTCCTCACTGGCAGCATCCTCAATGCCCACATTTCTGTTAACGGCTTGTCCAAAGCAAGTCAGGCTTTCAATGTTCTTCAAATATTTCTGGCCTCTGCCCACTGCCCAGTTCCAAAGCCACTTCCATTTTAGGTATTTATTATATCAGCACTCCCCTTCCAGTATAAAATCTGTATTATTTACTTTCTGCAGCATAACAATGTTGCCACAAACTTAGCAGCTTAAAACACAACACACATTTATCATATTACAATTTCTGTGGGTCAGGAGTTTGGGTGTGGTTAGTTGGTCCCTCTGCAATTAAAGGGTCAGTTGAGGCAAAGTTTTCACCTGGGGAAGAATACACTTCCAAAGTCGTACATTCATTGGCAGAATTCAGTCCTTTGTGGCTACAGGACTGAGAAATTCTGTTTCTTTATGGCTGCTGGCTGGATGTCAGCCTCAGCTCCTAGAGGCCAATTATCATTCCTTGTCATGTGAGGAAGCAACATGGCCATTTGCTTCTTGAAAGGTAACAAGGAAGTGAGAGACTCCTGGACAAGTGCTACAGTTTTATCTAATATAATCACATAATGATATATGCCATCACTTTTGCTGTATTTCATTGGTTAGAAGCAAGTCACAGTTCATGCTTACAATCAAGAGGAAGGGATAATACACATATGTGACTACCAAGAGGCAGGAATCCTGGAGGCCACCTTAAGATATGTCTACCACAATGACTGAGTAGGGTTTATTTCCAGAATTCAAGGATGGTTTGACATTAAAAAATCAATCAATGTGACTCATTAAAAAACTATTAAATATACAAGAAAAACCATAAGTTCATCTTCATAAGTACAGATTTTTAAAAATGAAACCTCACTCCCTTTCCTGGTAGAAACAGTCATCTGGGAATAGAAATGCATTTCTTTAATCTGATAAAAGACATCTGAGAAAAGCCTCCAGCTAACATTATGCTTAATGGTGAAAGAATGATTTTTTTCTAAGTTTTAGGAGAGGGGAAGAGAGAGTGTGAGTGATAAAGAAAGAAGGAGAGAGGAGGAAACAGAAAGAGAGAACAGTGCCTCTGAGGTCCGTGAGACAATATCAACAATCTTTTTTTTTTTTTTTTTTTTTTGAGACAGAGTCTTGCTCTGTTGCCCAGGCTGGAGTGCAGTGGTGCAATCTCGGCTCACTGCAAGCTCCACCTCCCAAGTTCACGCCATTCTCCTGCCTCAGCCTCCTCAGTAGCTGGGATTACAGATGCCCACCACCACGCCCGGCTAATTTTTTTGTATTTTTTAGTAGAGACGGGGTTTCACCATGTTAGTCAGGATGGTCTCCATCTCCTGACCTCGTGATCCACCCGCCTCGGCCTTGCAAAGTGCTGGGATTACAGGTGTGAGCCACTGTGCCCGGCCAGTATCAACAATCTTATATATAGTTATGCATTGTTTAACAACAGGACTATGTTCTGAGAAATGTGTTTTTAAGTGATTTTGTCATTGTGTAAACATAATAGAGTGTACTTACACAAACCTAGGTGGTATCCCCTCCTACACACCTAGGTTACAAATCTGTACAGCCTGTTATTGTGCTGAATACTGTAGGGAATTGGAACACAATGGTAGGTATGTGTGTGTCTAAACACACAAAAAAGTTTAGTAAAAATACAGTATAAAAGATAAACAATGGTACACCTGTATAGGGCACCTACCATGAATGGAGCTTGCAGAACTGGAAGTTGCTCTGGGTGTTTGGTAAGTGAGTGTGTGTGAATGTAAAGGCCTAGGATATTTTTGTACATTACTGTATGTTACTACATTACTGTAGACTTTATACACACTGTACACTTAAGCTACACAAATTTATAAAAATATTTTTCTTTTTTTCAGTAATAAATTAAACTTACTGATTTAGCTCTGATGAGTGGAGGAACACCATGGTTCTTGTCTTGAGCTGAATTACATAAAATGACACGGACACACATGGAGTGGTTTTAAGGAGCTGAGAGTTTAATAGGCAAGAGAGAAGTAAGAAGCTCCCTCATACAGAGACAGAGGGAGGGGGGCTCCAAAGCCGAGAGAGGAGACCCCATATGCCACTGATACCAGCCAGGTATATGAAGACGCTGGAGGAGGTGGTGTTTGATTTGCATAGAGTTCACGGGATTGGTTTGACCAGGCGTGTCATTCACGTAGCCTGCAAAACACTGGCTCTCCCACCCTAGCCTTTTAATTTGCAAATGCAGGGCACCGTGATGTTCTACACACGTGGGGTTATGTGGGGGCAGCCATGTTGCCAGGCACGTGAGAGGCAAGGGCAAGAAGGCCACGGGAATCACCATGTTTGGGTGGACCCAGTTTCTAATGGCTTGCATTTGCATATCAAAGGTTGCCAGCCTGGCTCTAAGAGCCAGAGCTTTCCAACTAGACAAGAAATGTTTCTGGAGCTGCTTTAAAAATGAAAAGTTTCCAAGGACCGCTTTCCTCTCTATCTACCTAAAATAATTTGTTAATAACTCCTACCATATTACCTTCTGTAAATATTTCACTTTATAATCTTTTTTTTAAACTTATTGGTTCTTTGTCACAACATTTAGCTTAAAGCACAAACACATTGTACAGCTGTGCAAAGATATTCTTTCTTTATAACCTTATTCTATACGCTTTTCTCTTTTTAACTTAATTTTGTTGTTGTTGTTGTTAGGAACACACACACATACATTAGCCTAGGCCTATACAGGGGTCAGGATCATCAATATCACTGCCTTCTACCTTTACATCTCGTCCCACTGGAAAGTCTTCTGGGGCAATAACACACATGGAACTGTCATCTCCTATGATAACAATGCTTTCTTCTAGAATATCACCTGAAGAAGCTACCTGAGGCTGTTTTACAGTTAAGTTTTTTAAAAAAAGTATTTTTTTATTTAAGTAGAAGGAGTACACTCTACAATAACAGTAGAAAATATGGTGTAGTAAATACACAAACCAGTAACATCATTTATTATCATTTTATCAAGTAGTATGCACTGTACATAGTTGCATGTACTAAGACTGGCAGTGAGGTAGGTCTGTTTACACCAGCATCCTCACAAACACATGAGTAATGCATTGTGCTATGATGTTACAATGACTACAGTGTCACCAGGTGATAGGAAATTTTCAGGTTTATTATAATCTTATGACCACTATCGTATAATTGGTTGGTCATTGACCAAAAAGTTGTTACATGGCACATGACTAAACAAATTGGAATTCATAAAGGAAAAGACAGAGAGAATGGGGTGTAAGAACTATTTGAAGAGATACAGCAGAAATGTTTGAAAACTGATAAAAGACATTGTATTAGTCCATTTTCATACTGCTATGAAGAAGTACCCAAGATTGTATAATTTATAAAGAAAAAGAGCTTTAATAAACTCACTTTTCCATGTGGCTGGGGAGGCCTCATAATTCTGGCAGAAGGCAAAGGAGGAGCAAATGCACATCTTACATGGCAGCAGGCAAGAGAGTGTGTGCAGGGGAACTGCCCTTTATAAAACCATCAGGTCTTGTGAGACTTATTCACTATCATGAAAGCAGCATGGGAAAAACCCACCCCATTTCAGTTTTAATCCTGGTATCAGTCCATTTCAGTTTTAACCCTAATTTCAGCCTTTTCTGGCTGTGTCCTCAGTTTCTTCATCTGTAAAATGAGGGATAAGATAATACCTACCTTGTAGAATGATTTTGTGGATTAGTCTCTCTAGCACTTAGAATAGTGCCTGGTACATTGTAAGTGCTCCGTTATTAGCTATTAGCATGTGATTACACACAATACCTGCATCATAATAAGCATTTGAAAACTGATAGTGACTATTACATCATTGCAGTGCCCAGTATAGAAGAAACTCTTGGGTTATTTAGGATATGTACGTAACACATACAGATATGTTGTAGCAGATAGACCCAAATATGCGATGGCTTGAAGAAGTTTGCTTTTCACTCATGTAGCAGTCCAGATAAATGAAGACTTGTGTATGCACAAAAACCCTGTGCATGAATGTTTATAGCAGCTTTATTTATAATGGCCCTAAACTGAAAACAACTAAGATAACTTTCAATGATAAGTGGTTAAACAAACTGTGGCAAATCCATACCACGGCTTACTATGCAGTAATAAAAAGGAGTGAACTGTTGATATGTATAGTAACCTGGTTGAATTTACAGAGAATTATTTTGAGTGAAAAAGGCAGTCCCCCAAAGATTCTATTCAGTATGATTTCATTTATATAACATTCTTGAAATGACAAAATTATAAAAATGAAGAACTGATTGATGGTAAGGGAAACTGAGGAAGGGATACTCTGGATCTCTTTATATTATTTTTTACAACTGTGTGTGAATCTACAATTATCTCCAAATAAAAAGTTAAAAAAAATCTCCTGATTTATTTCCTAAAACATACATAAGCATGGAAAACATAACTTATATTTTTAACTTCCACTTGATTTTAAAAGACAGTGCAAAACTCTTTGCTATGAAAAATTTTTCTCCCTGGAAAGCCTATCCTCACTGGAAATGTTATCAGTTGAGGGTAGTTGTCCGGGTTCTTGGCATTTTGAACAAAGAATTGGACAAAACACACACACGAAGCAAGGCAGCTAAAGCAGGGATTTATTTTAAATGAAAGCACAGTCCACAGGGTGAGAGCGGGATCAAGCAAGGGGCTCAAGAGCCTCAGTTACAGCTTTTGCTGGGGTTTAAATACCCTCTAGAGATCTCCATTGCTTCACTCTATGCAAATGAAGTAGTAGCCCACAACCAGTCTGATTGGTTGTGGGAGGTAAATAGTAGGTCTGCGACCAGCCTGATTGGTTGTGGGAGGGGACCAATCAGGTACTTTCATTTTCCAACTGCCACACAGAAAAAGGCAGAGTTGAAGAGGGAGTAGCCTCAGCTATCCAGTCAGCATGAATCAGCCTTAGGTTCCCTGTCTCCAGACACTGTTCTCCTGCCTCACTTTCTCTGCTACCTGCTGCCCTCTATAGTTGCATGGGTTCTTCTTGTGATACCTCTTCCCCCTCATTCCTACCCTTGACGTTCATTTTAACCAGGTTCTTCTGCCTCTTTTAAGAGTAATCCTTCATTCAAAACATAGTCATGGAGCACCTATATTGTGCCTGGCATTGTGATTCAGTGATTAACAAGGCAGTCCTTACCTTCACCCCATTGTCATCTTCCTTATCTCATACTTTATATTTTCCTTAATATAGATCTCGTTTTTTTGTTTTGTTTTTGAGACAGAGTCTTGCTCTGTCACCCAGGCTGGAGTGCAGTGGTGTGATCTCTGCTCACTGCAACCTCCACCTCCTGGTTCAAGTGATTCTCCTGCCTCAGCCTCCCAAGTAGCTGGGATTACAGGCGTGTCCCACCATGCTCAGCTAATTTTTGTGTTTTTAGTACAGATGGGGTTTCTCCATATTGGCCAGGCTGGTCTCGAGCTCCTGACCTCAGGTGATCTGCCCGCCTCGGCCTCGCAAAGTGCTGGGATTACAGGTGTGAACCACCGCACCTGGTCCCCTTGTAATTTTTGAGTGCCTTCTGCGAGCAAGGCATTATGAATCACATTCACTGACCTTTTGAAGGCAACACTATCTCATCTTTATTGTATAGACAAAGGAACATGGGCCTAGGAATAGTAAGGGTGCCCAAGTTCACACAGGAACTGCCTACTACTGTGACGCCTGTATGTCTCCTGGCTCTGGTCACTGCTGTTCTGGACTTTGACCTAGGAAGCCTCAGTGAGCTTTCCCACACCCATTAGGTTAGACATAAGTCTAACTTGGTTCTTGACCTCGCGTCTCCTTTGCTACAACTGCTGCTGCTCGAAACTGAACCCTGTGCGGGTGATCCCAGTCTCACCACTTGACTTTAACTTCAGACTCATCCTTTCACTTGAAGGTTCAGCGTCTTGTTCTGAATCATCAGTCAGCAACGAAAGGAAAATTTGTAAGATGACATGAGGACTGTTCTCACCAGTCTTTGCAAATCCATCATGTAGGAAAACCTGTAAAAAAATCATAGCCCTCTGCACACCAATTCCATATTGACAACAGTGAATAAAATGTCCCCGACTCCACTGTCTCCACTGCTCATCTGCCAGCATCATCATTCTTTCCTTCCCCTCTCTGAGAAAATAATCACCCTTCACTCCATCTCCCAGTGAATCCTCTGAGATAATTACTCTTCATATCTTTTTTTTTTTTTTGGAGACAGAGTCTCGCTCTGTTGCCCAGGCTGCGGATTCAAGCAGTTCTCATGCCTCAGCCTCCCAAGTAGCTGGGATTACAGGTGCGCGCCACCATCCCCAGCTAATTTTTGTACTTTAGTAGAGATGAGCCTTCACCATGTCATCCAGGCTGGTCTCAAACTCCTGACCTCAGATGATCTGCCCCCCTCTGCCTCCCAAAGTGCTGGGATTACAGGCATGAGCCACCACACCTGGCTACTATTCATATCTTTATTTAACATATAAAGAAGCAGGCTCAGAGAGATGATATAATCTCTCCAGGATTGTACAGCTAGAATAGGCAGGATTTACACCTTGTCTGCTGGTGCCTCTCCTTTGCTGCCATCTGCAGAAAAATGGCATTCCCTGACCCACTGCAGTGCCAAGCTCTATCCTAGGCAGCACCTTGGTTCTGCTTAGCCTTGTGAACTAGAGGATCAGCAGGAAATATTGCTGAGCAATTTGTATGCAATTGTTAACTGAAAAACCCTTATGATAGCTGCTAGCTAATGTTAAAAAGTAATGATCATGTCATAGAAACAGAGCACGATATTTAAAAGCTTGCCGTTACTGGGTATACACCCAAAGGAATATAAATCATTCTATTATAAAGACACTTGCAAGCATATATTTATTACAGCACTATTCACAATAGCAAAGACATGGAATCAACCCAAATGCCCATCAATGACAGACTGGATCAAGAAAATGTGGTACATATACACCATGGAATGCTATGCAGCCACAAAAAGGAACGAGATCATGTTCTCTGCAGGGACGTGGATGAAGCTGGAAGCTATCATCTTCAGCAAACTAACAGGAACAGAAAACCAAACACCGCATGTTCTCACTCATAAGTGGGAGCTGAACAATGAGAACACATGGACACAGGGAGGGGAACAACACACACGGGGGCCTGTTGGCGAGGGAGGGGGTGGGAGACTATCAGGATAAATAGCTAACACATGTGGGGCTTAATACCTAGGTTGATAGGTGCAGCAAACCACCATGGCACACATTTAACTTTGTAACAAACCTGCATCTTCTGCACATGTATCCCAGAACTTAAAATAAAATAAATATAAAAAAATTAAAATAGGTATATGTTTTAAATATACAAATATTTATGTTTAAATAAATAAATATGCATATGTTTTAATAATATATATATTTAAAAGCTTGGGTTCTGGGCTCCAGTCAAGCACATTTGAATGCCCACTCCACTGCTGTAGTTCTATGATGTTTAGCAGGCTGCTTAGCTTCTCTGCACCTCAGTTTCCTGCTCTGCAAAATAGGGTTAAAAATAGTACCCATCCCCAAAAGTGGCATAAGAAATTTATATTTGGATTTAAGTCTACCATTCCTTTAGTTTGTGGAGCGTTTCCTTGTTGAGTTTTTTGAAAGGTCAAAAATGGATCATTTAGTTTTCACAAGCATTCTCAAAACCCTAAGTAGCTTTTAATCACACTACTTTTAACGAGTCTCCTTTCCAGACTAAACTGTCCTAATCTTGGAAATCTTGCTTCCTTTGGAGCTGGAATCACATGTACCGAAGTAGAAACAAAAACACTCTCTTCAGCATTTATGAGGGAAAGTCCTGCACAGGGCTCATTCGCAGCAGTCTTTCCTGTGGAAAGACTGAAAAATTAAAGCAGGGAAGTTCAAAGACGGGGCTGCAGAATAAAAACAAAATCCCTTAAAATTACACTGATGGTTTTTCCAGATAAGCAGGTAATTCTTCGAGATAATTTGGAGAGAATTCAATAGTGTTTATTGCAGGTTCACTTAAGACAGCTAAACATTTAGCTCTAAAAGCCATTTCAAAGCGAAACTCTAAACAGTATTTTAGAATAAGAAGAAATTATATGCACACTCTTACCTCCCAGGGATTTTGAAGAGTTAATGAGGGAAATAGATGGTCTGGGGAGAAAATTGCCTGAAGAATTACAGGAAATATAAAAAATTCACCATAAATAAGACAGGCTGACACGGTATAATGTCCATTGAAGTGATTTTTAGTAGAAATAAATAAATACCTGTAGGTAGAGTGACTTTCTGTTCAATGATAATAATAGCGAACATTCTAGGAGGCATGGCTAAGAGGAACAAGGATTGCTGCAAAAATTTAAAACTAGTTCAAGCACTTATCACCTTTTTTTCCTTCTTTGACACAAAGTGTCCAAGAAGCATTAGTATTCACTTGAAAAAGAATATCTTAATAATTTCTTAAGGAGCAATTCAGACTATTTTATTTGCTGGAAAAATGACACATAAAATAGCAGTTTGCTGTTGCAATACATCACAGTGAGTGTCCTTAATGGGGAAAAAAGCCACGTTATTCTCCAATGAGGTTAGAAATATTAAATGTTCAGCATTCTTAAAAAGGATGAATAGACAATGATTGAAAACAAGGCCTTTTAATAAAATGTGCTTATGTTATTCTAAACCTTCATGTGAACTCTTTTGGAAAAAATAGAAAAAAGTGTTGGGCTTCTTCCTCTGAACCACTCTGGGAAAATCACCCTCATTAATAACTTTCTCACATCCCTCACAGTCCTCCCTCAAAGACTGTTTCGAGGTTTCCACCTCTCAATCTTACTTTTGTGGTGATTTTTCTCAGAAAATCATGTCCTTCTAAACATAGTTAAACATTGTGGTTCCATGCATACTCTTTTTACCAAGAGCAGTTTTGTGTCCCAGCATGGGTTAAAGTCATGCACTCAAAGATCTGAAGCTCCACTGCCTTCGAAGTCAGAATTTCTGGAATCAATATAGCAAAGTTCTGAACACCCAGACGTTTGAATCAAAGAGATCTGGACTTGAATCCTGCCTCAGTCCTTCCTAGCTAAATAGCTTTAGCTGAGTTACTCAGCTTCTCTGATCTCCAGGTTTCTCCCTGTACAGTGGGAAAAGTAAAACTTACATACCAAGATCATTGTGGTGGATAAATGAGATTATTGGTCTAAAACACCTCTCTCGATTTGTTAAAGAACTAAAGGTAGATCTACTATTCAATCCAGCAATCCCACTACTGAATATCTACCCAAAGGAAAAGAAGTCATATTAAAAAACACCTGCACCCATATGTTTATGGAAGCACAATTAACAATTGCAAAGATATGGAATCAATCTAAGTGCCAATTGACCAATAAGTAGATAAAGAAAATGTGGTGTATATACACCATGGAATACTACTCAGCCATAAAAAGAGAATAAAATAATGTCTTTTGCGGCAACTTGGATGAACCTGGAGGCCATGATCCTAAGCAAAGTAACTCAGGAATACAAAACCACATACTGCATGTACTTACTTATAAATGGGAGCTAAGCTATGGGTATGCAAAGGCATACAGATTGGTATAATGAACACCAGATTCACAGAAGCGAGAAGGGTTGCAGGGGTGAGGTATAAAACACTGCAATTGGGTACAAAGCATACTACTTGAGTGATGGGTGCACTAAAATCTCAGGCTTCACCACTGTGCAATTCATCCATCTTATCAAAAACCACTTGTACCCCCAAATGCTGTTGAAGTACAACATATTAAGTTTTTAAAAAAGCTTCATTCCTGGTATCCATTTCACTGTTGATATGGTTGTTGTCAACATGCCAGCCCAGAGCACTGAGTCTATTGAGGTGCTGCAAAGACCATATTGGCCTTGAGCAATAGGTTTAGTGGCAATGTTGTACTAGAGTTAGCGTTTTCTCCCAGAAGCGGAAGTTCTTTTTTTTTGGTGCCAGACCTACTTGTTCCTTACTTACTGACCACTCAATATATGAAAGCCTTTCTTAAATAGTCTTTGTTTTGAAACCTGTCCAGGTTCAACTTGCCAATGATGGCCACTGAATATGAGGACCCTAAGACATCAAGACTCTAGGGTTTGTTTTAATTATATACTTGAGAGATTTTCAGAAAAGCACACTTAATATATATGTCTAGACATTTAGAATGTTACAATATGAGATGCCTCTTTTTTTTTAAGTGCCTGTTAGATTTCTTCAACGATTTTTAAAAATTGGCCTGGTTGACATAAAGCATTCCTCTATCTAAGTGTTGTGCTCAATTGCATGAATGATAGTTTAGAACCATATTCTCTCTCTGTGGAAAGAATGCTGGGGGTCCTGGCTCCACACTTCACCAGAAGGGAAAATACTCCTCTTGTATTTATGATGGTTTTTCTTTCCACTTGATTAAGTAAGAAGAAAGTGTAATTAAGAAGGTACTTCTTGAAGCACTGTCAATTTGGGAACGAGATTCTCAGGAATGAAAAATCTGTGACTGTTCTCAGCATGAAAGGTAGAGAGAAGATTACTTGATCATTATGTGCTTATTTGAAAGTCCTTTTCCTTCCATGCCTCAGCATCTCACTTTGTTACTGTGCACACTGAATGCCTGGGATCTCTGTTTTTTACAAAAGACAAAGTTGTATTATTAAAGGAATGATATTACCTGGGAAAAAGTTCAGTACTGAATGGTTACTCTATAAAGAGATTAAGAAAGAAAGTCAAGGGAGGGTAAGGAAGGCAACAGGTGGCTTCCAACCTCATGGGGTCTACTAGCATTATTTCATGCCCAGGCTGGTCTCCAGCTCCTGAGCTCAAGCGATCCACCCTGCCCTGGACTCCCAAACTGCTGGAATTAGCGGCATGAGCCACCACTTCCTGCCCATTCAAAAATACTTTTTAAAAATTTTATTCACTACTTTGTAAACATTTACTATGTACCTGCTATTTACAAGGCACCGTGAGGAGCGCTCTGACAAGGCCAAAGATGAAAGAGTTGACAATTCATGTAACATAAAGCACCTTTGGATAGTCAAGTCATCTCCTTCATTGAAATGTAACACACCATCAGATGACAACCAGATCTGCTCGGGGTAGAGCAGGTGTACATTCAGCCTTCACGCTTCCAGCCACTTTCTCATCAGTTGAAACCTTGGGAAAGCTCTAGAATGGAAAAGAGATGCTCTGCCTGCCTTTCACCACTTTTTAAGAAGTTTTATATGAAGTTCCTAGTGCCAATTCTGTTTATTGATTCTCTTTCTCCAAGACAACAACTGAGGGTTACAGTTCCTGGACACTGGAAAATAGAGATGATCTCTCCTGGCACAATCCATCATCGTTTCTAATATTTATTGTTACAATCTAGACTTTTACTTGAGTTTTCTTTTCCTTTTTTTTTTTTTTTTTGTGAGAGGATCTAACTCTTTTCTCAGGCTGGAGTGCAGTGGCGCAATCATAGCTCACTGCAACCTCAATCTCCTGGGCTCAAGCCATCCTCCCACCTCAGCCTCCTGAGTAGCTGGGACTACAGGCGCATGTCAGCACGCCTGACTGAACTTTCATTTTTTCCTTTTTTTGTAGAGGCAGGGTCTTACTTTGTTGCCCAGGCTGTTCTCAAATTCCTGTCCTCAAGTGATCCTCCTGCTTCAGCCTCCCAAAGCACAGAGATTGCAAGTGTGAGTCATTGCACCCAACCTACTTGACTTCTGTATGTCCTTCTGGTCTCCCTAATAGATAAGTTCTCGGAGAGCAGAAGTTACTTCTCATCCTTCTTTGCATCCAAACAAGTTTCATTAACAATGAATATGTACAAAAATGATTTCTGCCTGGATGCCCCTTTCAGAGGGACCTAATCTACACACAGAACAAATACGGGATCATTAGCTGAAGGGTTTATAGGGGCACAATCTTATTTTTGCCCCGCTTTTGATTATTTCCTTTCCCTCTGGCTCTTCTTGAGTTTAGATTAATTTTTTCTGCCCCTTCCTTTTTTCTCTATAAGAACATGTATTCCTTTCTGTGGTGCCTGCCTGAACTCATGCTCTGTGTCTGCAGTAACCCTGTGCATGGAGCAATGGGTACCACAGCCTCCCCCAAGAAGGAAGCGAACAGAGAATGTCTCCCATCCAGGGAAAGCATCCACAGCCCTGTCCGGAAGTGCCAATGTAGGCTGACTCCTTTGTTCTTTCTCTCTGTACTTTTCAGAGTTTTTCTATTTAAACATAGGGACACAAGTCTACTATGATAACAGGAGGTATTTTAATGCATAAATAGCTTTATCCACGTTGGGAACGCATTTCCTGTTTTGACTTCTTCTCTAAATATATATATATATATATATAATTTTTAAATTATAGGTTTACGTCAGGAGGACAATTTAGTCAAGTATGACTTTCTTCCCCAAACATGTCCCAGTTGCCACACATAAACTATGGAATGTGAGGAGGCTCAGAGAATGCACGAAGGGAGGCATCCTCCTCCTCGCCCTCCAGTTACAACATTTTAAAATCATCTCTCTCTCTACTCTTTTTCTGTAGCGACAAAGTCTACAGAGGAGCTGCTCTCTAAGCAAAAGTTGTAAAGACCAGAACCTTAGTTGATACCAACTTAATAGAAAAATATTCAAAATCCTGCTGTAGAGGGAGAAAGTTCCATTAGGAGGGGGACTTTTCTTAGGTCCAGCGTGGCTAGCAGGGCACAGGCATTTCTTCTGCAATCCCTCAGACCACTTGCTTATTGGGGGCCGAAGTTCCCAGGCAATAGCAGAGAAGGAAGCTGACATCTCCAGAGAGCTGGGCTGTGTCGTTTGTCATGCAGCTGCGCAGAGGAGCAACCCAAGAAGGTTTCTTTTTCTGCATCTTACTCTATTTCTGGAGTGTCCATTTTCAAAGTAAAAAAAAAAAAACTTTCTTTTTTCCTGTTTTATTTTTATGTTTTAATTATAATTTTTATTTTTGATTTGGGGGAACATGGGCAGGTTTTTTACAAAGGTATACTGCGTGATGCTGAGGTTTGGGCTTCTATTGATTCTGTCACCCAGATCATGAGCCTAGAACCCAATAGGAAGTTTTTCAGCCACCCTCTCTCTTTCTCTCCTTTGGGATTTTCTAGTATCTACTGTTCCCATCTTTATGCCCCTGTATACCCAAGATTAAGCTCCCCCTTATAAGTGAAAACATGCAGTACTTGGTGTTCTATTCCTGGGTTATTTCTCTTAGAATAATGGCCTCTACCTACATCCATGTTGCTGCAAAGGCCAGAATTTTGTTCTTTTTTGTGGCTGCATAGTATTCATGGTGTATATGTACCATGTTTTCTTTATCTAATCTCCCATTGATGGGCACCTAGGTTGATTCCATATTTTTGCTATTGTGAGTAGTGCTGTGATGAACATACAAGTAGAGGTGTCTTTTTGGTATAATGCATTGCTTTCCTTTGCATACATATATATATAAAACCAGTAATGGGATTGCTGGATCAAATGTTAGTTCTGTTTGTAGTTCTTTGAGAAATCTCCAAAATGCTTTCCACAATGGCTGAACTAATTTACATTCCCACCAGCAGGTATAAGCCTTTCCAAAGGAAGAGTCTTTGACATGGAATCCAATGGCATAGGTTTTAAAACTGAGAGCACTCACCTCAAATTGGAAAACGACCAAATAACTTAAATGGATTTGTTATAACACAAAATTAAAGCAGAGACATATAATCAGGTTGACCTACATACAACACAGGTGAAGGATAGGCTTCCGCTCTGTCATGGGTTGGGTTGCCTGGGCAACAGTTCTGAGATGGAGATTTGTATGCAAATGGTTTATTTGAGAGAGTGCTCTAGGGAAAAATACCAAGGCCTATAAGAGATTGAGAGGGGCAGGACTGGGTGGGGAGAAAGTGGGCTGTGATGTGGTGGTGACAGAGGCCTCGGCTGTGTCAACAGGAAGTGCTGGACCTTGGGGGGCCCTTTAGTGTTGTCACAAATTGGGGTGTCAGGGCCAGGCTTATAAACCCCTCCCCATCTTCCTCACTCCCTTTGCCATTGGGCTGCTCTCATCACAGGGAAGAAAGGGAGAAATCCTGGACACACAACTCCTTTTAGGCTGAGGGCGATTCCATGAGGGGAACTCAGCTGTGAGCCAAAGGCAGCCACACTCACAGCAGCAGAGAGGATTTGTTCAGACCTGGAGGGGGCATCGGGACAGCACCCACAGCATCCACTGCACCCTTGAATTCGCAGTGAGAAAGACACAAACAGACAAACATCTAGGATTTGAAGTAGATACAGGGTAAATGTTTACATATCTGAAGATTTAATTATTGTCTATAATTTTTAAAAATTAATATATACAAAATAGATAAAAATAATTTATCATTGTCAATTATTTTTGAGTAATCCATCATTACTCACAAGTGAATGAAAATGAAGCAAAAAATTTCAGCAAATGTAGCTTTCTGTTGGACACAGGCAGATCTGACACCATCTATTGCAATCAGGGGACAACATCAATAGTGGGACTTTGCAAACAATAATGGATGAAGGCAATGATTTCTGAATAACGTGTGTGTGTGTGTGTGTGTGTGTGTGTGTGTTTCTGTGTGTGTGTCCCAGGCAACAGTCAACAGGAAGACACATTTTTTCTTAGTTAGATTTGGAGCCGTCAGAGACATGTTGGAGACATTTCAGTGTCCTCAGACTCTTTTATAGAGAGGCTTTACAGGCATCTGACTGATGGCATGAGTAGGTACATTTATACGCTCAGAAGTTTCAGAATTTGCAGTGGTTTGTACCACACAATTAGAAACAGAAAAACCTCAGCAATAACAGAGTTGATGAAGTCTGTGTCATAGAAACTTCTCAGAGCTCATATCAGTTGCATAAAAATTATAATTGCTTCCAATATACAGTTGATGAGGCAATAAAAGAGCTGATGAAGTCTATGTCATTGGACAGAATGCTTCTGGATATTATACAGATGTAACTTTCAGCACCTGCAGACAGTTCAACTTAGAACTCTGAAATCAGGAAATCAACAAGACACGCACCAGAGTAAGAAGCAGAAGGTGATTAGTGCCACAGATCAAGGATGATGAAGGAAGAGTGTCTGGACCCACCCAAGACAGGCACCTTCAGAAGCAATACCAGACAAAGTAGAAATTGGTAGTTTCTACCAGAACTGATTTAGCTATTGTCATTTTTACCATATATATTTAGCATACTATATAATTCATTTCATAGAGTGTGTGCAATTCTTTTCAATGAAGCTTCTAATGTTTCTTCTAAGGTCCCAAGTCAAAAGAAGGAGGTGGTGCTGCTAAGGAGTAGGTAAATTCACCCAAAATTTGTCTCTCTTCTAGTGTGTTAAAAGAAAACTTCAGACAAATTAAATTTAATGGAGTTTAATTGAGCAAGAAAAAGAAAACAATCTGGGAATCGAGCAGCCCTCAGAATCACAGCAGACTCAGAGAGACCCCAAGGGTGCCTTGTACTCAGAACAAATTTATAGACAAAAAAAGGAAAGTGATATACGGAAATCGGATGTGAGGCACAGAAACAGCTGGATTGCTTACAGCTCAGCGGTTGCCTTATTTGAACACAGTTTGAACACTCAGCAGTGTATGAGTGGTTGATGTATGGTTGCTGGGATTGGCCAAGACTCAGCTACTGTTACAGGTGCATACTACTAAGTTAGGTTTTCAATCCCGTTTACCTATTAAGTTAGGTTACAATTAGTTATTAGTTCACAAGCACTCAAATATAGAAGTATGAAGTTCTTCTCAGGCCATATTTAGTTAGCTTTAATAGGTGCCCCAAGTGGGAAGACCAGAAAAGCAACATCCTTTAAAAAATGGTGCCTACCTAGGCTATTCCTTTGTGAGTATGCACCCATTTCTTTCATAATGTTTACACCATTCCAAAGAGAGAAAGAAAAGGAAAGAAGAGAAAGAAAGAAAGAAAAAGAAAGAAAGAAAGAAAGGGAGGAAGGGAGGGTTTATTGGAAGCAATTATCAGTCTTACACAGTTGATATAAGCTCTGAGAAGTTTCTATGACCACATTCTAGCACATTTCTTTTCTTTCGCTGAAAATGCGTTTGGACATTGGCCTATAAGCTGCAAAACAACAAATACAGCTTTAGTCTTTCAAATAGATTCCACAATGACAAGTACTCTCCTAAGGAAAAAAAAAGCATTTCAGAGTGTTTCACTGAGGGGTCAAAGATTAGACACAAGAGGCTTGAAATGAGATTTGTCTTTTTCAGTCTTTCTTAGAGGCAAGAAAAAAAAATGCAACTGCCGGAACACTTGGCTTCTCTATTTGGATGTAAGATCCCCTAATCTTCTCCCGCGTGAACATTGTCCTATCCCTGCCCTTGGACTGAGATGGTCCATCCACTTGAACTTGAACAGACTAAGAGGGATACTGACTTCAAAATCAAGGTCATGGTGGACAGTTGCCTGAGACCTGGAGTCAGGAGACCTGCCCTGGGGTCCTACCCCTATGACTTGCTCCCTGTGCGTCCCCTGGTGTCCACTGGTTCCCAGTGTCTGCCCATTCAAGCAGATGTTTTGCTAGCCTTGTGGTAGTTGCAAGGACGAAATAAAGATGAAAACTTGAGAAGGGCTTTGTAAATTGCAGAGCCCAATACCAAAATGTTAGGTGTCACTATAAATCTTTGTTTCTGTGGATGTTTGCAGGATGAGTCACAATAGATATTGAAAAATTACACAGAGGAGTGGTATGAAGGGGTAAGAAGGTCCCTGTAGTCCCCCATGTTACCCTAGATTTTTCTTCCTGACCCAGTACTTGTAATGTAGAACAATGCGATGTTAGCTCCTGGGGCTTGCGTTCCAACACTTGACCAGTGGTGATTTCCCTATCAAGATGATTTATTTCCAGCTTTCTGCTTCACACTTGGGCTCCTGACACTGAACGGGCACCTGAAGTGCTGTGGGGGCCCCTGGCTTTCTCTCTCTCCCTGTAAGAAGAGGCCCCTGCATAGGCACATTTATACATGCAGGGGAGAGGGCACAGAGGCACAGAGAAAGGACAGAAAAGAAGAAGGGAGACCCCAAAGACAAACTCACACTTTAATCTGGGTCCTCAGAGCTTTGAGGCAGGAGATCTAGTCCTGTTATCCCACGGACAGGGTGAAATTCCAGGAAGCAGAGAAGGCAAAGGAATTCTCTGCAAGTTTCCCATTCTGACCCAGCACAAAGGGTGATAACCCTCACTCTGCAATATGTGTGCCTCTTAACCCCTATCACTTCACATTTATAAAATCTAGTCACTCACAAGCTTCCTTTCCCAGCATTGCTTAAAAACAAAACCTTATCCCAACATGATTTTTTTTTCTGGACATCTCTCCCCTCCAGTATGGAATAGACCCCTGAACCATATGTTGTATTTAAGAAAGCAGGTTCTGGATTGAAACCCTCATTTTGATACTTACTAGCTTCGGTAATTTGGACATATTAATTGATCAGTGCTTCTCTTTCTTCACCTATAATCAAAGATAACTAGGAGTAATAAAGTATTTAAGAGAATGCCTGGCAGGTAGTAGATGCTCACTAAATGTAGGCTATTATTATTAATTATACACCACTCTTAGCTATATTAAGTATATACACTCTCTCAGGCTGGCCAGGTACCCCAGAGGTATTAGAACTAGAAAAATAGATTTCTTCTCTAATCAAACAGAGAAGCAAGGCCTGTCCCTTATGAGCTTCCTTTCCCAGATACACCCTGAACTGTCTAAGTTAACTCCATGCACGGTGGCTAGGTGAACCACAGAAAGAGTCCAGGCCTAGAGTTGGGTCCTGCATTTAATTGTGGTTCTGTCTTAGCCCTATGGCCTTAGGCCTCTTCTCTTCTGCTTGGTTTTCTTTGCAGTAGAAAATATTGGGTTAGATCTCAACAGTGGTTCTCAAATTTGGGTGCCCATGGAATTCTCCTGGGGTCACTTTTAATATTCCTGATGCCCAGCACATCCCTGACAAATTAAATCAGAAGATCCGAGGGTGAGATTTAGGCAAGAGGACTTCTTACAGCTCCCCAAGTGATTTCAATGTTCAGCCAAGGTTGAGAACTGCTAGTTTAGAAGATTGGTAGTTCTCAACTCTGGTACATGAGAACCATCTAAGGAGCTTTAAAAAATTACAGAAGCCAGAGTCTTAGCGTAGGATAATTAAAGTAGAAATCCCTGGGGGTTGGTCCCAGACATGATATCTTTTAAAGCTCCCTGTACGATTCTAATGTGTAGCCAGATTGCGGACCCTCAGGTTTAATGATCTTCAAGTATCCTCCTTCATCTACGTAAGGCTCTGAGCTTGTATGAGTCTGCATCTGTGGAGCTGTGAGCACGTGTATCACCTTCTCTGGAAGATGGCTACACCAACACTCTCTGACTCTGAGAAATGAAATGATTATTCCCATTCCCAACATTCATCTTCTCTGGGCTTTGGGTATTAACAACCAGGAAGGAATCCCCTATTTACAGTCCATAGAAAGGTCACCCTAGACTTGACCTCAGTCCCATTATAACACAGCAAGTCAGCGTTCCTAATCTTTTTGGTTACACAGACCCCTTTAGAAACTTCATGAAAGCTATAAGTCGTCTCATAAGGAGGATCTTACATGTACGTCAAACTGAGCATACAGTTTTCACGGATCCCTGAACTGATACAAAGATAATTCTATTCTATTTCATTATAATATAAAAGTCAAAAACTTACATAACCCAGAAAAGGAGAAATGGCAACATAGTAGAAATAGACCAGAGTGAGAGTTAGTTCTAATCCTAGTTCCACTACTCATCAATCAACATTTAGGAGTCACTAAATCACTTGATGCCTGAGTTTACTCAGATGTCCAGTTAAGAATTATACAATCATGCCACCACATAACAATGTTTTGGTCAACTACAGGTCACATATATAATGATGGTTCCGTAAGATTATAATACTGTGTTTTTACTGTACCTTTTCTATATAGATATGTTAAGACACACAAATACTTACCATTGTGTTACTATTGCCTACAGTATTCAGTATAATAACCTGCTGTACAGATCTATAGCCTGAGAGCAATAGGCTATATCATACAGCCTAGGTGTGTCATAGGCTCTACCACCTTGGTTTGTGTAAGTACACTCTGTGATGTTCACACACGATGAAATTGCCTAATGATGCATTGCTCAGAACGTGTCTCCAACATTAAGTGATACATGACTGGTACCTTCTCTATCAATCTTAACTATTTCAGAAATAAAGTAAAATTAATAATATAAAATTGCTTTGACCAAGTTATAAGCATTACATTGTCATTGAAAGTGGAAGAACTAGAATAGGAGACCCTGGTGTGGCCCTGGAGTAGGTGAAACTGTTCGTGCATGTGACTTTCTTACCTTCCATTCTCATAAAGAATTGGCACATTCCCCACATACACCCTGGCCAAACTGTGTCTTTGGGACTGCAGCACCAAGGTATGTTTTTGTTTGTTAACTTATTCCCAGTGCCTGTGTTGACCAAGAGGCTTTGGGAATAAAGGTACATAGAGGACTTAGAGCCTGGATGAGCCTGGGGTGAAGAGACGGTATGCAATGTCCTTGAATTTGGAGTGTGACTCGAACTCTGCCCTTGGGAGGGGCAAGTGCAGAGCCCATGAACTCACCATGCACCAGTCCCAGTCCTTGGTGGGGAAAGGCTGAAACTGGAACCAGATGTCTGAGAAGCAATCTCCCAGACTTCACAGTAGCTGCCAGATTGGCCACAAGTTTGGCAGAAACCATCCTACTGGTGAGTGCCAAGTGGTTTGGAGTGAGCAGGGAGCACAGCCTGGACTCCAGGCCTATGCCTCCAGGGAGAACCTGGGTTCCCAGACTCACTGGGCATTCAGGCCATTAGAGTGCTGTCTTAGTCTGTTGGGGCTGCTATAGCAAAGTACCATAGACTGGGTGGCCTGAACAACAAATGTTTATTTCTCATAGTTTGGAGGCCGGGAAGCCCTAGATCAAAGCACCAGCAGACTGGGTGTTGGTAAGGGTCTGCTTCCTGTGGCCATCTTCTTGCTGAGCCCTCAGACGGTGGAAAGGAATAAAACAGTTCTCTAGGGTCCCTTTTATTTTATTTTATGTATTTTATTTTATTTACTTATTTTTGAGACAGGATCTTCCTGTATAGCTCAGGTTGGAATACAGCAGTGCGATCATAGCTCACTGTAGCCTCAACTTCCCAAGTTCACGTGATCCTCCCACCTCAGCCTTCTGAGTAGCTGGGACTACAAGCACACACCAGCATGCCCAACTAATTTAAAAATTTTTTTATAGAGATGGGGGTCTGGCTATGCTGCCCAGGCTGGTCTTGAACTCCTGGCCTCAAGCGATCCTCCTGCCTCAGCCTCCCAAAATGTCCTTTATAAGGGCACCAATCCCTTTAATTTAATTTTATTTTATTTACTTATTTTTGAGACAGGATCTTGCTCAAGGGCACTAGTCCCATTCACAAGGTCCCCACCCTCATGACCTAATCATTTCCCGAAGTTCCCACCTTCTCAAACCATCACACTTCAGGTTAGGTTTCAACATAATGAATTTTGTGGTGGGGGATGCAAGCATTCAGTCCACAGCACTCTCTAGCCCTACAGGGGTGGCACCTTCATCCCTGTAGGAGGGTAGGTATGGTGGCTCTGGGGGTCCCCAGATTAGCTGCATCACCAAGAGAGCACAGAGTTGTTCTACCAGAAGTCTTGGGCAGAAATTAACCAGGATAGACATGAGAGTGTAGAGACTGTGCTCCTGGTCACTCCCAGAGCCCATTCTGCCCCCAGCCTACCTTCCCCGACCTCTAGGAAAGCCCTGTAGAAGCACGAGTGAGGTGAGAAGACAAAGGTAGAAATTTCTGCCTGGGGCCCTAGGCTTCTGCTCAGAGAGGAGGAAGAGGAGCCCTCAGTGTTCCAGGAGAGCGTCTCCCCCTAAACAGTGTCAGAGAAAACAGTAAGAAGGGCCTCAAATTAAAAGTGAAGATGTGGGTCCAGACAGGGTGACTCTGGGAATTCTCAGAGAGCTTGAGGAACAGACCTCAGGGAAGTAGGAATCATAAGAGGAATCATGTTTGTTGCTTAGTTTTGTTGTAGATTCTTTGGGATTTCTAGATGGATCATCATGACATCTGCAAATAGGGGCCATTTTACCTCTTCCTTTCCAATCCGTATGCCTTTTATTTCCTTTTGTCTTAGAAAAGTATTATGATTACAATAATAATAATAATGAGGAAACTAGCCTGGCATTCTGACAGAGCTGTTTGTCTCTCTGTAACTCAAATGCACATGTGGATGCACACACATACATGCAGACACACATACACAGGCACACACACAAACACGTTCTCTTTCTTTTTCTGAGAAACCCAGAAGGACTGACCACAGGCTCAGTGTTTGAGCTACTGAGGGGTGCTTTTGTGTTTAGAGGAGCTCCCACCGTACGAAGGTGTCTACCGAGTGGTGATTTTGTGTTTGGATGTGGTCTCACCATATGGATGTGTCTACTGGGGGGTGCTTTTGTGTTTGGATGTGGCCACTCCATATGAATGTGTCTACTGAGGGTTGATTTTGTGTTTAGAGGAGCTCCTACCATATGGAGGTGTCTACCGAAGGGTGATTTTGTTTGGATGTGGTCTCACCATATGAAGGTGTCTACTGAGGGGTGATTTTGTGTTTAGATGAGGTCTCGCCATATGGAAGTTCCTACTGGCTGAACGCAGATACTCTAGGAGCTGCCATATTGCTCGGCACAAGGTTTCCCCCTCCATGCATCTCTGAAAATTATCATGGGAAGGGAGTTGTCCAGGGAAGAAAAATACCAGTCTCCACGTTCTACACCCCGAGGTGGTCTCTGGTCTTTCTAGCCCAGGACCCTCAGTGATGTGGTCCCTGACGGACATCTGCTTGTTGCAGTCAGAGGGGAAATGTCGGACGGGCGACAGCCGCGGAGCCACAGCTTCCCAGCCCTGGTGACTCCAGGCTTTAAGGAACGACACACTTGCACGTTCACATCCCTCAAGTGTGTACTTTCTTCTCCTTTTGTCCTCCTGGAAAGGAATAACTTGAGGACATTGGCCGCACCGCAAAGGAGCCCTGTGGCTTCCTTTTCATTTCCTCTCCATTCCTCGGTGGCTGCTCATGGACTATTTTGCAACTACTGTTTCCAGCTGGGGCAGAGCAATATACACAAGCAGTATATTCTTTTAAATATTTACTTATTGAAAATAAAGATAGGTATCTCATCGTTTCTTCCCATTAAGCAAGTGATATATGTTCCAAAGCTGGGGCATTTCTTATTGTCGTTATAGATCTGGTAGATGAATGATTTTCTACCATATATTTTTTTTTTATTTTAACTTTTTTTTTTTTTATGGAGAGAAGCCTTCATATGTTCTACACAAAGTTGCTTTCCTGTATATTAGACTCAGAGAGAGAAGATAAAAACAGCTGTTGATAAGATGGTGGAAGCTGGATATTTCTACTGGAAGGCAGCTTTGGGTTGCCCTGTCTTGTGGACTCTAACTCTCTCTGTAACTCAAATGCACATGTGGATGCACACACATACATGCAGACACACATACACAGGCACACACACAAACACATTCTCTTTCTTTTTCTGAGAAACCCAGAAGGACTGACCACAGGCTCAGTCCTTGAGCTACTGAGGGGTGCTTTTGTGTTCAGAGGAGCTCCCACCATATGAAGGTGTCTACTGAGAGGTGATTTTGTGTTTGGGTGCGGTCTACTGGTGAAGTCCAAATGAGACCACTGGCCAGAAGAGTCCAGAGAAACCACGTTGAGACCCAAGAACTCACAAGCTTCTTGTTTCCTTGTCTGCAGCACCTCAGCCTCAAAAATCTGTTTTGATGGAGTGAAATATATTGTCATCTTTGATGATGACACCTCACCATGATGCTGTTTGCAAACCTCAGAAGAAATGACCAAAGTACCCACACCCTCCCACCGAGGAAACTGCCATGCGAGGCAACTGGAGTGAGGTGGGACATGGACCTCCCTGAGTCCCCTCACTGTGGCAAGGAGATTGTGCCTCATTCCTGTATCAGCCAGCAGTCATCCAGGATCCAGGAAGCACACCAGTTAGTGAAAGAGGGAATTTGCTGTAAAGAATCCTTGGCCGGGTATGGTGGCTCATGCCTGTAATCCCAGCGCTTTGTGGGGCTGAAGCAGGAGGATCCTTTGAGTTCAGGAGTTCAAAACCAACCTGGGCAACATAGTGAGATCCCCGTCTATGCAAGAAATACAAAAATTGGCAGGGTATGATGTGTAGGCTTGTGGTCCCACCTTCTTGGGAGGCTGAGGTAGAAGGATCGCTTGAGCCTAGGAAGTTAAGGCTGCAGAGAGCCACGAATGTGTCACTGCACTCTAATGTGTGTGACAAAGTGACACCCTGTCTTAAAAAATAATTTTTAACTCCATTAAAGAACTGAAAAGGCAACCATGAAATACTAGGGTATCAAGGAGATGAAAACTGAAGGAAGCAGCTACTTTGCCCTCAGGCTGAGGAAGCAAAGGAAGAGGCTGGAATTATTACATCTTAAAGTTTGGAGGAGGGCTCCTTGGACTGAAACTCTGACCTCTGCAAAGGGGACCCTGTCCTGCTGTGAAAGCTGCCTCTTGGGGGATGCAAAGAGGCAGTGTCTGTGGGTGTTGAAAAAACTGCAAAGGGGACTCAACTGCTGCTACTGGGACATCCAGTCATGGCCAGGGCAAAGCAGCATTGCCAGGGGGATTCTGATGGGAACAGGAAGTGCAGGAGTGAAAGAATGTGGCAGAAGTGTGACTCTTCTCCTCAACCTCTCCCCAGTGTCCTTTGTTAGCAGCACCTAGCAGGAAGCAACTGGCATTGAAGAAATGTGATTTGCAGGTCCCAGCTCCAGCATCAAAAGCAGAGAAAAATCACTTAATAACAAATACACTTGGATAAGTTCTCCATTGCTTCACTACTGTAAACCTAGTTTTTCTTTTTCCTGATCCGTCATTATAAACTGTGGGACTATCCCTTTTTGTTTCCTTGCAATGACTAAGCTTAGACCTGAAGAGGATTTGGGGGCTCACAAAATCCTCCAAGTGTCATTCCGGCACTTTGGAAGCCTGAGGTAGGAGGGTTGCTTGAGGCCAGGAGTTCAAGACCAGCCTGGGCAACAGAGCAAGACCCATCTCTACAAACAAATAAACAAATTAGCAAAGCACGGTGGCTTATGCCAATAATACCAGCTACTCCAGAGGCTGAGGATTGCTTGAGCCCAGGAGTCTGAGGCTGCATTGAGCTATGATCATGCCACTGCACTCCAGCCTGGGCAACAGACCCTGTCTCTCTTTGAAAAAATGAGGCCGGGCGCGATGGCTCATGCCTGTAATCTCAGCACTTTGGGAGGCCGAGGCGGGTGGATCACAAGGTCAGGAGTTCGAGACCACCCTGGCCAAGATGGTGAAACCCCATCTCTACTAAAAATAAAAAAAAAAATTAGCCAGGCATGGTGGCGGGTGCCTGTAGTCCCAGCTACTCAGAAGGCTGAGGCAGGAGAATTCCTTGAACCTGGGAGGCAGAGGTTGCAGTGAGCCGAGATCGTGCCACTGCACTCTAGCCTGGGTGACAGAGCGAGACTCCATCTCAAAAAAAAAAAAAAGAAAAGAAAAATGAAAAGAGGATTTTGGGGATCCTCATTTGTAGGTTACCAGCATGCTTATAACCCAGGATTTCTCAACATCAACTTCAATTATCTAGCCCACTAATGACATTTCAGGCTAGATAATTCCTTGTTGTTGAGGGGCTGTGCAGTGCACTGTAGTGTTGTGGGATGCTGAGGAGTATCCCTGGCCTCCACCCACCAGGTACTAGTGGTAACACGCCTCCTCTCTCACTACCTACAGTGAATAAAAAATGGCAGCCAAAAAGGTCTCCAGACATTGCTAATATCTCCTGGGGAACAAACTTTCTGCCAGTTGAGAATCACTACTCTAACCTCTGTCTACATTGTCACCCTGGATTTCTGGCCTGAGAATTAGAGGTATAAGGACACCCATGCATTTGCATGGTAGTTTACAGTTTTCAAAGCCCCTTCTCTGCTTTATTTGAACATATTTAGATAACCCAAAGAGGCAAGGCAAGAGAGATACTATTGTCTCCACTTTACAAACTAGCAAACCATTACTCAGAAAGGCTGACCGACTTCCCTAGGAACTCATATCACAGCAGAAACTACACTATTCTGACAATTCTCATCCTCCCATATTCAGAGGGGAAAGGAGGGTGGTTTGACAGCTGACTGACAGAGAAGACACTCTTTTTTTTTTTTTCAACTCCCTGTTATGGTTCGAATGTCCCCTCAAAAACTCATGTTGAAATTCAAGTACTATTGTGATGTTATTAAGAGGTGGGACCTTTAAGAAGTGGTTAGATCATGAAGGCTTTACCTCCATGAATGAACTAATGCTATTATCAAGAAAGTGGGTTAGTTATCACAGGGGTGGGCTAGTTATTTTCTGGAGTTTGGTTCTCTTTTTCTCTCTCTGTCTCATGTATGTGCTTTCTCACCATGTGACACCTTATGCCATGTTATGACATAGCAAGAAGGCCCTTACCAGATGTCATCACCATGCTCTTGGACTTCCCAGCCTCCAGAACCATGAGCCAAGTAAATCTCTTTTCTTTATAAATCACCTAGTCTGTGGTATTCTGTTATAGCAGCAGAAAATGGACTAAGACACCCCCCACAAGCTACCAGTAATGTTTCTTTTATTTTTCTTTTACAGTGTCCAGCTTTTGCCAGGAATACCATATAAAACATCTTTATGAAGTGAACACGGGCCCCAACAGCTTATACAAGCTGGCTCTGTCAAGGGCACCAGTGTTTCTAATTAATGCCTCGGTCCAGTGTTCCATGCAGGCTTTACCTGCACCCTCTCCCTCAGGTTTCGACTTCTGGCTGACCCACCAGGGCTCTTGCGCCTATGAGTAATAAATGCTCCTGACGTTTCTCACTGGATCTAAGAGGGCAGAAATAAAAGTCAGTTCCAACTACCTAAGTTCCAGCCTGAACATGGAGCATTCAGAGCAAGCACTGGGGAAAGAGTTCTGGCACCCTGTGGTGTCCGGCGGCAGCGTTCTCAGACAAGCGTCTCTCTGTAGCTTAGCCGTCTCATTTTGAATATGCTCAGCATCAGATATAGTCACCAAATAGTCTCCTAACTCCCCATAGAGAAATCATTCTCCAAACACTGGGGCAGTCATCTTCACAACCTGTATACGCTAGAGATCTCTCGTACTTTTAAAAACTGAAGGTGAGATTGCAGTCATTGGACAGGACAAAATAAGAACAGGCATGAAAATAATTTCTGTATGCATGCACATGTGTGTCTGTGCATGTGTACATATTTATCTAGCACTTCTCATGTGGAGTTGATGGAAGCCAAGGTCACGGAATACAGACCCTCTGTAAACCCCATGGCCTGATTGGTTAACTGCTTGACTAGTTGATTTCTTAGAATAACAGGGCATTAACGCTCAAAAGAAACTCAAAGCTCATTTTGCCCAACTGTCTCATTTTACTAGGGAGTAGATTAAGATCCAGAGAGATGAGATGGCAAATCAACACCATGCATGGCCAATTAGTGGAAAAGCTCAGGACCAGGACCTGCCAAGCAAAGAGGCTTCTTCCCAAATCCCCACACCACCAACATGAAAGGTTATTCCCTTCTCAGCCACTTTCTCCAAGAGCTGCAGACCAGGGTCTGTAGCACCCTGGGTATGTAGCACAACCCCTCCTTTCCAAAAGGAAGAAACTGTTTAGTTAGTGCCTGGATGTGTGCATTCCTGTCTTTACTCTCCTCCCCACTCTACCAAGGAAGCTCTTCACTGAATCCCACCCCAGATTATCAGATTCTGACCACTGGGAGAGGATGACCCCAGATTGAGAAATTATAAATTGTGACCCAGACACTATGTTTCTAGTAGAAAGCAAAGCCATGAAAAACATCTAGCTGTGTCATTAAAATGTTTGTAAATATTTATATAATCTACCATATTTTCCCCTTCTTATTGACATTGAGTACTTTTAAAACAAAATCTCAATCTGGATCTTCACAACTCAGAATTCGTAAGTAAATAGGAGGCTCTGTTTTGGTAAGGACTGTGTTATAATTTTTGTAAATTTCCCATGGCACTTAGCGTGATGCTGGAATAACAACTGAACTGTCATTTCATTGATATTTGGTAATTAAATAATTGTTAATTAAACATTAACAAAATGATAGAACGATGTAAAAATACTGTTACTTGCTTATGATATGACAAGTTGACACCTAAGGTCGGTTCTTTATAAAATAGAAAGTATACATAGATTTTCTTTATCTCTTTGCTGATCATCCCAGCATAACCGGATGGTGGCCCTCCCGAAGCCGTGGGCATATTCCAGGCTGAGCAAGGACAGTTGTGTCCTCAGACTTTAGACATTGGACAGGATGTGAGTTGATGTGAAGTTTCCCAGTGATCCTGAAAGTCAGGATATTGCCATGATGAGCACTTGATCTGGAGTTCACCTCCACACTGTGTGATTTCAGAAAAATCACTAGACTCTTCTGAAGTGAGGATAACCAAATCAGTATTTCCATCTTAAGGTTGTTGTGAGGATAAAATCAAGCATGCAAACTGTAGAGTGCGATACAAGAAGTGGTTGCTATTAGCATGGAATTCAAAGTCAAACCATCCAAATTAAGGACAGTAGACTTCCTCTGCGTTTGAGAAGGTTTCCCAGAGCCACACAGTGACAGCTCCAAGTGTTTGGATTTAGAGGGTGCCTCAGTTCAAAACAAACTTCCCAATTCTAATACAAATTTTAGTCAATGAAGCCATACAGAGTAAGGGCTAGCTAGCTACTGGTGTGTTTTGGATCAATAAATTCAATATTCTTAAAAGTTTGTTTATGAGGAAGCAATTTATTTTTTAAAACATAAAAAGTAATTCATTTAGAAAAGGAAACAAAGGTATGAAGCAGAAAAGAAAATAGTTGCCCCAAATCCTAATCCACCAGAATTAACTGCTTTAATGTTGGCATACTTGTTTCTATACTTTTTTCATAATTTTAAAAATGTGAAAAGTAATAGTATAGATGATATGTAAATAAAGCAAAAATCACGTATGCAAGACACAAATCACAAAAGGGAGGGAAATATTGATATTAGGCATGGTGCAGAACTTTGTTTTATGGATGAGAAGTAGGTGAGATCTCACTCAAAGATCAGCCTACAAAAGTGATGGGAGCAACTTTGCTGAATCCTTCAGTACCCACCACCAATGGAGACGTATGCAGCCTCTGCTTATGAGAGTGTGGACTCCCCACAGAGTGACTTCTTGGTTGCATGTCTTGCTTGCCTTAGAACTTGCTTGCCTTAGTACTATAAGTACTCTACTTAATACTTAAGTACTAAATAGTACTTAGTATATACTTAGTATTTAGTATATAATTAGTACTTATATACTAAATACTACTATAAGTATTACTATAAGTACTATGATTACTATTATGGACTAAATGTTGGTGTCCCCTCCAAAATTCATATGTTGAAGCCTTACTTCTTCACGTCATGGTATTTGGAGGGTGGCCCTTTGGGAAGTAATTAGGGTTAGATTTGGTCATAAGGGTGGAGCCTCCACGATTAAGATGAACGCCCTTATAAAAAGAGAAATAGACACGAGATCTCACTCCCTCTCTTTGTGCACACACCAAGGAAAGGCTTTTTCAGGACATAACCCAGAAGAGAGCCCTCATCAAGAACCTGACCATGGTTGGGTGTGATGGCTCACACCTGTAATCTCAGCACTTTGGGAGGCTGAGGCAGGTAGATCGCTTGAGTTGGGGAGTTTGAGGCCAGCCTGGGCAACATAGTGAGACCCCATCGCTACAAAAAATACAAAAATTATCCAGGTGTGATGGCATGTGCCTGTAGTCCCAACTACTTGGGAGGCTGAGGTGGGATCTCACTCAAATGTCAGGATGGGGGGATTGCGTGAACCCAGGAGGCTGAGGCTGCAGTGAGCCAAGATTGCGTCACTGCACTCCAGCCTGGGTGACAGACCAAGACCCTGTCTCAAAAACAGCAAAAACAAAAACAAAAAAACCCTTGACCATACTGGCACCCTCATCCCAGACTTTCAGCTCCCAAAATGGTGAGAAAGAAGTTTCTGTTGCTTAAGCCTCCCAGGCTGTGGAATCTTTTGCAGCAGGCTGAGCTGGCTAAAATGCATGTAGGAGTCCCCCTTGCAATTTCCCTTTACATTGCTTCAGTTACCCACAATCAACTGTGCTCCAAAAAATAGGTGAGTACAGAATAATAATATATTTTGAGAGAGAGAGAGAGAGCACATACACATCACTTTTATTACAGTGTATTATTATAATTGTTGTATCTTATTAGTTATTGCTATAATCTCTTACTGTGCCTAATTTATAAATTATACTTTACAGTGACTATGTATGTGTAGGAAAAAACGAAGTATATATAGTGTTCGGTACTGCCCATGGCTTCAAGCATCCACTGAGGGGCTTGGAACGCATCCTCCATGGATAAGCGGTGGCTACTATATTCTGTTTTAATACATGCCCTACCCATTCTTCCTGCTTCATTTCATCCCAAGTTTTGCCAAGGACATAATTCCATTACTTCTTAACATGTTGAGAAAGCTCTTTGTAACGAGGCTCTTTACCAAGTGCCTAATTCTAGGAAGGCTGAAGAGACATGAAACACTGCTTAGGCTGCCCATCCCCAGCCGGCAGGGATCAATGGGGCGGGGAGGCGGAGTCCCAGTGGAGAAGCCGGGCAGGGCCAACTCCCAGTCAGTTCTGCTCAGGTGACCTCTCCATCTAATCGAAAAGCCCCAGAATTAGAAACACATCCCAAAACTTCACGGGCATGTCTGTTTTCCCACCTTCTGGCTGCCTTGATTCACAAATACTTTGCTCTAATTAGCACAGACAAGTAACTGCTAAAGTGTGACAGGCAGTTTTTCACTGTTCGAAATGCATCGGTGTTGAGCTTCTGTCTTGCTTACTGGGAAAGAAAGCAGAATAAACAAACCTAGACAAGTAACCCTGAGGGTACATTATGGCAAAAACTAAGGAAAAGTATAAGATATTAAGTGAGAAATAATTTCTACCACTTTGAAATATAAGAATATAATTTTGAAAGACAAAATACAGAACAAGACATATGCATGCAAATATACACCATATACACTATCTAATTTGCACCAATATATTGTGGGAAAAATACTCAACAAATGGAAATTTCTCCTAAAATCTGGCAAAAAGCCACCCCTCAGCTAAGCTCTTATTTGGGAAAAAAACATTATAAACAATGTGGTGGTGTCTGGTTTTACATTACAGATTATTTACAGATATCTAGCTTTGATTACAGTTTAGCTTTTTAGATTTTTATCACAGAAATGTATTTCAAAGAACCCTAGAATACAGATGATGGTAGAGAAGCTTGTAAAAACAAACTCTCGGGTTTTTTTAAGCCTAAAAAAATCAAAATGAAAACACTGGACAAGCTAACCGCCTTCTTCCTCTGTCCCCCATTCATTTCTCTGTATTTTGCTCTGCCCTGCAAAGATCTTTGCATCCTGCAAGCAGAACATTGACTCATTAGGGTGAATTTTGGTCTGTGGGACTAATATGAACATGAGAGAAGAGTCAAGTCAGCTTTCAGCCCCCAAATGCTCAGAAAAGCTTGCTTGGTGGCAAAAGTGAAACTAACAGAGAGGCATAGGGTTGCTCCTAGCTGCACACAGAGCCCAGGGCCCGCATTGCCACCCAGATGCTTGTTTTTATTTTATTTTAGATTAAAACTATTTTGGGGGTGATGGGGTCTGGTTCTGTTGCCCAGGCTGCAGTGCAGTGGCATGATCGCAGCTCACTGCAGCTTCAAAACTCCTGGTCACAAGTGATCCTCCCACCTCAGCCTCCCAATCACAGTACTGGGATTATAGGTATGAGCCATCATGCACAGCCCTTTCAACTCCCTTTTCTAATGTCAATTTTATCCACTAATGAAACACATCTCATTTACTTGGAAGCATTTTTTCTGCCACCATTTTATTATGAAACTATTCAAACATACAGGAGATTGAAAGAGCCATACAGTGAATACCTATTCAGACTTCCAGTTCCCAAAACTGTTAGAAGTTTCAGTTGCTTAAGTCACCCAGCCTGTGGTACCTGTTATAGCAGGCCGAGCTGGCTAAAACACATACAGTAGTCCCCGTAAATACCATCCACTATGTAGATTCCATACTTAACAGTTTGCCATATTTGCTTTATCATAAATCTATCCATCTATCCATAACTCCATCCACCCATTATTCCATTATTCCTTTTTTTTTTTTTTTTTTTTTTTGTTGTTGATTCAGGGTCTCACTACGTTGCTCAGGCTGGTACTTGAACTCTTGGTTTCAAGTGATCCTCCCGCCTCGGCCTCTCAAAGTGCTGCAACCTGGATACTTGTGTTGTGCAGAGGGAACTAGAAATCAAAAGCAGCCCTGAGAAAGAAGAGCAGTCACAGAAGTACAACGTCCCCTGGAAAGGGAGCCTTGAGAGGGGAGGCCACCACTTCAAACCCACCCAGCTCGCCCGAGCAGCCAAGGAAGAGCAAGCTCTCTCTGCAGGATCTGTGTAGAAAGGTGTTATGGTGTTGGCTTTCTAGCACTAATGGGTTCAGACTGTTTCCTGGGTCTTCCGTCTGATGGTCTCTGAGCTCCCCAATTTATGCACATGCCCTGAAGATGCACTGTGTTGATTTGATGGTGCTGAGCTTTATGAAAGGGGGGAAGGTGAGTGTGGACTGGGGATAGGAGGCAGGACCACATCCTGCTAAACTCTGGGACTACTTAGGGGCCCTTCCAGACAGCCGTCCCTGAATTTCCCCCACTTTTCCCTGTCCAGTGTTTGACACTCTTGCTTTTTCTCCTAACAGCATCTCTCTGCCTCTTCTTTCCCTAGAGTTCTGTAAGCTTTTCCAGGACAATCTTGGGCACGTAAGGCAAATGGAGCTTAGAATTCTGGGCTCTGGTGAGAAGATGCTTTGTTCTGGCATCTGAGAAATGACGTGCAAGTGGGGAGCCACCCTCCACAGAAGGAGCCCTGTGACTCACGTGGAGCTCGGGGGGGCCCTTGAAGGACTTATGGTTTAACAAGGCCCAGGGGTCCATGAAAACCTCTGCAGAGGTCAGCCATCCTGAGCCTCCCCCTTAGCTGTCCCTGTTGTTTCCAGCCTTGTGAACCTATGGTGTCACTTCACTGCCTCTCTGAGCCTTAGTTTCCTCAGCCATCAAATTGTGCTGTTGCTCCCTGTCCCTTTCCTGTACATGCCCAGGAGATGAACATGAGATGTACAGGGAATAAACAGGAAATGCACATGAGATGCATATGAGATCAATGTCTTTGAAAGCGCAAATTACAAACTTATGGCAACAGTAGATGTTAAGATGTTATTAATCCCAGAAAGCTAACAGGCTGGATGCACATCAATGGCCCTGAAGCAGTTTGAGAATGGAGAGAGTCCGGCTCAGCTACCGAGCCTTACTCCATCACGAAGCCCAGAAGGGCAGGTAAACAACCTCCCCTCGAGGGATGCAGAGGGCCCCATGAGCTCGCTATATCCCCTTCCTTTCAGGATTTGGAGGGAAAATGCCTTCATTTTCTGTGTAACCAGCCTGAACTGAAACACATATCACTTTGTGCCAAGTTCTAGGGGCTTGAGTTTCCTTTACTGAGGGCACCACTCCCATGTGTCAGTGGGAACCGGATCAGCGGGAGCTTAGTGGTTTTACTTGAGGGGAACCTACAGGAAATAATTTAAGAAGATAATAAGGGGGATTTTTCCTGTCTAGAAATGAGGCCCATGAGTCTTTGCAAATGACATTACTCTCTGATTCAGAAATAAATGCAGGAAAATGGCCTCAGTTGTTTTGCCAAGTCAGTGCGATTGGCCGTAGACACTCTCAGATTAGTATGGAGCTTCCACGCCTTATACTTTGCCCAGGATCCGAGGCCCTGCACAACGTCCTGCCTGTCCTAATAATTCTCTTTCCCAGCATCCAGTACTCGCACACAGTCAGGATCCCTCCTGAGCCCACGCTTTCCTGTTCTCTCATTCTCCATTGTCTTCTTTGCCCCCATTAGATTTGCACAGTTGTTCAGAATTTCATTATCATCAGAACTAAAGTTATAAGCTAATGCCCACTGAGGTAGAGGGTACTTTGTGAGGTACCCTCCTCCTCGTAAACAATTTTTTTTTTTAAGAAACAGTTTAACTCAAAAGGGCAACTAGTTTTGAAATTCAGCATTCAGCTGTCTGCCCAGGAATTTGTAGGTGGGAAAAGGGATTGTTCGATACCTAGAAAAAAAATAATTAGGCTGAGCACAGTGGCTCACATAATCCCAGCACTTTGGGAGGCTGAGGCAGGGGGATAGCTTGAGGCCAGAAGTTTGAAACCAGCCTAGTCAACATGAGATTCTTTTCTGAAAAAAAAAAAAAAAAAAAATTAGCTGGTGTGATGACACATGCTTCTAATTCCATCAGTTTGGGAGGCTGAGGTGGAAGGATCACTTCAGCCCAAGAATTCAAGGCTGCAGTGAGGTATGATTGTGCCATTGCACTCTGGCCTGGGCAACAAAGCAAGACCCTGTCTCGAAAGAAAGAGAGAGGGAAAAAGAGAATGAGAGAGAAAGAAAGAGAGAAAAGGAGAGAGAAAGAAAGAGAGCGAGGAAGAAAGAGAAAGGGAGAGAGAAAGAGAGAGAGAGAAAGGGAGAGAGAAAGAAAGAAAGGGAGAGAAAAAAAAGAAAGGAAGGAAAAAAGAAGGAAGGGAAAAGGAGGAAAGGAAAGAAAAAAGGAAGGAAGGAAAAGAAGGAAGGAAAGGAGGGAGGAAGGAAAGGAGGGAGGGAGGGAAAAAGGAAGGAAGGAAATAACTAGAATAATGGTGCCTAGGGAAATATCTAATCCAATCTCTTCATTTAATAGGCCTAAGCCCAGTGACTACCGATTAAACAAATAAACTAATGAATGAGTAAATGGACCTGAAGAGTTGGAGTTGTCACTGAGATCACCTAGGGTTCAAGGCCAACACTCTCACTTTCTAGGTGAAGGAGCTGAAGCTTAAGCTACAACCTGCCCAAGTAAAATCACGATCAGTGACAAGGAACACTGAAGGTGGAGTCTCCAGGTCCCCAGTGCCCTTAGCAGATGAGCCTCTCCCACTCCAGTCACACCAGGCCCGAGTCCAGGGTGAGGGCCCCGCCTGGGCTAGAACCGGGGCTCTTCGCTTTTCTCTGCTTCTCATTGCCATCTGTATCACATTGCCAAGGCTCGCTTTGAAGCTCTGAGGGCAGCTTTCCTCACTCCCACAACTGACATGAGGGATGTATAATAATATCAGCCCGGGAGAGAAGCCCTCCCGGCCTGGTTCTCACGATTCCCATGTCCTGTGCCCTGGCCATCATCCTATCTCTGATCAGTATCCAGTAAACAGAAAAGAGCCTGCTTTCCACCATCACAGATTAAGTGACACCAGTGAGGAGCTACATCTTTCACTCTTCCTTTGAAATGAATCCTCCCTCCCATCCCTGCTCTTTGTCCCATGAGAGGAATGTGGAATGGGGGTGGGGCAGAGACTTCTTTTTCACATCCAAGCAGGGGGAAGTCCAGGCCCTTTTGCTGCTGAGAGAGCAGGGAGTGATGGAAAGATTAAAGCAACACTTCACTTTAGAGCATTTTCATCTTTATGGTTATGGTTTTTTAGCCCATGAAATGATCATCCCAGAGGGAAAACAACGCGACCCAGACATGCAGAATGTGGACAGCACTCCCTCCAGCAAAGGGGAGGGAGGTGCTGTTTTCTGCATTTCATATCCTGAGGCCATTTCCCCAAGTCATCATCTGCCTTTGAGATCCCTGATTTCTGAAATACCAAATCTAGGTGGTTACTAAGACCAGAACTTCAATCATTTCTGAAGTGTGGGGATGCGAGAGGAGAGCCCATTTCAATGGCTTTCAATCCAGTGGAAAGATGGAGGGAAAACCCTGAGCTAGACACACTTGTCCTGGTTCTCAGCAGCCGCTCACAGAGAGCATGGGAAAGCAATTTCAATTTCAGCCTGCAGTTAGAGTTCCCAAACTTAACTGGGTCAATGTACATTGAACCCACTTACAGTAACTTCCAGTTAAAGCACTACTTAACCTCATATGAAAACTCTGTTTCTTTGTGGTTCTCCCAGTTATCAACATATGGTATAAGAAGTATTGACCACAGGGTACCAAAGCATGATCAAGGCTGAGGGGAATATGCTTAAAGGCGGGGTGTGGGGTGGGCAGTGACAGGCACAGGTGGCTTTGCCCAGTGCATCTTAAAGTTGCTGTCTTTACACCAGGATGCGGCAAGAGTGCTTCCTAAGAAATGAGGCTTCACTGATAGAAAAAGATTTAGAATGGGGGACGTGACTGATTCTATATCTCTTTTTATTATTTTTTCCTTTATTTTTAATTTTTTCTTTAAAAGATGGAGTCTTGCTCTGTTGCCCAGGTTAGAATGCAGTGGTATGATCGTAGCTCACTGCAGCCTCAAACTCCTGGGCTCAGGTGATCCTCCCATCTCAGAGGGTTTTAGGGATGCAGTTAGTCTCCTGAGTAGCTGAGACTTCAGGCACCTGTCACCATGCCCAGCTGTTTTTTCACTTTTTGTAGAGATGGGTTCTCACTATATTGCCCGGGCTGGCCTCCAACTCCTGGTCTCATGCGATCTTCCCATCTCAGCCTCCTGAGTAGCTGAGACTACAGGCATGCACTGCCATGCCTGGCTAAAGATGCTGTATCTTTTGATGTTAAAATCACAGCTCAATGACAAGATTTTTCTTTCTACCAGACAAGTTTTCATCATGTGAACTGGATAGAAGAAATCAGTTCATTAGAGTGTATTTTTGCTTTATGTGACTTCTGAGCATGCTATGGGCTGATAGTGTGGTCTCAACTGGGAGATAGCCTGGTGTGCAGCAGTCAGCCCAGAGCACACAGCGACCACTCGGGGCCATTGTTTTCCTTTGATTTTCACTGATGGTTGTCAATGCTGGCTTCCTTTTACTTTTCCAGCGTCAGAACTTGTTGATTTTCGTCTGGGCTTACGTGCAGTTCAGAATTTGCTCAATGTTTAGTTTCCTTTCCCCCTCCTCCCATTTATGATAAACCTGTTTATTATTTTTAGGTTGCAAAATCAAAATAAGCTTACAAAGACATCTTTGCTGTTGAAATTCCTGCTGAAAATAAACAACTTTGTAGCTGGGAGCCTGAAACTCTAGCTTCTAACCACTCCCTCATACCATCACCACCAACTTTTTCTCATTGAAATGACCTATACAGATTGTGATTAAAAAATAATACTGCAAAGGGTTTTAGGGATGCAGTTTTCCTATTACAGCAGTAGTCAGCTTGGGATATTATTGTTTTGCAAGACTTTGATAAGCTAAAGTGAATTCCAAGATGCACAGAAGGGTGCAGGTCTAGAAATCAATTGGAAGGAGCAGAAGGGATTAAGGCTGTTGGGCTCACAGAGAAGTGGAAGGTCCGTCATGCAGATGTATTTTTTAGACCTAATCTGTGTTTCTGCAGGACGCAGACCACAAGGTCAATGTTTTAGGGAATGAGATTTCAGCTCTGTGCAAGCAAGAGTTTTCTAATAATTAGAGGAGAGCAGAAAAGAAATGGGCTGCTTTGAGAGGGAGTGATCTCCACATCCATGAGCGAATCCAAGCAGAAAGTAGATAACCTCGTGTCGAGAAGTTTAGAAAAGGATTCTCTCTTATAACGCTGAGATGTGTTCTCCACTATGATCTCAAGAGTGTCAGAGGGTACACAGGTAAGAGGGAGAGGGTCAGAGGCAGATAAACAGTAGAGAATCATGCTGAATGCAACAAGCCAGACACGAGAGACCACAAAACTGTCTCAGATGGAGAGCTTTGCACACTTCTGCAAGATCGGCTTCTCCAGACCCATGGACTCCTCTGTGAGCCAAACTTCTTTGCTCTTCTCCACTCCCTGACTTGATTTCTACACCTTTCACCCTTCTGGTCCCATCTTGGAATTCAATTATGCTATCAAAATTTCTCCCCTGACAGAGTCTGGAATGTCTTCTCTAATGGGCCCGCACTGAATGCCTCAAGCTCTGATCCTGCAGGAACAGATCCCACCAGGGATTCTTGGTGAAGCCACACCATGCATTAAGAAAAATTACCTGGGCCAGGCGCAGTGGCTCATGCCTGTAATCTCAGCACTTTGGGAAGCTGAGGCAGGAGGATGTCTTGAGCAGGTGTTCGAGACCAGCTTGGGCAACATAGCGAGACCTCATGTCTACAAAAAATTAAAAAATTAGGCATTTTGTCACATGCCAGTAGTCCCAGCTGTTTGGGAGGCTGAGTCAGGATGATCGCTTGAGTCCTGGAATTCGAGGTTGCAGTGAGCTCTGATCGTGACACTGCACTCCAGCCTGGGTAACAAAATAAGACCCTGTCTCAAAAAAATAATAATAAATAAATAAATAAATAAACAAAGCAAAGCTAAACTACCTGGAGCACCTGCCCCTGTCATGTGCATTTGGGCCCTGACTCACTAGTGGGGATCACTAAAGACCTCACTGGCCTGCCTGGTGGTGTGACAGGAAGGCTTGGCGTTTCTGCAAGTGAGACTTGAATGCGTTGGTCTGAGAAACTCCAACTACATGAAGGCAGATGCTTCGCCTCTTGGTTTCTCAACCAAATTGTGCTCCAGGGGACTCCTAATCCACATCTTTCCTACTAATTTACCCTTCATTCATCAAAATATGATTTCATAAGAGTGTTTTGATGTCTAAGAAGTCTGAGTCTCATGAGTCTCTTAAGCCCTTTCCTGCTTTGTATCATGAAATTGTGTGCTCCCAGTGTTTAGTGGCACTAGGAGCTGGGAGAGTAGCCTTGTAAACAGTTCTCTGCCCAATACTTGCAGGCCAATTGTGATTATGCCAGGTAGCAAGAAGGCAAGCCATTTTTCTTTACATTATTCATTGGGCCCTCCTTCTAGGGAGGGTCCACCTCCATTGGAAATTTAGTAAACCATACCATTCATTCACTCTCTCAATCAACAACTTTTAAATAAGCATGTACTATGAACCAGGCATTGTCCCAGTGGTAGGCATCCAACATGAACTACACTCAGCTCTAGCTCTTAAAGAGCTCACATACTAGCAAAGAAGATATTTGTGCAAATAAGACCATCACCACCAGGGTGGTAAGTCCAGATCTGATAAAATGCAGTGTAGTATGGAATGAAGGATGCGCACCTACCCAGGCTAGGGTAGAAAAGAGATAGTCAGGAAAGACTTTTGAAGATGCCCAGAAATGATCACGTCTAATAAATAGAGGTGGTCAGAAAATAAATGGACTCCCTTGTGAGGGATCTCCACATGAAGTCATCTTGTGATACAAAGTGTAAATTCTCAACTGTTTTTTAATGTCTCTTGCACCAGCCAATTACAATATTTTATAGATAGAGAAAGCACAAAGGAGAAGGTGGAAAGAAAAGAAGGAACATAAAAGTTTTCAACTGGTCAAGGGCTGACCAGGGTGCTTCGATAAGGGATACTTTGGTATGTAAGGTCCATTAATATGAGAACCGATTGGACTTTCTTTTCTTTAAAGAAACACAAACTTTCATCCTCAGCCTCAGAGTTTTTTCAGCAGTGGCAATCCACTGACTTCATGACCTGGGAGCGTCGCCACAGCTTGGGAGCTGCTGGCTGGCTGAGAAGACAGGGGCATCCCCCAGGCTGGTATATTTTATGTGTAATTCAAGGACGATCCTAAGAAAAAGTATTGTTATCTTTACCTATCTGAATTATAAATGATGATATTTGGTGTAGATTCCAAATTCCGTCTTCATTCGTATGCCTCTATCACTAACAGATCTTTTTAATCATTTTTTCTGATGATAAAAAATACCTTTATAGTAGAAATTTTTGTTCACAAAATAAAATTGTAAAGGTGAAAATAAAAGTCACTTATAACATTACCCAGAATAACCAATTAGACATTTTGAATATTTGCCTTTCTGATGACCTCTGATTAAGTCAAACACTGTGTGAAAGTGTGAGGAATTTTGAAGTCCCATGATAAATAACCGACAGAGGCTTTGCTTCTAACAATTCAACTTGCTCATTCTGTACTTTCATAGCCCAGAGTGAAAAATTGCTCTAAATCACTCATGAGTTCCTTCACCCGAGTAGTGGCCAGCTCACCAGCTAGATCCAACCCTGGGAGGGACAGGGCACTTAGACAAGGTGGCTGCTGACACCACACTGAACTCACAGCATCCAACCCCAGTTTACATACTTAAAATGTTGCCAACTCCTAAGAAAACCTTGAAAAAGAGAACTCCATTTTCCATTCTGAATGAAAAAGTCATGAGATTTTCTTGTGATATATGAGGAGAGGCAGAAGGCAAATATTTCTCTTTTTGTCCTTAAAACTAAAAGGAAAACCAACTGTATGTTCTCCTTTCAAAGTGTGATAAATTGTTGTATTCACTCTCTTCTCAAAAGACAAATACCATTTTCTGATTTACTAGGGTACTAGTGTGTTCTTTGTGGTTGGGGCCAAAATTTGAATAAGCCTTGCCAAATCACTTTAAAGTTTAGCTTGAATCTTGTTTAAATTCCTTATCACTCAGATTTAACTCAATACATATTCTTTTTCACAGGGTAGGGAAATGACTGGTTAAGAGATAAATGAAAATCAGGGTGCTCTGTGACTTTCCATTAGTTTGATAACCTTTCTGAGCCTTCGTTTCCTCACTGAAGAATGGTAACAGTAAGAGTACCCACATGTGGTAGATTGCAAAAATGTCCACAGTCTTTACTCCATGTCTGCATTTTCTTTGCAATGGGACTTTGCAGCTCCTTCTGTCAAGAAGTGAAGTCTGTTTCCTACCCCTTTAATCTGGTCTAGCCTGGTGACTTGCTTTGGTCAGTAAAATGTGATAGAAGTGACAGTGTGCCAGTTATGAACCTAGACCTTAAGATGGCTTGCCTGCTTCCACTTTCTCAGAACCATGCCCAGCTGCCATATGAACAAGTCTAGGCTACTGTGTTCAGGAATGAGAGATCACACAGAGCAGAGACAAGCCATCCCTGTTGAGGCTATCCTAGACCAGAAAGCCCCCAGCCAAACACCATTCAAACACAAATACATGAATAAGCACAATCAAGACCAGAAGAACCACTTTGCTGAGCCCAGTCCAAATCATTGAACAGCAGAATTGTGAGCAAAAATGAGTGCTATTGTTTAACACTATTAAATCTTAAAGTAATTTGTTATAAAGTAAATGCTAATTGACACACTAGCTCCTATAAGCTTCTTGAGAAGTTTTTTTAAACTAATATTTGTAAAATATTTGTAACTGTTTCCATCACTATGTAAGCTCTAAATTTAGTGTTTATTTTCATAATCATTATTATTATTAAAGTTTCATGCAATCCTCACATTTCCATGATCTACTGGGAAAGAACAAAAAGAAAAGTCTCAAATATTAACTTGAGTAGGATATTTTGACTTGTATTTCAGCTGCAATCCAAAATGATGAGCAAATTCTAAGTTTATCTGTACTGACACTTTTGTTGTAATACTAATGGTGCCAACGTGACTACTAATGTTGCCAATGTGACTAGGATCTTTTGGCATCTGAACAAGTATTTTTGCTGACTGTCAAGACTTTAACCTTACAAGAACTTACTCTTTTGCCAGGGAAATTGAAATTGTTTAAACTTCTTAAAAGAAAGTATCATTCTGATTTGCTTAGACCACCCTGGTTGGAAGTGTACTACGTTGAGACCAGGCATGTCCTAAGCAAAATTCACTCATTTCACTGTCCATGCTGGAAATCAGCTGAGTCATCTAAAGTAAGGTTGAATATAATTTCAGAACTGAAAAATAGTTCTTATTCCTTGTAGGAACAAGTATTTAATATATATTTATATTTTAGTACAATTATTCATAATGTTAGATTACAGCAATTACTGTTTTTATGAACATAACTTTCCTATAGCTTGTTAGAAGTAATTTTATATGATTACCTGTGTAACCAAAAGCCTAAAAAATTACAAACCTGATCAATAAATTACACACCTGAGACTGCTTTTTCACAGTGTCTGGGGGCTAGAGACAGTCTCTCTGCATGTCTTTAGAAAGTACATGTGATTGTCAAGGGCTGCTGGAATATATTTCATTTGGCAAATCCTTCACTTTAATTTTTCTCTATTGCCACCTGTTAGTATAGCAACCTTCACTTTATAAATAATACAACCTTATAGTGGTCTCATGGGTTTTGGTTTACAAAGTGCTTGTATACATCATACCATTGTATTTACAAGCAACACTCAAGTCACCTACTTAGTAAGTGACAGCACCAGGTTCAAACCCAGATTTTCTGATTCTAATCAGGCTGAAGGGCATCAGACACATCTATTCATTTATTTATTTCAGACAAGATCTCTCTCTGTGGCCCAGGCTGTCGTGCAGTGGTATGATCATGGCTCACCACAGCCTTGACATAACGGACTCAAGTTATCCTCCCACTTCGGCCTCCCAAGTACCTGGGACTACAGGGACAAGCCACTGCACCTGACTAATTTTTTTTTTTAAGAGATGGGGTCTTACTATAAGGCTCAAGCTAGTCTTGAACTCCTGGACTCAAGGGATCCTCCTCCTTCAGCCTCCCAAAGTTTTGGGTTTACAGGTATGGAGCATTGTGCCTGGCCTAAATTTATCTATCTATCTATCTATTTATTTATTTACAGATGGTGTCTTACTCTGTTGCCCAGGCTGGAGTGCAGTGGCACGATCTCGTGTGTCTGGCCTAATTTTGAATCCTGGCTTTACCATATATTAGCTATATGAACTTGACAAAATTATTTAACCTTTCTGAATCTCATCTTTTTACATATATGGAAGAGGGATTATAAGATTACATATCTCATAGAATTGTAGTTAAGATTAAATAAAATGATCTGCGTAAAGTGCTTAGCAACAGAAGCATTTAATAAATGTTAATTGTCTTTAACATTTTGATATCATTACTACTATCATTATCCTGGTAGTAGGCTGAGGTGGCTAGAGTCCTTGAACTTGAGAGTTCAGTGTCTGAGAATGTTCTTAGAATTCTTTCAAGGATGCCAATTTCTCTATCCTCTTGATGTGATGCTTGGCTAACTGTACCATTCCACCCAAATGTGAGATGGACAAAGATGAGGCCTAACATGGACTGCATTTACTATCTTTTGTGGTTGGGATTTTGGGGCATGTGTGAGCAGTAATGTAGTGGTGCATAGAATTTTCTCTCTCAACTGTTATGTTTTCTTACAAGAAAAATTCATTGTTACTGGAGACATATTTGTGATAGAGGGGAATTCAGGGTAAGTTTAATCCATTCTTTGACCCCTCCATTCAGTCTGATAACAGTTTACCATAATGTGACTGAAAGATAACATCACTGGGAGGTGGGCATTTTCCACTGAAAATTGCTTTGTAGGTTCTAAGCAATGAAAGAAGATAGTGTTTGCACATTTGTTTGGTCTCTTCCCTACAATTCTCTTTCATCCTACACTTACATAGAACTTACTAATTGCTGTTTATTATCATCTTAAAATCTCTCCATTGCTTCAAGGATTTTCAGCTAGAATTGCATGTGAATTTCTATGCACACTGTGGGTGTGTGTGTGTGTGCATGCCTGTGTGTGTTCTTTTGTCTGCCTAGAATACTCAGCTTATTCCACAGTCTAGCAAGTTACACTCCATTCTTTAAGAGTTATTTCAGGCATCGTCTTATGATGGTCAACTTGACTGGGTCAGAGGGTGCCCAGACGTTTCAACCCCTATTCTGGATGTGTCTGTGTTGGTGTTTCTGGATGAGATTGACATTTGAATCACAGACTGGGTAAAGTAGATTTCCTTCTCAAATGTAAGTGGGCCTCATCCAATCAGTTGAAGGCCTGACTAGAACAAAAAAACTGATCCTCCCACAAGTAGCAGAGAACTGTCTCACTGCTTATAGCTGGGACGTTGGTTTTGTTCTGTCTTTGGACTTGAACTGAAACATCAGCTCTTCTTTGTTTGCAAGCCTGTTGGCATTTGAACTGCAACTACAACATTAGCTCTCCTGGTTCTCAGGCATTCAGACTTGGACTAGAACTGCACATCAGCTCTCCTGGATCTTGTCAGCCTTTATAGTTGCATAAGCCAATTTCTTACATATTTGTGTAAATCTCTTTACAGCTGTATCTATATCCATCCACCTAAATCAATCTATCTATCCATATCTATCTGTCATATTGGTTCTATTTCTCTGAAGAACTCTGACTAATACACGCTTTCTCCAGAAGTCTTTCAGGACATCCTCTCTGTCCCCTCCCCACTTCCCACTGCTGATTGGGTTAGAGTCTTTTTCTTGATGCCACTATAATTACTTACACAGTTTTCTACCTCACCCCTCATCACATAGTGCTAAATTGTCTGTTCTTACATCTGTTTTCTGCACTCTACTGTGAGACCTTTGAAGGCAGCAACTGTCTTAGTCACCTTTGTAACTTGCTACTAGTGCAAGTGTCCAGTGAATAATCTTTAAAGGAAGAATAAACTGAATTGCCCAACTATTTCCTTGCCTGTACTAATTACTGACAGTTCCCTTTGAGGAGCGTATTTGAACTAATTATTTCATTTTCTGTCCTGCTTCGTTATTCTCTTTCCAAAGAGTATATGGTAAATTTCTCCATCCAAAAATATACTGTGCATTTCTAGCATATATCTCATGTTAGTTGCAAACTTTTCTAGTTCCGTTGTACAATATTTTGACTATTCTCCCCAAGTAATAAAAAATGGATAAATATGGCCGGGCGCGGAGGCTTACGCCTGTAATCCCAGCACTTTGGAAGGCCGAGGTGGGTGGATCACGAGGTCAGGAGATGGAGACCACTGTGGCTAACACGGTGAAACCCCGTCTCCACTAAAAAATACAAAAAAATTAGCCGGGCGTGATGGCGGGCGCCTGTAGTCCCAGCTACTTCGGAGGCTGAGGCAGCACAATGGAGTGAACCCAGGAGGTGAAGCTTGCAGTGAGCCGAAATTGCGCCACTGCACTCCAGCCTGGGCCACAGAGTGAAACTCTGTCTCAAAAAAAAAAAAAAAAGAGGATAAATAAAACAAAGGAAACCAAGGAATACACATTGAATTGAAAATTATATGTATTGATAAATTTTGTGCACATTTATTCATGTAATTAAACATATACAGGTGTATTAAGGTGTAGTGTATATCATGTGTATAATATAGACATACACATGTGTATCTACAGATATGTGTATCTATCTATCAATTTCTCATTAATATTCTGAAACTGATGACTATACACATTGGAGCTTGAGAAAGTCCCTATGTCCCTAAATCTTCAGTCTTACTGAGACTTTCTGTGACAGCTGCAGTGGCAAAGTCACTCAAAGTCACAGCTGTTTAGGGTGCCTATTTCTTTCCAGTGCCCAGGGTCTCTGCAGTGAGACTTAGCTATTAAGTCATCTAGGGCTTCTGAACCTCCAATCTCAGCAAAAGACTTGCTGGGATATTGTTATTTTTTCTTCTTAGTAAGAATATTTTAAAAAACCAACAACCCCTGCTTCTCCATAGATATTCAAGGCACTTCTCATGTGGATGGCAGAGAACACTGGAGACATCTGGGCAATAAGAACTCACAGGGCTGCAGTGCTGTGGCTCGGCCCCTTTCCCAGGGGCAGCTGCTTTGGGTGGAGGCAGCTCTGGAGTCAGGCTCACTGTGAGTGAGCTGGGATGAGGCTGGGCACTCACCTTTCTTACCCAGGAGGGTCCATCAAGCCTCATCAAGATGCTCCCCTAAATCCAAGAATCATCTGTTCCCAATTAGAATTTGGCTATTTCCCCAGAAGGCAGAAACCACTGCCATCAGTTTTTGCTTGAATAGCCTTTACTTTTCTTCTTGCTGTATCTGGATGCACAGCCCCAAACCTGGTGATTGACACGTTAAAAAATGATGAATTGAATGAAATAAATGAAATTACAGAATTTGAGAACGATGAGAAGAGGGGAATGACATCCAACTGGATATTTTCTTCCTAAAACTTCCTAGACCTTGACTATTTTTTTTAAAATGATGCAGAAGAAAGTCAATTGGTTAAAAAAATAAAGTCTAAAAAGAAATGGACTGAAGATGGAATCCCAGGAGCTCAATCTCCTCAGAGATTGCTGCCTGCTCCTCAGGGATAAATCTAATCTTGTAGGATAATAGCTCTAAATTTCTTTGAAGATTTGTAATTTTTAACCAAAAATCTTAAGCTTGCTAACACTCCTACATTTATTTCTTTATTTTTTATATTTTTGAGACAAGATCTTGCTCTGTTGCCCAGGCTGAGTGCAGTGGTGCGATCATAGCTCACTGCTGGGTTCAAGTGATCCTCTGTCTCAGCCTCTGGAGTAGCTGGGATTACAGGCATGTGCCACCATGCCTGGCTTCCCTCTGACATCTGTAACCTGAGATAAAGTCAGCATTCTCACCTTCAGTCTTTCATCTCAGCCATCAGTAACGAAGAGCAAGCCTGCACCTGAAACCGCGTTTGTGTTAAGACTGAGTAAATGAATGGAAAGAGAGTGAATGTATTCTACTCAATGACTGCATGTTAATTTCTGACTAGTTTTTACCTTATCTATAGTTGTTAACATTAAACTCCAAATGGACTGAAAAGATGAGTTAGAGTAATGGTCTATTTATGTTAGAGCAGTTGCCTTCTTTGGTTGATCACTAGTGCCTTCTTATGTCAAATATCCCACAGATAATTTTGAAAACTTTATAGATACACAAGGAAGTGTTTCTCTACTGAAAATACCATGGTGTCTTCTTGGCCATGGCCTGAAACTCTGGAGTTCATTTGTTTGGTTACAAAACTGCTTAATGTGAAAATGGTTTGAGATCCTAGTAAATTTTTTAAAAGATTTTGCTCTATTTCTCAACAGAGACACAAGGAGTAGGATGCCTAAGCAAGGATTTAAAAAGGGCCTCGATACATGGGAGCTTCATTCCCAAATAATCCTTCTCTTAAAAAGTCAAATGCAAGTGGGGCATTTTATAGTTACAAATGCAATCATTGACATAGGCAGTGATCACCGATGGGTAGTAATACCACTGGATGAACGTTGTTGAAAAGCAGAGAGTCACAAGGTTTTCACATGCTATTCCTCTGATTAGTAATTATTTACAGAGAGGAAAAGATGCCTTCACAGTGGAGAAATCCGTTGGATAAGTAATCAAATTGAATATTTATTTTTTATTTTTTTGAGATAGCAATGTGCTCTGTTGACCAGGCTGGCATTTCTAATCATGGAACACATGGCATGTAGTTTCTGATGTGATACACTGGGAAGGACTCAGTATTACCTATGTGTGGTTCTTCCCCACAAATACATAAGCTGAATCTAACTAAGAGGAACAAATCAGACATTTCCAAAAATTGTATGTCACATTCCATAAACCAGCTGGCCTGGATTCTTTAAAATTGCCTATGCTGTGTGATATGGTTTGGCTCTGTGTCCCCACCCAAATCTCTCAAATTGTAATAATCCTCATGTGTCAAGGGAGGGAGGTGGTTGGATAATAGGGGCAGTTTCCCTCTAATGAGTGAATTCTCATGAGACCTGATGGTTTTATAAGTTTTTGGAAGTTCTTGCTTCACTTCCTCTTGCCTGTCGCCATGTAAGACATGCTTGCTTCCCCTTGACCTTCCGCCATGATTGTAAGTTTCCTGAGATCTCCTAGCCATGCTTCCTGTTAAGCCTGCATAGTGATGAGCCAATTAAACTTCTTTCCTTTATAAATTACCCAGTCTCATGTATTTCTTTTTTTTTTCAGGTGTTTCTTTATAGCAGTGTGAAAATGGACTAATACACCAGAAAGAAAAATAAATGCAAGGGAATTTTCTGGGTTAAAGAAAAATAAAGGAAAGTGACAAATAAATGTAATCTAAGATCTTCAGTCTTTGATCTATGATCCTGGATTTTTTTTAAAGCTAAAGGTATAAACTATAGATTAAATAATAGTCTTCATTCAATGTTAAATTTCTTGAGGTAATGATAGCATTGTGATTATGTAGGAGAATGTCCTTATTCTTAGGAGATACATCCTAAAGTATTTAGGAATGAATTGTTATAACATCTGCAACTTGCTTTCAAAGGGCAAAGCAGAGATATATATGTAATATACATGTATGTGTATAGGCACACACATAACTATATATAAAACTATACATATGTGTGTGTGGAGAGTCAGAGAAAGAAAACACACAAAAATAATTTTTTAAATATAGGAGAGGAAGCTCAGCTTAATCGACAGGGTCTCTGCACAAATGCAGGAGGCTTGGCAATTGTCTGTTTCCTAGAGAATGTCAGGTGATCTACACCACCCTACCAGCTGGAGAGAGAGATGACCAATATCTTCCTAACTTACATGTTATTTCTTCAAGACACCCCATAAATTGGGGCTTGTGTAACATCTTAATTTTTCACATAGTGGTTTTGGCAAGAGAACATATTTCGTTATTTTACTAATATGGCCCCGGGGCCAGACTACCCAGCTTTTAATCCAGGCTATTAACTTTCTAGCTGTGTAGATCTGGGGAAGTTACTTAATCTCTCCTGATATCAGTATCACCTTTCGTCAAAGCGGTAGAACAGCAGTAACTATCTCATAGGGTTATGATAAGGACTAAAGGAAATAAGAAATATAAAGCTCTTGGCATGGTGCCGTGTGCGTAGTAAGCACTCAATAAATATTTGCTACTATTAATACTAGTGTCATGCATGCTACTCAGATTTCACAACTACAATAATAAAAGTCACCAACAAATATTTATGAATAACACCCCATGTACCAGGCACTGCTGTTGTTCTTTAAACATCAACGCAGGCCCCTGCCCTAACGGAGCTGGCATCATAGTCAACAATTTCCATAAGCCAGGATCATTCTAAGCACCATGTAGAATTAACTCAATTATCAGAATAACTCTGACTCAAGAAGTCTCACTTCAAACATTCTGTTGGTGTCTTTGCTTGCTGGAATTTTCTGAGGCTTCTGAAAAATAACTGAGTTAAAATTAGTGTATATATATATGTATACGTTGGGGGTGGGGTGGGGAAGAGTTTCTTTTGCTGTATTTTGTTTTGCTTTTCCAACTCCATGAACCTGTTTAATAACAAAAACCATTTTCTGGTTGAGCCAGCTCTGAAGGGTCCAGTAGAAACAGCCAATGAAGCCCACTCCTCGTTGCAGGTCAGTGATGTTCTCCAGAATGGGGCAGGTCAGAAGAAACTAACGGGAAAGTGACACAAAGAATAAATCCAACCTCCCTTTACTGTAGACTGATTTTTCAGGATATTGGTTCATAAGGTTCAGAATTTCTACCAGGTTTCTTCACTGTAGCCAGTGATGTTATGATTATACTGGTTGGAGAAGAGAAAGCAGTTGGCATTTAGGGAGTATGGTGCTCGATGCTGTATTCTAAATTCGGAATCATCCCCCTTCCCTGCTCTCTGGACTCCCCTTGCAGCTGCCCTGTGTGATGCGTTCCAGCTCTATGCCAGGGGTCTCTGCTCACTTGCCTGTTTAGCCCAGTAGGAGTCACAGGGGAGATTCAGTAAACTTGTCAGCAGTTTGTCATTTATTCTTTTACTTGCAATTCCAGACCCAAAGATGTGTCTTGAACACTCTTGATGTGTTGCTTCACTCTGTGCACCTGCAGATAATTTCTCAGACCCTCTCAAATCGTTTTTACCCCCATGCAACCTCAAGACACCTTTCCAAATACATTTCCTTTCATTTTATAAACCCTGAGTATTTCCAAGAAAATGTTGTTTATATGTTTCTGTTTTGTGTCCACTTATCTCATCCTACTGTTTAGTAAGAAAAATTAGTGTTATTCAAGAAGTCTCATCATCTGTCTTTCCTTTTCGTTGAGAGAAAGGATGGCCACAGTCTTAACCAAGTTCAAGTCTGGCTGGAAACCCAAAGCCACAGGGTATTTTTTACTTTGCAAATGTTCGTCTTCCTGATCAAAGAGCCCAGGCTGAAAACTCAGGGAAGGCAGTACCAGAATGGACAAAACAGAAGTACCCAACTACATTAACCGTATAAATTAACAATTTATCTTCTATTGACAATTTTGTCTTGAATACTTAAAATATTCTTATCCTCTAATCCCAAAATTCTACTTCTGGGAAATTGTCCTAAGGGCATGGTCAGATAAACACCAACAAATTAATGAACACTGTAATATCATTTAGCATAGTGAAAAATCTGAAAATTTATTTGAAACTAAATATCTGACATTATGATATTGGTAAAACAAATTATGGTATGTCCAAAACATAAAATAATGTGTAACCATTAATGACTGTTTAGTAAAAGAAGATTTAGTGACATAGGAAAATGCTTACAACATATTAAATAACACTATGTACGTCAGTTACAAAGCTAATTACAAAAAGGTGGCCTGGGAGTTATTTAAAATTGATGGGAGAGAATAAACTGATGGAATGTTTAACTGTGACTTCCATGGTCAGCTGTGGGATCTTTGCCTCAGAAGGAAAGGGAATTTCTCTCCATGTACCAAAAATGTATCCAGAGCTTTGGATTCTAGAGGGTCAGTGTTTTTCTATACGCAGAGGACAATGAACAAGCCTTTGTTTCCAAAGTCCAGCACCTTTGGAAGGAAGAAAATGGAGCTTGTGGCTTTTGAGGGGGAAAGAATGTTGACTCTCCTGAAGGAATTGGAGTCCCTAGGACTGGGAAGGGGACAAAAGGTTGCAAGTTTTAATGAAGAGCTGAAGCTCAGGATCGTGCTGATGTGCAGCACCCAGGAGGAGGGGCAGCAGGTGACAGGGTGACTCCAGGTATCTTCGGGCAGGAGGATGCAGTGCTGCAGCTCATCATGATCTCTATTCCTCCCCGGCTACTGGTCCCACGAGGTTACACACATGCTCTGGTGTCTTTCACCTTAAAACAAACCACCTTCCTAGACCCATATTTCCCCATCCCTGCTGATATGGTTTGGATCTGTGTCCCTGCCCAAATCTCATGTCCTGTTGTAATCTCTAATGTTGGTGGGAGGTGACTGGATCATGCAGGCGGATTTCCCCTTTTGGTGGTGTTCTCGTGATAGTGAATGAGTTCTCGTGAGATCTGGTTGTTTAAAAGTGTGTAGCACCTCCCCCTCTCTTCCTCCTGCTCCAGCCATGTGCAGTGTTGACTTCTTCTTCATCTTATGCCATGATTGTAAGTTTCCAGAGGCCTCACCAGAAGCCGAGCAGAAACCGCTATGCTTCCTATGCAGCCTGCAGAACCATGAGCCAATTAAACTTCTTTTCTTTATATATTACCCAGTCTCAGGTATTTCTTTATAGCAGTGTGAGAATGGACTAACATACCTGCCTTACCTCCCCGTTTCTAAAAGCTTGCCCATGATGGACTGCCTTGTTGCCCTAATTCTGGGTACTGTTCAGCCCCCCACATGTTTTTCCCACCATAATAGTACAGAGATGGCTCCAGGCACCTCACTGAGGTCCTCTCTGCTGCCACATTCAGTGGACCACTCCTTCTGCTCACTGCTCTCCAGCCCCCGGTCTCATTCAAGGTCCTCAGTCACTCAAGCCCTCCTGAAACACCCATGCTCCCAGATTCTGGGACACTGGTGCTTCTGGCTTTCTTCTGACTCGCTGGCTCTTCTTTCTGCCTTCCTTTGCTGACTACTCCAGGTCAAATTCTAAACGCTGATGGACTACAGATTCAACCTGCCTTCTCTGTGGTCCCCCCTTCCTTCCCTCCCTAGGTAATTTCACCCATTCTCAGAAATGTATTTTTATTCCAGATTGTTTTCATACCTGTGTAGGTCTAGATATCCTGACTTTTGAACCTATACCCCATTTCATGTGAAGCATACTAAAATATACTCACAGGTCAAAGTAAGTGCGCTTTTTATTGAGAGGGGACCTTCTTTTTATTGTGTAAAATATATGTGATGTACATTTTGCCATTTTAATTATTTTTAAATGTTCAATTCAGTGGCATTAATTACATTCAGATGCTATGCAACTAACACCACAATCTATTTCCAAAAAGTTTTTATCACTCCAAACAGAAATTCTGTATCCATTAAGAAATAACTCCCTATTTTCCCCTCCCCCAACCCCTGGTAACCTCTAATCTACTTTCTGTCCTTACAAATTTGCCTAGTCTTGATTAAATATGCCCTTTTTTTTTTGCTGTTAAAAAAGAATTTTATAATTTTGCTTTTGAAACTTGGTAGAGCATTTCAACTTTACACTGGCTCTCATTTTCCAGCCACCACTAAGGATGCCCAGATATTCTTATACGATGAGAAAAATTTAAGCCCCAAATTGCATTTTAAAAATGGCCCTTTTATACATACCAAAGTTTAACAATTAATGAAGATGATATAAAACTGTATTTTGAAAACAGTTAATGGATTATTCGTTCATTTTCATTTTATACTCTTGTATTTTGAATTAAGAAAAATACTTCTGGGCTCACATAAAGTTGCAAAATAATCATACTTCACTATTAAAACCTGTGTGGGGCAAGGCACGTGGCTCATGCCTGTAATCCCAGCACTTTGAAAGGCCTAGGCAGGAGAATCACCTGGGCAACATGGTGAAACCTCATCTCCACAGAAATCAGCCGGGTATGGTGTAGCACACCTGTAGTTCCAGCTACTCGGGAGGCTGAGGTGGAAAGATTACTTGAGCCCAGGAAGTCAAGGCTGCAGTGAGCCATTATCGCACTACCGAGTGAGACTCTGTCTTAAAACCCAAAACAAAACAGAAAACCACCTTGCGTGGATTTCACCAGTTTTTACATGCACTAATTGTGTGTGTGTGTGTGTGTGGGTGTATAGTTACATCACATTGTATCACATGTATATTTATAGATCCAGGTAACCATCACCACAATTGGATATAGAGCCTTTCCGCCCTGATTTAAAAAAAAAAAAAAAAAAAAACTCTCTCATTCTGTCCCTTTACAGTCACATCCTCTCATCTGGTTGCTGAGTCGCTGGCTGCCACCGATCTGTCCTCTATCTCTATAATTATGTCACTTTGAGAATATTACAGAAATAGAATCTTACAGTGTCATACTTTTTGAGATCAGCTTTTCTCACTCAGGATCTGTTTTCCCTGGTCCTTCAGGTACCCTGCTCTCTGAGAAGGTGATCTGCACGGACACACAGGATTGGTGGGTGGAGAATGTGTTTCAAAAGGTCTACAATAAAAGATTTTTCTGGTTGTGATTTGGTCCACTAAACTTGAAAAATTAGGAACGGATTCAATATTGTGTTAGAGATGAAGATCCATCATGAAAATTAGTTTTAAATCATTTGGCACTTTCAACTCCTTGCAGTAATACCTTAGGAAATTTTTAAAAACTCATTCTTTCTTCCTTTGCTTCTGTCAATCATCTCCACCTCTTCCCCTTCAACCCAGCCACCATCTTCCCTTGCCTGACCACTCCAAGAAGTGTCCTAGCTATTCTCTGGCTTCCATTCTTATCCTTCTAAAATCCATTCCCAGGAACAGCTCATGCCCTCTCTCTCCTCACATGTTCTCAGCTTTGAAAATATCTCTTTAAAAGGCTTTCTCTGACAATCGAATTCTCCCCCACCACAGGTCACACCCAAGTAACCCTGGTCTATTTTATGTTTATATTACTTATGAAGATGAATTAATAGCATTTATCTTGTTGACTTGCAGTCATTTATTTATTTATATCTTCTCCTTCTATAAAATAACCCCAATGACAGTAAGATCCTCATGTCTGTAGCACCTGCAACACTTTGCACAGTCTGTGATCTCAGCAAGTATTTCTGATGGAATGAATGGCTAAATGAACATACACGAGGCTGAAAAATTGCCCCCAAAGTGATGGAAGCAAGACGGCTGTAATTACCACGCTATACAATGGCTCGGAAAACCCAGGAGAAAATTTAGAACTGCTCCAGCAGCTGGGGATATGCAGAACAGCAGGATGCTGTGGACTTAAAATCCATCCAAGGCTGGGCATGGTGGCTCACATCTGTTATCCCAGCCCTTCGGGAGGCCAAGGTGGGAGGATCACTTGAGGCCAGGAGTTCAAGACCAGTCTGGGCAACATAGTGATGCCCTGTCTCTACAAAAAATTAAAAGAACTTGGCTGGGAGTAGTGGTGTGCATCTGTAGTCCCACCTACTTGGGAGGCTGAAGTGGGAGGACTGCCTGATTCTTGGAAGTAGAGGCTGCAGTGAGCTAAGATCATGTCATTGTACTCCAGCCTGGGCAACAGAGCAAGATCCTGTCCCAGTAACTAAAGAAAGAAAGAAAGAAAAATTTATCCAACGTACTGAGTTCAAAATCTCAATCCTGTGGAAAATGCCATTGGATTTTGCAGGATCACAGTGATTAGGATATTGGCTTTCACCTGAACTTCCTGGAGAAGAAAGATCTCTCTTTTTTTCCCCTGTTGCCTTATTTGATTTTTTGTGTGTATAATAATCAGCCACTTGTAAACTCCTAAGCCGCATGCAGTGGGAAGTACATGGCAAGAACGAGCAAGTTTCATGCCAATGTAGTGGAGGAACGACTCCAAATCAAGTCAAGTTTATGAGTTCACCTGATGTGTATCAACCTAGTTGGCTCTAACATCCCAATGGCAAGACCAGCCAGCTCAATTGGATTGAGTATTTTCTGCTTCAGCAAAAAATGTATGTAACTGATTTATTAATGGAGGCTGGGGGAGCTATGGGGGGCGGGGGTTGATATTTGGCATTTAGGGCCCAAAAGCAAAGCTAATTCATGTTTTGTATGGAAAAATATATTTTTCTCGATTAAAGAAAAAGACAGGCTTCTTCTTTCAAAGCAAAGAAGGAAAATGAGAGTTTTCTGCTCCTAACTGAGGAAAAATCGTCCCCAAACAAGATATTTCTATACCTCAAATAAGATAAGACCAGGGCTAGTCTTTGGTCTTATTTGTTTTGGTTAATGAGCTATTTGGTCACCAAGATAATTTTTGACTTCTGAAGCGTAAAGCTACTTAAACAAAAATGTTATTCATACTGTTGGGCAGGAGTTCTTTGGGGTACAGGCTGGGGAGGTCTCACTAAGAAAGGACACTGTGCCATACTAAGGAAGGACTCTGTTTCCAGGGATTCACGGCACATATGTAACCTAACACATTAGAGGAAGCCACTTTACCTAATTAGGCACCAAGGTTTCAAATGACTTCTGAAACACGATGTCATGGGGAAATGGCCACCAAGGAAGAGAGAGTGAGATGCAGGGTGTGAGCTGCTCTTCCTTCACTCTGTGCATTCACTCTTTGATGAAATATTGACTGCCCCTATTGTGAAAGTGAAGGTAAATGGACCAGGCACCACGGGAGATTCTATGAGGACTGACACACAAAACCTGTCTTCAAGAAAGTTACCATAGAAGTACAGGAGAGAGATCTGCGTCTAGATAATTCTAACATCACATGGAGAGGAGGCACAGAAAGTGACAGGAAAGATGTTATAAAACTCCAGAAAAAATAGAAATCATTTTACCTGATTGTGATAGGAAGTAGCTAAATGGGGAGGGGAAGTCAATCAGGAAATTCTTTGTGGGACAGACAACATATGCAAGGGAACTTGCCAGCTGGGTAGAGTCTGGCTAGGAGGATATGGGACCAAGGGGGAATGCCTTTTAGTTAAAGACATCCACAAACTCATCTGTAAAGGACCACTGTCCTGAGAAGGCAGCAGGGGACAGGAAGAAAATTAGTCTGATCTTCTCTGAAAAAACCAGAAAAGCAACTGTAGGCAAAGAGGCACTTCTTTGATTCATACTCAGTTGTGATCTCAGCTTTGATTCACAATATACAGACCAAGACTGTATAAGCTCAGTTCAGCAAAATGCAGCTGCAGGAGATAAGCCAATAAATACCCATAAGAGATTTGCATTTCAGACTCAGCACTGCCTCAAGCTAGGTGTAAGCTCATGAACATTTTACTGCTTCATCTCTCAGTTACTTTTTTTGAGCTACCTTACCGGCTTCTTCCAAATGATGAATGAGATTATTTGAAATCCAACTTTGGGAGCATTCTGGAGACATCAGATGGAGAAATTCATAAGTGTGGGTTCTTGGAGTCAGTTTGTTCTTATTTTAACCTGATTTCTTTTCCTACCCAGTCTGTAAACTTGGACAAATGATTTCACCTTTTTAAGCCCATTTCCTCATTTCTAAAACTGGGGAGTAATAGTAAAATTGGGGAGCCCATACTTCATGGGCTTAATGTTTAAAGATTAAATAAGAATATTTGTATAAAGACTTTAACCCAATTTTTAGTACATAATAAGTTATCTGTATTATGAATAAGTAAATAATGGCACCTAGTCAGGAAATTGATGCTGTGTTATATATCACTACGGATGAAAACCGTGTGATGAGGGTAATTAACTGACCCAGAGATCTAAGTTATCAAAGGATCATTTGATGACTTAGAATATAGAATAATCTCACATAAAACTTACCAATGCCTCTTTAGCTTGAGCCTTTCAGTTGAAGTAAAGGGTTAGGGAAGATGATGTTTAGAGATGGGCTAGAAAATATCACTCAACTAGAAAACTTTGAGTAGAATCCGTCTCTCTCTTGCATATTTCTCTCTTTTCATCAACATTCTGGAAAGTGGTCCCTTCCTATGTTGAAGTTGGGGGCATGAAAGAGCTCTCCTGTGAGTTATCATTTCACTCATCATTGGAAGCAGCTCCTTCTAGCACAGCCAACAGAGTTCCATTATTTATGTCTTTCAAATAAAATAAAAAGTTCCTAGGACTCATTTGCCTGTAGGTTCTTTTCTGTGATTTTATTTTCATCCAAGGTGTCCACTTAATAATCAAGTAGATGACTCCTGCATTGGACTCATAGAAAGTAAACTTCCAAGCCTTTTGTACCTCCTCATACCTGGGTCACTTAGTGTAATATTTTATTTTACTGGAATTTTAACACCTTCACTTAAAACAGGAAGTTAAGCAACTTCATACAAGATATCTTAGAACCTATAAACGTCTCACCCAACATTATCCTCACAGTTCACTTTCTCTTGCTTATGTGAATGGGATAAAATATACAGTTTATCCAAGAAGGGCCATGCCAAATAGAAACATAGCACTTTGTTTAAAAAGCAGGTATCTTATTACTTACAACCCTCACCTTCTGGCCCAACCTAATACCATAATTACTCTCTTAAATTTCCCATTATTTAACGTCACCTATTCTGTCTTCTTTTGTTACCATTATTTAACTAACTAAACAGACCAAATATAATACCAAAGGCTAAGGAGGCATGAATCCAACTTGTGGAAACCCGTTTTTAATTTAGAATTATGGGGCCAGTTTCCTAGAAATTGCCACATTTAAAGAAAATAGATCTGTCTTCTTTATGTCAAGAGATGGCTGTTTTAATTAGAATCAGTTTAATCTAATAATGAGTCATTTATGTACTGTCTTCAAAATGAATATTTTAGTCCCAAATACAAATTTAATCATCAGATGTGTATTCTTGCTAGTCCAAACCAAAAATTAAATCACTGAATTCCCATAAGAACTTTCTCTACTCATAGAGATGTGTTACAAGGTATGAAGCTGAAACGATAAAACTAAATTACTTGGCCACCAAGTAGACCACAATGAATTATTTTTTTCTTCTAAAGAGATACTGACATCAGAAAATTACTGGGAGGTTAGGGAGCTCTTTATAAATGCATGCTCCTTGAGGGTAAGGGGCATGACTAATTTTCGCATGCCTAGTGCTTCACAGTACACCACTCACAGAGTTGGTACTCAGAAAATGAGAGTATGTTAATTTCAACCTTGAAAATATGGAGATGAAAGGCAAGATTAACCCAAGGAGAAAATGCCTTTGTTTTGCTCTCAATCATACATAACAAGTGCTTAAGACATATGCACCGAATGAATGAATGGTTGACTCTGAAGCTGGCTTGGTACCCTTGATTGGATTGTTGGACTTAGTTCATAGGGAATCTTCAAACCACCTGGAGAAACTATGCTCACTGAATGCTGAACAAATGAACTCGGCAGGACACGGCCTATCAGTGAGTCCTTGGAGAACCAAGCAAATAACAATTTTATAACAGATTATTTTAACCACTAGGAAGCCCAAGAATTCTGTCACATTTGACTAGTTACAAATGCAATTACAAAGCTAAATCCCTAATTCATTGTTTTAATAATTAGGGATTGTCTTAGTCCATTTGTATTGCTATAAAGGAATACCTGAATCTGGATAACTTATAAAAAGAAAAGGTTTATTTCACTCACAATTCTGTTGTCTAGAAAAGTGCAACATTGGGCATCTGGTGAGGGTCTCAGGCTGCTTCCATTAATGGTGGAAAATGAAGGAGAGCTGGCATGTGCAGAGAACATATGGAGAGAGAGGAATCAAGAGAAAGATGGGGCAGAGGGCTGTGCCAGGCTCTTTTAGTAACCAGCTGTACAGGAAAGAGAACTCACCCACAAGGGAGGGCATTAATCCATTCATGATGGATCCATTTCCATGACCCAAACAGCTATTAGCAACGCCTCCCCCTCCCCGCCCACCAACACTGGAGATCAGATTTCAACATGAGGCTTGGAGGGGACAAACATCCAAACCATAGCTGAGATAGAAGGCAGCATATAGATTACTAAAGAAATCACAGCGAACTGCAAGCAATTTCCACTTTAAACATGTCAGACAACTTTAGAATGGTCTGTAAATAATGGGCATATTCTCTGACCCTGGACAAATTGGTAGGGGACATGACTTTCTTTTTATTAATATTATTTTTATTTTTATTTTTTTGCAAAGGCCATGCATGAATATGCTTTTATCGTGCCTTCAAAATCATCCTCAGAGTTTTGAGTCTTAATCTCTCTCTTTTGAGCATGTTACCTGTTACCAATCCAGTGGATGGAAAATCATTTTATTTTTATTTGTATTATTTTTTTGAGACAGGGTCTCACTCTGTCGCCCAGGCTGGAGTGCAGTGACCCCATCACAGCTCACTGCAGCCTCAACCTCCCAAGGCTCAGTTGATCCTCCTGCCTCAGCCCCCACCCCCCTGCCCTGTAGCTGGGACTACAGGCACTTTCAGGGGACATGACTTTCTCTGAAGAGTTTTTGCAGCTCTGGGGCATACGTTCTCTTGCTCTGTTTTTATCCAGAGTGAACATATTCTTCTTAGTCTTAATATAACCGGGAAGAAAAAGGAGGTTGAGCTACAAGAACGAATAACAGTTCCCAAATGACGATGTTTTTCACAACTTGATAAACCAACCAGAGCAATATGCATGTCTCACTGGAAACATCAAAATGAAAAGCCTCCACCTCAAATCTTTGTATTTTCCCCCTAAGTCTGAAACATACCGTCTGTGGAAAGAGACTAGAAGTGGGGTGAACATAAATAAATTTCAGAATCTTCTCAGATTTAAGCAGAGAATACAGAGAATAACCACCACCACCACCACATAAATCACAATATTCAACAATTATTACAAAAATGTAGCTCTAGAATTGACTCATGTATCTCAGCTCTTCATGTGCAAAACTGACTTTGCTTATGGACCCTAGATTTTAGTAACACTCGCCCTTCTTAGAGTTTTCAAATAATTTTATCAAGATAAAAATTTACTGGCATGTGGGATATATACATACTCTACCACATATTTACGTAGATTTGTGTGCAAAGACATGCATACCCGGAAAGAAAGCTAACTATGCTAGCCTCTAAAATGTAGCTGCGTTTGGGGAGAAACACAATAGACATTTAACTGAGCACATCAAAACTGCTTAATGGTTTTCTGACGTGCCTCCAGGCAGTGGAGAAAAGCATGACCAATTGGAAGCGCAGGGAGAATTCTGAAGCAGCGAAAAAAGAAATGAATCCTTCTCTTTCTCATTTTCTTTTTGAACTCTATAATATAATTTTTCAACATTGTTCTTTTGAAGTCTGACATGAAGATGAAAATTCCTTGAGGATTGTGAGACACTAGAATGCATTACAAAGGAGGGCACGGAATGGCCTTTAATGCAGATCCTTAAGAGGGTAGAGGGCAGCATTCTTAGTTTCCTTTCCACCCTCTAATTCCAACATGCTATGAAAATGATTTTAACTCTGCCTGACTAGCACAAACAAAACTAAACAATAACATTGACTTCCTGATTATTTATACCCACTTGCCCCATGACTTTGTAATGAGGGGTCTTAGTGGCAAGGACAGTCTTCATCATGCTTTGTCCCTCTACTCTGCTTGACATACAGGTATGGGCAAGGATTCTAAATTTCTCTGCTCCTCTAGCCTTTTGATGTGTTTGTTCACAAATACCCGGGCCTTGGGGCAGGGGTAGAGACACCTTCCTTCTGCTGCACTAGGGGGAGTCGCCTTAGGAGGTCAGCTGACCACGTGGAGAGGAGGCTCTGAGAGGTCAGCTGACTGTCTGGGGAGCAGGCTCTGGGAGGTCAGTTGACCACGTGGAGAGGAGGCTCTCGGAGATCGGCTGACGGCGTAGGGAGAAGGCTCTCTGGTCGGCTGACCGCCTGGAGAGGAGGCTGTGGGAGGTTGGCTGATCCCCTGGGGAGGAGGCTCTGGCAGGTCGGCCGACCATGTTGGGAGGAGGCTCTTGGAGGTCAGCTGACTGCATGGGGAGGAGGCTGTGGGAGGTCGGCTGACCATGTGGGGAGGAGGCTGTGGGGGTTCGGCTGACGGCTTGGGGAGGAGACTCTGGGAGGTCAGCTAACCACAGGCACCTGCTCTGCGTCTCAGCGCATGTACTGCTGCCTATTGCGGCCGTGGAGCTGTTCCCAGTTCTCTCCGGTACTACGCCACGTCTTCCCAAGTTTTCTGGAGGTGAAATTCATTTCCACAGTAGAGTGGAACCAAGCTCTAAATCAAGATCCCACATGTCCCCACCTCTGAGTAGAACAACACACCCTCAGGCCCGTCGCTCTCATCCAAGGCCTTGGCTTCGTGCTTGTGGGGGAAACCGAGGCCTCTGGCTGTGAGCTGCCTTGGCTCCTGGCCCTTTGCTTACAAACCCACCCACATCCACACCTTTCCTACTTCCATATCAGAGAATGAAGCTGAACAACCCCCTGGCCCTGCACCCAGCCTTCCTCCTGGACTGGCTCAACCCTCCTCTCTCCAAATTTTCCATTGCTCCTTTTCTCCCCGTCTTTCCAACCTCCTCTGGTTTCCCCTCGGCTTATAAAATTCTTCAAATAGTTCCCATTTGATTCTCTAAAAAAATAAAAATAAAAATAAGTTCCCTGACTTTACTACCCTTTCTTGATGACAACCCCCTTCTCATCCAAATGTCAAGAAATTCTGAACTGCCGGTCGCTCTTTCAGCTTTTCTCCCTCATTACTCAACCACTCTTCCCGTCTGAACCCCACTCAGCCACTCTTCCCCCCGAACCCCCTCTGCCTCCTATCTCCACAGGCTACGCCTTTTCCTAAGGACATTAGCGCACTTCATCATAATCCTTGTGTTACTGAATAGCTGCCTCATTTGACATGGTGGCCACTTCCTGCTCCTGGAGACTCTTAGATCCTTCTGGAGCCCTGCACCTTTCTGAGCTCCGTTTCTTCTCCTCTTCCTCTGTGGGCTCCTCTTTCTCCACTATCCCATTAAATGCTGGTCTTCTCTGGGGTCAGGTTCTTGTCCCTTCTTTATGGTATACTTCCCTTGGCTGAGCTCACCTAATCTCATCGATGGGGGAGTCATTCACATATAAAGGGTGAGTAATTCCATTTCCATCTCAGCCCCTAAGTTTCTGACTGATGTATACAACCACTATGTGATATTTTCATTTCAGCAAGTCCCTCAATTCCCTGTGATTGGTGTTCCTTCTATATTTTCTGTCTCAAGGGTCTGGGTTATGATACCCAGTTGCATTACCTGGTTGCAGGTACACTCCACCCGTCATTGCACTTGCAAGTGCTTGGATACACCTCCTTAATAGATCTTAAGTCCCCTTCCCCTGCTGTCAACAAATACCCTAGCTTAGGTGCATATCAGCTTCCAAGAAGATGAGTGCAACGGGCTTCTCACACATCTTCTTGGACCCAATTTTGTCCTTGTCAAGTCCATCCATTACACATCACCAGAGCGATCAGTCACTGAACTCTGACCTCCTACATCAGCAGGATGTAGTTCAAGCTCTGCAGCTAGTTTTGTAGGGACATACAGCATCATTTTTCCAATCAGGAAAAGCTGAAACAAACAATTATTGGGATTCTAGCACCCTTATGGCAAAAGCCAGATATGTTGGTGCACGTCTTCTTGTAATTACATGACGATTATCTGCATATGTGCTTATCTCCCCAGTTACACGTTGTCTTCAGAAAAAGAGATTCCCCAGAGCCCCACACAGTGCCTGGCAAATGGTGAGAATTTAATAAATGTTTCTTAAAGTGGGCATGGAGGGGTTTCTCTGAGCTTGCTACAGATCTCTGAAATTTGCTCCTGGAAATCAGACGGGGAGGTAGCAATGGCTGGTGAGGTGAAGGGATCGAGGGGCATCAGTGAGGGCAGGAAGTAACAAGAGGGAGTGGGTATCTAGCACCACATGACCTGACTTGAAGACTAGGGGAGCCTCTGATGAGTGTGATAGTCTCACCTATACCAAAGAAAGGCAGACATAGAGATGCAAAGGGAAAGAATTAACTATTGAAAACATCTAAATGGCCACAGACCTGTACTGATAAGGACAGAAGGTACATTAGAATTTCTCTCTCATTTCTGTCATTGGAAGAACAGACTATCATCTTCATGCAGTTGCCCTAAACACCTGATATATCAGGTATTTAGCATGGGTGTTGGTATTCAGGGACCATGATTAAACCCAAGACGTATCTGCGTTCAAGGAACAGCAAGCTGCCCTATAATGGGGTCCTTCTGTGCAATCTGAAGAACCTTTCATCAGTGGGGAAACACCTCCCCATTCTCTTCATGGCACTTCTAGAAGAGCAAAAAGTATTGCCACTATCTTTGGGTGTGCTTAGGCTCTGAAAGGTCCCACGAAGTCCAGCAGCTTTGCCCCTAAAAGGAAGTCTCAAGTCCTTTATCACATAAATGGCATTTTTTTCTTATCTAAATGTGAAGAGCCATTCTGGGATATTGCCCTTTCATATTCTTCTTGAGTCTGTGTGCACATGGTTTGGGAAAATTAAAATGGTAGCAAAATCTCAGATACCATTTTTATTCCTATTATCGAAAACATCCTGTGCTTATAGGCAAATAATAAAAATAGACCTAACCACTTTTAAGAAAAGAAACTTTTTTATTACTATTTTCCTTTTCTATTCATTGAATCCTTCTATTTCTGGAATCCTAATTTTTCTGATCATTTTTTAAATTCTCAAAGACCAGGTACAGTAGCTCTCACCTGTAATCCCAGTGCTTTGGGAGGCTGAGACAAAAGGATTGCTTGAGCCCAGGAATTCAAACCCCATCTCTACGAAAAATAAAAAAAATTAACTGGCACAGTGGTGCATGCGTGTAGTCCTAGTTACTCAGGAGGCTAAGGTGGGAGGATTGCTTGAGCCCAGGATTTCAAGACCAGTCTGGGCAACATAGCGAGACCCCGTCTCTAAAAAATAATACTAAAATTAAGCAGACACGGTGGCTGCACACCTGTAAGTCCCAGCTACTCAGGAGGCTCAGGTGGGAGGATCACTTAAGCCCAGGAGGTCAAGGCTGCAGAGAGCTGTGATTGCACCACTGCATGCCAGCGTGGGCAACAGAGCAAGGCCCTGACTCTAAAAATAAATTAAAAATTAAAAATAATGAAAAAGATAAAATTCTCAAAGGAATTCTCTGGTATGGTCCATAAGGCCAAATGTTTGTGGTGCATCAGAAAATCACATTCTGTAAAGCTGGCTGGATTATTACAATATTAAACAGAACTTCCAAGATAGGACATGTAAAATAATTAAACATATATGTTAGTGTCATGATATGGTCCTGCCTTTAGAGAACCAAATTTCAAAACAAAGCAAAGAGAGTTATCACTTGGATAAAATCTCTCCCATCCTTTTCTGTTTTTCTTTTAATACACTAATAGGGTTTTCCTGTTTTTTTTTTCCATCATGTTAAGAAGGTTTGCATTTTTTGCTCATGTTATGATAATTTTTAAAAAAATCTCGATTCCACCAAGTCACGAGAGATTTTCAGTTGGAGGTGGGGTTCAAGGAAGGCTCCGATGAAGAATTAGGGGGCTGGAGAAGGAGCTTCCTTTCTCTGTTGGTGGATATCACCTGCTTCTTTTACCCTATTATAATGTAATTAGAAAAAATATCCTATGATTGTGATTTTCATGAATTGTTGGTGAGAATAGAAATTTCTAGAACCATTCCAGAGGGTAATTTGGCAATGTATACAAAGTTTAAATGTGCTGCCCTTTGACCCGAGAGAAATTATTGGAATGTATGTAGAAGAATATTCAACACAGCATTATTTATTAAAACAAAAAATTTAGAAGCATCCTAAAAATGGTATCTGTCAAAAAAGAGAACAAAGAAATTCCAGGCAGTCATTAAAAGTAATGATATTGTTATGTAAAGGCCCCCATGGTACAGGAGAAAAAAATTATTACAAAACAGGATGAACAGCAAAGCTTCAATTTTGTTAAATTGTGTGTGTATGCATTTTAAAAGTCCATAAGGATATTCAAAATATTAACAGTTGTTATCACCAGGAAGTAGAATGTTAGATATTAGAATGTTAGATTTTTAAAAAAATATCTTTTCATACTGTCTGAATATTTTATCAAGAGCATATATGATTTCTCACTTGGGGAAACAAAGCACCAACCTTTCATAGCAGAACTTTGCAAGGTCCCATGACAGAGCACCTCCCTGAGACCCCAGAGAGAGAGCAGGAAGCAGGAGAATCTTGTCCTCATCCTGCTTGCTCAGAAATTCCAGCAACTGAGATCCCAACACTGCTGCCTTCCAACACTGAGCAGTTCAATATCAAGAACATGTTCTGAGGGCGGGCACAGTGGCTCACGCCTGTAATCCCGGCACTTTGGGAGGCCAAGGCAGGTGGATCACCTGAGATCAGGAGCTCAAGTACAGCCTGGCCAACATGGTGAAACCCCATCTGTACTAAAAATACAAAAAAATTAGCTGGGCGTGGTGGTATGCACCTGTAGTCCCAGCTTCTTGGGAGGCTGAGGCAGGAGAATCACTTTAACCCAGGAGGCAGAGGTTGCAGTAAGCCCAGATTGCACCACTGCACTCCAGCCTGGGTGATAAGAGCAAGACTCCATCTCAAAAAAAAAAAAAGAAGAAGAAGAAAAAAAAGAAAATATTCTGAAAGAGAAGAAGTGTAAATGTCTCTGGCTTCATCTTGAAGAGGTTATGAGGAATCCAAGTTCCAGAAATGGTGGTGCCTACCTTGGAGGTCATACGGCACCCCTGTGATAACAAGGTCATAGAGCAGCCCAGAACACTACCTGAAAAGCTGAGCTCCACTCAAGTTTAGAGAGCCCATAAAAAACACTGGTGGGCTGGGCACGGTGGCTCACGCCTGTAATCCCAGCACTTTGGGAGGCTGAGGCAGGTGGATCACGAGATCAGGAGTTCAAGACCAGCCTGGCCAATATGATGAAACCCCATCTCTACTAAAAATACAAAAATTACCCAGGCATGGTAGCAATCACCTGTAATCCCAGCTACTTGGGAGGCTGAGGCAGGAGAATGGCTTGAACTCGGGAGGTGGAGGTTGCAGTGAGCTGAGATCGTGCCATTGTGCTCCAGCCTGGGTGACCGAGCAAAACTGTCTCAGGGGAAAAAAAAAAAAAACCACCACTGCTGAACAGGTTGACCAGTTCCCTGTTCATTCAGGTCTCACTCGTCAGGGTGGAGGTTGGTTCCCAAAGATACTTAACACAAACCCTCTTCATCATGCATAGAAACACAGGGTTTACTGGCATAAATATTCTGGGCATGCCAGACAGTACTTTCAAAGCAAAACAAAACTTAATTTAAAATAATAAACCTTCCATTGATGTTGATAATGAAGGAGATATATTACTAAGTCTTGCCTAATTTCAGAATCTTGAAAATAACTCTTAGCATGTGGGCCTAGTTATTTTATAATAAATAAATGATTCCAGCTATTTATCTTTAGATTCCATAACAAGCCTTTATTTATTTATTTATTTATTTTTTTGATTTGTTTGTTTTCACAACAGTAGCATGACACAATTCCTTCAAGACTTCCCAGCCTGCAGGAGGGAGTCGCTGGCTAAACCTGGATACAGGCCGGGATGCTACAACTTGCTGGTTGCTCAACTCTAGATGGTCAACTGTCCGTTCCCAGAGCTTTGGTTTCCTCATGCTGGCAGATCATCACTGATGTCCATTCCTTCCAGGTGTTTAGTTCGTAGGCCAGTCCTGAGTTGTTGAGTGAGAAAGTAGGAAGAGTACGCAGTGATAACATGAGGAGCAGAACAGAAGACTCTTTTGTGTGACCTGGAACCAAAGGTCATCATGCTGGGGCAGAGTGTGGATAGGAGGCAGAAGGGACTACATTTCATGAGCACTTGTTATATATAAGAAGTGTTATTGGCTGGGCGCGGTGGCTCACGCCTATAATCCCAACACTTTGGGAGGCCGAGGCATGAGGATCACCTGAGGTCGAGAGTTCGAGACCTCGAGACCAGTCTGGCCAACATGGTGAAACCCTGTCTCTATTAAAAATACAAAAATGAGCTGCGCGTGGTGGTGTATGCCTGTAATCCCAGCTACTTGGGAGACTGAGCAGGAGAATCGCTTGAACCCAGGAGGCAGAGGTTGTGGTGAGCTGAGAACATACCATTGCACTCCAACCTGGGCGACAGAGCAAAACTCTGTCAAAAAGAAAAAAAAAAAAAAAAAAGAAGTGTTATTGATGTATAATAAAAGCTAATGTCTGCTGTGCCCCTTTCGTATGCCTGGAGCTATGCGTGTACTTTCCATATGCAATCTCATTGAGCCCAGCAACAATCCAATGGGATGAGGACAGTTGTGCCCATTCAACAGGAGAGAAAACTGAAGCCTTAGAGGTCACACAGCTCTAGGTGAAGAAGTCAGAACCGCAACCCAAGTCCAACCTGAGAACCTGAGCTCTTGACCACTAACTAAACTCTAACACCTCTCATTCACTGAGTAGGGATCTGAATCCAGGAGACGTAAGTAATTTGTCCAAAGTCACGTGGCTAATAAGCAGCAGAGTGAGGATTTGAAAGCAGATTTGTCTGGCACCAAAAACTCATGATCCTTCCCTTACATGCGATGTTTCCTCAGATTCTGACAGTGGAGGCATATTCTCAGCTGACTTACCAATGTTGCCAATTTGTCTCCACCCTGGAGTCTCAGTTGTTGGGTCCAGCCTTAAACCCAAAATGCAGTTGAGAAAATTGAAAAAAGAACCTTGGGTTTATGTGACCAGTAAGCCACACTAACCAAGACCATTTTAGACTAAGTTTTTGAGATCTTAGGATACATGTTGTAACTTCTGTGGTATTTCCTTTTCAATTTTGTTTTGCTTTTTGAATGCACCTTTATGTTGCTGACTTCATCAGTATCAAAGCCAACAAGGAGGAAAACTAATTATGGGGCCTAGAGTCAGCAAAAGGTCCAAGCCTGAATACAAACCCAAAAACAGGGTGGTTTTAATTTTTTTATTTTTATTTTTTAGCTTGTCTGCTTTTGCTAAGGAGACCTTCCTTCTCTCCACCTGCCACCCCATGGAAGCTAGTTTTCAGGCACCCAGGACCCACCTGGGAGTATCACTGATACCACATTTTTTATTGTTGATGTTTTGTTTTGTTTTTGAGACAGAGTTTCGCTCTCATCGCCCAGGCTGGAGTGCAGTGGCATGATCTCGGCTCACTGCAACCTCTGCCTCCCGGGTTCAAGGGATTCTCCTGCCTTAGCCTCCCGAATAGCTGGGATTACAGGCGCCCACCACCACGCCTGGCTAATTTTTCTTATTTTTAGTAGAGAGGGGGTTTTGCCATGTTGGGCAGGCTGGTCTCGAACTTCTGACCTCAGGTGATCTGCCCACCTCGGCCTCCCAAAGCGCTGGGATTACAGGCGTAAGCCACTGTGCCCAGCCAATACCACATTTACACCGATACCGCAAAGGGCAATGGCAACAGGTCTTCACCTGTAGAGTTTGTCAGCCTCATCTCCAAATCCTCCCCAGTTTTCTCTGGTGGTGCCTCTCGTGTGCCTATGTGTGAGTTTCTCAGCTGGTTTCCGGTGTTTTTAGTTGTATTTTTCCTCTTCTTGCTTGGCTCCTAGCGGTTGACGTTCACTGTTCTCTTCCACTTGCGGAAGCAGCACCATTGCCCCTGGGAAGACCTGCACTCTCCCGAGCACAGAGAGGTCTGCTCCGAGGCTGATTCCTTCCAGTACTTCCTGGGTCCTTGTCCCAGGAGGAGTTATTGGGGAGAGAGTAGTAACTCTCTGAAAGAGAAGAGGTGTAAATGTCTCTGGCGTTTGTAATTGTAAATGTGTCTGTAGTAGTAACTCTCTCTCCACCAAGTCCTCCTGGGACCAGGACCCAGGAAGTACTGCTACACTTTGTCACCAGGGCCCTGTGGTGTTTGCACCTTGGATCTACAAAGGGTCTCAAGGAAACAGTTTTCCAGTCGAGTTCTTTTTGAAATATCCCAGCATTGTCTTGGCTGGGGAGAGGGTTCTTCCTATGCACAGGAAAATGTCAGAGTCACATATGATCTGGTCAGAGGTCGGGGCAGTCATGTAAAAAAAAGCTGCGGCCCCGAGGATCGTCCCTTTAGGGTCTCATCTGTCAGAGCTGTAATCTACCCAGAGTAGCATAAAAGCCAACCCTGCTAAGGTTTAGCTGTTTAACTCCAGGTAGTCTGGCTCCGACTCCTTGACCTTCACAATTTTTTACAAAGGTTTCTAGTGATCTCTGGCGCCTGCCCAACCACCCACAAGGAACATACTGCTGAGTTTCTGCAGATTTTTTTTACCTTTTACACAGATACTGCCTGGTGGGCTTGGAAAGAGAATTCCTTAGTCTCCTCTCAGTCCCGCAGGCATTTGGCTCATGAGATAAGGAAACTAAGACATACCAGCAACCAGCGCCAGCATTACTGGCTGAGAAATCTCGTTGACTTCAGGTCCTACCTGCATCACTTTTCCATGTCCAAAATATCAAGAAACACATTCAGGAAACTTAAAAAATAAAAGCACCTTCTTGAGATAAGAAATATTTTAGAAGAAGCCTAAAAATAAAATATAGTCATGATCTACATCTGCCCAGGTGTCAGATTGACGTGTCTGAATTTTATTGGAGAAGCCCTGCTGCTTGATCGCAGGCAAGAAGTTTTAATCTTTGAAGTTCCATTTCTTAATCTATAACTGCTCTGGCCAATATGGTAGGCACTTACCACTTGAACAGTACTGTAGGGGGAAAATACACTCTGGACTTCAAAGATATAGTACCAAAAAAAGAATGTAACATATATTATGAATATATTATCAAGCATTTATCATTGATAATTTTAATAACAATTACATGAAGAGATTATTATATTTTGGACATACTGGGTTAAAGAAAATATATTATTAAAATTTTTTAAAAGAATGCAATCATGATCTGAATTTAGCCAGACTGCCCTTGCATGCTGAATGTAAAACAATTCTGGATTTGAGAAGAGATTAAGTAGGACCCAGTGAAATGCTATGTTTCTGTGCTAACTATGGATAGGTGAGTCCAGAGAGAGAAACCGGGATGAGGTCAGAGGGATTCTGAGTCCTGCGGGCATATTTAATCCTCTGAATTCTTTAGGAATTCACTACCAAGTTCATTACTTGTTTGTTACCCTCTAGGCAGAAGGAATTAAAACTTTAAAAAAGGAAAAAAAAATCTGCAGTGAGAAACAGATCAAAGAGAGCTGAACTTGGTCAGTGGCATGCAGGATAAATATTATTCCATGGCTCAAACAAATCTTCTGGCTGCCTGGGTGAGACATGTTGATAAGGCACTTTTAAGTCTCTTCTTTCCACTCCCCGTCTCTCTGGCCCTGGTGACCTCTTCTTTTTATTTCTCTGAGGGGCCCCTTGTGATATTTTAATAACCAGAAGGCAAAGACAATTATCTGAGTAGTGTAGGAAGACTTCAGATCTTCAGGCAGAACCAAGAGGAGTTGCATGTGTGCCCTGCCATGCTAACCCCTGGGGAGGGTGGGATGTTTCGTGTGTTATTACCCATGGGAAGCCATTTCTATTCTGTATCAATCTGCATTACCATGAGCTATGTAATCTTCTGCCCCTACCACCTCCAAGGAGATGGTTTTAATGAATGCACTTTTGAAAGTGCCTTGTGAAAAATGCAATATTAAGAACAACCGTCAGCAGCCTGGTGACAGCTATTGCTGATGGGATCCTAGGCTCTCTGAGCCAAGTGGCCCAGGAAGTTAGCAGATTCTCCAGCCTGTGAAAATAACAAAATGTCACCCTTCTTAAACACTTGTGATGTGCCAGATGCGCTTTGCAGACATTGTCTCATTAGATCCTCACAGAGAGCCTGTTGAGTATTCCCTATTGTTCTTCAATTTTCACTGAAAAAATTAGCCAGGCGTGGTGGCGTATGCCTGTGGTCCCAGTTACTCAGGAAGCTGAGGTGGAAGGATCGCCAGAGCTCACGAGTTTGAGGCTGCAATGAGCTGTGATCGTGCCACCGCACTCCAGCTTGGGTGATAGAGTGAGAACCTGTCTCAAAACAGACAAAAATTTTCACTGATGAGAACTTACGCAAGGTCACAGAACTACAAAGTGGCAGAGTCGGAATTAAAAACCAAGTGTGTGCAAACTCAAAGCCCAGGCTCTGAACCACTAAGCCATGAAGGTCCCTTGTGCTGTGTTTCCACACTTCCTGTGAAACTGTCAAGCTCTTAAGAATTTTTCTGACCTTCCTGACAAAGGAAGTTTTCCAACCTGCCCCTGTTACTTTTAGAGTTCCTGTTGCCATCGCACATCTCTACCAGTGTGAGTTTATTTGGAGGTGGTTGTCCAGACATTCCAGGGCGGCCGTTACAGTTGTTTCCATGCAACTCTAGGAGGAGCCTCTAGGAGGAGCCATCCGCCATGATGTTGTGCAGTGCACAACATGCCCAGTGGTACCCTGGACCCGCAGGAAAGAAGGTCAGATGATCCCTAATTGTCACCAGCTCTTATACTCCCATCTCATTCCTGATGAATATAGAACAAAGTACTATGTGTCAAAAGTGTTCCATGGCATTGATTTAAATATTATCCTGGGTTTCTTCTCAACTTACTTAAGCGAATTTACTTAACCATTCTTCTAAGTGATCTCCTCTGTGTTTGCTTCTCTAACATTTTTTTTAGGTAAAGTAGTCAGAACCAGAAATATCACATATGGGTAGCTTCTGGCACTGGCTGCAAGGGAGTCTGTGAAGTTTATGAAGTTCATCTACAAGGCCATGGGACTTGTATTTTAACATAAAAATCCGTAAACTTACTTACATAATTGCAGTTTCTTCAGAGTTATATATGCGAATCCCTTGATAGTTACTTTCAGAGACTGTCTCATCCTTTTAATTAAAAGATTTGGAAAGAATGATTTTTTAAAAGCCTTTTTATGAAAAATTTTGAGGTCATATTTAATCTGGGGAAAAGGTGATCAAAGAAAACATTAAGAGTTTTACCTATTTAAAAAAAAAACAGTGAGATAATAAAAGAATTACACTTCTTTTGTGTGTTAGCTTATAAACAACCTCATGAAAAGCCCAAGAGATGTCTTAAAATATTTTTTGAGGGATAGTGTCATGTTGAAATAAATGACAACTGTAAAGAAAGATAGTCACTCGTTCTATAAAAGTAAGATTTAAAAGAAATTGTTTTTTTTTTTTATTCACATCTGTCATGCGAGGATAATGCTCAGTTCTTGGTGTTTTACTCCTGATTGCTTGTTGAAGAATACAAGGTAAAAATAAATTAAAATAACTACCCCAAAATGCTAAATTGAACTCTGCGGCTTGGCGTAAAATTTAGGGCTTATGTTTAAAAATTTATTTTTAAGAAAGTAATTCAGAGGAGGGAGAAACCACTGAAAACAGTAGTTCCTCTGCCAAGTTTAGCTGCTGACCATCTAACTGCCTGGCAACCAAATGTTCCATGAACTCCAAGCGCCAAGTAGCAGCCTTGGGCTGCCTCTGAGCATGCGCACAAACAAACACACTTGCACGGAGTGTTGCTCATTATGGATGGAGGACAGGCTGTTTACAAATCTGCCATAGATTAGGCCTCTGAACCCCAGGCGTAGTAGACAGAGGGATCCCACCGCTGTGCAGCTTGGACAAAAGGCGCTGTCCTCCACCCCAGGCAGAGTCCTTGCAGGAGCTGGAAGACTCCCGCTTGCAGCAGGGCACGGGCTGCCCATTGGAGCCAGAGCAGATCAGGGTGTTCTCAGTGTCCTGTCCTGAATGTACCGATCAGATAAGCCACAGGGCTTTCACAGGGATTGTTAATAAGGTGGGAAGGCCAGGAGGGGTGTCAGAGCAGTGACATTCCCTCCATCGGGATAGAAATAGAGAGGATGGGGCTGGGTGTGTGGCTCACGCCTCTAATCGCAGAACTTTGGGAGGCTGGGGTGGGAGAATCGCTTGGGGCCAGGAGTTTGAGATCAGCCTGAGCAACACAGTGAGACCCTATCTGTATGCACATACACATACACACACAAATACACAAGCCATAGTGAGCTATATGAGCACTCCACTGCACTCCAGCCTGGGTGACAGAGTGAGACCCTGCCTCAAGAAGAAGGGAAAGAAAAGAAAAGAAGGAAAGAAGGAAGGAAGGAAAAGGAAGGAAACGAAGAAAGAGGGAAGGAAGGAAAAAGAAAAGAAAGGGGGGCAGAAGGAAGGAAGGAAGGGAAAGAGAGAGAGAAAGAAAGAAAAGAAGAGGAAGGAAGGAAGGAGAAGTGGAGGGGAGGGGAGGAAGGAAAAGGGAAGGGAAAGGAGGGGGAGGGAAGGGAAGAAAGAGTGGGGTTACTTTTCCCTGAAAGTTCCCCTATTACCTAGAACAGAACATATGGAGACTTGAACTCTGAACTCTGCCCCACTTGTTGATTTTCATGTCAGCCCCTGAACATGCCAGGGCATGGAGTGGGTATCAATAAATGTCAGTTTTCACAGTATTATCCTCAGGTCCCTGTTTCTTCCTTGCAAAATAAGCTTCCTGGACAATATTTTCTTCAAGATCCCTCCCAATTATGGAAAAACAACTTGCTGTTCCACTAAAGTCTATTATACAATAGGCTGGAGTCTGACTAAATTAAACTTTTTTCCCCCTATGCCAGTTGGCTTATGTAGACACAGCCTGGGGACCGCCCCCCCGCCCCCCACCGCCGCCCACCCTCTCCCCCCCTCCCGCAACCTCCAGTTCCAGCAAAAAGGGGCCTGGGGCACCAAGAAAAAGATAACTCAAATCTCTCCTGATGAGATACTATGTGGGTGCAGGATTCATACTGAGTTGGGAGATAATCTACAGTATATTTAGAAATTGAATTAATCATTTTGAGAGAGAATAGGGAAACAACAGTGAATACAAGAGGAAGCGGGAGAAAGGAAATGAAGAATGCAGAACCAAAAAGCACACAATCAAGACAGCACAAGAAACAACAATAGACGATCAGGACAGTCTTCCATTCGAGAAATGTAACCATTGATAAAATCGTCTTGTTCAGGTTGGTCAATGTCAGAACTTCATACTTTCCCAGCACCAACTTACTGTCACTTCTTTAATTAGAATCCTTGGAAAATAAATGTGCCTGGGTGCTATCAGCAAATGAACATACCTTACAGCAGGGACTAAAAGTATAAAAATGAACCAAAGGGCTCCTTACTGTAGAAATGGATCTCACCTTTGATTCTCAAATGGGGATGATTTTGGCTACATGGGACATTTGGCAACACCTGGAGACATTTTTGGTTGTCACAACTGGGATTGGGTTGCTACTGGCATCTGGTGGGTGGAAGCTAGGGATGCCATTAAACATCCTAGGGTGCACAGGACAGCTCCCCCACCACCACTCCCCAACACACAAACCCCAAGAATTATCCAGCCCCAAGCGTCAACAGCACTGTGATTGAGAAGCCCCCGTCTCAACTAGGGAAAAACACAGGAAAGATGTAGCACTATAATCCTGGTGGTTTTTTAGGCATTTCGCTGCCATCAGAAGCAACATTTTATCTGCTGCCACAGGCCCCGGAAGCTGATAGTGCTCTCATAAATCTGTGTGTCTGATTCCCAAGTACACAGAGGCAGCCTTCTCAAAGGTTGGTTGGGTCTCCCAAGGAGCAGTAAAAAACTACTATGCAAATGCATCCCATGAGCTTACAAGCAGAAACAGTTCAGTCCTGGAGATACAGATATCCGATAACTGTTCTCTGAAGCCATTTAAAAAGCCTTTCCCTGGAGAAAGAAGAGGCCAGAAATGATTGAAATAAGGAAATCAGCAGGTACCACACCAGCTTGTCTGGCAAGTATGTGAATCTAAGGCCATAAGCCCCTGCCTTGGTGGAACGATGAAGAAGACTCCATGTCCATACTAAATTGTCCCTCAAAAAAAAAAAAAAAAAAAAGGCTAGGCAAAACTGGTGACCGAGGCAAGGCAAGGCTTAGATAGAAAAGATTAGTTATCAATGAGAGAATGGAAAGTTCTAGATGCACCTGATGTTATTTCCAGATATTGCCCACAGGAGCTTGAAGCATGTAGTTTAGACCTTAGATAAGCAGGAATCCACATTCCCAAGACACATTTCACCACTACCCCAGGTTCTTTCTTGGAATAGCCAGTTTCACCAAGTGTTCCTGTGTTTCCCTTCCATCTGCCTGTTTTTCCCAACCTCAGATGACAGGAATAGGCAGCTGCCCCTTGCCAAGCATTGGTGGGAGATTCCCAAATGTTCACCTGCTGCAGGGACAAGGGCAGGGTTGGACTGACTCCATAACTTTAGCTGGAAGCCTTGCTCAGGAGTGCCCCCTACTTGATGAAGGGAAAAGGTCAGACAAATGGTCTCAAAGAACTGAAAGGTAAGCAGAGAAGAGTGATTCTGCGCATGGTTCCAAATTATGGTCAGACCATGTTCTAAGATGCTTCATTGGGGTGCAAATTTAACAAAGCTGGGTCTATTTCGATTTTTAAAGTTATTCTATATCAACTAAAAAAAAATAGTACAGTGACCTAGAACAGAGACAAAAATAAGTGCTCATCTCTGAGGCCAGGCTGGTGGACACATTGGGGCTGCCTGGAGGCTGGAGGGAGAAAAAGTCTGAGAACTCCCCAGTGTAACGAAGAAGACTGGTGGTGGAAATGCTGCCTGCCTGGGCTGGGAGGGAGGAAGGAGTTTCCCTCTACCGCCCTAGTGTTCCTATCTGCCTTGCGTGCTAGAAACCCAACTAGGCTTTACTATACCTGTTTGTATCACAGAATTTCTGTCCAAAAAGATTTGAATCTATGATCAACATGAACCAATTCAGAGGTCAGAAAAGTAGTATTTTGTTCACCTCTATTAAAGTTTCCCTATTTCCAATCAAGACTCATTTAAAAATCCTACGTTTAACAGATTTTGAAATATGGCAGAACTTGAAGCCTAGCCCTTTGCAGGACTAATTCATACCAGTAAAGAAAATAATGTTAGTAAGTAGGTGCTTGTCATTGAAGCTGTTATTCACATTTTTCCCCCTGGGGGGGAAAAAAAAGAGTCAGGCTTTCAGCTACCTCTATTAAATTAGCCATCATCATAAGCATTATTTAGTGATTTTCCTCCATGGGTGCAAGGCACTCCACTAGGCAAAGTCGCTTTCTAGTAAAACTCTCATAATGTCCTCTGAGATAAGTATTGTACCTATTTTGTTTGTAATCAGTGAACTTCAGAACCTCATAGAAGCTAGATGATGTGCCTGAGATACCATTGGTAAATGGGTGAGCACTTTATTTCTACGTCTTGTCTATTGGATATGGAGGCAGATTTCAGGACTTGAAAGGAAGGAAAGGGGATTTCTGCAGGGTCTGCTTAACTAAACGGATTCATAAGCGAGATGTTGGTGGTGCTATTTCGTGATGAACCAGGTTGGAATCTCCTCAGAATTTCCTGAGAACAGCAATGGTAGAGATTTCCCAGCACACAAGATGGCGGGCGATGGAGACATGGAGAGCGTCAGCACACACTGGACAGGAGCAGAGAGAGGAGAGGAAGGGATGAGGATGACACACTGTGATCCAGGCATGTGTTTTTCTCAGCTCTCGTTTATAAGACTGTGTGGAACCCCTCATTAATAAATATTAAGATGGTACATGTCCATTTAATAAATGTTAATAACTCATCAGGTTTGCATTTTAAACCTCATGCCTCTAACAAATTGAACTAAAATAATTTAATTTAGTGGAGAGAACAGTAGATGGAGGGAAATGTGTTCTGAAGCCTCATTTTGGGTTTTCTTTCCCCAAAAGGGCATCCGGCCAGAATGAACTTCAAATATGAAGAAATTCCACAAATAATGCATTTTCTGTTCTTACCTCCATGCCCTTATTGAAAACACCATTCACTGTTCTTCCAGTAAGTTCCTTCGTTCAACAATCGGGCCACTGTCCCAGAGACTTGGCAAGGGCCTTTGACATCACCAACAGCAAGGGAAATGTTTTAACAGCTCCGTTAATACGGCAACAGAGGTTTATTGTTATCAAACAGACCCGTTAAGCCAAGCCACTGCGACTCCCACGGGCCCACCTGCTCTGCTTGGAAGACCCAAAGACTGACAGGGCCAAGTCTCTGCAAGGCTAAGGATTAGTTTCGTCCTTACGCGGGAGAGCAGGGACCACAGAGTGCAGAGATTTAGAGGCGAGAACTAGATTTGAGTCCAGAATCTGTGGATCTGTCACCTGTGGCAAATTGCTTCATATTTTTAAAGCTTCATGCACTTAGCACTTTGCCTGTTACACAGTAAACACGTAATAAATAGTAGTAGTTTTTACAAAAAATTTTAGAATTTGAGTTATTTTATGTATTTATTTTATGTGTTTACCATTATATATGCATCTTTATATATTTATAAATAAATTTACTTATGTATTTATAAATGTATAAAATATAGTTACACTTAAAATATTGTATATTGAAATAGTAAATATATTTTATATACTTATAAATAAATTATTTTATATATGCATACCTTTAAAATAAATCTTAAAAGTAGAGTTTGATAAATTTCTACACATATGAAGGTCACCCAGATCAAAATATAAAACATTCCAGCCAGACATGGTGCCTCACATTTGTGATTCCAGCACTTTGAGAGGCTAAGGTGGGAGGATCAGTTAAGGCCAGGAGTTCAAGACAAGCCTGGGCAACACAGCAAGATCCCATCTCTACAAAAAATTTAAAAAGTTAGTCAAGTGTGGTGATATGTGTCTCTAGTCCCAGTTGCTCAGGAAGCTGAAATGGAAGGGTTACTTGAGTCCAAGAATTTGAGGCTGCAGTGAGCTATGATTACACCATGGCACTACAGTTTGGTAACATAGCAAGAACCTGTCTCTAAATATATAATAATAAATATAAGTATATATTATATAAATAACCATATATAAATATATAAACATATACATCATGAACAATTAAATATAAATATATTTATATTTACTTACATTTATAAATATATTACTATAATATTTATAATATAAATATCTAAAATAATATAATATATAGATATATTTATTATATATATGTGTGTATAAATTTAGAGATGGGGTCTTGCTATGTTGCCCAGGCTGGAGCGTGGTATATATTATATATGTATAACATTTCCAGCACCCTAGGGCTCTATCATGCTGCTTCCTCATTATACCTGCCCCTCTTCCGAGAAAACAGTTTTCCTGATGTCTATCACCGTACATACATTTTGACTGTATATGTTCTCTGTCGTGTCTGGTTTCTTTCACTCAGTATTATGTCACAGTCTGTGTTGTTTTGTCTATCAGTGGGCTATTCTCTTTTACTGAACAGCATTCTGTCGTGTGGATACACCACAATTGATTTCTCCACTTCACTGCTGATGGACATTTGGGTTATTTCCAGTTTGGGGGCATTCTTGTACATGTCTCCTTATTTTTTATAGGGATAGAGTATGAAGTCTGTTTTCCTCATTACTGGTAGACTAACTGTTCCAAAACCATTTTTCTTTTCTGCATTTCTCATATCTCACGTCAGTGAATATATTTAAATACTGACTACAGCAATTTCTAAATTGTTCCACTATTTCTGTGTCTTTCTTTATATCATATTATTTAGCTTCTGAAGAAAAGAAGTGTCATAAGTAGCTGGAGACCTTCATAAAGATATTTGTGATAATTGTTTTAAAATGTAGATAGAAAAATATTTATTTGACTTGAAAAGTACACAATAATTGTCTTTTCTTTCTCTCAAACTTTTTTTTTTAGACTACACTCTAAGACAAGAAATGTATGCTGGGAGGAAACAAAGACTAGTCTGATATGAAACTTGCTTTCAAAAGCAGAGTTGTGATATTCAAGAAAAATATCACAGAATAGAATGTCCTAACTGCAATAGGAGAGGTTCAGATAAAATACTACAGAAGTTCACAGCATGGAGCCCCAGCAGTCATCTTTTCCAAACGAATCATCTTACCAGAGCACAAAACCCTCTCCAAGATACCACATCACTAGTAAATATGGTAATGTGGAATTTAAATCTTTAACATCTACCAAGAGCCTGCAAAATCAGTATGCAAAGTAATGTGTTGCATTGTTTAAAGAATACTAGGTTGATGGTGAAACCCCGTCTCTACTAAAAAAAATACAAAAATTAGCCAGGCGTGGTGGCGCACGCCTGTAATCTCAGCTACTCAGGAGGTTGAGGCAGGAGAATCTCTTGAACTCAGGAGGCCAAGGTTGCAGTGAGCCAAGATTGCGCCATTGAAATCCAGCTGGGGCGACAGGGGGAGACTCCATCTCCAAAAAAAAAAAAAAAGAATACCAGGTTGAAACGTGCTCTCAAAATACAAAGTTAATTAGATGGAGGGTCTCTTCCAACTTATTTGCACAAAAATAAGTATTTTCTCTTTATTTTGTCCTTAATGTCAAGTAAAAACTTTATTTACCTGAAGTTCTTTTTGAGGCTACAAAGGAGGGTCATTTAGCTTGCTCCAAGTTACAGAAGAAACTGAGGCACAAAAAAATTTAATACATTGAATCTAAAAGCTTTAAATAAAGGATGCATTGATTAAAAAACAAATATGGATGACCTACTAGAAGCTTGGAAATGTTTAGTTGAAGCTTTCTCCTCTTATCTTAAATACAGGGCTCCCTGGAAATTAATCACAGATGTTCCAGCACTTGGTAGAAAGGCAAACTTGTGGTGGGAAAGATACAAACAAAATAAGAGCCAAAAGTTGGTCATTGTTTGCAGGATGTCTTATTCAATGTGTATTTTTCTATATGTACATGCATAGGTAAGTCTCAGAGACTTTCTGCTCAAAGATAGGTGACTCTCAGGTATGGTGCAAAAGAGCAATCTCCCCTCCCACCCTCACACTCTTTAAAAACAAGGCAGGGTGGCTGGGTGCAGTGGCTCATGCCTGTAATCCCAGCACTTTGGGAAGCTGAGGCATGCAGATCACCTGAGGTCAGGAGTTCGAGACCAGCCTGGCCAACATGGGGAAACCCCGTCTCTACTAAAAATACAAAAATTAGCTGGGTGTGGTGGCCTGCGCCTGTAGTCCCAGCTACTCAGGAGGCTGAAGCAGGAGGGTCGCTTGAACCCGGGAGATGGAGGTTGCAGTGAGCCGAGATCACACCACTGCATGCCAGCCTGGGCGACAGAGCAAGACTCCAACTCAAATAAAAACAAGGCAGGGGAGTCGATTTTAGCTATCAATTGGTCTGACATTCCAGAAGTCTAGAAATTGTGAAATAAATGCCTTTTTAAATATAAATATTTATGTTTCAAGTTTGGATATTTTAAACAAATTTTAGTATGAAAATGAATAGCAAAAAAGGTCTAGCCATTCTTACTAGTTAAACCAAAGAGCATACTTCCAAAGACACAAACAATAAAATCCCTCTTCCTAGCTCAGCCCTGTGCTTTGAAGGCTTGAGGCTGGTGTGGGTGTGTCAGAACGCCCTCCCGCTCTCTGCCCACAGGATTTCCATTGACGTAGGTGGGACCTGGATTCCAAATATGTGACCCCAAATAGGTCAGTAAAGGACGCCTGTCACAAAGGGAGATCTGTCTTTAAAATTTCAGCATGTGACAGTTCACAAGGGAGAAAGTCATAGAAACCCAAATATTGGATTCTCTGCTCTAATTATTTCAGTGAATGGCCCTTAATGAGAAAAGTCATTTCACAGCAGGATCCGTGAGTTTATGTCTGGAGCCATAGTGATGTTTCACCAGTGAAAATCTCTTTCTACTTTGAGCTTTTGAAGACAAAAGAGATGAATGCAATGTGGACATAGCTTCAAAGCTGTACAAGGATCCAGCAAGACAAGAGAAATACAAAATGCATCTCGGGTCAGTTGAATGCATGTTTAGGATTGCCCATCTGTCCGTCTCTGTTCACATCTTGACCTACGCTGTGTTCCTCTGCGTGGGGTTGGATGCCAGGTCCCCTCTCCATTGATGGGTCCCACAGGTCTTGATATAGTTTGAATGGTTGTCCCCGCAAAGCTTATGTTGAAATGTGATCCCCAGTGTTGGAGGAGGGGCCTGGTGGGAGGTGTTTGGGTCATGGGGTGGGGGCAGATCCCTCATGAATGGCTTGGTGCACTCCATGGTAATGAGTGAGTTCTTGCTCTGTTAGTTCACATGAAATATGATTGTTAAAAATATTCTGGCACCTCCTCCTCTCTCTTGCTCCCTCTCTCACTATGTGACACACCTGCTTCCCTTCTACCATGAGTAAAAGCTTCCTGAGGCTTCACTGGAAGCTGAGCAGATGCCGATACCATACGGCCTCCAGACCTATGAGCCAAATAAACCTCTTGTCTTTATAAATTACCAAGCCTCAGGTATTCCTTTATAACCATGCAAAACAGACAACCACAGGTCTCAAATATCATTTCATTTTGGGGGCTTACTTTGTGGTCCCAGTAACATGAAAGTGTCCCTAGTAAAAGGGAAAAATGAGCAGATGGACTTGTTTTAGTGGGACAGCTAGTTCCAAGCAGCTTTTGAGAGGAGGGAGGAAAGGGAGGGAGAGGTTGGAATGCGTGGAAAGGAAGAAGCCTAATTAAAAGCCCTTTGTATTTGAACTTGGGAGAAGGGTGCTCTAAAGTGAGCCAACAGGGTAAGTTTCCCCTCCTCCCAACTTGGCTGAGCATTAACCCTGCAAGTGGCTTTCAAAAATGTTTATGAGGCTGAGATTTTTCCATTCACTGTGACACCTACCACATCCTAAACAACATGATATGTTGTCATGATCTCACTTGATTCACCAACCATCCTATGAGACAAATGTTAATGGCCCATTCTCTGGCTTAGGACATGCAACCTGGGCAGGAACACTGGTTTGTCCAATGTGGTGCACGTGGTGAATTAGGCAGCCTGTCCTCCCACACAGCACAGCACAGTGACACTGGACACACCCAAAGGCCAAGGGCCATCTGGTCCAGAGTGATGCAAAAAGTGATCCCAGGCACCCTCCAGCATCAGCCCCAGTCATCATCCCCCAAGAAGGGGCGACAAGGAAGGCTCGGTTCTTATCCCCACTCTCATCAAGCTTTCATGGTCCCCGCTGAAAATAAAAAAGCAAGTTGCTAGCATTGGATGCCCTGAAATCAATAGCAAAAGAAAAGAGACCCTCTCTGTCTGCCAAGGAGCTGCAGCCAAGCCTCCTCCTCTGTCCTTCCTTCCACACCAGTCATGCCCCTGAATGGAAACCTGGACTAAAGTCTATGTCACTACACCCTCTGCAAATGTCCAAAGCTGCCTGCAGAGGCAGGGTTCCTCGTGAAGTTCCATGTTGGAAAACTCCCATTTGGGGGAGCAGTGTTAGACCCAGTTGAGCCACTTATAAGCTGTTGCATCAGGTATTTGATTAATATATGTTCTGCTTTAATCAGTAAACAACTTACATTTGTGTAGTACTTTAGAGTTAACAAAGGAGTTTTATTCCTCACCCCATTATATCCTCAAACAGTGATGACCATCAATATCCTGATTTTATAATTGAGGAAGCCAAGAGGTGGAATGGGCAGCCTTGTATCACCTATTCGAAAAGTGTCAAGGTCAAAATGGGAATCCACATATGCTGGCTTTTAAAAATTATTACTAGATTTTTCAAACATAAGAAGAGTAGAGAAAATAGATCATGCTCTCTCATGCCCATCACCTAGCTTGAATAGTTATTCATCGGTTTCCAGATTTACTTCGTCTATTTTTGTTTTGTCAGGATTGCTTTCCAGACATCCTATTATTTCACCCCCATGCATCTCTAAATGTAAGAACACCCATGCCTTCTGGCTGCAAAGCCCATGCTCTGCTCACTACTTCATAATGTCCCCGGGGAACTCACTGGCTTCACCTGCACCTGCTGGGGAGGGAAAAGCTGGATGAGATGAACTCTGAGGCCCTTCCTGTTCTGAAATTTCTGGATTCTGGTTTTTGTAACCAAAGCAACATTCACCACAATGGCTTCTGTGTGCTGTTCTCACCTCACCTTTTGTAGTCATTCCCCCTCCCATTGTTGACTCTAAGACTTTAGAGCTCATCAGCAGGTGAGCAGAGAAGCAAAGTTGGGGTGATTGACAGAAATCAGATCAGAGTTACCTGGTATAAAGAGACTGAGCACATCCTTCAGGTGTCGACAAAGTGGGATCCCCAAAACAGTTTGGAAAAGAATGGATGTGAAAAATTACAAACACACTACTGAAGTCATTATCTAAAGAAAATAAGAGCTTGATTGCTCTTTATTGTATTTATTGTATATTTTTATCTTGAATTTCTAGGAGCACCATAACACTTGCAGTATCTAGAGCCTCTAAAGGACCATCCTAGCTTCCATCAGTATAAAGAATTGAGAATTAACCAAGTCACTGATTAAGAAAATGGAATTCCAGCAGTGTGGTCAGGTCGAATTAAAGACCCTAGGTGTTCAGAAATTGGAGGAAGGATGTTCTAAGGCAAGCAGACAAAATAAGTTTCCCCTCCTGACAACTTGGCAGGGCATCAACCTTGCAAGTGGTTTTTTAAAGGTTTATGGAGCTTAGATGTTTCCATGTGCTGTGACACCTATCACATCATAAACAATGTGATGCACTGCCGTGATCTCACTTGATTCACCAACCATTCTAGAAGACAGGTATTAACAACCCCAAGTTGTGGATTAGAACATTCAGGTTGGATATGGTGGCTCATGCTTGTAATCCCAACATTTTGGGAGGCCAAGGTGGGAGGATCACTGGAGGCCAGAAGTTTGAGACCAGCTTGGGCAATATGGCAAGACCCCATCTTTACAAAGAGTAAGACAATTAGCTAGTTGTGGTGATGTGTGCCTGTAATCCCAGCTGTTGGGGAGGCTGAGGCAGGAGGATTGCTTGAGCCCAGGAAGTCAAAGTTACAATGAGATACGATCACACCACTGCATTTCAGCCTGGGCAACAGAGAAAGACTCTCTCTCTCTCTCTCTCAAAATAATAGTAACACTAATAAAGGCATTCAGCCTGAGAGATCAGTTGAATTCCAGAATATCCTGGGTATGTGTTGGGAATAGGGAAACTCAAGTGTGAGTATCAGGTGTTGTCACAGTTGCAAGACGGTAGCTAAGCCTGACTTGATCCTTACAGTCCCTGAGGCAAGTCCTCTGTCTGGGAAGCCACCTCAGTACCTCTATCCATCCTTACTACCTTTGGCAGGAGCATCTAAGAAGCTTCATTCATCCTGTGTGGGTACACTTGGGGCACTGCCCTTAGGGGCTTTGACCCAGAGTCCCCACGTCCAGGGCAGGGGCAAATTGAAAGCTCAGCTCAGTGCCTTGGCTGGCTGGGCTGGAAAGCGTGCTGCAAGCCTGAGCCTATTCCAGCCAATGGACTTTATACCACGCAGAGAATCCATACCAGACGCTGTCTTGAAGAATCCAGTCCCAGGGAGCAGTTTATTGATCTGGCAGATGATTAAAAGACAGCAGAGATGAGCTCAAGTGTTGCTTTGGTTTTTCCATCCTGAGAGTGAATCTGACATCTCCTTGGGGGATCATCAGCCCCGTCTGCTGCAGAAGAAGCAGATGACTCCTCCGTGCAGCCGAAGGTCACAGGAATGTTCGAGTCAACGTCTTCTGGCTCAATTCTGTTCGCAGCGAGACACCCAGGGGAGCGTCACGTTCGCCCCAGGTCTGGAGCATGCCAACGCCTTGCTCCAGATCATGTCTGTGCCAAGAGAAGTCCATGTGCATTCATCCCACAGGCTCGCCCTCTCCTCTCTCCTTATGGGATAAAGAGAATGATCACAGCACAGCCTGTAACGTTTTATGGCTGCTCAAAGAGAAAAGGGGGAAAAATAGCTTGCATACGTTGCAAAGAGAGCAGACCATTTTCAGCAATAGGGAAAAGGGATGGAATTTGGGCTGAAGTCAGCTGGAGTTGTCATTTGAAATAGACATCTCTGCTGTCAACCCTTGGATGACCTAAGCTGTGCAGCAGATGACTTGGACTTGTCACTAAGTAGATATGCTGTGGTTTTAGGAGAAATTACAGCAGGTGAAATGCTCAGGCAGCAGATTATTTACAAGCTGTTTCTAATGCGGGAGTTTCTACAGCAAGTGGTTTCATGGACAAAAGTATATATTAAATGGCTCGTGTAATTGCCCACATTGGCAGTGAAATATAACCGGGTTGGATTTCAGCAGGACACCTATAGCAATGAAGCATGCTTCAATCTGATTAAAAAGTGAACAGCTCCTTACTGGGACAAATTATACACTGCCCAGGCCAGCAAGAGGAGAACCTGAATAGCAAATGAATCTTGACAATTAGCTTCTTCAAAGCAAACTTCCCATTCATCCACTTCCACAGCTTCTGACACCCCTTTGGAGTGAGACGTGTATGTTCTCCTATAAGTCACAGCACACCAGCTCAGAGTTACCAAAGCTGATTCTGCTTTGGAAACCTTGAACAAAAAGAAGAAAAAGGAGAATATAAGGAGAAAGAAAGGGAGAAGGAGGAGGAGAAGGAGGAAGAAGGGGAGAAGGGGGAGAAGGAGGAGGAAGAATAGAAGGAAAAGAAGAAGGAGGAGAAAGAGAACAGGAGGAGGAGGAAGAGGAGGAGAGGGAGAAGAGGAGGAGGAGAACAGGAGAAGGAAAACAGGAGGAGGAGAACAGGAGGAGGAGGAAGAGGAGGAGGAGGATGGGGAGGAGGAGGAGGCAGCTCAAGAGCCTGCCATTCCTCAGTTCTTTTTCATAGAAAAACAGAAGGAATAAGAGAGAAGAAGAGGGAGAAGAGGAAGACCTTAAATCCCCTTCTTTCCTTAAAAATTTCTGCAAAACTTGGCCTGCAGTAAATATGCTCTGTCCCAGAAAAGCTCTGATCCACACAGTTAGATTGGCTGCACGGAAGGGAACTTCCCCAGACATTTTTATGGGGACCAGAGGATAGATAAGCTCCCTGCATGCTCCCCACCCCCAACTTCCCCAACCCTTGCACTGCTGGTTTTTGTCAAAGATAGTTGTAGTTACAGCTCATTAATCATCCGTCACCCAGACAGACTCTGACAAGAATGCTGATAGCATCAGGGCCCCCAGGGAGCAGACCACAGAGGCAGGACGAGGGGTGGGGGTGACGTTCTCTCCAGCCTGGCCCAAAAGGCCACCAGCCCCAGAGCCTGCCATTTCTCAGCTCTTTTTCACAGACTGAAAGCTCATGCCTGACTCAAGCTCAGATCAACTGGGCGAGATCGCAGACAATGGGTTCTTTGCCACCTGAATAGTAACAGCACTCCCAGGCCATCTAAAAGGTCGGCGTAATTAAAACAACCAGAAGCAGTTGGCGTCCTTTGTTAAAGGCATTCACTGGGGCTGGGCATGATGGCTCATACCGGTAATCACAGCACACTGGGAGGCTGAGGCGGGAGGATTGTTTGAGCCCCGGAGTTTGAGACCAGCCTGGGCAACATAGGGAGAACTCACCTCAAAATTTTACAAAAAGGCATTCACTGTGGCTGAATTGTACTCTGGGTCTGCAAATTAGTTTTCATTTATCATTACATCAGCAGTGTGATTCTGTTTCTGGATGCCAGCTGGAACCATCTGTGATTTAAATAGCGTGTATGCACACACACACTCATATATTCAGAGAAGGATGTACATCCTTTATATATTAACCCTAATTTCTGAACCCAACACTGGGACATCTGGTATGATAAGCAAAAGTAATATTGTTTTATCTGGGAAAAGTTTATATATCAAAGAAAAAATCAGTGGATAAAAAATTGAAATCCAATGCACCCCAGACGAGGAATTTGGATAAATATTTTCTTCCCTTCTAAAGAGATATACCAATATTAAAATCATGTCAGAGTAAGACCCAGCTCTAGTTTTTAAAGAGAAGCTTCTTAATTTGTTCACAAGTATCTGTAAGTTGCAGAGAGGCAAAATGTATTGCATTTTATAGGTGAAAATTTGGAGGCCATAGAGATTGGATGCCCACTTCATGTCACTTGGGGAAGTCTCATTCTGTGACACCCCATTTAATACAAATTCCATTAGCCACCCTGTCAAAGACACTCATTTCCTTCCTCAGACACTGACTTTAATGGATGTAATGTCACATTTTGGCATCTGGAAGACCTTATTTCCTTTGCCAGTCCTCTCTGTTGGGGAGATGTAGGGAGAGAGGGAGAGAGCCTGGACAGTAGGGGTTGTGAGGGGTTGAGATGGTGAGCTTTGTTTAATGTGCTCAATTGCCCTGATTTGGGGGTCAGGACCCACTACTCGAAGTTAGCTGGGATCTTGTAAATTTTCTGAATCAGACTAGGAGGGTCTTGTGTGACTCATGGCATGTTTCCATTTCCAATTAAAGGAAAGATTTCAGGGGTGCCTGTAGCTCAACTCCTTCTTTTTGTTACCCCACCTTCTCCACGAGCCAATCTAATTTCCAATTTATGAACCGTGTGTCCTACGGAAGGACCGCAAACTTCAAGAGGGTTTCGCCCACAGTCCCACCTACTCAGCTTTACTAAATGTCATGAAAAGTTTGTTTCCAAGCAAATCCCAGTAATTCATGTAATTGAAACACACAGAAGCTTGTCTAGAAACAGGAACATTGACGGAAGATGTTAGGCAAAATATTAAGACAGCCAAAGCTGCTTACTGAGATGTGCAAGTGACTCGCAGGGGGACAGACATGCCACTTCAGCACCAGAAGGTTTTAATTTAAACAATATGATTCCATGACCACCACCCTTACCCAGTCTTCCGCCTTCCCACACCTGAACTCCAAAGAAGTTTGAATGCAAGGGGAATTTAAATAAAAGTGTTCAAAGGAAAAGGCATTGAGAAACGCTCAAGTGGACAAGTGTTTTGTTTGTTTTTGTTTTGTTTTTATTTTTGCAGAGGTTTTCAGAAATGTAACTTTCATTAGTGCCCATGTGAGCTGTCCTGCCTAAAGCCAGCTATTGAGCAAGTTGAGTAAATCCCCCTAAGGTAGGAAACAAAGTCCTCTCTCTTTACATTAAAAGGAAGAAAAATTTAACAGCAGAGTCCAGACATACCACAAGGCTCGCTTCATAAATAAAGGGTTTTATTTAGGAGATAAGGTGAACTCTGGGGATCTGTAACAGTTCCTTTCTGTGAGATAAATGCTATGGCATTTGTAGAAAATAAAACTCTCAGAGAAACCAAGACTTTTCTTGTCAAAACAAGGAGATTATTTTCTAGCAACTAAGTTCATTCTCTTTGACCTTGCCTGCCATTAGGGTAAAGGAGATAATAAAAGAGAAAGGGGGAGATTGAATCAGATAGCTAATGTGCAAAGAGAATAAGACAGATATTTAAATATTTCTGGAGAATTCTGCTCCAGTGAGATGCTTTTAGAAAAAGAAAAAAAAAAAAAAGATGCATTCTCCATTGCTCCCAACTGGATTGCAGAAATAGCACAAGATTACTTGGAATCACGTTTTATTTTTATTTACGATCTGGAGTGGGAGGTGATACACGAGGGCTGACTCCTACTCCACAGCTGCACTCTCCGGGTTCTGGAGCTGAAGACATGGCGTGCTCTGGGGGGAAAGGTTAGCGCTGAGAACACATTGCTGTTTCTTGCTCGGATGTGCTGGCAAGAGGGGCCCTGGCTTTGCCTTGTAAAAGTAGCTCCGGAGCAAACCATTAGCACATCTAACCTCAATATTTTGAAATCCAGAAACAACATTGAGTCATGCTGGTCATACTATAAAGTTTTACTGCATTTTTTTAAGAAACAGAGTCAAAAACAAGCTGGGGATCATGTGAATTATCTCTTTACATGTGTCAAGCCCAGGAATTTGGCACATGGATCAAAATGATGGAATGGAGCAGGGAAGCCACCAGGAAAGTGTCATTAGAGGAAAAATCACCCTGGCTCCCGGGAATGCATGGCACTTTATCAGGCGGGGTGCCCCTTGTCTTAACCACATACCTGGCACAGTGTCTGATCTTTGGAAAACTACAGCTATAAATACCCTTCGTCCTGTACTAAAAATAGAGACTCTTTAATGTGAAAGAAGCCAGAGGAAAAAAGGATCTAGTGACATCAATGTGTGTCCAGTGTCTGTGTCATCCTGGCCATGTCTCTGTGAGATGGTGAAGCCAGGATCTTAGTGTTTTCAGGAGAAAAATGAATGAATGAACTAATCCCCTTCTGGAGAAAACTCAGGATGTGTTGATGACTGGAACTCCTTGTCAACTTTTCCCAGATGCTTTCATGAGTTCGAGGTCAATCTTTTCTGGGAACAGTCCAGCAATTTCACCCCAAGTGTCAACTTTGTAAAAATACTCGGTAGACAAGAATCCAGGAATGGTTCCTTAATCTATGGCACCCAAGGCCAAGAGAGCAGACAGTTTTCCCAGGCTGCTCAGGGTTGACTTTACTAAACCGACCATAATTCATACTAACACCTTGAATAATGAGGAGCTCTAAACACATGAGAAAATCCAATAAAGTATTTTAGAAGACAAACAAGAAGACTAGCAGTAGACTTGCAGTGCCAGGTGCTATTACAAAGCTGCAGTAATTAAACGAATATGCCAGTAGCCCCAGAATGGACAAAGAAGTCAATGGACCAGAGTAGAATGTTGAGACCAGATCCCCCCAAATTCAGTATCGTATGATAAAGGTAGCAAGGTCATTTAGAGGGGAATAGATGATTACTAAGTTGTGCCAGGATAACAGGTTGACCCTAGAAAACACGAAGTTAGAGCTTTACCTCATGGTTTACACCAAAAGAAATTCCAGATGGACTAAAAAAAAAAAATAAGGATTTAAAATAAAATCATCAAAGGAGAAAATTTAGTTGTTTGTATAGCTGTTTTACGAGAAGAGAAGGTTTTCTAAGCACGACACAAGAGGTAGAAACCATACTAGAAAAAAACGACCAGTGGGGGATGCAAAACAAACCTTCTCTACATCACACACACACACACACACACACACACACACACACACACACACAGAGAGAGAGGAGAGAGAGAGAGAGAGAGAACAATGTGTAAAGGAGGTGAACATGCAGTTCATAAGAGAAGGCATACACACAGAAGATAAAACCACGAAAAACCTCACTAATAATCAAAGAAGGGAAAATTAAAGCCATCTGTTATGCCAGGCATGGTGGCTCACACCTGTAATCCCAACACTTTAGGAAGTGGAGCCAGAGGATCGCTTGAACCCAGGGGTTCAGGACCAGCCTGGGTGACAAAGCCAGACTCTGTCCCTACAAAATAAAAATAAAAAAATTAGCCAGGCATGATGGCATGCGCCTATAGTCCCAGCTTCTCAAGAGGCTGAGATGGGAGGATCGCTTGAGTCTGGGAGGTCAAGGCTGCAGTGAGCCATGATTATGCCACTGCACAACAGCCTGGACAACAGACTGACACCTCATCTCTTAATAACAAAAGCCATGAGTTGTTATTTGGTTCTTATCAAATTGACAAGCATTTAAAATAATGCTAATGCCCAGATTGGGCAATGTAGAAAGGCAAACCCTCTCATACCCTGTGGGTGAGAATATAAAATGTGTTCAAGGTTTTGTAGTTATTCTACTGTATTTGTCCTACTGTATTCTTTTCTAAGATAATTTTTGAATGATCACCCTTCTCTAATATAAAGCTCATGGTGCTGGTATGAATGACCCAAAAGTCCAGATTGAAAGGACAATTCAGTGACATCAAAGCCATTTTCCTGGTAACTGGAGCACTGGAATAGTCCTGTGGCCATCATATGTTGTGGTTGGGCATGGCAGCTACCGCTGGCTGGCTGTCCCAACCACCATGTGTGAACCTCTTCCTCCTAGTTCATTCTGATCATAAAAGCTATAAAAATCTCAATACTTACTTTCCACACCTGTAGCCGTGGTTGACCATGTGATGTGAATCTGTACAAAGAGTTGTAAAAAGAAGTTTGTTATAGCTTCTGGGACAGTCTTTGCTTTTGTCTCTGGGGGCACTTCTTTGTTTCTTCCCAACGTGACTGAGGAGGTAAAGCCTGGAGCAGGGGCAGCCATTTTGTGACTGTGAGGCAAAGTCAAGAATATCATAGAGACTTTAGCCCCAACACTGAGAACCTTCTTCAGTCCTCAGTTTTCTTGTTGTATAAAAAAAAATGAACCCATATTTGTTTAAGATAACATAAACCTAGCTCTCTACTACTTGGTAGCAAATAGCATTTTTAACTGATTGAGAAGTTCACAACTGTTAGAAAACATAACATAAATATACAATATATGTTAAATCCCTTAATACATAAAAATGGGGAAAGAGTATGCATTTAGAAGACATTTGGCAGAGGCACATTTTTATTTTTTTAATAAGCATACTATTTGGAATAAGATGCTTACATTCTAGCAATATCGTTAGCTCATGAACAGCCATGCCTGAACATTCTGGATGAATAATCTTTCACTAAATATCTAAAAAGCTTTTAAAATAAGTCTGGTATTAAAGTAACAAAAAATAATAGAAACAAAATATACATTCAAGAATGTTCATTTTAACAGTATATTGTCAAAATAAAAAGGGAGGAATTCAAAAACCTAGGTGTCTAACAATAAGAGATTGGTTAAATGAATAATGGTAAATCTATAAAATGAAGTCATATGTACCCATTAAAAATAATGTTGTAGAGGAATATTTATTGGTATAAGAAAATTGTCACCATATAATTAAGTGAAAAAAGAACCTACAAGATAGAATAAACAGTACATAATTATTTCTGTTACTGAAGACTGAGACCACCTTAATCTTGCTTCTCATTGCATTCCCAGTGCCTAATACAAAGCCTGACACATACCAGCGGTGCTTTTATTTTTTTTTATTTTTTTGAAACAGAGTCTCTCTCTGTTACCCAGGCTGGAGTGCAGTGGTGTGATCTCAGCTCACTGCAACCTCCGCCTCCTCAGTTCAAGCAATTCTCCTGTCTCAGCCTCCCGAGTAGCTGGGATTACAGGCGTGTGCCACCACGCCCAGCTAATTTTTGTATTTTTAGTAGGGATTGGGTTTCACCATGTTGGCCAGGCTGGTCTCGAACTCCTGACCTCATGATCTGCCCACCTGGGCCTCCCAAAGTGCTGGGATTACAGTTGTGAGCCACCAGTCCTGGCCTTAATTTTTTTTAATGAGGCTGGGTGTGGAGGCTTATGCTTACAATAACACTTTGAGAGGCTGAAGCCAGGAGTTCGAGACCAGCCTGGGCAACATAGTGAGACCATGTCTCTACAAAAAATTTAAAAATTATCTGGGCATGGTGGTGCACACCTGTAATCCTAGTTACTCAGGAGGCTGAGGCAAGAGGATCACTTGAGCCCAGGAGTTCGAGGCTGCAGTCAGCTATAATCACACCACTGTACTCCAGCTTGAGTGACAGAGCAAGACCCTGTCTCTAAAAATATGTATATATAAAATGTAAGTGAAAATTGCATTAAATGAATTAAAATGTGAAATATACTACATTGTTGCTAGTGTTTTTCTTTCTTTTTGCTTTTAGCTTTGAACATATACATATATCCTTTTTCATATTTTCCACTGATTTTTGCATTCAACATCTATGACTTTTTTAATTAGGAAAAACTTAAAAGACAACTCATGAAAGGAAATTTTCTTTTCTCCGATGCCGCTTTTCACCATTGTATCCAGAAAGGGTATGCAGACTTTACTACCTGAGGCCCCTTCCTGACATGTGTGGTCTTCGCGGGTGTGGAAGTGAGCGTGCGCCAGTTTGGAGCAGGCAGGCTGATTCCTCAGGGCCATGCTTCTGCAGGGACGGCCACAGTCCATGGCTTTCCCCATTGTCCACTCAGCCCTGGCCCTCCCAGGGATCTGCCAGCTGATCCCCGGCTGCTACTGACTCCCCACTGAGGGGCCACCAGAATCTCAGCCTTTCTGTGTCACCACCCTCCTCTCTCTATACCTCATGATCTATGTCCTCTCATAATCTATTCTCTGCTTGACAAAGTGACAACAAGCTATCATGAACAGATGTTATTGTTGTTGTTTTTGAGACAGGGTCTTACCCCGTCACCCAGGCTGGAGTGCAGCGGCATAATCATAGCTCACTGCAAGCCTCAGCTTCCTGGGTTCAAACAATCCTTCCACTTCAGCCTCCTGAGTAGCTGAGACTACACGCACATGCCATCACACCCAGCTAATTTGATGAGGTCTCACTGTGTTGCCCAGGCTGGTCTCGGACTCCTGAGCTCAATCGGTCCTCCCACCTCTGCCTCCCAAAGTGCTGGGATTATAGGTGTGAGCCACCATGCCCAGCCTGTTTATTTATTTTTGCTTTTTAAGAATTCCTTCCCAGGGTAGTATTTGCAGCAGAAAATATACCTGGTATATCTGAAATTTAGCTAAAATGGCAGAATGTGATAGTGAAGTTGCCCTGTGGAGGCTCTAGATGGATTTCAGGTTCTAAGACATTGGGTTGGTCCCAAGTGTGAAGTCCAGACCAGGTCAGTTCCTGAAGGGCAAAGGCAATTTTAATGGAATTGGAGTAGGACCATGGAAAGTCAAAACACATTCTGCCCCCTTGACCCTATTTCTACCATTGCTCCTTTGAAGGTAGCTCTTTTGAATGTGCCAGTGGAGAGAAATCTCATTTCCCTCACTGACAGAGGTCTAAGACCTAGAGGACAGTATTGGTTTTTCTTCTTCTAGAGAGCAAGTTCAGACATTGCTGGGAACACCAGCTGCTCAAGCCCATCCTTTGCCTCTTACTGACCTTTCTCCATCTGCCTTTTCACCCCAGACTCCCTGCACTCGACATTTCCCAGTTATCACTCAAGTACTAATTGTCAAGGGGGGCCGCCTCATGAAAACCCCACTCTTGCCATCAATATTACTTTTAAAAACACTCCCTACACACCTGACCCTTCTCCTCCTTCCAACTCTGTGGTTACAGGCAGTAAGAGTTTCCACCGTTGCCATGGTGCCATTTTGGAAATCTTGCACCTTGGAGCAGAAGAAAATAAAGAAATATTTCAAAAATGAAGGAAACAATCAAGGTGGAAAGAAGAGGAGCAATACAGGGATGCTGGGGAGAGGGGATGAGTGGCATCTGGAATTCTGCCAGGTGTTGGTAAGGAGCTCTCTCAAGGGTTTCATAAAAATGGCCCCAAGTCACTGAAAGTCAGCCAAACACTTGGCCATCCCAGGGCCTCTCAGCTTCAGCAGCAGCCAACTCCACTGCAGCAGCCATCTAAGGTTGAAAAGGGACAGAGACTTGAAACTGGTAGCAACTGATTGCCCAGAGGAGAAGGAGGAAGAGAGAGAGAGAGAGAAAAGGAAAGAAAGAAAGAGAGAAAGAGGGAAAGAGAGAAAGAGAAAAAGAAAAGAAAAGAAAGAAGGAAGGAAGGAAGGAAAGGGAAGGGAGGGAGGAAGGAAGGAAAGAAAAGAAAAGAAAGAAAGAAAGAAAGAAAGAAAGAAAGAAAGAAAGAAAGAAAGAAAGAAAGAAAGAAAGCTGTTTGTTTCTTCTTCCACTCTCTCAAATGCTGGCCACAGATTACATACAGCCTTATGAAAAGCCTATGGCTTCCCATCTCACAGAGAAAGAGAGAAGGGGAGGGAGGGAGGGAGGGAAGAAGGAAGGAAGGAAAGGGAAAGGAAGGGAAGGAAAAGGAAGGGAAGGGAAGGAAGGGAAGGAAGGAAGGAGGGAGAGAGGGAAGGAAGGAAGGAGGGAAGGAGTTATTTGTTTGTTTCCTTCTTCCACTCTCTCAAATGCTGGCCACAGACCTACAGCCTTGTGAAAACTCCATGGCTTCCCATCTCATGCAGGCAAACCTGGTGAAAATTCCCCACACTCCTGTGCTCCACCTCTGTTCCCAACCCATGGCCCAGCTGTCTGCCCATGTGACACTTGTCCAAGGTGCTCTCATGTGAACAGCGACTTCCGCCTACAGTTCCTGGTCTTCTCTCTGCACCGTGCTATCCTCAGGGAAGAGTTCCCATGAGCTGCACCCTGAAAACAGACTTGAGAAGGGTGGGGGCCTCGTCATGGAGTAGAGGTACAGACTTTTCCTCCAGCGGCCATCTAATAAGCAGCTACTATTGAGGGCGTTATGCTGTATGCCGGGGCAGAAAGATGAACAAGGCATGACTCTTGCCCTCAAGAGGCCGACAGACCAATGTGCCCAGTTGCCATGTCACAGCTGTCTGTGGACACAGGCCCTTCTCAAGGAGGAAGATGCCAAGGTATAGAGCAACCGAGCAGACTGCTCATGGGGGTGCAAGGTTAACAATTCTGGTTCATTTCTCATGCCAACGTTGAATTAAGCAACATAAATGGAGGAAGTGGGAAATGACACCAAGAAATACTAAACCTGGTTTTCATCTCCTCTTGCCTATTTTTAAAAAATATGTGTTATATGTTTATACACTGTTGGTGGGAGTGTAAATTAGTTCAACCATTGTAGAAGACAGTGTGGTGAATCCTCAAAGACCTAAAGACAGAACTGCCAACCCAGCAATCCCTTTATTAGGTATATACCCAAAGGAATGTAAATCATTCCATCATAAAGACACATGCATGCATATGTTAATGGCAGCACTATTCACAATAGCAAAGAAATGGAATCAACCTAAATGTCCATAGATGATAGACTGGATAAAGAAAATATGTTACATATACACCATGGAATACTATGCAGCCATAAAAAATAACAAGATTGGGCCAGATATGGTGGCTGACGCCTGTAATCTCAGCACTTTGGGAGGCCAAGGTGGGTAGATCACCTGAGGTCAGGAGTTTGAGACAAGCCTGGCCAACGTGGTGAAACCCCGTCTCTACTAAAAATACAAAAATTAGCCAGGCATGGTGGCGGGCACCTGTAATCCCAGCTACTAGCGTGGCTGAGGCAGGAGAATCACTTGAACCTGGGAGGCAGAGGTTGCAGTGAGCCAAGATCGCGCCACAGCACTCCAGCCTGGGTGACAGTGGGAGGCTCTGTCTCAAAAAATAAAACAAAAAAACAAAAACAAAAAAACAAAAATTAGCCAATCATGGTGGCAGGCGCCTGTAATCCCAGCTACTCAGGAGGCTGAGGCAGGAGAATCACTTGAACCCAGGAGGCAGAGGTTGCAGTGAGCCAAGATTGTGCCACTGCACTCCAGCCTGGGCAACAGAGTGAGACCCTGTCTCAAAAACAAACGAACAAAAAACATGAGATCATGTCCTTTGCAGGAACATGGATGGAGCTGGAGGCCATCATCCTTAGCAAACTAACGCAGGAACGGAAAACCAAATACCACATGTTCTCACTTATAAGTGAGAGCTAAATGATGAGAACACATGGACCTGTAGAGGGGAACAACACACACTGGGGCCTATTGGAAGGTGGAGGGTGGAAGGAGGGAGAGGATCAGGAAAAATAACTAATAGGTACTAGGCTTAATAACTGGGTGACGAAATATCTGTACAACAAACCCCCGTGACACAAGTTTACCTAGGTAACAAACCTGCACATGTACCCCTGAACTTAACATTTTAAACAAGCCTATTATTAACTCATATTTTTAAAAGCCACCTTTTTCCTACACCTGTACCTGCACATTTTGTTCCTGTCACATTACCCTCTTCCTTAGGCTGTTCCTTTCAGCAGCTATGAAAAACAGAGTGCTCTGAAAGTTTGCAGGGCTTTCCCAGGCCAGCTCTTGTAAGTGAAGTGCAGAGCTGTACAATCGCAGACTATTCTGAATGTGCATTTGTGTGTAAACATGAGCACCGTCATAACAACTGGTCAACATATTTACACAGCTTGCCTGAGAGTGTGAAGAATTAAATTCATACACACATACATTTTACATTAAAATATATGCATGGAAACGTAAAAGGTTTAATGTGTGTATGTCCATATCTATAACAACACAGATAAAGACAAAGAAAATTTGCACCAAGTAATTCTGGGACACCCAGGGCTGTACAGTAGGCAAAGTAAGCTAACTGTAGGGTAGGAGTCATCTTGATCGTTTTGCATGGCCTCAGAGAGAAAGGAAGCTGCTAGAATTATATAAAATGCTGAAATCTCAGCCGGGCACGGTGGCTCACCCCTGTAATCCCAGGACTTCGGGAGGCCGAGGCAGGTGGATCACGAGCTCAGGAGTTCAAAATCAGCCTGGCCAATATGGTGAAACCCCGTCTCTACTAAAAATACAAAAATTAGCCAGGCATGGTGGCGCATGCCTGTAATCCCAGCTACTCGTGAGGCTCAAGTAGATAATTGCTTGAACCCGGGAGGTGGAGGTTGCAATGAGCTGAGATCGCGCCACTGCACTCCAGCCTTGGTGACAGCGCAAGATTCCATCTCAGAAAAAAAAAAGAAAAGGCCGGACGCGGTGGCTCACACCTATAATCCTAGCACTTTGAGAGGCTGAGGCGGGCAGATCACCTGAGGTCGGGATTTTGAGACCAGCCTGACCAACATGGAGAAACCCTGTCTCTACTAAAAATACAGAAAATTAGCCAAGTGTAGTGGCGCATGCCTGTAATCCCAGCTACTCAGGAGGCTGGGGCAGGAGAATTGCTTGAACCCAGGAGGCGGAGGTTGGGGTGAACCAAGATGGCGCCATTGCACTCCAGCCTGGGAACAAGAGCGAAACTCCATCCCCCCGCACCGCCCACATACACACACACACAAAAGATGCTGAAATCGCAGGAAATTTAATGGTATAGTTCGCACTCTGCTGTAGGAAGCATTCCTAGCATTACTACCCTGAGACAGGCATGGTTATAACCTCAGAGGTAGATGCCGGATCCTCTCTGACACTATAAACATGAAATTTATATTCATTTGAAAACTATTCTGGTTGTGAATAGGAGAATACAGAGAAACACTAGAGGACAAGGGGGCAAATTTCAACAAATTAAAGAAAACAAGGGAAGTGTTTAGAGAGCACAAGTAGTCTCATTAGAAGAGACTCCTTACTTTGCTTTGCCTCTAAGGCAATCTGGAGTCTTCGCCACTGGGTTTGCCAAGTGAAATGTTTTTTTCTGCTCTACTATTGACCCAGCAAGTTGCATGGTGCCGTTTTATTGAAAAAACATGTGCAAAGTGTCTCCTAAGCAGCAATGAGGATGAGGCTGCTTGCTGCGCTCTCTTGAAAGCAGCCACCAGCAGGGAGCCCGCTCTGGTTAACTGATGAAATGGCAGGCCGCCCAGGCTCCCGAATCATCGATTTCCACAGCCGCAAACAATTGATGCAATCAGCCAAGCTCAGAATTAGCCTGACTTATCCTCATTTGTGTGTGTGTTTATGTGTGTGTGTGTGTTTGTCTTGTATTGGTTCCCTAGTCCCAGGACCCATCTTCATTTTTGTACTTGTTTTGTTTATATTTCCAAAATGCAAATTTTGACTTTCTGCCTGGGAACACTACAAAGTCCTTCCTCACAAACATTGAGGAAACAGGAAACTCACAGATTTCTCACAAAAGGGGCTTTCAATTCCTATTAGATAAAATGATATTCATAACAGGTTCCCAGAAAACAAAATACTCTTATTTATTTATTTATTTGCAAAGTAAAGAAGACAGTAAGATTCACCTAAAAAACAGGAGAAGCAGGGATTAGGGGGTCTCTTTACTGACTTTTAAAAAAATGCCTTACCAAAAATCTCTTGAATGTTAATAGAACGTTCTAGAATTTTCTAAAACTTTCTACACAGAAAGTGTAGAAAGTTTTTCTAATGGTGTCTCTTTGATTAGATAACATATGATGATTCCAGGGCTATGCCCCCCTTTTTCCCCCTCAAAAAAGGTTAAAGGCCATTTTTTGGCGGGCTTTCTTACACATCAGCCTTCATAGAAAGCTGATACAAAAGTTACATCAAGAGACGGTATGTATTAGGAAGAAATGAAAACTTTCCATGCTGGCCATCTTTCTTTCTCTGCAATCCTCACAAATTTCTGGCTAGCATGTTTGTCAGCTTCGACTTGGTTAGACATAAAAATTCTTTTTTTTGTGGAAACAGCAGATGTTACTCTGTGACATTGGGGGTTGACACCATTCATCTATCAGTCTAGAATAGGTCCTCTGTGCCTAATAGTGCCTTCATCCTGAAATGCAGGACTCACTGCATCTGCTATAATCACTGCTACCAAGTGCTGTGGGTGCCCGTCTCGCTTTTCAGGTGAGCTGAAAAGAATAGCTTGGCTGACTTCCAATCACAGCTAGGAAAAATTTGATCTAGAAGGTGGGCCTCTAAGACATGTCACCAATAGCCCTACCAGTAGCATTCTTTCCTTTCTATTTGTGAAACAATTTAAGATATTTTGTAATAAAAATCTCTTCCACACTGCTCCAGCATGGGACCCGTAACTTAAAACACTAGTCTTCCCTATAAGATTAAATCACAGAAGACTCATTTTTAAATACAGAGGGTTTAGTTGACAGGGACCGAATCCAGTGAACCATTTATTTTTTCTAGAGACGGGATCTCTCTCTGTCGCCCAGGCTGGAGTACAGTGGCACAAGCATGACTCGCTGCCACCTCGAACTCCTGGGCTCAAGCAATCCTCCTGACTCAGCCTCCTGAGTAGCTGGGACTTCAGGCGTAAGCCACCATTCCAGGCTAATTATTTATTTTTTGTGGAGACAGAGTCTTGGTATGTTGCCCAGGCTGGTCTCAAATTCTTGAGCCCAAGAGATCCTCCCATCTTGGCCTCCCAAAGTGTTGGGATTACAGAAATGAGCCACTGTGTCTGGCTTGGTGAACCATTATTAAACTTGAACATGAATAACAGAGAACAGGCCTTAGAGGAAAGGACAGAGGGCTGTCAAAAAATAATACTGTTGGCCGGGCGCGATGGCTCACGCCTGTAATCCCAGCACTTTGGGAGGCTGAGGCAGGCAAATCACGAGGTCAGGAGTTCAAGACCAGCCTGACCAACATGGCGAAACCCCGTCTCTACTAAAAAATACAAAAATTAGCCAGGCGTGGTGGCGCGTGCCTGTAATCCCAGCTACTCAAGAGGCTGAGGCAGGAGAATCCCTTGAACCCAGGAGGCGAAGGTTGCAGTGAGCCGAGATGGTGCCGCTGCACTCCAGCCTTGGCGACAGAGCGACACTCTGTCTCAAAAAAATAAAATAAAATAAACATAAATAATACATTTGAGGCAAAGGCAAAATTTCAAAAAACATGGCTTTGCTAGGGCTCATGGCAGGATAGGTGCTGTAGCAAAGGCAGCCTGGGGCCACAAGGAAATTAATTAAGATACTGGATACCTCCAGGTGGGTGGGCTGGAACAAGAATACCACTAGAGGAAGAGGTGGATGGTGAGACACCCAGAAAGCTGTGTGCTAGGTAATTCTCCCTGGTCTACATCGTCCAGATAAAGACATTGCCTTTGAGATTCTTATATGACATGATTATTTATCTCCAGACTTAGGGACACCTGGCCCAGGAGGGTGACTGCAATACCACCACCCTTTTTATTCCACAAATATGGCAATTGGTTTTCTAGGCCTCCTCTCTAGGCTTCATAAAAGAGCAATGGAAATTAAACTAACAATGCACATCCATCAATACCTTGCTCAAATTGTATTTTCAAACAGTAAGTTCCTCCAGAAATGTTTTACTACTGTAAAACATTCAGAAAAAATATATATCTCAGATGAAATGGCTTTATGCTTCTAGCAAAACAATATTCCTGGAAATATGTCAAAGTCTACCCATTTCAAAGAAAATATTGATATGAGAACATCAAATATTAACAAAACAAATCATGCCATCTGAAGGAAAGTAAAGAAATGACACAGAACTAAGCCTTTCATGTGTTTTTGATGGGGATGTAATAGGATTTGGAGGGGGCCCGAGTTTCTCTTTAAAATGATAGCATCCATGTGAACACGTGTTAAATTCAGCACATTTATCGTCCAGTTGGTGAAGTAGTTCCTTGGGAAATGAGATGACAAATGCGTTTTGGTTTCCTAAAATGTACTTCTGGCTTTCTTCGGTTGGTATTTAGTTGGCAATGAAAACACTTTCCACAGATTGAAACAGACACCTCAGGATCTCATTTATAGTCCATTGGGACAGGGAAGTATATGGCAGGAAAACAGTTTCAGCTTCCTTGGAAACGCAAAATGAAAGAGAGTTTGCCAAGTCAGGAGTGTTTTAACAACCATCGAGTGTGGGGATCCTTAAGGCTGGTCCACATCAAATTTTAGGGTGAACTCCCCGGGTGTGTTTGCGTGTTTATGTGTGAATACACATTGTTCTAGGGTTATAGTTTTCATCATATTTGGAGACAACTCCAAAAAGGTTAAGAACCGCTGATGTAAAGTAAAACAAAAATGAAATAGTCAGTAAGAAACAGAAGTGTATTTTGGAAAGAACAAATGTTGTAAAACTGAATAGTTACTGTAGAAGGATTTGTTGACTCCAACATTTTCCTAAAGACTCGGCACCCAGGCCCGGGAAGGCGCAAAGGCAGAATCCCATTCCCTTGGCAGCAGAGGCCGTCCCTGAGCAGTCTTCGTGCTTTATGTCTTAATGTCCTCAAAGCCAAGATTTACTTTTAGGGTTTTACAAATATATGGCAGGATGAAAGGTCAAGACCCGTTGGGTCCAGAAACTGAGATGAGTAGGTCTAGCATGAGAACCAACAGGCTTCCCAAGGACTCAGTCCGGCACTGCCTCATTCTTCAATTCTGAAATTAGGATGACATTAGAGAATATACTACAAGCAAAATGAACCCTTCATAATTGTGTTGAAGTCCACACCTGTAGGAGGATTTCATCCGGCCTACAGATATTGACATTCATATCTTTTAACATTAGTGTGTGTAAAAGCCAAGGCAGAAAATAATGCAGGTCATAGTCTTGCAACTGACTTGCATACACACAAAGCCCAGCTCAAAGAGAAAGAGTGCAGCAGTCAGGTTCTCCAGAGAAGCAGAACCAATAGGATGTATATTTCTATGGAGATATGTTTAGACAGAGAGAGAGGACGGAGACAAGAGAAAGAGAGAGAGTAATATAAGTAATTGGCTCATGTGATTATGGGGACTGGCAAGTCCCAAGGTCTGCAGTTGGCAACCTGGGGACATAGGAGAGCTGATAATATAGTTCCAGTTGGACTCTGCAGGCCTGAGAACCAGGAGTACTGATGGCACACATTCCATCAGCCCAGAAAAGCCAATGTTTCAGTTTGAGTTTAAAGGCAGGAAAAGACTGATGATCCAGATCAAGGTGGTAAGGCAGGAGGAGGAGTTTCCTCTCACAGCCTTTTTGTTCTATGTAAATCTTCAGTTGACTGGATGAGGCCCACCCAGATAAGGGAGAGCAATCCACTTCACTCAAGCCACCAATTCAAATGTTAATCTCAAAAGCATCCTTACAAACACACCCAGAAAAATGTTTGACCAGATATCTGGGCACCACATGGCCCAGTCAAGTTGATACAAAATTAAGCATTAAAAAGAGGCTGTTTCTTTTTAATCAATACCTCAGCTCCTACACATCAAATGTCTATTGTCTTTTTCCAAGCTGCCAATTCAGTAGTCTTTGCAGATCTAATAATAATGGCTGGTCTTTGCTTAGCAATTACTGCATACCAGAAAAAAAAAATCTGAGCATGTCACACAGATTGACACACTTGACCTTCACAATAACTCTGTAATAGAGGTTTTATTATTTTCCCCATATTATAGATGACAAAACTGAGATGCATGTTCTACAAGAGTCCAAGAGATTTTAAAAGAAGGGAAGGAACTGAGATTCAAATCCAGGCAAACTTGGCCCCAGAGTTAGGCTTCCAGCTGTCTCTCACTCTGTCTAATGCATTTACTACTATCCTACAATGCTTCCACATCTCAAAATGCTTTTATCACTTTTTTTTCAGAAACACATTCAGTGCCAGTATGCACTATTTTGAAGTTTATTTCCTCTGAGGCTGAATTTTTTTTAAAGCCAAGTATAATTCCATGTCATATCTGCCTATTAAGGTAGTTGATAAACTCAGATAATACTAACTTGGCAAGGGGTGCCTATAACCTAACAAGGTGAATCCTCAAGTGTTCTTCATATAATACCTCTAGCAACAAAAGCAAAAGAGAATTTGGTCAGTGCTGTAGTGTAAATGTTGTGTCCTCTCCTAAATTAATATGTTAAAATCCTAATGCCTAAGGTGATGGTATTAGGAGGTGGGGCCTTTGGGAGATGATCAGGTCATGAAAACAGAGCCTTCACGAATGGGATTGGTGCCCTTGTAAAAGAGACCTAAGAGAGTTGCCTTGCCCCTTTCATTATGTGAGGACAGAATAAGTTGCCATCTATGAACCAGGAAGCAGGTCCTTTGCAGATACTGAATCTGCTGATGCCTTGATCTTGGACTACCCAGACTCAGAACTATGAGAAGTAAATCTTGGTTGTTTATTGCATCATACCAGTCCAAATGGACTAAGACAGTGATTCAATGACACATGTAATTGATATGGAAATATTCTATCCTAACCAAATATGTATGATAGCAGAAAATATAACAATAGTTATTCCTGGAATCTAAAACAAAGCGAGTGCTGTGATTTTACACACCAATCCCCTGCCTGCATTCCAAACATGTAGCATTAACATGTTAAAGTAAATTAATTTTTAAATTCATAACCATGCAAAAAGAAAAACAACCCAAGATTAGTGACCTCATAGGTTATGAACAGAACCAAATACACAGCAGTAAGTGGGAACTGAAGCCTTTCTACTGGGCTTCAAGATTGAAACATGTGTGAAACCAGGGTCTAAGGTGGCCCGCCCCGTTCAAATGGAGCTTTCATGCTGTGTCGTTAAACTGCACAGAGCTGCTGCCTGATGTCGTGGGAGGAAGTAGAGACAGCCGGACAGTTTGGAGGTGAGCAAGCCCTTGCTGGTTTAGGAACAGGAGCTCTGACATCCCATAGGACACACTAATAGAACTGGTTCTGAACTGGGAACCCTGGTGGGATAGAGGCAACTGTAAGATATCCACATAGAGGTATTAACATGGGGAAAGGAAAAGAAAACATGCCACACACACATCAACACACACACATCCTTCTCAAGGTGAGCACACATACACACACACACACACACATCCTTCTCAAGGTGAGCACACACACACATGCTTCTCAAGGTGAGCTTGAAAACCAAAGCAAGAACAAGACACTATGAAACAAACAAACAAATACATGAATCCAGAACAGGGATGATTATAAAAGATAAGTACTACCACTCAAACAATAATATATTAACTGAAATTTAAAACTAAATAGCAGTGATAATAAATACTAGACTTGTCATAGCCATGGAATTAAAGAGCTATAATATACTGATTGATCCAGAATGAAGCACAGACAGATAAAGAAACCTAAAATATGGAAGAGAGGCCAGGAAACATAGAGAACAGATTGAGACCCTCTCTGATGGACCTAATTGCAGTTCTAAAAGTAGAGAATATACACAAAGGTTGGTGGAGTGGCATTTTTGAGAAGGTGATGGCTTCACATTTTCTTGAATTAAAGGAGAAAAAAAGAGTGTTCATACATGTAGTCCACGCCAATTGTGGACAGGACAAAAAAGACATAAAACCACACCTAGATATTTTGTAGTGAAATTGTAGAACACCGAGGAAAAAGAAACAACCTTTAGAAGTTATAAGGGAGAAATGACAGATGAGCTACACACCGGTAACAGTAAAGAGTACTGTCTTAGTTTTCTGCGTTACGTAAAAAATTACCAGAAGCTTAGCAACTTAAAACAACACACATTTCTTATCTCATTGTTTCTGTGGGTTGGGAGTTTGAACATGGTTTAGCAGCAATTGAGGTGTCAGCCTGGGCTGGGTTGTCATCTGGAGGATCAATTGGGAAAGGATCTGCTGCTTCCAAGCCTACTCAGGTTGGCAGAATTCACTTCCTTGCAACTGTAGGACTCATGGTTGTTGCATCTTCAAAGCAGCAAGCAGAACGAGACTCCAGAGCCCGTCTGCAATCAGTCAGTGTTATGTGACACAATGTGATCACAGGAATGGCATCCCGTTACTTTTGCCGTATTCTGTTGGTTAGCAGAAAGTCACAGGTACAACCCACACTCGAAGGGAGGTGATTACATAAGAGCTTGCACACCAGGAGGTGAGATTGTGGAGGCTGTCTTGAGGTCTGTTTGCCATAGGCAGTAGGCATCTCACCAGCAAGAGATACCAGAAGACAGTAGAGGAATTGCCTCAAAGTGATGGAGAAAATAATCGTCAGACTGCACCGGGAGGAAATTTCGTTTAAACTGAGAGCCAGATAAAAGTCGTTTTCAAACACATAAAAACTTAGAAAGGTGACTACTCTTTCTGACTTTTGGAACAGTATTTTAAAATTATTTTAAATAACAGTAACAAAGACATTGGTAAAATATGTTGACATGGCTAACTACTGATATTTAAATGTTAAATAATTGATTATATTTTGTCTTTATAGAGACAGACCTAAAATTCCAGCTAGAAATATCATGAAGATGGGGAGATAAGATGGAAAGGAGGAGGGAATGCATGCTAACTGACCAACAGAGCCTTTGTTGTTCAGAAGAAAGACAGAGGCACTGGATAATTTTAGATATCATTAGGAAAATGTAAAATAAAATATATATATATATATAAACTGAATTTCACCAAAAAGTGAAGGAATACAAGTTGTAATATTCAAACCAGCCTAAGGGAGGGAAAAAAGCAAATTCAAAACAAGAACAATTAAAAAAAAAGTTTTCTTTTTTTTTGAGATGGAGTCTTGCTCTGTCAACCAGGCTGGAGTGCAATGGTGTGATCTTGGCTCACCGCAACAGCTTCCTCCCAGGTTCAAGCGATTCTCCTGCCTCAGCCTCCCTGGTAGCTGGGATTACAGGTGCATGCCACCACACCCAGCTAATTTTTGTATTTTTAGTAGAGATGGGTTTGGCCATGTTGGGCAGGCCAGTCTTGAACTCCTGACCTTAGGTGATCCACTCGCCTCAACCTCCCAAAGTCCTGGGATTACAGGCATAAGCCACCGTGCCTGGCCAAAAACATTTTTTTAACCAGTTCAACGGATGTCAAGAAAGTAGGAAAATATATGCAAAAAAAAGCATGGTTCAAAAAAGATAGCAGGAAGAAGCCGAATGTGTCAATAAACACAACAAATAAATGTAATGTGATTATACTCAACTATTAAAATATGGTGATTGTAGGCCGGGCAAGGTGGCTCACTCCTGTAATCCCAGCACTTTGGGAGGCCGAGGCGGGTGGATCAAGAGGTCAGGAGATGGAGACCATCCTGGCTAACATGATGAAACCCCGTCTCTACTAAAAATACAAAAAAAAAAAATTATCCTGGCATTGTGGTGGGCATCTGTAGTCCTAGCTACTCGGGAGGCTGAGGCAGGAGAATGGCGTGAACCCGGGAGGCGGAGGTTGCAGTGAGCCGAGATCGCGCCACTGCACTCCAGCCTGGGCGACTGAGCAAGACTCCGTCTCAAAAAATAAAAAAATAAATAAATAAATAAAATAAAATACGGTGATTGTAAAAAGCACAGTTAAAACATCTGGGGAAAGTTTTAAAATGGAAGAATTTTTTGAATTCATGAATTTCCAAAGCACCCTATTGCTTAGCTAGTGATTCTCTAATGTCTAGTGAAAGATTTGATGAAAATGCAGATTCCTGGGCACTGCCCCAGAAATATTGGTTCAACAGGTCTGGTTTCTAAGCCAATCATCTGGATAAGTAGCAAATTAGCCAGTTTTCTCTGATGAGGATGACCTGAATGCCAAGCTCTAGAAGGTCAGATTCTTCAGCAGCCTTCGGCCTAGCCATCTAAACCTTCCATCATCAGCTCATCCTACTTCTCTCGATTTAGCTTTCCTGATCCCCCAACAAACCATATTTTTCCTTTTACCAAGAAGAGAAGGGAGGCATGACTTTGTTACAGGAAAGGGGTCCAGATCTAGACCCCAAGAGAGGATTCTTGGATCTCACGCAAGACAGAATTCAGGGTGAGTCCATAGAGTAAGTGAAAGCAAGTTTATTAAGAAAGTAAAGGAATAAAAGAATGGCAACTCCATAGACAAAGCAGCCCCAAGGGCTATGGTTGCCCACTTTTATGGTTATTTCTTGATGATATGCTAAACAAGGGGTGGCTTATTCATGTCTCCCCTTTTTAGACCATATAGAGTAATTTCCTCATATGGCTGTGGCATCTGTAAACTGTCATGGCACTGGTGGGAGTGTAGCAGTGAGGACAACCAGAGGTCACTCTCGTCGCCATCTTGGTTTTGGTTTTGGTTGGCTTCTTTTTTTTTTCTTTTTTCTTTTTTTTTTTTTTTTTGAGACGGAGTCTCGTTCTGTCGCCCAGGCAGGAGTGCTGTGGTGCAATCTCTGCTCACTGCAACCTCCGCCTCCCCGGTTCAAGCGATTCTCCTGCCTCAGCCTCCTGAGTAGTTGAAATTACAGGCACCCGCCACCACACCCAGCTATTTTTTGTATTTTTAGTAGAGACGGGGTTTCACTATGTTGGCCAGGCTAGTCTCGAACTCTTGACCTCAAGCGATCCACCCACCTTGGCCTCCCAAAGTGCTGCGATTACAGGCGTAAGCCACCACACCCTGGCTGGCTTCTTTACTGCAACCTGTTTTATCAGCAAGGTTTTTATGACCTGTATCTTGTGCTGACCTCCTGTCTCATCCTATGACTAAGAATGCCTAATGATCTGTGAATACAGTCCAGTCGGTCTCAGCCTCATTTTACCCAGCTGCTGTTCAAGACAGCATTTGCTCTGGTTCAAATGCCTGTGACAACTTGTCTAGTTTACTGCTTCCCAGGCTCAAAGCTACAAGAGTAGGTCCAGGGTGCTCTTCAGCCCTCATTTCTGCAGCAGCAAAGATGAAAGTCAGACAAAATAAGCCAAAAAGTGCTGAACTATGACGGCTAAGTCCTCAGGGGTTTATTAGACTTTACTTCCCTCGGACATTGAGAAAAGTCTTCAGCTGAAGTCCATTAAGCAAATTGAAACACTGGAGAAAAATAAACATAGATTGAGGTAGATAGCAGTTTTATGAGAGCAAGGAAGCATTTAGTTCTAACAAAGCTCCCGTCTGTTACTTGGACTCTTGGATGCTCTTAAAACTCTTAAGATACTGTTCTCTCCAAGATATTTCTTTATGACTGCTGGCAGTCATAAAAGAAAGTTAATAGAATTTTTTCCCCCACAAATACAAAATCTGGTACAACCAAAAATAAAAATATAATCACATTGTTTCTCAGTACAATTCCTGACACCAAGCCATTTGTCCTTGTGTCTCCAGACAGGGAATTAAATAATAAACCCAAGACTGTGGTATATTGGGTACATGCCACATAGTGCTTGGACTTCAGATGAAACCAAACCACACTAATATACACTTCCCCCAAAGTGGAAACCTGTATGTTAGAGAATCACTTCAAATTCATACTTTGGGGGAATGATTAGCAATATCTGAAAAACAAGACATTTTATTTCCAAATCTTTAATAATGCAAAATTAAAAAAAACCTTTTGTTGCACCCCTGTGATGTGCAATGTTGGGCCTATGACACATGCGAAGAAGGTGAACAAAAGATTTATATGCAAATCACCTTTCTTGCAGATGATTCCGTGCATTTATTTTAGGCATTTAAAAATAAAGTCACCACTTGGACTTTGTCTCCAAGGCAAGGAATATTCCCTCAGGGCGATGACTTTCAAAGCTCTACGCATGCATATTTTCCTAAGGGACAGGGGTGAAGCCAGCATTAGGTTTTTCCATTTCACATTCTGTGGCATATTCAGAGGCCCTGCTCTCTTCCTCACCTTGTCCTGAGGTTATGGAAACAGAGCCTGGTGCCAGCCTCATTCTCCAGCAGATCCACATGCATGGCCTTGTTCCTCTCCAGGGGGCGGGGCTGCAGAAGATGGAGGAGGTGAAATACAGATTTAGTCCTTGGATTTTCTAAGCCAAGTAAATTCAATATTTCAAAACATTCTCACATTTTAAAAGGCTCGAGCTTTCTAAATACTGCAAAATTATTTACTTCCAAATATTTCCAGCCTTGCTTCATACTGAACATATATGTGCATAATTACAGACATTACATATTTCCAAAGAAATAAGGGGGGAGCAAAACCCCTGAGTCATCTAAACTCATTACAAGTGAGAACTATTGTTTTGCAGAAATGTCACAGTATTTTCTTAAAGGGAAAAAAAGCAAGTTGTACTAATTTTGTAATAGATAAAAGCAAAATTTCCTCTTTTATGTGCAATTGGTTCCAAAGGAGAGTCTCTCTGAAATATAAATGGCCAAAGTCTCCCTCAGCCCAAGTAAATATCTCCCAAAAGAGCCCATAATAATCTCAGAGCTAGCTGCTGCTCTCTTGACACTGAAAATCAAATTAAATCTGATTATCCTTTCTAGCAGGGCACGGGAAAGACATAACCAGTTTAAACCCACAGAAACCCCGAGCTTCATTTTTGCCAATCATTCTAACATTGTCTCCCTTGAAATCTTTCACAAGATGTGCCTTGAAAAAACAAAATGGGCTAATTTGGCTCCTCCTGTGCTGTCTTTTCTCACTGGTTAGTGAAGACACTATGGCATGCATTGTGCAGAAACCAGAGACAAGAGGTTCAAATACTCCACAAACCAGATTACCAGCCAAAGGAAAAATCTAAAGGAGCAAGAGTTTCCCCAAACCCCCAAATGAAATTAGAAATAATAACCCCCTGGAAGTGCCCAAGGTCTTTAACATTTGTGGAATGCTTGGTTAATATCAAATATTATGACCACATGTGTGTTAGCAGGCAGAATTCCCACTCAACCCTGGAGTCTTGACTTTTCTCATGCAACCTCACTAGTGGCAGAAACTCTGCTGTGAAAACCTAGATTTGTAATTAGCATTATCTCCTGTTAAAAAGACTATGTGTACAACAAAGTGTAGAATTCTATGCTGTGTAAAATATGGAGTTTAATTATAAAATGGGGAGCCTGAGGGGTGGGGGTGCCTTCTCAAATGGGGCTGGTGACCCACTGCCCTTGGAGTGGAAGATAAATGGGGACCAGCCTTCTGAGCACTCAGAGGTTTGGGAGGGGCAAGGGGATCTGATTAAAGTAGACGGAGAAATTTTTTTTTGCAGAGATTGTGAAAAAAATGACAACTTCTAAGGGGGACAGAATGCCTTTATTCAACATCAGCCACCATGAGCAGAAGCACACTTCTCAATTACAGCTGACCCTTGAACGCCAGGGGTTTGAACTGTGTGGGTCCACTTACCTTCAATTTTTTTTCAGTACGAGTTGCACATAGTATGCCTGACTCTTCTGCTTCCCCTTCTACCTCCTCCACCTCTGCCACCCCTGAGACAGCAAGTCCAACCCCTCCTTTCCCCCCTCCTCCTCAGCTTACTCAACATGAAGACAACGAGGATGAAGACATTTACAATGGTCCACTTCCGCTTAATGAATAGTAACTATATTACTTTTCCTTGTGATTTTCTTTTTCTTTCTTTCTTTTTTTTCCAGAGTCTCACTGTGTCACCCAAGCTGGAGTGCAGTGGCGTGATCACAGTTCACTGCAGTCTTGACCTCCTGGGCTCAAGTGATCCTCCCACCTCAAGCCTCTCAAGTAGATGGGACTTCAGGTGCAAGCCATCGTGCCTGGCTGATTTTTGTATTTTTTGTAGAGACGGGGTCTCACTTTGTTGCCCAGGCTGGTCTTGAGCTCCTGGCCTCAAGTAGTCTCCCCACCTCAGACTCCCAAAGTGCTGGGATTACAGGTGTGAGCCACCACACCCAGCTGTGATTTTCTTAATAACATTTTCTTTTCTCGAACTTCTTTTATTACAAGGATACAGAATAGAATACATATACCCTACAAAATATGTGTTAATCAACTATTTATGATGTCGGTGAGGCTTCCAGGCAACAGTAGGCTATTAGTTGTTACGTTTAGGGGGAGTCAAAAGTTATAGATGGATTTTTGGCTGTGTGAGAGTTGAGGCCCCTTTTATTCAAGGATCAACTGTAATTTGAATGATGGATATTGGGCAATGGCAATAATTTGCTCTTCTTGTTTAGAATTGTGCTATACTAACACTGCTATATTAACAAAGGAACATGATGACATGTGCTTTCATTTTACACTGATATGAGCCGGTTATGTGGACAGTTGCATCTCCGGATTAAATGATAGTTTATTATTATTCATTTGTTGACTGAGCGCCCATAACCATGTCCTATTAACTCAATATTCATTAAGCTCTGACTGAGTGTCTGGCACTAGGACTCTCTTTCTCGGAGCAAGTCACTCGATCACAAATATTGACTCAACAAGCACTTACCAAATGCTTAACTTGGAGCCAAACTTTGTGCTACACATTAAAAAGGCAAAAAAGTAACTCCCTGGACCTCAGCTTTTTTTAATCTGTAAAGGAAGGTACTGGACCACAACAATTTTGGGGGGTTGCCTCCGGTTTTTAAAAAAACAAGAAATCTCATTTTGGTTTTGTTTGTTTATAAATAATTACCTTTAATTTATAAACTCCAAGAATCTAGATTCATTATTGCGGCTTCTCCTGATTCTAAATTAGACATTCGAAAGGTCACCAGATGATTCCATGCTCACCGTTGGAGCCCGCCAGCACTGGGAGATCGATGTGAACTGGAATTTTCAACACATGCTTACAAATTACTGCAAACCCCAGATACAATAAACACATGACAGAGAGGGAATTGAGATCCTTAGAATCATTTCATAAAACGCCTTTCCCACTTGATAATGGCAACATAATCAGGATTCCAGCAGAGACGGGGCCCTCCTGTGTGAGGAGGAGCTCAAGGCTGGAGGTGGTGGGGTTGGTGCCTCCTGTCCCTCTTATCCGTCTCAAAGTAACAATCATTTTGCCATTGACAGGAGCCCACAGTTGTAAGCCTGCTGGGTTTCTGATTTTTCTTATTCTGGGAGTGCACGGTTGGATTAAATGATGGAAAAAATCATGCCACACAGACATTTTCCTTTGAAGATGTTAAGGAGAGTTCAGCCACAGTGCAAGTTCTTTCTGCATTTATCTTGGACTTTAAAAAAAAATTGGAAATGGCTATAACATGACATGCTGACATATGAGAATAAAAATGGGAAAGATCTGTAAAGATGTTGGCAAAGAAAAGAGGTCTACCAATGAGTGGGCATTTGTAGGAAAAAAAGTAGCAAAATGCATTGGGCACAGGACTGAATGTTCACACACACATGCACACAAATACGTACACACTCACATACAGACACACACATAGCAAGAGAGATTCTCCAAGGGTTAGAGCACCAATAACTGAAGAAATTCCTGGGGTACCACAAAGGTAGGGAATTTGTGTTTCATGGAGTAATGCGTGTTATCCTACTGTCCTGAACTGTGTGTGCCTAAAGGATTTTGGAGTGTTTGGGATCCTGGAAAATTTTCTGCAAGCATTTGGCAAATGTTGAAAATGTCATGGAATTGAAATAATTTTTAACAGACCCAGTGCAAGATGAGTGTGGCGTGGAAGACGCTGAAGGATTCATGTCATATCCATCCACCTGCCTCCAGGCTGGGCAGAACACAGCCTGCAGAAAAGCTATTTAACTTAGCAGGCTCAAAAGTAGCAGTTCTTAACATTGTGAAAGTCCCACGTTCCTTTGAGAATTTGGTCAAATTTAGAGTGTGTCACCAGAAAAATGAACATGAATACCCCCACTTAAATTTACAGGTTTTTTAGATCACTTGAAACCTTGGACAAAGAACTCCTACCATTATTAGAAAATATCCCTAGACCTTATTGATGAATGAATCTTTATGCTGAAGGGCCTCACGTTTCCTCACCAAAGTAACTCAAACCTACCTGATACTTTTGCCTAAGGCTTCATTTCTTTTTCACCATGGGGGTGGGTTAGTAATAACATTCATAGTAGTGATATCTCTACTAATGATCATAGTAACCATATATGTTAAGCTCTTGTCATGTGCCAGGAACTATTCCAACAGTTTTAATGGTAACAATTGGTCATTGGCAGGGCACAAGTTTGTATCCTGGAAATCTGATGTCAGAGCTTGCATTCTGATTCTAGATTCTTCTACCCATGAAAATGTTTCTTTTCTATGCATGACAATGGAAACTGTTGAACAACATACACAGTACAAAACTATGAACCATATTAAAAAGAAAATTTTTTAAAAAAAGTAAATCACCCACCACATCTGTCTGTCACCTAGGCTGGAGTGCAGTGGCACAATTGTAGCTCACTGTAACCTTGAAGTCCTGGGCTCAAGAGACACTCCCGCCTCGGCTTCCTGAGTAGCCGGGACTATGCTCAGCTAATTTCTCCCTTTTTTTTTTTTTTTTTTTTTGTAGAGACAAGGTCTCACTACACTGCCCAGGCTAATCTTGAACTCCTGGCCTACAGTTATCTTCCTACCTTGACCTTTTAAAGTTCTGGGGCTATAGGCATGAGCCACAGTGCCCAACCTTAAAAAAAAAATTATCCTTTTTCCTTATCATTTCAAAGAACTCTAGATGGTTACCTAGGGTTTTGGTCAAAGTGCACATCCTTTTGTGAGGATGGACTACTTTGCAGTTCCAGTGGCCAGCTGCTACCCACGAAATTCATAATTGGAACCCTACAAAAATCTAAGAAAGAGTGTAGTCTTGACAAAGTATGATGTCAAGATATATGGGTGGGTCTCAAATGACCACTGGAGTAATCCAACCTGTTTGATCACTTTTAGAAACATCTAGAGAGCAAAGACCAACTCTTTCCTATGATATAGTTGGTGCCTGTTTTGTGTTTGAATTTTTGAAATAAGCTTAACCAGCAATGGTAGTGTCTATCGTACAAGTCTAAAATAGTGGAGGTGGTAGCAGAATACATACAGTGGGATGGGCCAAGGCTTACGACATGGCAATGAGGTTTGATTTCCTATAAATCCATCTCTGTGTTTATAACACATTCTATTGCTGTGTTATTCCTGGTGGTACTGTCTTAGTCATACCCACGGAACTTATCCAGTGCACTTGACTTAGAGACGCATTACCTGTGGGCACCCTTGAAACTTAGAGCCATGCGCTACAGTCCCCAAAGTTCCCTAGAGTAGTCTTAGACTCAGCCCTAGCTGTCACCCTAATGGCATAATGACTCCCCTACTGGTCTGTAACAGTGTCAGAAATCTGACTAGTAGGAGTTCATTGATTAGAGTTAAGGAGGTGTTTTTTTGTTTTTAAACAGATTTGAAACCAAGTCTTATTCAGAGGCCAAATATTCAAGCTCCTCCCACTCCCCCTACACCCACAAAAAGTAGAGCTGGAGAGCAAGTCAGATTGCCCCGGGGACAGGAGTGGGTCTGTCCATTCCCAGGGTGGCTCAGACCTCCTGGTGTGGGGCTTGGGGAACAGGGGCATCCATCCTGAGGCAACTTCACGGGGCCTTTAGTCTCTGAAGAACTGAAGTTTTCACAGTCTGAAAACAGGTTTTGGGGAAAGAAAACCACAGTATTTTGAAGATGTCTCAATTCATATTGCCATTCTCTTGGGAAAAGTTACACATTGAATCAACCTCAGTGATTAATTCCCAATCGTAAATTCATTTGTCAGGTTGGCCAGCTGAGCCCACAGGAAAGCAGCCATCCACAGTGTCAAGTTAATAGAAGATGGAGAGGACTAGCTATTTCAGATTTTCTCACACTTCAGTGGGCATTAGGATCACCTGGGGAGCATGTCAAATCTCAGATTCCCAGAGGCCACCACACCCCTAATTCTGCAGACCTCGACTAAGATCAAGAAAATTTTATTTTAACATGTTTTTCAGGTAAGGTTCCCAGGCTGGTGGTGAGAGCTACACTTTGAAAAACACTGGTAAAAACATTGTAGACCCAGTTATAGGAAATATCCAGAACAGGTAAATCTGTAGAGACAGAACACAGATCAATGGGTACCAGGGCTGGGAAAAAGGGAAATGGGAAGTGAATTAATGGGAACAGAGTTTCCTTTTGGGGAGATGAAAAAGTTATGGAACTAGAGAGAACCGATGGATGTGTGCTGTGAATGTACTTAATGACTCTCATTGTATACTTTAAAATGGTTAAAACAGTACATTTTATGTAATGTCTATTTTACTGCAAGTTTTAAAATAAACAAATAAATAAAAACACTGCACACATTTAAAACCTCTGCTGCCATCATCACCAGTGAGCTGACCAAGTCTATGTTTGATTTGCTTTGTGTTTCTGCGTGGTCTTAGCTTTGTGGCTGGTTACCCCTTGTGGGTAAATGTGTAAGTCAGCTTAGGAGTTTGAATCTTTACCCCTGTGTTGTTTGGCTCTTGTGTCTTCATCTTACTTTCTATGGCCCCCAGGTAAGAAGATGGAGAATAATGTATCCATTTGCTGCTTTTAGTTTACTGCAATATGTGGTCATTTAGATGGCACATAATATCACCAGTGCGGTCCCACTTTACACAAAAAATAAGTAGGGTCAGACTGTATTGGTAGAGTGAAATTAATATGGTTAATTTGATTAAAATGAGACCTTTAAGTAATAGAACCCTCACATAATTTATCATGAGAAGAGGAGTGAGTTTGAAAACTTTTTGTGGCACATGTGTGCTGGGTTTCTTATTAGCAATGTAGTTACAGTCATTGGCCACTGTAGAGATTAGTCACTTTTATTTTACAATAATCAAGCAGTTCAAATCTGCTCACCTTTTCTGTGATAAGTGGCTATCAACAGTATGCTAACAGATTTTTAAACTTATTTTGGAATCATTTTAGATTTATAGAAAAGTCGTGCAGAGAGTCCAGAGTCCCACATACCTTTTTCCCAGCTTCCCTAACATGAGCATCTTACACATCCACAGCATGTCTGTCAAAACCAAGAAAGTAACATTGGTGCAATATATTAACTGCAGGCTTTATTCAGCTTTCACTCGTTTTTCTAATATGTCCTTTTTCTATCCCAGGATCCAATCCAGGACACCGCATTGCTTTTAGTTCTCACACTTCCTTAGTCTCTTCCAGTCTAGCGTTTTCTCAGCCTTGCTTTTCTTGACTTTGACATACTTGAGGAGCAGTGGTCAGGTATTTTGTGGATGTCCATCCTTTGGGGTTTTATTTATGTTTTCTCATGATTTGAGTGGGGTTATGGATTTCGGGGAAAGAAAACCACAGAGGTGAGGTGCCCTTCTTGTCATGTCCTATCAGGGGGACCTAACATGACTCATCCCTGATGAGGTTAACCTGGATCACTTGGCTAAGATAGAGTCCGCTGGGTTTCCTCACCAGAAAGTCGCCATTTTCCCCTTTCTGCATTCTATCTGTGGGAAGCAAGTCAGTCAGTCGAGCCCCTACTCAAAGGGAGGAGAATTAAGCTCCATTTCCTGGAGGGGGATTTTCTACATAGATTACTTAGAATTCTTCTGAGAGACAGACTTGTTTCTTGTCCTCAGATATTTATTTATTCAATCATTTATTTATATCAGTATGTCCTCATATATATTTATTTTATTCTGTGTGTTAGAATCCAGTACTATCGTTGTTTATTTTGTTGTGCGATTGTCTCAGTTTAGGCCATCGGGGGGTTTTCTCAGTTTGGTTCCTGTGTCTCTTCGACATGTGCCTCCCCCACCCTCAGCATTTCCTTATTCTTTGGCACCAACAAGATACCCCAAGCTCATTTTGCATTTTCCCTGACTCAGTTCTGCAATCAGCTTCTTTTCTAAGGAGTCCTGGTTTCTTTTACTGGAGAATAAAATGGTATTAGAAGCAAGTCTGTGTATTGAGAATGCCCATAGCTACTGGAGTGCCACTGTTTCTAGGTAGATGGACAGATTTATATTAATGTCTCCAACTCTAATCCAGTGTCACAGAGTTCAATTCTAGTCTTTCTCTTTTGCTTGTTTTTAACTTCTCTCTCTGACAGTGTGAAATCTGGCTCCCATCATCTGCAATGTTTTTCTTCATTTGCTTAATGCTAGTTTACATGTAGTTTCAGAATTGCTAACTCTTACCCCAGGGAGAAGGGAATTCACCAACTGAAGTACAGTGTTTATGTACAGATTGTTTTGTCTTTAGACTTTAGATATTCAGTCAAAACACTGTTTTCTAAAGTTACCTGGATCCGCATCTCTTTTCCCACGCCTTCAGTGAGGTTATGTTATACGTTTGTAATACAGTTAGGTCTTTTTCTCACAGACTAAATTCTATCCTGGTATTCCCCAACATCCTGGATGATTTTTTTAAAGTTTGCATACAATGAAGTTCCCCCTTTGTGGTGTACGGGTCTACAGATTTTGACAAATTCATGAAGCCATGTTTCTACTACCCCAGTATCATAGAGAACAGTTCCAATGACCTAAAATAAAATAGAATGTGTGTGGTTCCTTTGTAGTCAATTTCTCCTCTAACCCTTGACAATCACTGAACTGTTTTCCATCCCTATAAATTTTGCCTTTTCCATAATGTCGTATATATGGAATTATATATAATACGTATATATAATAGTAATCTTTTGGGTCTGCCTTCTTTTATTTAGCAAAATGCATTTAAGATTCATCCTCATTGTTGCGGGAATCAAATAGCTCATTCCTTTCATTGCTGAGTAGTATTCCATTGTATGGATAGATCATAGTTTTTGAATATATTTGCCTGCTGAAGGTCATCTTTGTTGCTTCCAGTTTTCATTGATTATGAATAAAGCTGCTATAAACATGGGTTAGCTTGTTTTTGTGTGAATGTAAGTTTTTTATTCACTTGAATAAATACATAGGAGTATAATTGTCGGTTTATGTGATAAGTCCATGTTTAATTTTATGAGAAACTGACTAACTGTTTTCCAAAGTGACTGTACCATTTGTATTTCCACCAGTGATAAATTGGAGTTCTTACAGTTCTGTGTCTTCATCATTTGGTTTCATCTAATTGATTTTAGCAATTCTAATTAGTGAGAAGTGATATCTAATTGTGGTTTTATTTACTCTTTCCTGGTGACAATGATATTGATCATCTTTTCATATGCTTGTCATTTGTATATCTTCTTTGAAATGTCTGCTTAAATCATTTGCCCTTTTTTTAATTGGGTTATATGCTTGCTTATAGTTGAATTCTAAGAGTCCTTTATATATTCTGAATACAAGGCTTTCATCTCATCAGACATTGATTTGTAAATATTTCTTCCAATCTGTAGCTAATCTTTTCATTCCCTTAACAGTGTCTTTCAAAGAGCAAAAGTTTTAAATTTTGATCAAATCCAACTAATCAGTTTTTTTTTCTTCCTTTCATGGATTGTGCTTTTGATGTTATATCTAAAATTTCATTGCCAAACCCAAGGTCCTGCAGATTTTTTATATTTAACTTAAAGAATTTCATCGTTTCACACTTTTTACATTTAGGCTTTTGATCCATCTTGAATTAATTTTTGTATGAGATATAAGGTATGTATTCTTCAATATGCCTTATGCCTTGTTTTATTTTTGTTGTTTTCGTTGTTTTGCACATAGACAGTCTTATTTTAGTACCATGTGTTAAATGGAACATCATCTTTCCATTGAATTTAATTTGCATCTTTATAAAAAGCTACTTGACTACATATGTGTAACACTATTTCTAGGCTCTCTATTTTGTTACACTGTCCTATGTGTCTGTTTCCACAAATATCATCCTGTCTTGATTACTACAGCTTTATATTAAGTTCTAAAATCAAGCAATATGAGTCCTTCAATTTTATTATTCTTCTGAATAGTTTTGCCTACTCTAGTCCCTTTGCCTTTTCATATAAGTTTTAGGACCCTCTTATTGATATTTTCTAAACAATTTTTCTGGGAGTTTAAATGGGATTCCACTAAATCTATGTATTAAATCTTAATAATATTGACTCTTCAAATTCATGAATATGGTGTGTCTTTTTCATTTACTCAGGTCTTCTTTAATTTTCCGTCTGTCTTATAGTTGTCAGTATATATATCCTGCACATATTTTGTTAGGTTTAAATTTAAGTACTTCATTTGCATTTGTGTACTATTGTAAATGGATTTTTTTTTATTTCAAACTCTTATTTTCTATTCCTAGTATATAAGATTGTAAATGGCTTTTGTATATTTACGTCATATCTGAAAACTTGCTAAGCAAGCATTTTTGAAAAAGAAAAAGACAATCCGTCTCTATTTTCTCACTGGTAAGATCCCTATTTCAAAGCATTTTGAAAAAGATGTTTGAGGGAAAAACCTATACATTTTCTCATATTATAGACTGTTCACAAGAAGTCCACTAATGGCTTCTAAAGATAAAAAAGACCCTCAAGCAGCTTGAAATAACGAAAGTTGAAATTGAAACTCTGCTGAAAAATTATGTTTCATCTCTAATATTGAGAAATATTGAAACATTTGATAACACAGTGTGCTATCTTCCTGATACAAGCCCATGTGAAAGGCAATTTGGCAAATATCTAGCAAAATTACAAAATTATACCCTTTGATCCAGCAAGATATTCTTGTAAAGTTACAAATGACATATGTACAAAATTACTGGTTGTAATATGTTTACAATAGAAGAATAAAATAAGTGTGCATCAATATGAAATTGGCTAAGTATGCTATGTTGTATCTGTATAATGCAATACTATATGAACTTCAAAATAGATTTCAACAAAACCTTTGCATTATTGGCAGATGGAATTTAAGAAAATATAACGATTAGTTAGGTGCAGCCAACAATAAACTTCTACTTAGATCTACATATTCTAATGAGAATTCATTTCAAATGTGTCACTAAATCTGAACATTGAAATAAATAGACCTTGAAAACAGCCCTTTAGTTATTGATTCACAAAGTGTTAAGCCAAATTTTTCAAAAATAATAAAATCATGTTATTACAAAAATATTTTATTAATAATAATTTGACTATAGCAAATGTGCTGTTAATAAATTTTTAATGTTAATTTCACCTCTATGTCATTAATTTTCAAATTTTAGTTTTATGTATGTTGATAATTTATGTAGCATATTAGTACTGAGGTACAGAAGTATGATTTATAACTCAATGTACATCTAAAGAGGATACATGCTTAACTTTCTTTATTAATGGAATTTGTGATAAAGTTTGCAGACGCCTCAGAGAAGAGCTCTCACTTGGACAGGAGGCCCTGGCCAAGTTGTGTAATGAGGAGGGTTGTTGAGGGGAAAAGACAAAAAACAAGAGGTATTAAGCCCCAGAAGACAGTTATCACCTGCCTCAGAACACAAGCATGCAGGATGATACAGCTTTTAGTGCCAAGAAGTAGAATTCTAGCATCTCTAGGTGGTGAGAAACAAAGGATTAAGAATTTTTCTTTCTCTAACACTCTAAAGAAATGTTCTTGAGCTAGGAAAGGATTACTCGCGCCTCGTTAGAATCAGACATGGCTTCAGGGGATGCAGGACGCTCCCCTGAGCTGCCTGTCACCGACTAAGTGGAGCAGTGTTTCTTCCGCAGACTCAACTGAGAAGTCAGCCTCTGGGGCAGGCACCAGGAATCTGCCTTTTCAGTAAGACCTAAATTACTCTTATGAGAACCAGCAATGGCAGGTTCTTGAAGGATGTAGAACATGATGCTTGGGGTTATCATTGCTGCGGGTTTTCTTTGGACTTGTTTGAGATCAGTAAAATTCTAAGGCAGGGGATGGAAACCAACTCTATTTGTAAGCTCTGTATCTTTTTTTCTTTTTTCTTTTCTTTTTTTTTTTTTTTTTTAGACAGGGTCTCTCACTCTGCTGCCCAGGCTGGAGTGCAGTGTCACAATCATGGCTCACTATGGCCTCAAACTCCCAGCCTCAAGTGATCCTCCCACCTCAGCCTCCCCAGTAGCTGGGACCACAGGCACACACCACCATGCCTGGCTAATTTTTGTATATTTTGTAGAGGCAGGGTCTACCTTTGCTGCCCAGGCTAGTCTCAAACTCCTGGCTTCAAGCAATCTGCTCACCTCAGCCTCCCAAAGTGCTTGGATTACAGGTATCACCCACCATGCCTGGCCTTAGCTCTGCATCTTAAACCTCGTTTGTCTGTCCCTCACAGCTTAACACAGTGCTGTACACAGCGGACTGGCATGCTCTCTCTGAAAAGGGCCAGATAATAATATGTTAGGCTTTGTGGTCTATACGGCCTCAAACACAATTACTGAACTCTGCCACTGTAGTTGGAAATCAGCCACCAATGATATATTACCAAATGGGTGTAGCTATGTTTCAATAAAACTTTACATACAAAAGCGGGCCTGGTTTGCCCACGCTTGCTATTCACGTTTGTAATGTACATGCCCCTCATGCAATGCAGTTCCTTACCTTATTGCTTAGTCACCTTAAAGCCCTGCTTGTTACTTGGTGCGGTGGCCTTGCTGATGACTACTTATCCCTGTTTTGGGCCTAGCCTTTCAATGCAGGAATCCAGCCCCAGGGAGAGAAACTAATGACTGGAGAAGTTTCTAGGCAAGTGCAGAAAATGACACGGGATGAACATATGTAAGAACATCAAGTTCAGGATCCCGAGTAGTTGTCAGAAATTTCACTTCACCCCATCCCAGCAAGGCTGTTGTATTTGGGGAAGACATTATTTCAAGAGGGGAAGAGATTGTGGAAAATCAGTAGGCAGCAGGAGACAGCTCTCTTGATCCTACTCCCATTTCAGATGATTCCGCAGGGGTCTCTTTATTGCCCCTCTGCTCCCCCAGGTGCTTTCCTCCTTTCATGAGGCTTTGTCCTCCATCCCTCTTGCTCCCCAGTCAGGTGCCAGACTTTTAGGAGGCCCCCCGGAGCACTGGTGGTGAAGCTTAGCAAAGCAATGCATTTGCAATCTAAGATAAAACACTCATGTTTTGGGCTGGGCATGGTGGCTCACACCTGTTATCCCAGCACTTTGGGAGGCCGAGGTGGGCAGATCACAAGGTCAGGAGTTTGAAATGAGCCTGACCAACAGTGTGAAACCTCATCTATACTAGAAACACAAAAATTAGCCAGGTGTGGTGGTGGGCGCCTGTAATCCCAGCTACTCAGGAGGCTGAGGCAGGAGAATCGCTTGAACCTGGGAGGCAGAGTTTGGAGTGAGCCCAGATGGCGCCACTGCACTCCAGCCTGGACAACAGAGTGAGATTCCATCTCAAAAAATAAATAAATAAATAAAAGCACTGATACTTTGGAAGCAAAGCTCCCACATTTGGAACTGAATCAAGAAAAGAAAATGAAAGAGTAGGTGCTTAATCTTCACTCTTCGATAAACCCCCAAACAATAACCCTTAAAGTTTTCCATACAGGCCCACGTGTCTTTCATCTGTGGCTGAAATGGGCTGTCTGTTTCTACACATCCAGTTGATCCTTGAACAAATGTAGGGGTCACGGGCACCGACGCCTGCTCAGTTGAAAATCTGCATGTAACTTTTGACTCCCCAGAAACTTAACGACTCCATAGCCTACTGCTGACTGGAAGCCTTACTGATAACATAAATAGCCAATAAACACATATTTTTTATGTTCTATGTCTTCTGTACTGGATTCTTACAATAAAGTAAGCTAGAGAAATGAAATGTTATTCAGAAAAGAATAAGGAAGAGAAGATACATTTACTATTTGTTAAGTGGAAGTGGATCATCATAAAGGGCTTCATCCTGGTTGTCTTCACACTGAGCAGGCTGAGGTGGAGGAGGAAGAGGAGGGGTTGGTCTTGCTGTCTCGGGGTGGCAGAGGCAGAAGAAAATTCACGGATAAATGGACCCACGCAGTTCAAACCCATGTTGTTCAAGGGTCAGCAGTATAGGGAATGTTTCACCCCTGTATTCTATTTTTCATTCATAGAATTAAAATAGAAATCCTAAAAATGCCCCCTGTGGTTTTCACCTGGATGTGTATTAAGGAGGGTTAATTTTTTTGCTTGCTTAACCCTGAGAACACAGCATTGACTTGAAAGTTACTGTATGGAAAAGCATTAAGGAAACAGCCTTCAGTTGCCTTCCTTCCCTGGACCGTAGAGTGGCCGGTTTTCCCTGATGGTGGCACTGAATGACCAAAGTGACAGGCAGCATCTAGGCAGGGCTGTGCACAGTCACCACCGCTGGATTTCAAAGTTCCTGAACCAAGATCGTCTGACCTGTTCTCCGGCTCTTTGGCAGGTTCTGTCTCCGGCAGGCTTTGAGGATGAAGGCTGCGGGCATTCTGACCCTCATTGGCTGCCTGGTCACAGGCGCCGAGTCCAAAATCTACACTCGTTGCAAACTGGCAAAAATATTCTCGAGGGCTGGCCTGGACAATTACTGGGGCTTCAGCCTTGGAAACTGTGAGACTCTTTCTTTCCTGCTCTCCTTCTGTCCTTGACCTTTCCCCTGAGATGTTGAAGGTCCTGGCCACACTCCCTGCTGTGTCTTCCCAACTACCCCTGCTCTGCCCTCACCGCACTCAGGGGTGGCTGCTAGCCTAACTGTGGCTCTCTGGGTCTCCTCTCCTTCCTCCCCTGCCCCTCATTTCCTTATTCCTGGAGTCCTGTCCTTATGACACTAGCCAGGGAAGGGGAAAATAATGCCACCTCTGCTGGCATTGTGGGGAGTGGGGGGACCTGACTGTTGGTCTAGATTAGGCTCAGCCCCTGACTGGGTGTACAGCTTCAGGTGTGCCATCCCAGCCCCCGATGTGCCCCTCGTGTGCCCCCTGGGCGCATGCCCGCCCTGCCCTGCCCAAGGTGTATTGGGAGGAAGCAGTCAGGTAACAAGGATAAGGAAACTCGCCCTCAGACCAAGCTTAGAGCAAAAGATGCACTTCCTTTGCTGGCGTTTCTGGCTTTCCCCCCTCCAGGGATCTGCATGGCATATTATGAGAGCGGCTACAACACCACAGCCCAGACGGTCCTGGATGACGGCAGCATCGACTATGGCATCTTCCAGATCAACAGCTTCGCGTGGTGCAGACGCGGAAAGCTGAAGGAGAACAACCACTGCCATGTCGCCTGCTCAGGTGAGGCTCTGACTTTCCAGTGATGCCATCCTCAGGACTAGGCGAGAAAGCCGACAATGGGATCACCAACCATGTCTTGCTTTAACTAAAATTTGGAGTTCAGGCTTGCAAATAGGTCTGTTCCAGATTGGTAAATTATGCAACAGTTTCCAAGGTGACACTCAGGATCCTGTGGCTGACTTCTCCAAAGATGACTTATTCCTTGTAGACAGTTTTATGAAGCCCCCACTAAAGCAGGTGGATGGACAAACAACCCTACTGCCCTTTCATGTTAGAGATATTTGATGTCTTCAGTAAGAAAAAGGAAGCTGCCTGCCAGCTGCTTTCCATAAGCAATTCGCTCAGAGGATGCAGTTTGTACTTCTTAGTGCAGAATGAGATGAATACACTTTAGGTTTCTTTCTTTTCTTTTCCCTTTTTCTTTTCTTTCTTTTTTTTTCTTTTCTTTTCTTTTTTCTTTTTTTTTTTTTTTTGAGACAGGGTCTCACTCTGTTGCCTAGGCTGGAATGCAGTGATGTGATCATAGCTCATTGCAGTCTTGACCTCCAGGCCCCAAGTGATCCTCCCTCCTCTGGGTAGCTAGAACTATAGGCACACGCCCGGCTATTTTGTAATTTTTTTGTAGAGACAGAGTCTGGCTATGGAGTCCCGTTATGGGGTCCCACCTGGGCTGGTCTTGAACTCCTGGCCTAAGGAGATTCTCCTGCCTCGGCCTCTCAGAGTGCTATAGTTATTGGTGTGGGCCAGTATATTTAGCTAGCCACATGTCTTAAACATTAGAAATTAAGCTAGAATTTACTTTCATGTCTTCTACTTTAGTCATTCCAGAAATACATATGAGCACAGCATTGAGGATAACAAAATACATCAGGCATGAATTCTGCTTTACCGAACTTTCATGTGACATGACAAGAAAAGAGAATATGTGCTTACATGAAGTTAAATCATGTAAGGAGGAGTGCGCTGAGTGCCATGGGCTTCAGAGGAAAGTGACAGTATTAAGAAAACCATGGAGCCAGGCACAGTGGCTCATGCCTGTAATCCCAGCACTTTGGGAGGCCGAGGCAGGTAGATAACCTGAGGTCAGGAGTTCAAGACCAGCCTGACCAACACGGTGAAACCCCATCTCTACTAAATAATACAAAAATTAGCTGGGCACGGTGGTAGGTGCCTGTAATCCCAGCTACTCGGGAGGCTGAAGCGGGAGAATTGCTTGAACCCGGGAGGTGGAGGTTGCAGTGAGCCGAGATTGCACCATTCTACTCCAGCCTGGGTGACAGAGAAAGACTCTGTCTCAAAAAAAAAAAGAAAGAAAAAAAGAAAATCATGGAAAATTCTGTAAACACAGTGATATTTGACCCGAGACTTAGAAGATAGGGAAGATTTGGGTAGAGATAGAGAAAAGTTATCCCAGGCCAGGGGAAGAGCAAAAGCAAAGAGGTGCCTGTGGGAAGGTGTGAAGCATGAACAGAGAGTAGGGAGAGGCTTGTTTTTTCTGTAACAAAGTGACATGAAGAGAATCCCAGGGAAGGCAGGTGGAGAGGCTAACGACCATCTGAGTGTGAAAAACCCAGGCTAAGAGGCTTTCACTGATTTCTGCCTGCAAGAGGAAACCAAGAGAGGTCAGTTAATTAAGCATTGCTTCAGCAAGATCAATCTGCAAGCAGGGTGTGGGATAGATTAAAGCAGAGACCATTTAAGTGTCACCACAGTTATTGAGCTAAGTGCCATAAAAAGACTGAATGATGGTCATGGTTGGTGACATGGAGAAGACTGATGCAAGAGATGCTGAACAGGCAGAGGGCAGAGCTCAGTCAAAGGCATTTTCTCTGTGCTGCCTCTAGAGTGTAAGTCCCTTGAGGGCAGAGAGTTCTGTTTCATTCACTGATGTATCCTCAATGTCTAGAATGGTGCCTGGCCATTGCAGGAGCTCAATAAATGTTTATTGAATAAATGGAGAGAATGAGGAACAAGAGTGAAGTCAGAGAGTCATAAAATATTCTATTGCAAATTCTTTCAGAGCAGAAAATAAACCGTTTTAACTTCTCTTTGCCACATCCAGGAGTCCTCTCCTTATTGAAGGGAGATACATCCCAAGACCCCCAGCTGATGCCTGAAACTGCAGATAATACCTAACCCTGTATATACTATGATTTTTCCTGTACATAGATACCAATGACAAAGTGTAAGTTATAAATTAGGTACAGTAAGATGTTAACAATCAATAATAATGGGATAATTATAACAATATACTGTAATAAAAATATGTAAGCACCTTCTCTCTGACTCTCAAAATATGTTACATTGATAAAACTAACCAACCACTGCTGAGTGTAAATGAAAACTTGGAAAATGAAACTGCAGATAAGGGGGAACTATTGTACAAGATAATCAGTATATGGGTTTGAATGTTTGAATGACTGAATAATATGTTAAGTTACCTAGTATATTGTCCCTACCCTAACATTGATAAAGAATGATCACTACCTCCTGAGATAGATCTCCCGATTGTTGGTCAGCCCTTAATTTAGAACATTCCTTTGTTAGGCCAAAATCTGTCTTCTTCTAACCTTCTATATCAATCCTAGTTTTTCCTTCTGGGTTTATTCAAAACAAGTTTGCTTTATGTTACACATAAAAACTTATTAACTGTATGCAAATGATTTATAAGTACCTCTCATCTCTGGTTTCTTATCTTCTGAGCTAAAACATTCAGTATATTCACTTTCCATAGGCATGACTTTTGAACCCTTCTCTGTCCCAGTCAATCTTATTAGCATTCCCTAAGAGCTCACCAATGGAGTCTTTCAGTTAAATATGAGGATTAAATGTGTGCATTTACCTCCCATGGTGGGCTGAGTCCCCAGCTTCCAAATGTCCACTCTCTAATCTCTGAAATCTCTCACTCTGTTACCTTACAAGGCAAAAGGAACTTTGCAGATGTGAGGAAGGATCTGAGATCAGGTAGGGGAGATTATCCGGGACAATGTGGGTGGAACCAGTCTAATCTCATGAGTCTTTAAAAGCAGAGAATCTTGCCCAGCTGTGGTCAGAGAGAGCTCCAATGATAGAAGAAGAAAGAGAGATTCAAAGTGTGAGAGGGACTTCACCCATCATTGCTGGCTGTGAAGATGGAGTAAGGGGCCATGAGTCAAGGGGTGTGAGTGGTCCCTAGAAGCTGGGAATGGCCCTCAGGTGACAACCTGCAAGCAACAGGGATCTCAGTCCAACACCCACAAGGAACTGAACTCTGCCAAAACTCAAGTGAGCAAGGAAATGGATCTTCCTGCAGAGTGTCCAGAAAGGAAAACAGACCTGTCAGCACTTTGACTTCAGCCCTGTGAATCCCCTGGCACTCTTCCAGCCATCGGAACTGTAAGGAAATTTTGCAGTGTTCAAGCCACAATGTTTGTGGTAATTTGGTAGGGCAGCAATAGAAACCCAATACCCCTCTCCTCCCTCTTGGTGTCCTGCCAAATTAATACCAAAGGGATTCGAGAATCAATAAGATAAAAAGATAAATCCACATATACAAGATAAATGGAAGAGGAAACAATACCAAAACATTTAGAAGCTGGAAAGCAGGAGGCAAGTGGTGACTAACTTAGTGATTAAAGACATCTGAATCCTAAATCAGCAGAGAGAAAGCTGAGAAGCAAACACAGAACCAACAACAACAACAACAACAAAAAGCTCTGAAATCAGTAGCATTAGCTACTTCTGGAAGTTAGAATGAAGACAGATTACAAACAGGAAGACACATTTAAAGTTCACTTAAGGAGTAGTTAGAACATCCAGTCCCTTCCTGAGGCATTCACCTACTGACTGCCCCTCACTCACCCTGGCAGAATACTGGGACTTTTTCCTCTAGACGAGTAAAGTAGAAAACCTCTCAACTGAGACCTCAACAATCTTTGAGGTTGAGAGCTCCAGACCACAGACATGGGAGATTAAGTTATAGTTTCTATAGTTCCAACCACCATCTCCACTCAGACCCCACAATGATGGCAGCCAGGCCAGACTCTCCAGATGAGAAGATTTTCTTCTAGGGATCTGGCCAAATTGAAAGGAAATTACTAATGACTCTGAGTGGGACTCCCCAGTGAACAAGACTGGTCAAACCTCCCTGCAGTGAGATCCACAGTTGAAAATCCCTACCTCTGAGCACAGGGCTCTGCCAGCCTTTAGTGCCCCTCTCTTAAATAGTTGCAGAGAGCCAAGGCTCACCAGACTTCAGAGGAGTAGCAGTGACATGAAAAAAAATGAAGCAAAAACCAAACAGATAAAACTTTTTGAAAGCAGAGTTTATGCAAGGAAATGAAACTTCAAATTCAGAAAACTACCATTAATATCTTCAGATAGATAAGAGAGGATGCTTGGATGAAACAAAGCAAGATGCTTTTTTTGAAAAAAAAAAAAAAAGAGAGAAAAAGGAAACATTCAGATAACCAAATAAAGAACCTTTGGAAATTAACAATATGATACAGAAATGGAAAACTCAGTAAAGTAGTTAGAAGATAACATTGAAGAAATCTCTCTAAAAGCAGAGTGAAAAAAAGAGATGAGTGAAAAATAGGAGAAATAAGAATGATAAAATAAATGGATATAAAAATACTTTTTAGCAGGAGAGAAGAGAAACAATAGATAGCACACAACCTTTAAAAAACATTTCCAGAACTAAAGAGCATGTGATTTCAATTTGTAAGGTTCATCACATGACCGGTACAGCAGTCACTCCTTGTCTATGGTTTTGCTTTCCATAGTTTCAGTTACTCATGGTCATTGTGTGACTCAAAAGTATTAAATAGAAAATTCCAGAAATAAACAATTCATAACTTTTAAATTGCATGCCATTCTGAGTAGTGTGATGAAATCTTGCACCATTCTGCTTTGTCTCATACTGGATATAAATTATTTCTTTGTCCAGCATATCCACATTGTATACACTATGGTCCCATTAGTTACTTGGTAGCTGTCTCAGTTATCTGCCTTAAAAAACATAGTATATGTAGAATTTGGTACTATTCATCATTTCAGAAATCTACTGGGAGTCTTGGAATGTATCCCCCTTGGATAAAGTGATTATTGTACACTCACACTCAGGAACATCCTCATACAATTTCGGAACATGATAGAAAAACAGAATATACAACAGGCTTCCATTTGAAAATAAAAGTTCCATACAAAAAATCAAGCATCAGAGTGACATCAGACTTCTCAACCACAACACTGGAAGCTAGAAGAAAATGGAAAAAGTCTTCAAAATTCTTAGGGAAAACCATTTCCACTATAAAATTCTGTGCTACCAAATTATCAGTACATTTTGAGCATAGAATGAGTACACTTTCTGAGAACCAAGTTGTTAAATTCTTTACCTCCTGTATCATAAAGAATCCTGGCTGGAAGACAGAACAAACACAAACTGGGTAATTGGAGGAGAATATTAATAAAGACTCTACTTACAAAAATCTGATCAAATCATAGAAAAAACATGGCAATAGTGAAGTAAGGGATTAGGAATCACAGGCAATTACCACCCCCTTGCCCAATGAGGAATGGAAAGAGAACTATGACCAGCACCGAGGTACAAGGGGTCTGCAGGGAGAGGACAACCTTCTAGGATCTGAGACCTTCCTTCAAGGGATGTGACTTGTGCTGAGTGACCTGACAGAAATAAAGCTGGAAGATATTATATGTATATGCCAACCTCAGTGTCCCTCCTCTGTCCCTTCCCTGCTGATGCCTACTCTTATTTAAACCCCTTCAGAAGTCAGAGGACATGGGAGACCATTGACGGCAACTGTGTGCGTTGGCCTCTGAGTGCACAGAGCATGGTGGAGAAGGGTAGAGAGTGGATCCGTCAGGGCAAAGATGACATATTCAGCTCACCTCCCATGCACCCTCTCTCACAAAACCGTAGGAAAACATGCTTCACAAAAAGGATAAACTAAAACAATAAAGAGGAAGACATGGTTCAGGAAACAAGGGACTCGATGAGGGAGAAAGGCAAGAGGAATGCCCAGCCTGATTGTGAAGGATGATCCCAGGATGAGCTTTTATTATAGATTTCTAGTTACACCTCATTATGGTCAGAGAATATGGTCTATATCAGCCGTCCCCAACCTTTTTGGCACCAGGGACCAGTTTGCAGAAGACCAATTTTCCATGAACCAGAGGGAGGAGGATGGTTTCAGGATGATTCAAGCGCATTACACTTATTGTCCACTTTATTTCTATTATCATTACATTGTAATATATAAGAAATAATTATACAACTCACCATAATGTAGAATCAGTGGGAGCCCTGAGCTGATTTTCCTGCAACTGGACAGTCCCATCTGGGGATGATGGAAGACAGCGGTAGATCATCAGGCATTAGGTTCTCATAAGGACCGTGCAACCTAGATCCCTTGCATGCTCAGTTCACAATAGGGTTCGCACTCCTATGAGAATCTAATGCTGCCACTGATCCAACAGGAGGTGAAGCTCAGGTGGTAATGCAACCAATGGCAAGCTTGTGGCTGTAAATACAGATGAAGCTTAGCTCACTTGCCTGCCGCTCACCTCCTGCTGTGTGACTTGGTTCCTAACAGACAATGGACTGGTATCCGTCTGTGGTTAGGGGGTTGGGGATCCCTGGTCTATATGGTTTCAGACCTCTAATATGTCTTTAATCTTGTTTTACAGCACAGCAAATGTGTCTTATGATGAATATGCATTTGAAAAAAAAAATGTGTATTTTATATTTGGTGGGTAGATGTTCTATAAGTGACTGTTATTTCCTTTCTGATTTTCTTACTGAGAACTTATTAGACAGATCTTACTAGAACTATCATATAGTGAGAGATAGATATTGAAATTTGCAACTATCATTTTAGTTTTGTCTATTTCTCCTTTCAGTCTTGTCCATTTTTGAAGCTTTGTTATTAGGCACATATTCATCGAGGACTGTTATGTCTTTGTGGTGAATTGACCCTTTTGTCACTGGAGTCCGTGTTTCTCCTTAACTCTGGTACTATTTCTCATCCAGAAATCTACCTTATCTGATAGCAATACAGCCCACTCTCACTTTCTTTGGGGAAGTCTTTGCATAATATGTTTCTTTCCATCCTTTTACTTTTAACCCATCTGGGTCTTTATATTTAAAGTGAATTTCTTATAGATAGCATATAGTTATGTGTTGCTTTTATATCCATTCTGGTAATTACTGCTTTTCAGTAGGAGTGATTAAACCATAGGTCAGCAAATGTTTGCCTAAAAGGCCAAATGGTAAATATTTTAGGCTTTTCAGGTCATATGGTTTTGATTGCAACTACTCAACCACGACAGAGTGTGAACGCAGCCATAGAAAGTATGTAAATGAATGGGACTGGCTGTGTTCCAATAAGGCTTTATTTACAGAAACAGGAGGTTTTCCTGTGGGACATACATCGTGGAACCTTGATTAGATCATTTACATTTAATGTGATTATTGATATGGTTAGTTTTAAATCCCATCTTGCTATTCTGTTTTCTGTTTATGCCATCTATTCTTGGTTCCATTTTTTCTGCTTTCTTTGGAATTAAAAAAAAAATTATTATTCTCTTTCATTTCCTCCATTGGTTTGTTAGCTATATCTCTATTTTGTTTTTAGTAGTTACTCTAGGGTTTCCAATAGGCATCATTATCGTATTACATTCTACCCTCAAATAACACACCACTTCATATATAACATATGAGTTTCTTAACAGTATTCTTTAATTTCTCCCATTTCATCCTTTGTGCCATGTTGTCACGCATTTTTCTTTTATATTTATATACCTCACAATCCATTTTTATTATCTTTGCTTTAAACAATTGTCTTTTAAATAAATTTTTAAATGAGAAAAAAGTTCTATAATATTTATTATGTATTTACTATTTCCAATACTCTTCATTCCTTTGGTGGATTTATTTGGGGAAGTAGTCAATCGATATCACTTTCCTTCAGCTGAAAGAACTTTCTTTACCTTCTTTTTGGTTTTGGTTTCGGTTTTTTTAGACTAGAGGTCTACTGGCAAGCATTTTCTCTGCTTTTGTTTGTCTGAAAATATCTCTATTTTATTTTGATTTTGAGGAATATTTTCTTTACATATAAAATTCTGGGATGACAGTTGTTCTCCTCTCAAGTTGTTGCTGTTTTGAGACAGGGTCTTGCTCTGTCACCCAGGCTGGAGTGCAGTGGCATGATCACAGTTCACTGCAGCCTCAACTTCCTGGGCTCAAGTAATCCTCCCACCTTAGCCTCCCGAGTAGCTGGGACCACAGGCACATGCCACAATGCCTGGCTGGTTTTTATTTTATTTTTTGTAGGGATGGGTGATATGGTTTTGCTGTGTCCCCACCGAAATCTCATCTTGAATTGTAACTCCCATAATTCCCATGTGTTGTAGGAGGAACTCGGTGGGAGGTGATTGAATTATGGGGGCAGTTCTTTCCGGCACTGTTCTCTTGATAGTGAATGAGTCTCACAAGATCTGATGGTTTTAAAAACAGGTGTTTCCCTGCACAAGCTCTCTTTTTGCCTGCTGCCATCCATCTAAGACATGACTTGCTCCTCCTTGCCTACTGCCATGATTGTGAGGCCTCCCCAGCCATGTGGAACTATAAGTCCATTAAGCCTCTTTCTTTTGTAAATTGGCCAGTCTCAGGTATGTCTTTATCAGCAGAATGAAAATGGACTAATATATGGGGTCTCGCCATGTTGCCCAGGCTGATCTCAGACTCCTGGGCTCAAGTGATCCTCAGCCTCCCAAAGTGCTGGGGTTACAGCTGTGAGTAATCATGCTCAGCTTCAAATTGTTAAAGATATTCCATTGCCTTCTGTCTTGCCTTGTGTATGATGGGAAACCAATGATTTTCTTATCTTTGTCCCCTGTATGTAATATGTCTTTTTTATCTAGTCATTTTTAAGATTTTCTCTCTATTACTCATTTTCAGCAATTTGATTATGTGTGATATTTGTGTTTATCTTACTTGGCATTCATTAACATTTTGTACCCCTGAGTTTATAATTTTCATTAAATTTGAAAACATTTCAGTCATTCTTTCTTCTAATACTCTTCTTTTCTCCTTCAAGGATTCTAATGGCACATATGTTAGATTGCTGCTGCTGTCACATTTATCACCATGGCTCTTCATGTTTTTAGCCTTTTTCCCTCCCTGTGTTTTATTTTCAGTAGTTTCCATTGTTATGTCTTCAAGTCCACTGTTACTTTTTTTTTTAATGCTAATCTATTAAGCTTATTGATTGGATGTTTCTTTTCAGATACCGTATTTTTTATTTGGTGTTAGGCAAACTTTCGTATCTCTCATTTCATTTTATTCATGTTTTTCTTGAAGTCCTTGACATAAGTAAGCATGTTTATAAGAAGTGATTTAAATTTCTTATCTGCTGTAGAATCAACTGTCATTTCTGGGTCTTGCCCTTGACTGATCTTTCTCCTGGTATGTGCCACATTTCCCTGCCTCTGCACAAGGAATCATTTTTTATTGAATACATACATAGTGTGTGTGTTGATGGCTGTTGTAAGTCCTCGAGTCTTGTCTTCTTAGTTTAAAAGAATTTCAACAAGAGATACACAGCAAAGGAGATGTAGCATAGACTAATTTATTGAAAAAGAAAAAGAATATTTTGTAAGTTAGGTGCAGAATGGACAGTACACCCTGAGAGAAACTTCAGGGCAGGCTGCTCGTAAGGATGAGACATCAAAGGCCGGCACGAGGGATGCTCCCTTTAATGGAGTCTTCCATGATTATTCATAAACGGGTGGGAAGAGGTGTTGCTAGTAAGCATGTTCTGGGCGGTCCTCTTCGTGCATTTGCGCAGTAGCTGTACATGGATGTTCATATGTCGCATGTCTCATTAGCATCTTAAATCTCCACCCAGGTGTGTGTTTTTTATTATTATAATGAGCAAAGCGTGAGTTTGAGGACAGGTAAAGTCAAAATGCGCATGTTCCCTACAGGGGAAATTCCCTTCTGGAGACAGCTTTGTTTGAATGAGCTGGCCTTCAGTGTGAATGCTGAGGCTCATCGTGTTGACTGGCCAGTCACCATAGTTGCCGTACCCCGCGGACACAGTTGCTTCCTTGCCTACCTATCCTGCCTCATATGCAACATTGTTGAGTGTCTAGACTATGTGTCTTCCTTTAAAGAGTGTTGAATTTCTTTTCCAACCAGCTAAGTTTATTCTGATCAGCGTAACTCTTAAACTTTGTTAGTGAAGTTCTGGAGTAGTTTTTAGGGTAGGGCTAGTTTAGTCCCACTACCAAGGCATAACTAAGCATCCAGTGTCTCTTTTGAATGTGCTGAGGATTCAGCAAGGTCTATTCCCTTGGGCTAGTCAGAAATCAAATGTCTTCCAGCCCCGCGAGGTCTGTAATTGCCCTGTTCCCTGGGGTAGTTCTCTGCCTAGCCCTGTGGAAATTTACCTGTGCATACCCAGTTTAGCCTTCAGTCAAAGACTGGGTGGAATCCCTTTGCAGATTTCTGCTGCTCTTCTTCTGGGTAGCTCCTGCCTCCCAGGTATTCTCCACAAAATCTGAGCTGCCTTGGCGTCTGATGTCTGTCTCCTCCTCTTAGATGGCCATCCCCTGCCTGGTTCTACCTTCCTGGTCTGCAGAGCTCCTCTGGGCAGAAAGTCATGGCAGTCACAGGGTTCACTGTGTTTTTCTCTCTCTCAAAGATCATGATCCTGCATTGCCAGTTGTCCATATCCGAAAACAATTTTTCATCTATTTTGTCTAGTCTTCTGGTTGTTTACAGTGGGAAGAGAAATCTGTGACTCCATCGTGGTCATGTTGGACTTTAAATGCAGATTACTAATTTAACATTGTTCAGTTTCATTCCAGTTAAGGAAGCCTGGGGCAAAGGTCTATCTGCAAGACAATCTTAGATTCTAAGAAATTAAAGTGTTGGACGGTTCATGGTCAGAGGTAAAAGGACACTCATATCTGTTTTCTTATCGTGAAGAGCATGGGATTTTGGGGGATAGCCTTAAAATAGAAAACAAGATGTTGGTTTTATAACTAACCACCCTCCATGAAAGGCCTCCCTTAGCCTCAGGCCAGAGAGTTTTTTATTAGAACAATGTCATTCTGTCCCACATATTACAGAAGTAGGGACATTTGTCATGGGAAACTGAAAAAAAGTTAGCATTAGGGTGTGTTTACAAGGTACGTGACGTTATATGCATGTACAGCATGGATACACTTCATGATCTTTTTCTTCTTTTTGTTTTTGGTAGAGAAGGGGGTCTCGCCATGTTGCCCAAGCTAGTCTCAAACTCCTGGGCTCAAGCGATCCTCCCATCTTGACCTCCCAAAGTGCTGGGATTACAGGCGTGAGCCACTGCACCTAGCCCGTGACCATTTTCTGAAGCTGGACAGTCTCCTCACTCTCATTCCAAATTGTATTCCTAAAATGCCTTCCTACTTTCCCTAAACTATTTGGACAGAAAATTGATGCTATATTCATATATACAAAGCATACATAAGCACACACGTTCATATACCTACACATATACATACACACAGTGTACAAAATGCCTGATGTGATGACAGTATTTACCCCCAACAGCACAGATTTCATTAAAATAAGAGCATTTGAGGAAAAAATGATTATTGACTCTCTATCTAGTGTAGTCTAGTGCACTTATATTAATTTTATTTTTCATCACCCTGGTATCTGAATTGGCCTTTGTCATCTCACAGGGGAAAGAGATGAACATCGAGGGTGTGTGGCTGCTAGATTTCACTTGGGAGGCAGGAGGATGCCGAGGAGAGACACAGATACTTTGAAGTAGAACTAACATAACTGAAAATAGGACTGAAGCTCTTTTTGTGTAAATTGTTGCTGTTTTCTGTTGGATGTGGAAGAATAAACGATTCTTTGCTGTTCAACATAACCCTTTCTTTATTCATGTTTGACAGGACAGACTGTCTATTTAAAGTAAATTGAGCAGAAACAATTACTGGCAAGAGTCCTCATTTAAAAAGTGCCATCTGAACTCATTTCTGCCCCTCTGCTGCCCTTCTGTGGCTATTTCTTGTAACAACACCTCAGTGCTCAGGGCTGGGAGGCAGGAGGGAGCTCTTGATTTCCCAGCCCCTACTTTCCCTAACATATTTTCCCAAGCAAATTCAGTCAAGTCCAACTTTCAAAACATCCCAACTGCGCAACTAAATGCTATAACAAAGTAGGAGGAGACAAACAACTGTACTCGGTGTCCACTTCCTGGTCCAATATGGCCCCACCGTCCCAGAAATCCTTACAGGGCATCCACAATCAAACTGCCCTGCCCCTAGTACAAAATGTGCTCTTTCTGTACATGCCTGGGATGACCTCCAATCCCAGAATAATAGAATGTGATCTGCTTCCTCCTCACTATGTATTATATAATCTGTGTCCCTCCAACCTCTAGAGACCGCCCCAAACCCACATCTCCCAGAAAATATGCTAGACTACTTCCAAACACAAACCACAGTGTCTCAGCATTTATCAAGCACCCGAAATAAAGTGTCTCTAAGTAACTTGAACATGTATCAGGTACCAAATGCTTAAATTTGGATAACCTCATAGATAATTACTTGAAAAATTAATAAAGTATATTTTAATTATTAACTTTATTAACATATAGTGTTTTATGAGCAGGAATCTTTGCTTAAGTGACTTCTGTTGGAAGAAGAGATCAGAGGAAAACAGAATTTAAGCCCCCTATCAGAATACAGGCTCATTAACTGGGTGTGTGACCTTGGTTTATGGGGATAAAATGGTACCCACAGAAATGGTTGTTCAGAGAACTGATGGAGATTTTGCGTGAAGAGATTTAACATGTGCCTGACATAGAGTAAGATTTCTATAAAACATAAGCTAGTAGTAATAGCTATTATTATCTGAAATATTTATATGTCAAGAAGATAGGCAGGAGATTTTATAAGCTGATATAGCTTTAGTTTTCACTGTAGAATTGTAAACCAAATGCCAGCGAATTTGCATATGTTGTTTCAATTGCTATCTCTTACTGATGATATATTTTGTCAGTTTTTCTCCTGGTTAATAGAATTTTGTTTTAAATAAAAATTAAGTCACATTCAGAATAAATTTGCTTAAAAGAAATCTGTCACTACCTTTATCTTCTAGTGAAGCTGAACTGAGAAAGCCACAAAATTAGCAACTCAGGGAAATAGCATGCTCGAGGGAAAATTCCACTTCCAACAGAGTTAACAAAATAATCTGGTATTACAATGTTCTACTGAAATGCAACATTTTATGCTAGCATTTTTTACAATTATTTTTTTCTGGTATCAAAAATAGTGCATTTCTACTGTAAACAAATTTTAGAAAATACGCAGCAAAGACTTAAGAGCATTGGTGATCCCACAGTTAAGAGCCAATCCTTCTTAAAGTATTAGTGAATTAATGACTGTCTTTTTTTTCTAAACCAGTGCTGTCTAATAGAAGTTTCCGTGATGATGAAAATGTCTTCCATCTGTGCTGTCAAACATGAGAACCACTAGCCATGAGTGGCTATAAAGTATCTGAAATGTAGCTAGAAAAAATAAGGAACTTGGCCGGGCGCGGTGGCTCACGCCTGTAATCCCAGCACTTTGGGAGGCCGAGGCGGGCGGATCACGAGGTCAGGAGATCGAGACCATCCCGGCTAAAACGGTGAAACCCCGCCTCTACTAAAAATACAAAAAATTAGCCGGGCGTAGTGGCGGGCGCCTGTAGTCCCAGCTACTCGGGAGGCTGAGGCAGGAGAATGGCGTGAACCCGGGAGGCGGAGCTTGCAGTGAGCCGAGATCCCGCCACTGCACTCCAGCCTGGGCGACAGAGCGAGACTCCGTCTCAAAAAAAAAAAAAAAAAAAAAAAAAAGAAAAAATAAGGAACTAAAGTTTTAATTATGTTTAATGTTGATTAATTAAAATTCATAGTTTTTTGAATTTTTCCCAGCTTTAGTGAGGTATAATTGACAAATCAAAATAATATATATTTAAAGTAAATAACATGATAATTTTATTTTTGTATACATTGTGAAATGATTATTACAATCAAGTTTAACAAATCCATCACCTCACATAGTTACCGCTTATGTATGTGTGTGTGTGTGTGTGTGTGTGTGTGTGTGTGAAAGAGATTGAGAGAGAGAGAGAGAGAGAGAGAGAGAAGAACACTTAAGATTCTGGCTCTGTCACCCAGCCTGAAGTGCGGTGGTGCAATCTCAGCTTACTGCAACTTCTGCCTGCCAGATTCAAGTAATTCTCCTGCCTCTGTCTTCTGAGTAGCTGAGACTACAGGTGCATGCCACCACGCCTGGCTAATTTTTGTATTTTTAGAAGAGATGGGCTTCACCATGCTGGCCAGGTTGGTCTCAAACTCCTGACCTCAAGTGATCCACCTGCCTCGGCCTCCCAAAGTGCTGGGATTACAGACATGAGCTACTGTGCCCGGCTACTCTCAGCAAATTTCAAGTGAACAGTACAGTATAATTAACTATGGTCACCATATTGTACATTAGATCCCCAGTCCTTCCTCACCTTATAACTGAAAGTTTAGACCCTTCCATCAGCGTCTCCCCATTTTCCTCACCAGCTACTGCTCTACTTTCTGCTTTTATGAGTTCAACTTTGATAGATTTTGCATATGAGTGAGATCATGTGGTATTTGTCTTTCTGGGTCTTCCTTCCTTCACTTAGCACGATCTCCTTCAGTTCATTCATGCTGCTGCCAATGTCAGCATTTCCTTCTTTTCCATGACTGAATAATATTCCACTCTCTATATAAACATATTTTTATCCATTCATCGGTCAACAAATATAATTTAAATGTAAATTGTCACATGTTGCTAATGCCTGCCATATTGGCATTAGCCAATACAGCTCTCAATGGATATTTTTATGATATTGGGAACTTAACATTGCATTGGGAGCATTTCCCCCATGTTATAAAACATCCTGGGAAAACATAATTTAAATGGCTGTTTATTTTATTAAATGAAGGTATTATGATTAATTTGAACATCACTGATTATGAGGCAATTGGATTTTTTTCATTTTAACTCTTGTAAATAAAACTAGAGTAAACCACTTTGTAAAGAAATATTTGTCTAGCATCATGACTGTTTCCTTAGGATAGATCTGGAGAGATAAATTATTAGGTGAAAGGATAAACACCTCTTTAAGGCTCTAAACACATGCTGCTATGTTGGTTTCCTAAGACGTTGAATCCATTATACGCCCACGAGCAAGTATCCAGAGAACCTGCCTCTCTGTGCCCTTGTCAACGTCAAGCATTACCCAATTCTCTAAAAATCAAAAACAAAAACAAAACAAAACAAAACAAAACCTTTGAGTAATTGACAAGCAGAAATGAGATCAAGTGGTTTGAGTATTTTTGTCCTTGATTGGTGGTTGTGGTGGTCATGGAGATGGGCCTCCCAGATCCCCTGCTAAGGAAAGACGTGCTGCCCCCGCTGCAGTTGTGTGATGAGCAGACAGTACCTGCCACCTGCTTCAGGATTGGCTTCAGGTGCAGGTTGTTCCCTTCCGGGGTGACCCACACCCAGTGACATGTGAGGCAGAGGCATGCGGACCTGGCATGTGGGCCCGACTTGGGCCACTCTGATGGGCGGTGCTCACTCGGGAGCTCATGGCTGGGCTGCCCAATGAATTGCTGGGTCTGCGTCACAAATGGACATCTCCGTCTGCCCATCCTGCTTCCTCCACCCCATTCCTTTCATAGGTGTGGATCCCTGAGGAATATCTAGCACCTCAAACCCATCGCAGCGTCTGTTCCTGGAGACCCAAATTGCAACAGAAGTGATATTGGACTTTTACATTTTATTTGCCGTTTTCTGTCATGTTTGTGTTGAGAAGGATTCTGAGGCTACTTTTCAGGCAAGCAGGAAAGAATGCGGATATCAAACAATACATTTCAATCAAAAGATTTGTTATGTCTGAAGCAATAGAAAATGTAATAAGTGGCCAGGCACAGTGCTGGCTGTAGTATCAGCACTTTGGGAGCCAAGGCAGGAGGATCACTTGATCCCCAGAGTTCAAGACCAGCCTGGCCAACATGGTGAAACCTTCTCTCTGCAAAAAATACAGATAATAAAAATGGCCGGGCATGGTGGCCCATGCCTGTAGTCCCAGCTACTTGAGAGGCTCAGGTGGGAGGATCACTTAAGCCCAGGAGGTTGAGACTGCAGTGAGCTATAATCATGCCACTGCATTCCAGCCTGGGTGACAGAGTGAGATCCTGTTTCAGAAAAAAGGAAAAGTAATAAAGATAGAGATAGACGTATTTGACTTAAAACTTAAAACTTTTTGCATATGAAAAACACCCTAGACTGGGTGCGATGGCTCACACCTGTAATCCCAGCACTTTGGGAGGCCGAGGTGGGTGGATCACTTGATGTCAGGAGTTTGAGACCAGCCTGGCCAACATGGTGAAACCCCATCTCTAGTAAAAATACAAAAATTAGCCCAGCATGGTGGCACACACCTGTAATTCCAGCTACTGGGGAGGCTGCGGCAGGAGAATTGCTTGAAGCCAGGAGGCAGAGGCTGCAGTGAGCCGAGACTATGCCACTGCACTCCAGCCTGGGTGACAGAATGAGATTCTGTCTCACAAAAACAAAAACAAAAACAAAAACAAAACAAAACAAAACCCTGGATAAAAATTTTTTAAGGCACAATATGAAATGACAATAGACAAAGGTTTAATATTTACCTCCAAAGAGAACTTATATGTCAAACTAACCCACATAGAGAAAACATTGTGCTATCCTGTCTTATGTGCCATTTTTTTTTCTTAAGACAGGGTCTCACTCTGTTGCCCAGGCTGGAGTGCAGTGGTGTGAACACAGCTCACTGCAGCTTCAACCTCCTGGGCTCAAGTGATCCTCGCACTTCAGGCTCCTGAGTAGTTGGGACTAGAGGTGTACACCATCCCACCTGGCTAATTTTTTACTTTTTGTAGAGATGGGATCTTGCTACGTTGCCCAGGCTGGACTCAAACTCCTGGCCTCAAGGGATGCTCCCACCTCAGCCTCCCAAACTGCTGGTATTACAGGTCTGAGCCACCATGCCTGGCCTGCGCCTATTTCTTTAAGACATAAAAAACATTCTTGCATGGCATTTTCTCTAAACACATTTCCAAAAACCCTTCAGGATTGGGCTCTTCCTCTGAAACATCAGGTAGTGCAAGATGAAAACGGTCTTAAAACAACAACAAAAAGTTCTTTTTGAAGAAGCTTAATGAAAATAAGATTGTGGCTTTGCAGGCAAAATCATAGTTCTTCCAACCCTCTTGATCCAAAAAGACTGAGAAAAGTGAAGTAAAGTTGAGTTGAGGTCCCTCTCCAACAACAAAGTCTCGCCTAACCCTGATGTCTTCTCTCTTTTACAGCCTTGATCACTGATGACCTCACAGATGCAATTATCTGTGCCAGGAAAATTGTTAAAGAGACACAAGGAATGAACTATTGGTAAGAGTGTTTTCTTGGGAGACTTGTGCTGTCATGGGCAAAACCTAGTGTGTGTATTTATCACAGTTATGGTGGAATTGACAAACTCACCTCCGCAGAGTGGTCCAACCAATGGAAGGAGACCTTGTCTATATTCTCCTCCATCAGTGTGTGGGTGTGCAGTGAACATAGTAGTACATAGAAAGGGAGAGGAGACTTGGGATTGGGTTAAGATAATTTGCAATTGCTTTTCATATGAACGTATTCCAAACAATGGAGAAAGGTATTTTCTAAAGTGACTTGGAAAGGGTCAACTGAATCAATTCGAGAGAGGAAAAAAAAAAAAAGCTTGAGTTTGTTCTAGATTTGGATAAGATTTTGAAGGTTACAGCAACATTTTGCAGGGAAAGAGAATGAGCAGCAGCAAGAGGAAAGTGAGCAGGTCTGTGTCATGGCGACTCAGCAGAAAGCGTCCCCAGCATTGAGCCTGGGGCCTTGCATTCGCTGCTGCTGTGTTCTGGTGAACGTTGCCAGCCGGCCCCACTCAGAGAACCCGAATTTTCACAGATGTGGGTGTGACATGGAATGACCCATCCTTACAAAAGTTGATTGCTTGTTGCTGAAGCTAACAATGGCTAGGAGAAAACCAGGAGACAAAAGTCTGAACTAGGCAAAAGGACAGCATCCTTGAAGCTCAGAAGCAAATGAAACCCAACCCAGGGTTCCGCTGGCGATTTTGGTTAATTTCTGTAGGCTTTGAAACTAAGACGGTTTGGATTGTCACGCTTCTTTCTGCTGCTCCTGCTTCCCTCTCATCCTCAGGCAAGGCTGGAAGAAACATTGTGAGGGCAGAGACCTGTCCGAGTGGAAAAAAGGCTGTGAGGTTTCCTAAACTGGAACTGGACCCAGGATGCTTTGCAGCAACGCCCTAGGATTTGCAGTGAATGTCCAAATGCCTGTGTCATCTTGTCCCGTTTCCTCCCAATATTCCTTCTCAAACTTGGAGAGGGAAAATTAAGCTATACTTTTAAGAAAATAAATATTTCCATTTAAATGTCTTCACCCCGTCTCAGTTCCAATGATGTCATAATAGCATGGTGTTAAGACTTGAAAAATCACCTCCACAATGCTCTAGCCTTGGAAAAAACAAAGCTCCCTTCTTCATTGTAGGGAGTCCTGGTTTCTGTGGCCCTGAAACTGCTGCTCATTCAAAAATAAGACTCCCTCATCTTCAGGGCCATCCTCAGAAACAGGACACATGCAGAAGGGTGAGGTTAGGAACTAGGAGCACCTGAGGGGCCGAATCCCCTTAAGAGTACCCCAGAAGGACCGTCTATGCATGCCCACCCACAAGCCTAGACACCATTTATCTATCTACACGCACGCAAGAGACGCAGAGAGATAGGGCAACTGAGATTCACTGTTTGATATTGAAATTCTCATAAAAGTTCTCAGTTGCATTTTTTGTATTTTGTATTCTGCATTTTCCAAGTTTTTCCTGACATATTTTGCTATTAAAGAAAAACATCACCAGGCACGGTGGCTCACGTGTGTAATCCCAGCACTTTGGGAGGCCAAAGTGGGTGGATCACTTGAAGTCAGAAGTTTGTGACCAGCCTGACCAACATGGAGAAACCCCGTCTCTACTAAAAATACAAAAATTAGCCGGGCGTGGTGGTGCGTGCCTGTAATGCCAGCTACTCGGGAGGCTGAGGTGGGAGGTGGAGGTTACAGTGAGCCGAGATCATGCCGCTGTACTCCAGCCTGGGTGACAGAGCAAGACTCTGTCAAGAAAGGGAAGGGGAAGGGGGAGGGAACGTTTTTTTTCCGGAGTAAAAAATAAGACCCCTGGCCAGGCACAGTGGCTCACGCTTGTAATCCCAACAATCTGGGAAGCCAAGGTAGGAGGACTGTTTAAGGCCAGGAGTTCAAGGCAAGTCTGGGCAACATAGCAAGACCCTGTCTCTACAGCATTTTTTTTGTTTTGTTTTAGTTGCAGCTTTTATGCCTAAATCCTGCTGGAAATTCTAATGGGTCCAAACAGATAAAATTGTAGCTCTTACCCCTGACATCAAGAGAGTTCCCCATGTTATTCCACTTCTGCTTAAATCAAGCTTGTCAAACCCATGGCCTATGAGCTGCATGTGGCCCAGGATGGCTTTGAATGTGGCCCAACACAAATTTGTAAACTTTATTAGAGCATTATGAGATTTTTTTTTTTTGTGATTTCTCTTTTTAGCTCATCAGCTATTGTTAGTGTATTTTATGTGTGGCCCAAGACAATTCTTCTTCCAATATGGCCCAGGGAAGCCAAAAGATGGGACACCCCTGATTTAAATTAAATCTATCCAATTCAAAAAGCCATGCTTACAAGCTCACAACCCCATGACAAAGTTGTTTTCAACCTTAGACGTGCAGATTTTATTCGTATGGCTAGGAACTTGGTGACCCTCTGATGGAAGTCTGGTGACATGGCAGTGAGCTGAGCATCTCAGACCCCAAAGCGATATTCCCAGGATGCCTTCTGCTCCGCACAGGGATGGCACCCCCTCCTGGCTCCCATGGCGGGGTGGTTCTGTGGCACCTGCTGGGTTTTCTCTTGCCCATTATCAATCCACATGCCTCTGTTCTGCTGGGGCAGAGCTGGTTGGAGCTGTCTTGTTCTAAATTTAGGTGAAGGTAGTAGGCTCATGTTGAATGCAATTTGACCTGGAAAATGCCTTCAATTGATGTTTGTTGGAGAATTGGTTATGCCAACAAGTAAGTTTCCCACTTAGAAGAAAGTCTCCACTGATGAGACTGATGGATACTGTGACAGCGCCTAAATAACCCTTCAATATGCTCTTACTGCCAACTCCCCAGGCCTCAACTGATGGCTCCTTTCCTGCCCACCGGCTTGCCTTGCATGCAGAGGCTTTAAGAACGCCTAACCGCTACTTGCCTAAATAAATAAATAAACATGTTATATATTTCTAAACATACATGTCATCCTGGGACAATTTAACAGGCATTATAAACCCTGAGGGAAAAAACCTTTTGAACCCCATCTAAGAATTGAAAAGTAATTTTATAAGATAGCTGAAGAAAATTTGAAAAATGTAGAATCCATTAAGCTGCACTAAATCAATAATCTGTGCTTACAGAAGGCCATAAATATGCATTTTTCATTATTATTGTCCTGTTAGTCATCTGCCTTGCAGCCCCATTCTTAGCCAAATTTCTGCTTCATTAAAACCAACGGCACCTATTTATGAGCTAAGTTAGCATGAACCTGGCACCAGCCATTCAAAGACTGGGGGAAATATTTTTTTTAAACCAACTCCAAAAATAAGTGTTTTAAAATTTAAGGTAAAAAGACATTGGCTGTCCTAACATTAGACTCATCTATCTTTTTGCAAAACTCACAAGATTTCTAAGCATGCAATCCTACTCTTCCCCTTCCCCCATGTTTGATTTATTTCTATAAAGAATAATTTAGGATGAAAAGAATACATTTTCCCAGATAATTTTCCATAATTAAAGCCTTCAGAAATTCAAGAGGACATGAATACTTCTATGCCTGAGTTATCTTTATTTAACAAAAGCATATTTCAGAAAAACCCACACTCATATTCCCCTTTATAGTTTCTAAGACACTTGGAAGTAGATTTTCATTTACTCCTCGTGGCCACATTATCTGCTGGTTACCAGATACACTGAGCAGACCATTGGGTATTAGGGGATAGTGATTGGCTTATGTGGGTACATTCTTTCTGTGGGGACTCAGCTCTGCCTGATTCTTGGGACACCTCCCACTCCCCCAGCATCTGGCTCTTTGAATCCCAACTTGTTCCCTGTTGTTCCTCGATGCTTTCTGGTCTGGTCTGGTCTGTGATTTTCCCTTGATGCCTTTTATACCCAGTATATCATTTCCCCTCAGGTGTCCTTGCTCTTGGTTTTTCCCATACATGGAGGTTGTGCCACTCCCCTGCAGCCTATTCAAGCCTGGCCCAGCCAACACAAGCTCCCAGCTCCTCTAACCCCTAAAGCTCTTGCCTCTGAACACATGGCTGGTGTGTGCTGTAGGATTAGGTGACTGGGGATTAGTGTCCTCATCCAACCTGTAAGCTCTTTGAGGCCTGGACCATGTCCTTCACTGCTATATTTCCACAATCCCTGCTGCAGTGCTAAACACATAATAGTTAACATTCAAAAATATTTGATGTTGGCCAGCACTGCAGGAGGCCAAGACGGGAGGATCACTTGAGACCAGCCTGGGCAACACAGTGAGACCCCATGTCTACAAAAAGTACAAAGATTAGCTGCGTGTGGTGGTGCACACCTGTAGTTCCAGCTACTCAGGAGGTTGAGGTGGGAGGATCGCTTGAGCCCAGGAGTTTGAGGCTTCAGTGAACTATGAACTAGCCACTGCACTCCAGCCTGGATGACCGAGTGAGGCCCTGTCTCTTAAAAAAATTAATTAAAAAATTTGATGTTGGTTTTTTGTACCACTGGACACATGTGGAATCACAGAAAGTTTACAAATAAGACCTTGCATCTAGAACATTTTTGTTTTCAAATCAAGTTCATGTTTATTATTTCATACGCTCCTCACAACAATCTTGGGATATAGGGGAATGAAAACTTCACTCCATATACACGTCCCTGAGATACGGAAGGGGTAACTATCGCCCAGGGGCCACAGCGCAATGGCAGAGAATCCAAGAGGCCCCTGCTGCCCTGCGGGGATCTTCAGAACTCAGTGACAGAACGTGTCCTAGTTCCTTTACGAACAGGGAGTGCCTGAGCCCTTCACCTGTGTTCCACACAGCCACTTCCTTGAGTGTCTCAAATATGGCACAAACCCTAAGCCAGCCCCTGAAAGATCTGCAGGAACAATTTAGTCTCTTCAAGGTGAATTTAAAAAAATAAAGCCTTCATCAAGAGACCCAGGAAGATTTCCTCTGTGTCTCCAAAATAGAAGGAAAATGCTCTGGATGTCTAAAACTGGAACTGTCAATAAACAGGAACTACTCTTTCCAACTAGAAATACACTATATTTTTTTGATTTAAAAAATTTAGGCCGGGCGCAGTGGCTCACGCCTGTAATCCCAGCACTTTGGTAGGCCAAGGTGGGCGGATCACCTGAGGTCAGGAGTTCGAGACCATCCTGCCCAACATGGTGAAACCCCATCTCTACTAAAAATACAAAAAAATTAGACAGGCATGGTGGTGAGTGCCTGTAATCCTAGCTACTCTGGAGGCTGAGGCATGCAAATTGCTTGAACACTGAGGCGGAGGTTGCAGGGAGCCGAGATTGCATCACTGCACTCCAGCCTGGGCAGCAGATTGAGACTCCATCTCAAAAATAAATAAAAATAAATAAATAAATAAATAAATACCATAAAAATAAAAAGTTTAAGGGCTCGGGTGCAGTGGCTCATGCCTGTAATCCTAACACTTTGCCGAGGTGGGAGGATCCCTTGAGCCCAGGAGTTTGAGACCAGCATGGGCAACAGAGTGAGATCCCATCTCTACAAAAAATAAAACAGATTAGCCGGGTGTGGTGGCCTGTGCCTGTGGTCCCAGCTACTTGGGAGGCTGAGGTGGGAGGATCACTTGAGCCTTGAAGGTCAAGGCTGCAGTGAGCTCTGACCGTACCACCGCGCTCCAGTCTGGGCAACAGAGTGAAACACTGTCTCAAAAAAAAAAAAAAAGTTTAAAGCATGAAAATGTCTTCCAACATAGGCCAAATAGCCCCACTCCAGCCCTGCTCAGCCCCCCGGTGATGCTTCTCCAGGTTGCCAGGCTTCCTCTGCAGTGCTTCTGCCTTGAAGGGTCCGACTGCTTGAGGACAGACATCGCCATCCCCCAGCGCTTGGGCTGCAAGCAGTTCTTTACACACAGCGATGTCAGGGGAAGGAAATTCACACATCCAGCTTGCAGAGGAGTCATGGCCAGGGAGAGCTTAGGATCTGGATCTGGGAGGAACTGTGGGCACAGTAGAAGCTTCTGGAACAAAATGGGGCTCCTTGAGGGCAGGAAGGCAGCTTCACAGCACTCTGCCTTGAGCAGGTAATTCTTTCCCTCATTTTTCTCCCTTCTCTCATCTGATTCCACAAGTGCAGGGAAATAGAACAGGGGACACTCAGAAACTGTTCCGATTCACAGATTCAGCAGTCACTTTGGTTTAAACTGATCCTCCAGTAACAGGAGAAAGAGAAGAGGAAGCCCAAGGTCAGAAGCTAATGAAGAGAGTCTTGCTGGAGAGCAGGAGAGAGAAGAGAAGCAACGAATCTTTCTTTACACCAGGCTGCAGTTTGCACAGTTTTTACCACTGGGGCCTCCTCACTGATGTAACCCAAAAGAAACGCTGTGTTTTGAATGGAGACATTGTTTTACTCACCTTATTGGTTAGGCTCTGTTCATAACAATAATCTACATTCTTTGTAGAATAGATAGAAAATAATTTCCAAAACTGAAAAAAATCCATAACTGCTATTAATATATTTTGATGTTTTTTCTTCCAGGTTTTTTTTTTCTTTTTCTTTTTCCTTTTCCTTTTTTTTTTTCTTTTTTTTTTAGAGGCAATGTCTTACTCTGTCACCAGGCTAGGCTAGAGTGCAGTGGCGTGATCTTGGCTCACTGCAGCCTCAAACTTTCAGGCTCAAGTGAGCCTCCCTCCTCAGCCTCCCACGTAGCTGGGACTACAGGCGTGAGCCACCACTCGCAGCTAACTTTTTAATTTTTTTGTAAATACAAGGTCTTGCTATGTTGCCCAAGCTGTTCTTGAAGTGCTGGGCTCAAGCGATCCTCCCACCTCAGCCTTCCAAATTGCTGGGGTTAAAGGTATGAGCCATCATGTCCAGCCTCTTCCAGGTTTTTTACAGATTTTTAATAAAGTTGGAATTATAGGATACCTAATTTTATAGCTATTTTTAAATTAATACGACACAAGATTTTCCCCACATTAATATTTTCTAACACATGACACATAGGAACAGCATAACAGTTACTTACGCTGACCTGTGATTCACTTCCTCTCTCCCCTATGGTTGGATATTGAGGTTGTCCAGTACCATTTTCAGGCCTGGAGCTCTAGGCCAAGTTTTGCAAAGAGCCCTTCCTCTTCTCACTGTTTATTCTCCTCTGAACCTCACCAGAAGTCCTCAGCACATGTTCTTCATGGAGGTCATCTTTCCCTGGACTGCTTGGCTACTTTAGAAGTCAAATCAAGACTAGAAGTATGAAAGCCAATCACAATTTCCCAACAATTAGGATCCATCATTCACCATTTGGTTGGTACGTAGAGAAAACATTTTAAGTCAGTACTGTGCTGAAAAATCCTAAACATGCCATTACCTTAGCTCCAGGTCTTCTGTCCCTGGTGATGGAGCAAAGCCAATAGCTGTGCAAACAGAGTGGGGAGTAGACAGGGCGCCCTTGAGAGACTGCCAGAGCTAAGCCCAACTCCTCTGTGACTGGTGGTGTGAGCACAGACAAGACACTGAACCTCTCTGTTTCACTTCCTGTAAAATGGGAATAACAGTATTTGCCATGCACAGCCATGGTAAGGACTAGCAACCGTATTAGAAGCATGTTAATCACCTGGCACAAACCAGGCTTGTAATAAACATTAGTGATTAATTTACCTGGGGATGGTGGCACACACCTGTAGTCCCAGCTACTTGGGAGTCTGAGGTGGGAGGAGCGATTGAGCCTGGAAGTTCAAGGTTACAGTGAGCTATAATGACAGCACCGCACTCCAGACTGGGAAACAGAGTGAGACCCTGTCTCTTTAAAAAAAAAAAAAAAGTGATTACTATCCTATTTCTGCATTTTTCTTTGTCTATAATTTTGTAATAGGTGATTTCTAACAGGACCTGCAGACACTTTGAAAGGATAAACTACATTTTAATGTGAAATAAAGGCATGTTCAAAAAGCAAAGGTGCAGATAGTGGCTGAAAGAAACCACCTGAAACTGAGGCTGTTTATTTTCACAGGTCCCTGCTGCTAAGAATTCCAAACTACAAGGGAAAAAGTTAAACTCAGCTAGATTTCCCTGCCTGCTCAAGACCACAACCCCAGTGGCAACATAATTCTTGGTGAGGATGAAAAAACGAAATCTATACTTGCCTTGAGAAAGCATTCATGCAAAATAAAGCCCAGATTCATAAGTAATCTGACTTCAGCATCACTTTTCAAAACAGTATCCTGTTACCAGCTAAAGCAAACAGAGTGGTTCCAACCCCAGGAACTGACAGGCAGTGCAAAAGGGCAGATTGGAAGAGATTAAATATTTGTGCAAAAGCCCGTACCCCCCTTCACAAAGGGCTGCCTCTGTCTGGCATAAAAGGGAAGGGATGCGGGAACTGAGAAGAGGGCCTTATCTTTCCAGAGGAAGGACTGTTTGGGGACGGAGGAGGTGGAGAAGGGGAGAGAAAATAGCGGAGAAGGGGAGGGATAATAGCAGAGGAGGGGAGACATCAGATGGGTGTGTGTCCCCGGGTCGCTGTCGAGCCGGGCCAGGCTGCTGTCATCGGCTGAGGCTGCACTTCTGACCCCTGCGGTGAAGCCAAGCCACGCGGGCTCAGGGGCAGACGGAAACAGGATGACTCGAGCTTTGAAGCTGCCAGCCTGTGATGGCAGAGAGGCCAGAAAGAAGCCCGCTCCAGAACCCACTCTCTCAGCAGCAGCACCACATTAATTTGCAGGGGGGTGGGAAGGACAGAGGAGGGGAGGGGCGGAGAGGGGAGGGCAGGAGAGGTCGGGCTGGGACCGAGGCCAGGGAAGCGGGTCATGTGCACAAGGCAGCCCAAAGGCCTTCCAGGGGGTGCCCAAGAAGGACTTTAGAGAAGGGAGATTTTGAAAAATTATTTTTTAAAAAAATTGTAGTTTTCGACTCTGCTGACAGTCGATCAAAGCTAGTTTCTGCTTCTGAGACATTTTAGTGGCTGCCAGGAACTTAGAATTTAGAAGAGAAAAAAGAAGAGGAAAGGAAAAAATCTACAATGGAGCAGTCTGCGCGGGCGGTGGGGAGATTGCTGGTAAGATGAGAGTCTTTGAGGAATTGGGATTTTTCTGTGGACTTTGGAGCTCCTCGGGGCCCACCATGAAGACCAACATGGGGCCGGCAGCGCAGGGAAAAACACCCTTGGGAGGCCCTTTGAACACAGCTCACGTAACCACATTTGAGGAGAGACAACGGGAGGGACGGTCCCTTGTGCCAGTCGAGGGACAGGGCTGGAACTGTGGTTCCAAACCCTGGCTGCACAATGCGATCATCAGGACACTTCAAAAAATGCAGATGCCAGGCCTGGCTCAATTCAGTTAAATCAGGCTCCCTGAAGGCAGGGTCCTGATGCAGATATTTTTTTAACTCCCCCGTTAATTCTAATGCTCAACCAAGGTTATGAACCCTGAGTAAGAGACTTAACGGGACCCTGCTGAGCACAGGCTTCCCCTGGGCTACAGTGCCCCCTCTCCGTCACCTCACTGGGAGAAGAACATCAAGGTCACCCACCTTCTGGCTACAGTGAAGACTCAGGAAGTCGTTCCTCTCCGATAGCTGAGAGTCAATACAGGGACCTCAAGAGTGGAGCCTCATCATCAGAGTAACCTGGGGACAACAGAGGCCAGAACACACACAACACTCAGCAAGTATTCAAAGGCCAGGCACGGAGGCTCATGCTTGTAATCCTAACACTTTGGGAAGCCGAGGTGGGAGGATTTCTTGAGGACAGGAGTTTGAGACCAGCCTGGGCAACATGACGAGACCCCCCTCTCTACAAAAAGAATTAAAAGAATTAGCCAGGTATGGTGACTCACACCTGTAGTCCCAGCTATTGAGGAGGCTCAGACAAGAGGATCTTCTGAGCCCAGAGTTCAAGGCTGCAGTGAGCCATGATAGAGCAAGAACCTGTCTCAAAAAAAAAAAAAAAAAAAGCCCACTAAAACCAATTTTAAAAACCCCCAAATATGTGAGTAACTGTGCCAGGCACTATGCTATGCAAATGGTGAGCATAGCCAATTGGTTGATTCTGCAGCTCTGGGTTTTCTCTGTAGGCAGGGGCAGGAGAACCAGCTATACCCTGAGGTCTACAAGTCCAGAGAGGGCAAAAGCACAATTTCCAAAAAGCTAAATCCAAGACTCTTTATGCAAATATAAAATGAACACATGTCAAACACTTTATCACACTCACTAATTAATGAGGAATCAGTAAGATCTTAATACCAGTTCAGAGAGATCTGAGGAGCTAGGTATTTATGGGCAATTAACAAAAGGAATGTTAGGGTACGATTACTGGCTAGTTAACATCTTACAGGGAAATAAACTATAAACTACGGAGTTGTTTTTGTTTTTCCTGCCAGATAGAAATTATTTTCATCTCTACCAAAGAAAAATCTAAAACTTAACACATAACTTCCCTAAGTCTAGGAATTTTAAACAATAGTTAAGAGTGTGTTGAACAAAGTGCTTTTGCCCCTGTATGACACTGTAAGGACGTGAAGCCTACAGATTTGCCTTGAGGTCTCACTCTGCTGCCCAGGCTGGAGTGCAGTGGCACAATCATAGCTCACTGCACCCTCGAATTCCTGGGCTCCAGCAATCTTCCCACCTCAGCCTCCTGAGTAGCTGGGACTACAGGCACAAACCACCATGGCCAGCTAATTTTTCTATTTTTTGTAGTAATAGAACCTCACTATGTTGCCCAGGCTGGTCTCGAACTCCTGGGTTCCAGTGATCCTCCCTCCTCGGCCTCCCAAAGAGCTGGGATTACAAGTGTGAGCCACTGCACCCAGCCAGTCATTTTTCTTGATAGCAAGAGACAGATGACGAGACCACAGAAATATGAAGAAATATGAAGGTGATATTGCACAAGAAAACTCAAAATCTATGCAATTACAAACCAATAAAGTATAGGTGCTGTCTGATTATACTGAGCCACGCTAAGGGGTCACCCACACATCAGCTGTGGCCCTGTCCCCTCAACATCCTGGGCAGAATGACTCAACCTTTTATAAGGGAAGCCCAAGGTCTTCTGCAAGATTCCTGAGACCTAAAAAGCTTACATTTTCATGCTTTTCTCTGGCTCTGAGCCTCTGCTTCTGCTGAATTCGTTCATTTAAAAATCCTCTCCTCTCCTTGCTATTGTGTCACTGACAGGAAAGGGGTCTCTTTTCTTCATTTGGACAATACAGAAATAAAATTAAACCTTCCACAGAAGATATTTATATGGACTTTCCTTAGAAGGTTTAGGAAGACAGAAAGATCTAGATTTCCAATGCAAAAAACTCAGACAAGAGAAATTCCTGTTCCCCAAGTGTTGCTTCTCCTCCTGCTCCCCTTCCGGGGTTTTTCCTCTTCTTTTTTCTCTCTGACCAAACACCTGTTTTCTTTTATTCTGTTTTTTGTTTGTTTGTTTCTTTTTATCATCTTGGCTCCTAATTATTCAGGTGCTCAAAGTTTTATCTTCTCTTTAAGCAGTTGATGAAAAAGTGCTCTTAAAAAGAAGTTCGATCCCACCTGTAAGAAAAATTTTGGTGCCAGCAGATAAGAAAGCAAAATTTCCCCCCACATTTATAGTAAAACATATATGTAATAGAGCCCTCCTCCCACCCCCACTTCCCCCACACCCCTGCTCACTCTGTCCCAGCCCCGCACACCTGGGATCTAACCTGTTCCCCACACGCCCAGAATCTAACCTGTTTCTGGCACAGCCAGCAGCTTCTTGTTCCTCTCACAGGTCCCCGCTCAGTGGCCACAGTCTCAAGGCGAGAACCGTGGGAAACTCTCCTAGGTGTGAAATGAAAGAAGCACCAAAACACGCAGTCATCAGGATCAACAAGGTTTTAATGCATGATCTATTTGCAATATGCGATGCATTAAACTAATGCAAAAACTCCATGATGAACAAAAAGTCAACATTTCAAAGACAGGACCAATATTACTGATTTTTTTTTCTTTTTCTTTTGCTCCAGGTTTGAATGTGGCTCTTCACAGCACTATGAGTGATTTTCATTTCGTTTTGAAATTTTTTTCTTTTTTTTTTTTTTTGAGATGGAGTTTTACTCTTGTTGCCCAGGCTAGGGTGCAATGGCATGATCTTGGCTCATCGCAACCTCTGCCTCCTGAGTTCAAGCCATTCTCCTGCCTCAGCCTCCCCAGTAGCTAGGATTACAGATGGCTGCCACCACACTGGGCTAATTTTTGTATTTTTTTTTTAATTTTTATTTTTAGTAGAGACAAGGTTTCACCATGTTGGTGGGCTGGTCTCAAATTCCTGACCTTAGACGATTCGTCAGCTTTGGCTTTCCAAAGTGCTGGGATTACAGGCATGAGCTGCCGTGCCTGGCCTATTTTGAAATTTTGATATTTTCTTCATCATGGGGTTTTTGCATTAATTTTGATTTTTAAAAAATAATGCCTTCAAATGTTATTTATCTTGACTCCTGAGTTTTTGGACACCCCCTTAAACTGTGTGCTAAGGCTTCACCCTCATCCCAGCCCTGGAAGTATTCTAATCAGGGTGGAAAATAATGCTACTTGTCCTTTCTGAGCAATAAGTAAGGGAGGGAAGGAAAGGAAGGAAGGAAGGGAGGGAGGGAGGGAGGGGAAGAGAAAGAAAGAGAGGGAGGGAGGGAGGGGAAGAGAAAGAAGGAAAGAGAGGGAGGGAGGGAGGGAGGGAAAGAAAGAGAGAGAGAGAAAAAGGAGGGAGGGAAAAGGAAAAAAGGAAGGAAGGAGAGAAAGAAAAAGAGAAAAGAAAGATCTTTCTGAGAGATAAAAGGTAGAGAAGTGGAGTGGGGCTTGTCACACTGACTTAGCCAGAAACAGCAGACAGTAAGCAGTATTCCTAGCAGAGCAAGCTGGCAGGAGAATCTGTTAGGCCCCAGTCTCATCTAAAAATAGTGAGTTGTGATGGTTCTCACCCCTGGCGGCACAGGAGAATCGTCCAGGGAAGTTTTTAAAAATACTAATGCCCCGGCCCTCCCCACAGACTAAAAAGTCAAAACCTCTGAGCATGTGGCCATCAGGCCACTGTCATTTGCCACCAAGGTCATGAACCCCAGGCTCCTTCCAGTTCCAATATTCTGGACTGTCTCTGTTTTCTCTGCGGCTGCTCTTGGAGGGATCAGTAAGGTCGCTTTTGTAAACTCCTTAAAGAAACCTTTGAGAACCTGAAAACAACAATAACGATACACTCCCCTCTTTGGCAAAATGCTCATTTGGCACACACACAATTCAGTTTCAGGAATCCCACAGCCCCCTCCTCACTCTCAGGAAGCCACCAATTGGTTCTAAATTAAAAATTCCTCATCTATTTTAAATAGCATCCAAAAAATCTTGATTCTTCATGTGTGACCCCATGCTAAGTGCTGCATGAAGGAGTTTATCTGGACCCGTTTCTCTCTCTGGAAGCTAAGACACAGCTGGCGGGGTGGACTGCGGTTCCTGCTGCCACCTCTTGAACTTCCTTCCACAGTTTTCAGAGCACACGCCTCAGTCTAAGGTTCCTGCTCCAGACTGCGGTCAGACTCACCTGAGAGCTTTAAAAAAATATTCCTGCCTGGGACCCACCTTCAGAGACCCTTATTTACTTAATCTGCAATGGAAATGGGCATTTTTTATCATTTATTTATTTATTGAGACAGGGTCTTGCTCTGTCACCCAGGCTGGAGGGCAGTGATGCGATCATAGCTCACTGCAGCCTTGAACTCCAGGACTCAAGCCATCCTCCCGCGTAGACAGGACTACAGGCATGCCACTGCATCTGGCTAATTTTTTTACATTTTTTAAAGGTATGGGGTCTCATGTTGTTGCCCAGGCTGGTCTTGAACTCCTAGGCTCAAGCGATCCTCCCACCTCAGCCTCCCAAAGTGCTGGGATTACAGATATGAACCACTGCACGTGGCTGACATTAGCATAATTTAAAGCCACACTGTGCCTCTCATGGGCAGGCAGGGTGAGAGCCCCTGTCAGTCATGCGGTGGGAGACACAGAGGGCTGCTCCGGGACAAGGACCTGCTGCACAGGTAAGCTGGCTTGAGGGGGCTTGCTGATCTAATCACTCCCAGCTGTAGGCCCAGCTAAATGGGTGGTTTTAGAAGCTACTTAAAGTTTAATAATCCAAAATATAGAGTGCTTTTACAACAGTGTAACAAGAAGGGAACTGGCCAGGGAATGAGAAACCGAGGGTTCAGGTCCTGGCCATGCTAACGATTTTGTGACCTTGGCCGAGACTCCCACACCCCGGAGCCTGCCTCCTGCACCGGCAGTTAAGTGCACAGCCTACTGCACTTGGCAGACATCAGGTCAAATCCCATCTCTGCAGCACAGCGACTAACTTACCCTGACTTTGCCCTTGTTTGATCGTCAAATAGTATTACCTCATGGGGTTGTCATGAATATCTAAGTGCCCAGCATAAAATGGATAGCAAGTGCTCAATAAGTTTTTGTTATTATTATGATTCAGCTCAGCAAACCTCAAGGAGCCGTTGTTAGGATAAACGGAGTAATATATATGCAGCCCCTAGTTAACTGTGAAGTACTGTACGGTGGTGTCACTGTCGTTGACCTTGTGGCTTTCACTAGACTGAAGCCAGGACAAGAGTTTGTGGATTCCAGACTTCCTGGAACAGAACTCATAGTATCTTACTACCCCCACCTCAATGCTTTCAGAAAGCTTGTTTGAGATCAGAATTTGAAGCTGGGCACAGTGGCTCATGCCTGTAACCCCAGCACTTTGGGAGGCTGAAGCGGGCAGATTGCTTGAGCCCAGGAGTTGGAGATCAGCCTGAGCAACATACGGTCCCTATCTCTACAAAAAGATAGGGTCTACAGGTAGACCTAAAAAAATCCAAAAAAAATTAGCTAGGCATGGTATCGTGTGCCTGCAGTCCCAGCTACTAGGGAGGCTGAGGTGGGAGGACTGCTTCAGCCTGGGAGGCAGAGGCTGCAGTGAGACGAGATCGTGTCACTGCACTCCAGCCTGGGCATCAGAGTGAGACCTTGTCTCAAAAAAAATTTTTTTGAGAGAGTTCTGGAACAGTCGCATCCTAGTCAGATTGGGTACCACAGTCCGTTTGGCCAAGGAGTCTTGTAATGTTTGGTAGTTGCTTTCTCACATGAGGCTGAATGAAAACCCAGCTCTTAGGTTCTGTGCAAAGCACAGGGCGACAGCAGTAATTGGACTGAATTGGTTAAATTAGAAAAAGAAATCAGGTGAGTGTTACCTTATTCTGGATATTTAAAATGCTCCCACAGTGAGGCCTAGCAGAGCTTGTAGGCATCTGAAATACTTAAGAGGCATAGCTCAGAAACTATAGACATCGCCATTTGCTCTTTTGTGTCTTTCCAGCGAGTGCTGACAAATGCAACCTGAAAAAACTCAGTTCCTAAGATTCCTGGCCTTCCAGTGAATATGCAGTGTTGGGGCATGTGGTTCCCTGATCAGTTAAAGAAGAATCTGTCCATTTCAGAAAGCAGACTGGAAGCTGCTTTCATCCAATCAATGAAATGGTGCTGCCTTTATTGGCATAGTAGTATGCATTGCACTCACAAGTTCAGACATCCAAGTCGTAGCTTGCTACCTGCTTGAATAAAGAAAAGGAAAGAGGAAGAGAGAAAAAATCCACTAAATTCTCAAAAGTACCTTGCAACACTGAACATAAAGTGTTGGGGCCATGGTATAATGGTTTGTCAGCTGAAAAATCAAAATTTTCTACACACAACAGATTCATGGGCATTGCAGAGGGTAACAACTAATGACATAATAATAATAATACCTAATAAATGTTCTTCTATGTTGGAAACACAGCTAAGGACTTTTCATTCATTAACTGAATATTCTTAACAATCCTATGAAACTAATCTTATCCTATTTTACAAATGAGAAAACTAAAGCCCAGAGAGTTTAATGAATTTGCACAAGTTTAGTTGATTAACCTAGTTAATTAACTAATAAGGTTAGTCCATTAGTTCAAGTAATTCAATTCCAGGTCTTTCAGATACTAAATCTCTCTTCTTGACCATTGTACTATGCTACCTCAATACATAGCCCAAAACAGAGTTCACCCAGAATTTTAGCCTCCCATTCCCGAGGAAATGTGAACAGTTGGAAAACATGTTGGAAAGAATATGGAGGGGTATTTTTCTTTCTCTCTGGGACCCTTCCCTCCTTGTACCAGAGAGTAAGTAACAAATAACCAAAGGGCGAGCAACAGAAAGAAGGGACCAAGGAAGAAATCTGAATTGATCAAGAGACAATTGTGCAAAGTATCCTGAACCAAATTCGGAGATGTTCCAGAAAGTTTACACACTTAGAGTCTCTACCCAGTTACAAAACATTTGTTAGCAAATGTTCATGCTGAATGAAGGACACACATTTCTCAACTGTATTCCTGACTTTCCTACCTGCTGACTTGGTAATTTCAAAAGACCTAGTATAGCTATGGGATATATTTCTCATGACCAAGTAGGTTCCATAATTTTATCTTAATACATCAACCATGTAATATTTTAAACTACTAGAAAAGCCTAAAATGGGAATGCGAAATGGCAAAAGAGAGTGGAGGAGAGAAGAGACAGCAGTTCTAACTCAGCCTTCCAAAAAGACTTTCAAAAAAGAAATATTCTAGATGAGGCCAGGAGAAGCCATCTAGAGTGGCACTGAAGCTCCAAAGAGTTCCACAAAGAGTGAATCAATTGCATTTATGTGCTTTGGAAAAAACAAAAAGCCCAAACTTGGGATTTCCTGTTAGCCCAGAGCAGCGTGGCTCTATCCCTAGGACTCAGTGGCTCCCAGTGCAAAAGCCGGTTCCCTATGTGAGTTATGTCCTGCGTTTGACCATCTGATCCGCATTTTCCCGTGGATTAATAATTTGACCACTCTGGAAGTCTTGCTGTGTGTACTGAAACCGTCTGTTAACTCTCCTGTGGACTGCTGGGTTTGGTATTTAATCTTCAACAGGAATTTCAGAAGGTCAAAGTCCCCATCTGAGAGGAGTGCCATGCAAGTAATGAAACCAGGCAGACAAGTTCACCCTCAAGGAGATGGAAGTCTTTGAGTGTGGTTGACAAAAGACCTTTAGACCATGGGCATTTGGGGCCTGGGGTAGAGCGAACGGAGAAGAAAATTAGCTTAGGGAGAGATTCTTAAATCAGTGGGAAAAAAGCAAAACATGTGACATGTGGAGTTGCAAGCTTCTGGGAAATTTGGTTTCTATTAACTGCACAAGCAATAGTTTTGGTCATTGTTGTTGATGTTGTGTGTGTATGCATTACGTTTAATGGGCACCCAGTGCAATGGCAGTAATAAAAATGGAACAGAACAAGTATGTGAAGGAATTAAAGCTAGAACTTACCAGTGTAAGTTTATTTCTAGTTGATTTTTGAAAAAAATAAAGCCAAATATTTGCAGGTCCCAGGCGCTCTGAAGTCTGTAGTTTCCCACCCTTACAGACAGCACCCCATGGTGTGTCAACTTTCTCATTTCAAAGTCCAAAGCATCCTAAAGCAAACATGAACCTCACAGTGAAATGGCCTCACTCTGATTTACACATCATTATTTCTCCAACTGTTGATTTAGTCCAGTCTTCCCTGATGGCATCTTCTAAAGGAAAGCTTCTTCATATTCTTCCCCAGGAGACAGTCAAGGCTGTCCACGGACAAGCGGGTTGAGACAGCATATTCCGTGCTGAATCTGAGGGCATAAGAAATTTGCTTGTGCTTTCTCCTATTTCAGTTCTGTAACCTCCATTCCAATGCAGTCATGTGAATCGTTTGCTTCTTTGGGTTAGTAATAGATGTTGCCGTTTATTGGCCACGTATATACTCAGCCCTCCCCTTATGGAGAGGCAACTGGAGAAACTGAGGTCTTTATCCAATGACCTGCTCCATGCCAGCATTTCTGTAATTGGGGGTTGGGACATCTGAGCTACAGGAACTTCTGAGAGTCCTAAGGCGGTGAGATATTGCTATAGTGACCACCAACATCAATGTTTGAAACATTTATAAAATAATAATAGTAGCTACATATAACTAAGAACTCACTATACCAGGAATCTTTCATACATTACCTTTATTTCTCAGACAACTCACCCTACATAGGAGGAGTCTAAGGCTGTAGACATTCAGGAAGCTTGGAAAGACCTTGCAGGTGGTAAAGGGCAGAACCAGAACTTGCATCCATGTATCCTTTTGACTTTGAAGCCTGTTTTTCCCTGGACCTCAGGGATGAGATAAGATGCCCAGCATCTATCCACTTCTTCACGCCTCCTCACACTCTTCCTTTTCTTATTCTTCAGCTCAAAGATCTGAGGTAGTATCAAGAGAGGACCATCCCTGGTGGGGGTCAGTGGCTCATATCTATAATCACAACACTTTGGGAGGTTGAAGCAGGAGGATTGCTTGAAGCCAAGAGTTCAAGACCAGACTGGGTAACATAGCAAGATCTCCTTCTCTATTTAAAAAAAATATATTTTAAAAAAGACAGCTGGGAACAGTGGCTCACGCCTGTGATCACAGCACTTTGGGAGGCCGAAGCAGGCAGATCACCTGAGGTCAGGAGTTCAAGACCAGCCTGATCAACATGGTGAAACCCCGTCTCTACAAAAATACAAAAAATAGCCAGGCATGATGGCAGATGCCTTTAATCCTACTTACTCAGGAGCCTGAGGCAGGAGAATCACTTAAACCTAGGAGGCAGAGGTTGCAGTGAGCCAAGATCGCGCCATTGTCCTCCAGCCTGGGTGACAGAGTGAGACTTCTTTTCAAAAAAAAAAAAAAAAAAGAGGGAACCATCCCTGAAAGTCTTCAAACAGTTGGTTAGCAGCTGTGAAACTTATGTGACTCCACCTTAAAATGAGGTGGTTTGTTTGATGTCTACCATTCGTACTGAAGGATAATTTGGAATATGGATAATCATAATATTTCTTATGGAAGCAGTCATGACCTAAAACTCTGGCAACTGCCATTGCCCTGGCGTGCTTTCCAAATGAGAACAGAGAAGATGCCTGGGATGACTTCCCACATTCCTGAGTGAGCTGCATGCTCGTGGTCTACTGCTTACCCCAGGTCATCTCTGCAGCAGCTCAGCAGCACCTTCCATCTACTGCCCCAAACATCACCCACATTTTGGTCTCCCCCACCTCCTCCCATTTTTGCAAAGCCAATTGGCTCTCATTATTCTGAACCAATCTTGCCTAGCTGTGTAACCACCACTTGAGAGAAAGTTAATTTTATACTCAGTGCATTTACTTCTATTTGAAATAGATATTAAGGGCGCTCTGCTTTCTAAATTCTCCCCAAGTGAAACAGAGCTCTCTATGAGGCCCCTGAGAACAACAGAGCATTAACACAATTCCTGCCCTGAAGACGTTGTGTCTCCTCTTAGGTCAAGAGCCAATAAGCACATAATTGGCCCTTAATTGTATGAACTGTATTCCCGGTGCTTTTCACAGCACATGGCATTGCGTAAGGGTCAACATGGCTTGCTGATTTATGTGTTGATCTCTCTCTCTCTCTGTGTGTGTGTGTGTGTGCGTGTGTGTGTGTGTGTGTGTGTGTGAAGAGAGAGAAGGGGATTTGGCAGTGATGGGAGGCCACAGCAAGGGGGGCACCAAGAATTAGATAACTCCTATAATCAGTGTTGTTTACTATTCATTAGCAAGAGAAAATACAATTGCAAGAAAATCCATTTATGATTATAGAGGAGAATGGAACTATGCATTCCAGATTTTTTTCCAACAAAACATTCAGACACAACTTACATTCACACTTTTCCCCTAGAAGTAATAATTAGCAAACAGCTGTCAGAAGGTTTGTTGACAACCTTTCTAATGTCAATGTCTTTCAAAAGACCCACTTCTTTGCAATGCCTCCACCCACCGGCTGGCTGAGGTCAAAGGAACATGGAGTGCGCGTGTGTATCTATGCCTGTCTGTATTTTCCACCATATTCTTCTTTCTCTTTCTCCCTCTTCCTTCCCCTCTTATTATTGTAGCATCCAGGTTTTGTCAATTATCAAACACTCAAACACTACATACACACATCCTTACATAAAATAATTCAATGAAGTGAAAAGAAAGTCCCATATCTTCCTCTCTGTTAGCACCATGGGTTAATGGAATGAACACTGAACTTCGGAATCAGAGACTTGGTTTCAAGTTCTAGATTCATTCACTTGCTAACTGTGTGATGGAAATTAGTTTAATCTCTGCAGTTGACTCCTCTGTAAAGTAAGATACTTAACTCATGGCATTATTCTTAGGATTAAAGAAACAAATGTGAATATGAACAAATGAACATAGTTTCTGATGTTCAATAAATACTCAACATACATTTCATTCCTGTCTGGTTTTTCCAGTGGCAGAAAAGATAACACACCAAAACCTTAGCCTGTTCATCAGGAAAGCCTAGACTTCAGATAAAGAACAAATGGAAGACTTGTTTAGAACACTGGCTCCAGTTTTTTTTTTTTTTTCAGTTATAGTTCCTAGCTCTATCCTAATGGATGATACTAATTTTGGAGAGAGTGAAGATTTTTCTGAGAGAAGAAGACATTCAAAGCTGATCTCTCAACAAGGGATGGCAGTATTTCCTCCATCAACATTATTTGTGCCTATTTTTAAATGTTATTTTAAAATAGCCATGGATTTTGCTATTGATTAATGAGTGTCACGGAGAATTGATCTGGTGTTTCTTCTCATTATCAAAGAGAATAAGAAGGAAATTTCCCCTTCCTTCTCGCATCAAGTATGGCTAAGCCTTTGGGTTTGGAGTTTTGGGCTCAGTTGCCCCCCTCCAGCCCCTTTGAGGTGGGACAAGATGGAAGGCCCCAGAGGAAGAGGGACAAGGCCTACTCTGGGGTCAGACTGAGAAAACCAAAGAAGTTGGTTTTAACACATGGCGGAGACACATTGTTACTCTGATGGGGGCAGTAGACTACAAGGAGGCCTGAAGACCAAGCACGGGTCTGACATCACCAGCAGAGCTGCTGCCTTGGAAAAAACGTGGAGTATCCCAAGCACAACTCTACTCATAAACCACAGACTCAGTTTGGGTTTCACCAGTTTCTCCACTAATCCTTTTTCTGTTCCAGGACCACACTGGATACCCCACTGGATTTAGTCATTGTGTCTCTTTAGTATCCCCTAATCTGTGACAGATTCTCTGTGTTTCCTTGTTTTTCAGGACCCTGACACTTTTGAAGAGTATTGGCCAGATATTTTGGGGACTGCCATTCCCTCTGGGTTTGCCTGGTGTGTCCTCATGATTAGGCTGTAGGAAAGGCTTTCCCCTTCTGACACACGCAACGACGTGGATGAAACTTGAGGATATTACGTTAAGTGAAATAAGACAGTCACAAAATGGTAAATACTGAATGATTTCACTTGTATGAGGTACCTAGAGTATGATTTCAAGTATCTACTCATACTGTCATAAATGGCTTTTGATTGTCATCTATAAATGGAAATGCTACCTCCTATAACCTACATTCCCACATGATCCAAAATTTTGGTGATTCATTATAGCACACAGATCTATAGTAGATGGTCAGCTCCAAAAGGCAGGAACTGGGACTTTTCCCTCTTATATCCTTGGCCCCTACCACAGTGTTTAAAAACTAATCATTAAGTAAGTAAGTGAGGCCACCATGCCTAAACCTAGCTTGCTGGGTATGTGGCAGACTGGATATGGAGGTCTTCCGTGGAAGGGCAACCAGCAGAGGCCCTGAAACCAACACAGGTCACCCGGCCCAACCTTAGTTGCCATATGCCACAAGCCAGCATTTCTCAGCCTTTATTGCACAGAGAAATTCCTGGCCAATGAACTCATGAGTCGCCTCACTGTTGAGACCCCACACATGCCAGGGTAGAGGTGGTGTGGTATTCTCAGCCTGCTAACCTGTAAGTCTTCTCTTCTCTACCCTAGGCCTGAAATCACACTGCTGCATGGAAGGAGCATGGCATTATTTGGGGAAAACATTGAATCCGTTCTGTTTCAGCTGAGTGATTTTTAAGTGTATGTGCTCTTTCGCTTGCAGTCAAAACTCACAACTGACAGGACTCGCCCAAGAATCTTGACCCTGTGTTTGTAAAGCTCTGATCTGGGCAATGGCTGCTGTGCTCTCAGCTTCTGAGATGAGGGTGCACAGGCACCTGGTCTTTGGAAGGGAAGCATGTTAGCTGCCAATTTTGCTCTATGAAGGATAAGACACTTGTATTGAGGAAACTATGGCTTAATAGTTTCATGGGACAGACTCCAGGGGAAAAGCCAGGAGAGGCAGCTACAGCAGACACAGTACATCCAGGTTAGGAAAACCAACCAGGCTGTACCATTATAGAGGGGCCAAGTAAACACTCAGCCGACTCCAGGGAGACTTGGATTAAACCCAAGTGCTCTGCAGCCATCTGCAGGAACCAGGGAATTGGGAGGCTCAGGTGGTGGAGAGGATGGCACTAAAACCTCCAGAACTTGGATTTAGATTCTGTTCAAACAAATGGGACACCACCATCATTGTAAACCACAAATGGTGTGAGCCAGAAGTTAACTGTGTCCTGAAAAAGGAGAAAAGACAAATATCTCTGGATCAAACATTTTAGTACATTGTGGAGGCCAAGTGTGGCAGTGAAGGTCTTCGAGGATGTAACGTTCATAACTCATTGCCTAGTCTATAGCTTCACAGCATGGTGGGCCCTGCCTGCCCCAGGCAGAAGTGACCGACAGTGACCCCAGTACAGAGCCCCAATCAATCAACATATGTTTATTGACTGTCTACAGCATGAAAAGAGTTTGAGACAGACCTAAACTCTGGAAGTCTGTAATGACAGGCAGTATTGTCTAGGTCACGCCCTGCCCACCTAGCAAACCCCCTCCCTCATCTCCAACTACTGAAATCCGACCCATCCTTCAAGGTCATGTCAAAGACAGTCTTCTTTGTAAAGCCACTTTTGATTCCATCCCCAGCCTCATCCTTATAACTGTGATCCTTCCTCTCTTTGAACTTCTCAGAGAATTTAGTTTCTACCTCTATGATTACACTTATCACAATCTGCTTTGGAGGAGCAAAGCAGATTGTGATATTAGCAGAATATTTTTTTTCTTTCTTTCTTTTTCATTCTGTTTTTTTTTTTTTTTTGAGACAGTTTCTTGCTCTGTTTCCCAGGCTGGAGTGCAGTGATGTGATCATAGCTCACTGCAACCCCTGCCTCCTGGGCTCAAACCATCCTCCCACCTCAGCCTCCCAAGTAGCTGGGACCACAGGCACGTACAACCACATCTGGCTAATTTTTGTATTTTTTTTTGTAGAGATGGGGTTTCACCATGTTGCCCAGACTGGTCTTGAACTCCTGGGCTCAAACAATACACCTGCCTCAGCCTCCCAAAGTGCTGGGATTACAGGCATGAGCCACTGTGCACAGCTTGGAAAAGCTATTTTAAAAAGAGTCAAACTTTCAACCAGGTTATAAACTCCTTGAAAGCAAGATGATGCTTATCAGAGTTGCCCCTGCAATGCTTGGCAAAGGGGCCAGCACAGAGCAGATATTTGTTGGTAACTGGACAAGTATTAATAGGTGAAGGTTAAGGATGATGAAGAAAAACATTCAAGTATAGTTCTTACTTCCTTTCCTGTACGGACACCAGAAACACAGTAATTTAAGGGCCTCCGATGCTGAAATTAAAGTTTTACTGTTGTCAGAACATTTTCCTTATTTATATGGCAGGTTAAAATTACCAAGGTATCATATTTTCCAAGAAGAATAACAAGCACTGGACTAAGAGTTGAGAGGCCCAAGACCTAACCTGGGTTTTGCCACTAACTAGTCACATGGCTCTGGACAAGGCACAATCTCAGAGGACCCAGACCTCTACAGTATTAAGGACTCTGACTAACTCATCTCTATGGTTTTACAGCTTTGTAATTTTGTGAAACTATTTCATATACATCACATCCTCTAAATTAAGATGACCCTTGGTTCTTTACGGAAATACTAGAAAAGCAAAGCCAGCTATCTGCTTAAGAAAAAAAAAAAATATATATATATATATATATATAGATAGATAGATGATAGATAGATAGATACATAGATACATAGATAGATAGATAGATTTAGCCTTCAAAACCATGGATCAAATATTATATCATCTGAGAAGCATCTCTGTCCCTTAGATGTGATTGCTCTTTCTTCTGTTCTCCTGGGGCATCTATTTAGTGTTATAGCAGAAATGGAAGTTGGATGGTGTATATATATATATATATATACACACACACACACACACACACATATACATATATATATATACACACACATATATATACATTATATATATACACACACACATATATACACACACACACACACACACACACACACATATATATAGGCTGGGCATGGTGGCTCACACATGTAATCCCAGTACTTTGGGAGGCTGAAGTGGGTGAATCGCTTGAGGGCAGGAGTTTGACACCAACATATCAAAACCCCATCTCTATTAAAAATACAAAAATTAAGATGGTCGAATAGGAACAGCTCTGGTCTGCAGCTCCCAGCGTTATTGATGCAGAAGATGGGTGATTTCTGCATTTCCAACTGAGGTACCTGGTTCATCTCATTGGACTGGTTGGACAGTGGGTGCAGCCCACAGAGGGTGAACTGAAATAGGGCGGGGCATCACCTCACCTGGGAAGCGCAAGGGGTTGGGGGATTTCCCTTTCCTAGCCAAGGGAAGCCATGACAGACTGTACCTGGAAAATCGGGACACTCATGCCCAAATACTGCGCTTTTCCAATGGTCTTAGCAAATGGCACACTAGGAGATTATATCCCGTGTCAGGCTCGGCAGGTCTCACACCCATGGAGACTTGCTCACTGCTAGCGCAGCAGTCTCAGATCGACCTGAGAGGCAGCAGCCTGGCAGGGGGAGGGGCATCCGCCATTGCTGAGGCTTGAGCAGGTAAACAAAGTGGCTGGGGAAGTTCAAACTGGGCGGAGCCCACCACAGCTCAGCAAGGCCTGTTGCCTCTGTAGATTCCACTTCTTAGGGCAGGGCATAGCTGAACAAAAGGCAGCAGAAACTTCTGCAGACTTAAACGTCCGTGTCTGACAGCTCTGAAGAGAGCAGAGTTCTCCCAGCATGGTGTTTGAGCTCTGAGAAAGGACAGACTGCTTCCTCAGGTGGGTCTCTGACCCCCGTGTAGCCTAAATGGGAGACGCCTTCCAGTAGGGGCCAATTGACATCTCATACAGGCAGATGCCCCTCTGGGATGAAGCTTCCAGAGGAAGAATCAGCCAGCAATATTTGCTGTTTTGCAGCCTCCCCGCTGGTGATACCCAGGCAAACAGGGTCTGGGGTGGAACTCAGCAAACTCAAACAGACCTGCAGCTGAGGGACCTGACTGTCAGAAGGAAAACTAACAAAAAGAAAGGAATAGCATAAATATCAGCAAAAAGGACATTCACACCAAAACCCCATCTGTAGGTCACAAGCATTGATGCAAAAATCCTCAATAAAATACTGGCAAACCAAATCCAGCAGCACATCAAAAAGCTTATCCACCATGATCAAGTCAGCTTCATCCCTGGGTTGCAAGGCTGGTTCAACATACACAAGTCAATAAACGTAATCCATCACATAAACAGAACCATTGACAAAAACCACATGATTATCTTAATAGATGAAGAAAAGGCTTTCAACAAAATTCAACAGCCCTTCATGCTAAAAACTCTTAATAAACTAGGTATTGATGGAACGTATCTCAAAATAATAAGAGCTACTTATGACAAACCCACAGCCAATATCATACTGAATGGGCAAAAACTGGAAGCATTCCCTTTGAAAACTGGAACAAGACAGGGATACCCTCTCTCACCACTCTTATTCAACATAGCGTTGGAAGTTCTGGCCAGGGCAATCAGGCAAGAGAAAGAAATAAAGGGTATTCAATTAGGAAAAGAGGAAGTCAAATTGTCCCTGTTTGCAGATGACATGATTGTATACTTAGAAAACCCCATTGTCTCAGCCCCAAATCTCCTTAAGCTGATAAGCAACTTCAGCAACGTCTCAGGATACAAAATCAATGTGCAAAAATCACAAGCATTCCTATACACCAATAACAGACAAACAGAGAGCCAAATCATGAGTGAACTCCCATTCACAATTGCTTCAAAGAGAATAAAATACCTAGGAATCCAACTTACAAGGGATGTGAAGGACCTCTTCAAGGAGAACTACAAACCGTTGCTCAACGAAATAAAAGAGAACACAAACAAATGGAAGAACATTCCATGCTCATGGATAGGAAGAATCAGTATCGTGAAAATGGCCATACTGGCCAAGGTAATTTATAGATGCAATGCCATCCCCATCAAGCTACCAATGACTTTCTTCACAGAATTGGAAAAAACTACTTTAAAGTTCATATGGAACCAAAAAAGAGCCCGCATTGCCAAGGCAATCCTAAGCAAAGCTGGAGGCATCACGCTACCTGACTTCAAACTATACTACAAGGCTACAGTAACCAAAACAGCGTGGTACTGGTACCGAAACAGAGATATAGACCAATGGAACAGAACAGAGACCTCAGAAATAACACCACACATCTACAACCATTTTATCTTTGACAAACCTGAGAAAAACAAGCAATGGGGAAAGGATTCCCTCTTTAATAAATGGTGCTGGGAAAACTGGCTAGTCATACGTAGAAAGCTGAAACGGGATCCCTTCCTTACACCTTATACAAAAATTAATTCAAGATGGATTAAAGACTTAAATGTCAGACCTAAACCATAAAAACCCTAGAAGAAAACCTAGGAAATACCATTCAGGACACAGGCATGGGCAAGGACTTCATGACTAAAACACCAAAAGCAATGGCAACAAAAGCCAAAATTGACAAATGAGATCTAATTAAACTAAAGAGCTTCTGTATGGCAAAAGAAACTACCGTCAGAGTGAACAGGCAACCTACAGAATGGGAAAAAATTTTTGCAATCTACCCATCTGACAAAGGGCTAATATCCAGAATCTACAAAGAACTTAAACAAATTTACAGGAAAAAGACAAACAACCCCATCAAAAAGTGAACAAAGGATATAAACAGACATTTCTCAAAAGAAGACATTTATGCAGCCAACAGACACATGAAAAAATGCCCATCATCACTGGCCATGAGAGAAATGCAAATCAAAACCACAATGAGATACCATCTCACACCGGTTAGAATGGCGATCATTAAAAAGTCAGGAAACAACAGGTGCTGGAGAGGATGTGGAGAAATAGGAATGCTATTACACTGTTGGTGGGAGTGTCAACTAGTTCAAACATTGTGGAAGACAGTGTGGTGATTCCTCAAGGATCTAGAACTAGAAATACCATTTGACCCAGTGATCCCATTACTGGGTATATACCCAAAGGATTATAAATCATGCTACTATAAAGACACATGCACACGTATATTTATTGTGGCACTATTCACAATAGCAAAGACTTGGAACCAATCCAAATGTCCATCAATGATAGACTGGATCAAGAAAATGTGGCACATATACACCATGGAATACTATGCAGCCATAAAAAAGGATGAGTTCATGTCCTTTGCAGGGACATGGATGAAGCTGGAAACCATCATTCTGAGCAAACTATCACAAGGACAGAAAACCAAACACCACGTGTTCTTACTCATAGGTGGGAATTGAACAATGAAAACACTCGGACACAAGGTGGGGAACATCACACACCAAGGCCTGTCATGGGGTGAAGGGCGGAGGGAGGGATGGCACTGGGAGAAATACCTAATGTAAATGACAGGTTGATGGGTGCAGCAGGCCAGCATGGCACATGTGTAACTATGTAATGAGCCTGCATGTTGTGCACATGTACCCCAGAACTTAAAGTATAATTTTAAAAAATTTAAAAATTAGCTAGGCATGGTGGTGTGTGCCTGTAGTCCCAGCTACTTGGGAGGCTGAGGCACAAAAATCACTGGAACTCAGGAGGCAGAGGTTGCAGTGAGCTGAGATCATGCCACAGCACTCCAGCCTGGGCAACAGAGCAAGACTCTGTCTCAAAAAAAAAGAAAAGAAAATTATTGTCCTCTGAGATTTTTCTTATCAATTTTTTATATTTCTAATTAGGATATCAAATCTTTACTGTGTATATCAAAAAGAAATAACTTCCCATAAGTTAAAAATATAATAAATTTAAGATAGATTTAGGAGAATACCAGAAAAAAATTAAAATAAATTACATTTCTTTAATAGTTCAATACCTTAAACTTTAGAAGAAAATAAAAATTAATATCTACCTACATTGGGTCAACATTTTGCCCTATTCTTACCACTGTAAGAACAAATATAATAATAACATAATAATTAAGATAAGTGGAATATATTCACTAGTACAGTAGTTTTATGTTCATTGCAATTGTTCAGGCCATGAAATCATGCTTTTACTTTATCACTCATAATTTAACTTTGGTTCATGTTCACTGCTAATTAAACTTTAAGACTAATGGCATCATTTTTACTTTCAAACAAGTCTATGGAAAGTAATGACTTGAATATCACCTGAGTTTTGAAAATAAATAATTTCTGGCTTTAAAGTTAGTCGTCTGTATTTGGTAGGTATTGGAGAGGAGGGAAAGAAAAAAGGCATTATTTCAATTCTAGAAAACTATTAAATATCATCTGTACAGTTTTTAAGGAACGGCATGGCCAGGGTATGATGGCTTATGCCTGTAACCCCAGAGTTTTGGGAGGCAGAGGCAGGAGGATCACTGGAGGCCAGGAGTTTGAGACCAGCCTGGGCAACATAGCGAACCCCTGTCTCTAAAAATAAAAAATAAATTAATTTATTTATTAATTAAAATCAAACAAACAATAAGGAAAAGCATGGTTTGAGAACATGAAATTATGTTCGAGTAGGAAAAACAAGAAAGGAAAGGTTTCATTCAAAACTAGTCTCTCTATACAGAATACTTGGAAAGATGCTTCCTGTTCTTGAAGAGGATTATTCCCTTTGGTTTGCCAGTTTTGTGTGTGTTGGTGGTTGGAAGGCAGATTACGAACACAGTACATTGCATTTAAAATATTGTTATTGAAAAACATGATTCAATATAAATACTGTCATTTAAGATTTATGCTCATGAAAATCTACTTATCACCCTGTGCATCTGTTAGCCCACCATGAAGAAAAGCCTCCTCTTGTAAAGCCCAACCTCATTCACTGAGAACTTCCATGGCGAAGGATTCAGGGCTCTTTTCTTCTTGAACAGAAACAGTCCTCTAGGTCTGGCTCTCAAAATGGAGTCCTGAGATTCCCCTTCTTCCCTCAGAGTTCCTCATCCTATGCCCTCATTGCCCCCTGGAGTTTCCTTCAAGGGACTTATCATAGTTGGTAACTATATACTTATTTGTTTGTCAGATTATTTAGTCAGTGTGACTCCAGATCCCAGCTCTGGAACCTCATTAAACCGTAAGCTCCTTGAAGGTAGGACCTGTGTTTGTTTCACTCCCCAGTGCCTGGTGTAGTGCCCAGCATGTGGTAGACACACAATAAAATTTCATGAATAAGTCAAGAGCTGCATATGATGATAGCACTTTTAGCAGATGACCTTGATAGTTGGCACTCTAAGGATAAAAAATGCCACTCAGATGCTCAACAGTGTTTTTTTGCAGACAGATGTCTAGGTAGCCCTGGTTTTGCATCAGTGCTTTGGGACACCAAGGTCCAGGCAGGACAACATTCATTTTGGGGATCAGGGGAGTTTATCTCATATCATCCTGTATCTTTTTATGACTAATGCCAGGCTCCCCAAGTAGCCCGTAAGCTTTGGAGTGTGAGAACTTGAGTGAAATTCAACTACTAGACTTGGTGCTAAGAGGATCTGGGCCTTTTACCCTCAAGTGCTTCCAGCCTAGGAGGAACTGATATAGATACCATTAACTTTAATACCATCCAACTTCCAGCTCTACTATAACACTAAATAAATGTTCCAGGAGCACAGAGGAGGGAGCAATCACATCTAAGGGAGAGAGATGCTTCTCAGATGATATAATATTCAATCCATGGTTTTGAAGGCTAAATGATGATATGATAGCAGGCCCAGAAGGGAGCTGACGTACAGACTCCTAGGGAGATACAACAGCAAGAAAAATGTTCCAGGAGGCTGGAAAGAGCCATCTGTTTTGGAAGGTAGCATATCACATGTTACTAGCAAAGAGGAGATGAATGAAGTTTGAGAGACGAAGAAGTCAGGTTATATTAGAATTAGAATGCGAATGACCAAAATTCAGTGAAAAGTGGTTTAAGCTTCCATTTGTCCAAAAGAGGAAGCCATCTAGGTTTTGTACAAGATCTGTTTTTTGGAAAAATTGCTTGAATCACTTTGGAACTAATTGAATAAGATAAGTGATGGAAAGGAGTCCAATGTAACTAACTAACAACTAATTAGTTATCAGCTAACTAATTAGCTAGCAGTTGGATGAGGATGCATTAATCAAGATTGGGAAGTGGGGGAGGTTTGAGAATGGAAGGATGGAAAGGGTAACAATGACTTGGTGTTGGTCATATTAAATCATTTTTTTCTTATATCCTAATACAGAAACCAGTGTAGTGTGCATATTCTGCAAATGTTCTAATACTGAGACCACTGTGGTGTGCGTATCCTGGAAATGTTCTAATATAGAGACCAGTAGAATGTGCTTATCCTGTAAATGTTGATGAAGATGGTGACATATACACTATTCGTTCCAGGCATTAAGGGTCTTCAATGTTGAACTTATGAGTATTGATATCAGCTTACATCTATGCAGCACTTCACAAAACATTCCATATAAGTGATCTCGTTTCAACCTTGGTAAATTCAGTGAGGTATACATCGCCCTGTTACAGATTAGAAAACTGAAACTCAGAGAGTTTATAAATGTCAAATGACTTGTTCCAAGCCATACAGCTAGTAAGTATCAAGGCTGGGATCCAAACCTGACCTTTGTGACTCCAATGCAGTCAATTGCCAGTGTATCTTGCTGCCCACCATGGCGGAGGGTAGCTACAGAGGCAGCAGATGACCTTACAGGCTTCTCAGTGTACCAGCTTGGCTGTTTTGAGAGATGGGCTCTTTGGTCTCATGTTGCTGACAGACCTACACAACTTTTCTTTGGGTTTACAGTGTCCCAAAGAAAAATAAGAAACAATTGGATGGCTTGTTGCTTTTCCACTCTGGGAGAGGTATATAAGACTATCACTGCGATCTTGGAAGATCACTGAGACTGATGAATTACTGATGAAATATGAGTCATTATGCTTGTGAAAGTGCTAGAACTGTTGACCCCCTGGAAAGAGGGTTAATATCTGCTATAGTTTGAATGTGTTCCTGAAACTTTTTGTGTTGAAAACTTAATCCCCAATGCAATCGTGTTGAGAAGTGGGACCTTTAAGAGGTGATTAGGTCCCCAGAGTTGTGCCCTCACCAATGGATTGATACCATTATCACAGGAATGGGTTAGTTATCTCAGAAACGGGCTCTTGATAAAAGGATGAGTTCGGCCCTCTTTCTTCCTCTCTCTCTCTCTGTCTCTGTCTCCTATGCCTTCTTGCCTTCTGCCTTCCAATATGAGATGACACAGCAAGAAGGTCCTCACCAGATGGAGGCCCCTCATCCTTGGACTTCCCAGTCTCCAGAACTGTAGGAAATACATTTATTTTCTTTATGAATTACTCAGTCTTGTATTCTGTTACAGCAACCCAAAACAGACTAAGACAATCTCCAAGGGAGGTGAGGGAGGAAAAAAACTACAAATTTTTGTTTGATTTGGGGGAATAGGAAAGAGGAGACAGACTGGATCTGATTTCTCTGTAATTTCAGACTCTAAATTTTTATAACCAAAACCTGGAGAAGAAAGGGAGAAGGGAGAAAAGTTGTCCAGATAAAGGGTATTCCTCCATTAGCTCCCATTTTAGTCCACATGTGCCACAATAGCTAAGTTTTTTCTTTGCAAATCCACTGATAGTGGCAGCACATTGGTGAGACTTGGAACACCATAGCACTAGGGGCCATCTTCAGCACCCCTTGACACAGCTCCCCTATTTCCCGGAGACCACTCATTGAAAGATGAAATCACCTTTGCAAAAATGGTAACAGTGAGAAAACTATGACAATGAAAGAGATCTGACCTAACTAACTTCATCTTGCTTTTAACTTCCAAACTGCCCCCAGTCATTAGTGGGCATGAGCCAAACTAACTTTGGGAGATATGTAGTTTACAGTTTAAATGAGAATAGCCCCTCCCACAACAAAACCACCTTTGTAAAACTTATAAAAGGCCACAAGATTGGGAGGATGAGAGGGGCCTGAATTCTGCTAAGACTATAGGTGTAGCTAAATGGTCATCAGCCTTTATTCCGGAGGTTGCAAGATTTGGAACTTCTCCAATTACTCCTATAAATAACACCACTACTGTAGAACCTAAGATTGGCCTTTTGAGATATCTTTTCAGGCTTTTGTGTTTCTGACAACCAGATGGCTCCGCCCAAAACAGTGACTCCTCTGTGGCCCCCACTCAGAGGAAGACTCAGTGCACAAAAACCGTTTTCCACACCCCTATGACTACATCCCCAACCAATCAGCAGCACCCATTCCCAAGACCCCTGCCCACCAAACTATCCTTGAAAACTCCTTGCCTCTGGATTTTCAGGGAGGCTGAACTGAGTAATAATAAAACTCTGCTCTCCCGTTTAGCCAACTCTACCTGTATTAAACTCTTTCTCTATTGCAATTCCCCTGTCTTGATAAATCAACTCTATCTGAGCAGTGGGAAAGACGAACCCATTGCGTGGTTACAAAGATGCTTGGCATCTTTTACGACAACTTCCTGTAAGTTCTCTTATGATAACTTGCATCTTCAGAAACATGGAGCACGTGTCTGAGAATTAGAGCTTGATACAAAGTCAGGGTAGTGATCTAACTCTTCTGTGCTTATTTATGTAGCTCTGCTTCCAACACCAACTGCAGATGTCACTGAATATTCTCTGGAGTCTCCTTTCAAACCAATTTTAATCCCACTAAGATTAAGAGCAAATATGGGAATAATTGAGATAGGATGACTTCGTGACTATCTTGATAGAGATGTTGTGACTATAAACCTGTTGATGGTCTTGGGCCACACTACCATCTTTGCATTTCCAAGGCTTTTATTTTCCCCAATTCCATTCTACTTTGTAATCTTTGACTTGTTCACCAAGACTTTTTCTACAACCTGGGTAGAAAAAGTCAACGTGTGGTGCCAAGGCTAATTTTTTTCTTTTTCCCAAATGTTCAATTTCCCACTTAGCAATAACAGACTCTGAGCTGTCTTGCAGAAGTCGACGTCTCTGAGAAATTTGTTCTTAAGCTCAAAGTTAGCTAACTAGATTTCCTGGGAAGTCCCTTTCTTACCTTACAGAGCAAGGGATGTTCCCACCTTCCCTTGTCCACACTTACTCATAAAATCTTTCTGATCATTGACTTGAAATTATGCTTAAACTCGACTTGAAAGAGATGTGTGTGTGCGTGTGTGTGTGTGTGTTTCAGTCCCACTTCCTGTGGTTTGAAAAAAACTGACAGTTCCTGACTGAATTTTATCTTTCCACTCTGGGAGCCACACAGCAGAATTATATTGCTTAGTAAAACAAATGGACTACAGAGGGTCCCTTATGTGGCCGCTTGAAAACAGGAAGCTGGAGTGTGATGGGAATGGCTGGTTTTACATAATGAGGCATGCTCGGGGCTGCAAACACCGCCCTGTGGGTTAGAGGCTAGACCTGGGGAAGTAAAGCCCATCAGGGCCTGATCCGTCCAACCCTGGAGTCTTTGTTTGGCTTGGACAGCCACACCCTGGGACCCATCGCCAGGCTCCTTTTGCAGGGTCCAGGCCCCACATCTGACACAGGTCTTAGCAGTAGAATTACTCTCTTCTTCCTGCACCCTGAAAATTGGCAGGACCATGGAGAAGGTTTCCAAACACATCCCCCACTTGTTCACTGTCCCGTGTATCTCCAGAGCAAGGTTGCCTCCGGGACCCACGTAGGTGGGCCTGACCGCAAGGAAAGCTAGTGTCCTTTTATGAATACCACTAGAGGAAGAAGAGAGCGTGTCCAAAGGATGCAGATGTGAGTAATCAGATGACGAGAAAAAGCAGAAGGGCACTTGGCATTTCCCCTTCACCTCCACGATCCCTCCCTGTGCTGGATGCGGACACGTCTTCCCTTTGTAACTTTGGCTCCGTTAACTGGGAAGAGCCTTCCAAAAGGCCACAGGAAGGTCTACATTTGAAAAACCAATCATTTCCTCTACTGCTGAGAAGTGAGCCAGAGCGACCTAACCTCCACTTCACCCTAGGTAATGAGGACTTGGCTTGCAGTGGTCTGAAAGGGTAATCTCCTGATTGGCCTCCAGAGAGCCCTGTGCCGGCTCATTTATGAAGCTTTAAAACAATTGCAAGTCTTCGGCAAAAGGCCTTCAGGGGCCACCCACGCCGGACATGAATCATTTGCATGTGTATCATTCACTTCCCACCAACAATGCCACCCACAGGCTGCATGGAGGACCCGGGGCTTTCAAAGAAGGGAAGAAAACTTCAGCCGTGCAAAGAAGCCCTACCGAAGTCTAAGCTCCTGCCCTCCTGGGGGAGGTGGGGGGTGCATTCCTCAGGCCAAGAAGTCGGACTCTGACTTCCTTTGAAATCCCTCCTGGTGACCAACACGGAATTAGTTAAACTAGTAGGCACTTGGTTGCCTGATCTCCCACGCCAGATTTTCGAACCAAAAAACCAAAAACCCTGGTGAGCAACAGAATTATTACAAAAGGTCCAAGAGTCCATGTTTGTACACAATTTTCCCATCGAAAGCTATTAAGAGTCCAGCTTGATCATATGGAATGTGTGCACATTTTTATTTTTACTTTTAAAAGGGGTTCCATGTGCTCAAAAATGTTGGAAACTCTGGGCAGAAGTCACCAAGAGAAATCAGAAGTTCATTCTGCCCTAAGCAACTTGGATAGCTTAGCAGTACTGGGGTGTCAACCACTCCACCAAGTCTAGGGTGCCCAAACCTGTGCCCAAGTAGAAATACGTTACTTAATTTGTTCTGATTTTGTTTGTTTGTTTGTTTGTTTTAGCAGGCAGGAAGACATTTTCAAATTCCAGAAATGCTGACGGACCTCCAGCGTTTCCATGTTCCTCCCCACCTGAAGAATGTTAAGATAAGCTTAATGTGATTATAACGAGACTTATATGCCCAACAAGCATAGTTTGGGAAAGAGATTTGCTTTGAATACTGTGAAATAAGCTTTAATCTGTCAGGTTTAAAAAAAAAAGTTCCTGTGAATTAATAATGCAAACAGCACTGTGCTTTCTGAGTGCGACTATAAAAGAATTTAATGACCTCCTATTGTGTCAAGCTGTGGATTAACTTCAATTTTCAGAAGATCCCAGGATGCAGGAGTCAGGGTTTGAACTCCTGAGAAAAGTAAATGCTAAACCCTAAATGGCCACTGAGTAAAGAATCCTATTGTCCCCGCTGCATAGCAACCAGTCCCAGTAGGAGGATATCCTACTTTGGATAAAATGAAGTGTCCAGAAAGTGAAAACAGCCTTGACACCAGTTTGTGTTAAAACTATATGAATATTTAAAATGCTTAACATCTGATCAAATAACTGATTCCCGAAGATTAGCTCTAAACCTTAGACAAGTAGTACAGCGGTCATTACATTTCGTAATCACTTTCAGGCCGAACTCAGTTGGGGTGGACATTTCAATTCACAGAATCAACTGCTAGGTCCCCATTTAGGAACTCCATTCCTCCTGGGTGGGCTGACGATGAAGCCCTTGTTACTCCCTGGTGTCACATAGCACCAGCTTATGTCTTAAGGGCAATGCTGGCGTGAGGACATGAGAGTAGAGCCCCACAAATCAGGAATGTGGTGACAAGAACTGCACAGTGGGGCAGGGAGCTAAGAGAAGGGTCCAGTGGGGATCCATAATGGGCAACACAGAAGGTAGCTGTGCACACAGGCACCAGAGTCTTCATCCTGGGCCACTGCAGAGAGCCCCCTAAACCCAGAAAAGAACTTGCTCCCAAACAAAATCAGATTTACAAGGAAATGAATCTTGGAGAGCATCTCCCCAGGGCCTTTGGCCTCCATCAGCTGGGACACCCACGTTCCCAGAAGGAGGATGGCCACCTCCTCGGTGGGATTTCCCAAGGGCTCCTGCTAGAATGCGATGGATTTCCCTGGATGGCGTTTCACAGCGGAAACCGTGGGATTGATTTTGAACGTAATGGGTCTGTATGTGCTTCTGAAAGCGACCTCCTATAAATCATCTGCTCCTCAGATGGCCCCATGAGGTAGGGAAGCTCTAAAGCTTGCTTTCTCTGTTACAGAAGGAAATGAGCACATCATCGCAGCCTCTTGGTAAACTGCACCCCCTCCCTTCCTATGGGTGAACTAAAACAGGAAAAAATGAAACTGGCAGATGTGAGAAAACTGGGAAAGATCCAACAAAGGAAACCAAACTTTGTTTGTAAAATATAAAGAGAGGATGAGGACCCCTCCTCCAGGATCTCTGTGTGTCTGCCTCTGTCCTAGCACTGACTGCAGTGACACTGCATGTTTACATGACCATCCCTCCACAGAGCACATTTTCCAAAGGGCAGGGCCATGTCTTCCATAACCTGTATTCCCAGTGCCCTACTCATGCCTGGGACAAACACACAACATGGGAGGTGCTCCTGAATGTGCAGGTACTAACAGGGAGAAGATGCAGTGGATTTAACTTGGAAGATTATTAAAGGAAGGTGCTGCATGTCTGCAGACAATGATTCAAGTTAGGATAAATGCGGAGGCAGAATTTCTGGGGAAAAGGCCTAGCAGACAAAGGAGGTAGGAGTCTAGAATGTTCCTTCAGTCTGGTCTACTCAACAATCTTTTCAAATGCAAACTACCGTCTTAGCTTAGGATGGGGAAAGATCCACTTTCTTAGAGATGGGAGCTTGCAGCCACCTGTCACACACTTAAAAAGGAATTTGAGTCCTGGTGCAGTGGCTCACGCCTGTAATCCCAACACTTTGAGAGGCCAAGGTGGGCAGATCACTTGAGGTCAGGAGTTCAAGACCAGCCCTGGCCAACATGGTGAAACCCCATGCCTACTAAAAATGCAAAACTTAGCCACATGTGGTGGCACATGACACATGACTTTAATCCCAGCTACTCAGGAAGTTGAGGCAGGAGAATCACTTGAACCCCGGAGGTGGAGACTGCAGTGAGCAGAGATGGCACCACTGCATTCTAGCCTAGGCAACAAAGTGAGACCCTGTCTCAAAAAAAAAAAAAAAAAAAAAATAAAAGAGAGAGAAGAATTCGATAGGACAGTTGAGGCTACAACAAAGCACCCTCCCTGGAATTGCTACTGTGGGCCAGGAGAATTCTCCCAAACACACACACACACACACACACACACACATAATATTTGTTTATATATGTCCTTACATATATTATAAATATATAGTTTACATATTATATATGCACATATTACATATATATGTGTGTGTGTATCTATTTAACTTCAAAATTTGGCCTGAGAAAAGCCATTTTGCTTTCCTTTACAAAAAGTTTCCAAGGAAATTTAATCTCATAGATGTTTTGTTTCTAAATGGGAAGCTGGACCACAATGCAAGAGATTCTTTCTGATAATTAACTTTTGTTCTAGTAGCTAAAATGCTAAGGGGAATTTTTGGTGTATTTTTGTCAGAATAGCTCAAAATATGAGCCTCTCCTGAATTCCAACAATCTTATTGGTATCAAGCTTGGTTCCCAATTTAACTCTCTGGTTCTTAGATTGACCAAATGAGTTCTCTGTGTTCAGTCAGAAATGCTATAAGAGAGTTTTAAGAGTTTCTGAGACAATTGTCAGGGTAATCATCACAGACAGGCTAAAACAAAGAAAAATAAATCATATCCCACTTTTCCAATCACTCTACCCAGATTGCTATCCTACCAACATCCCCTAAAGTATGTGATGCTATTGCTGTGACAGTTTAAAGAGTAAACCATCTGGGTCCCATTTCCATACAACTTTTGCTGACATTGATCATCTTATCCTAGGCTCTTCTCAGGTGAGATGAGCTCCTAGGGGTTCTCTAGCAGAAAATTTTCCGTGAGAGCGTCAATATCATCCTTCAATTCCTTCTTTGTTCCGTGGCTCTTCCTCATAGCAATGCTTCCTTCTTATCTACTCATCAGGCTAGCCTAGTTTTCATTCATTCATTCATTCTTCACTAGCTGTGATAGTTACTGAGTGACTATGACAGACAAGGTCCCTGCTCTTATAGAATTTACATTCTAGCAGAGCAGAGCAATCTAGCAATAAAACAAAAATTAATTATCAGGAGGCTCTTTGGGGTTTACCACAGTGGGAAGAGAAAGTGATTTAACTGACCCCAGAAAAAAAATATAACCCCTTAAGCATAAATGGTATAAGATGTAGAGGAACATGCAGGGTCCTGCTTTTACTAGGAAGCCAAGTGCCGGTCGTGCGGTGCCTTGCGAGGTCGTTCTTGGTCTGTAGAGTGGCTCTGTGCTGATGGGTCTACTTGTGCTCCATTCTCAGGCCCACTAAGTGACTTCTTTCCAGACAAGGACTTGTTTATATCTGAGGAATCTACTTCCATAATACGAAAGCTGGGGAGCTCACCACAGGAAGTTTCAGGATGCAAACCCAGGAAGAGAAGGGTGGACGCTCAGACCCCATCTGTTTGCACCAAGACATCTTTGCCAGCAGCCTTCACTTTCCTCGCCTTGGACCTTGGCCACATTATTGATTTCACAAGGTCTCAGGCTCCACCGACAGCCATTCAGAAGAAGGCCAGAGTGCATGTGGAATCACCGCTTTGCCACATGATGATCTGCTTAAGACAAAGTCTACACTGCAGTAGAGCCAGGCAGGAGTTTAAGACCAGCCTGGCCAACATGGTGAAACCCCATCTCTACTAAAAGTATAAAAATTAATTGGGTGTGGTGGTGGGCACCTGTAATCCCAGCTATTCAGGAGGCTGAGGCAGGAGAATCGCTTGAACCCAGGAGGTGGAGCTTGCAGTGAGCCAAGATCATGCCACTGCATTCCAGCCTGGGCAACAGAGTGAGACTCTGTCTCAGAAAAAAAATACACAAAATATATGAACAAGTTAATTTTTAATTGCTTTTATAAAAATGAGGTCTCACTATGTTGCCCAGGCTGTTCTCAAACTCCTGGCCTCAAGCAATCCTCCCTGCCCTGGCCTCCCAAAGTGCTGGAATAACAGGCATGAGCCACCATGCCTAGCCAAGTCAATTTACTAAAAGTCAGCTCAGTATATACCCAAAGGAATATAAATCAATCCTTCTAGTATAAAGATACATGCACACATATAGCACTATTTACAATAGCAAAGTCATGGAATCAACCTAAATGCCTATCAGTGATAGACTGGATAAAGAAAATGTGGTACATATACATCATGGAATACTATGCAGCCAAAAAAAGGAATGAGATCATGTTGCAGGGACATGGATGGAGTCGGAAGCCATTATTCTCAGCAAACTAATGCAGGAACAGAAAACCAAACACTGCATGATCTCACTTATAAGTAGGAGCTGATTGATGAGAACACATGGACCTGTGGTGGGGAAAAACACACACTGGGCATCTGTAGGGGCAGGAAGGGAGAGCATCAGGAAGAATAACCAATTGATGCAGGGCTTAATACCTGGATGATGGGATGATCTGTGTAGTAAACCACCATGGCACACATTTACCTGCACACGTACCCCTGAACTTAAAATAAAAATTGGAAGACAAAAAAAGGAACTGATGAATAAGATCAAATAAAATCATTGTTGATTGAAGTTAAAAAAAAAGTCAGCCCAGTAGAAAATGGACAAAATGCTTGAAATGCCACTTCATAAATGAGAGTAATATTCAAATGGCTAGTAAACATATTAAAAATGCTCAATTTTGTTTGTAATCAAGGAAATGCACATTGAAATCATAGAGATGCAATTCCACACTACCAAAATGGCTAAAATTTAAATTAAAATTGCCAAATATTGGCAAGAATATGTAACAACTTGAACACTCCCACACTATTCATTAGAGTGCTAATTGGTACAAACCCTTAGGAAAATGGTTTGGAAATTATTACTAAAGCTAACATATACATACCCTTCGACTCAGCAACTCCACTCTGGGTTTTCATGCCCAACAGAAATGTGTTCACTAATAAACACTTACCTGAATTTTTTTAGGAGTGCTGTTCATTGGAGCTAAAAACTGAAAATTACCCAGGTGCACGGCAATGGTAGCATGAATGAATACATTACGCGATATTCACACAATGGAATACAGGTTGAGTATCCCTTATCCAAGTGCTTGGGACCAGAAATGTTTCAGATTTTTAATTTTTCAGGTCTTGGAATAGTTGCATTAAACTCACTGGTGGAACATGCCAAATCCAAAAATCTGAAATCTCAATCTCAATCTAAATGCTCCAATGAGCATTTCCTTTCAGCATCATGTGGGTGCTCAACAAGTTTCAGATTTTGCAGCATTTTGGACTTCAGATTTTCAGATTTGGGATGTTCAACCTATACTGTACAACAGTGAGAAAGAATCACGTACTCACAAAAATATGGATGAATATGACAGCCATACTATGGAGGAAAAGAAACCAGACATTAAAAGTCTGGTATACACTGCATGATTCCATTTCTATAAAGTACACAAACAGACAGGATAATGATTACCCCACTTAGGATTAGTGCCTGGGAGATAACACAAAAGAGAACTGGTAACATTGTATTTCTTGCTCTGGGTTCTGGTTTTATGGATGTGTTCAGTTTGTGAAAATTCATTGAGACTACGATGTGTGCTCATTTCCGTATGTATATTACATTTCAATAAAAAGTACCACAAAACCTATATACCACTGTTGCTCCTGCTTCTGTTCTTGTGGACACCACACACAGTAAAAGCACATATATCAACTTTCCAAGTCGACATGTAATTCAAGACATACAGTGCACTTTAAGCCTGCCATGAATATATTTTGTAGAATAATGTAAGAATCGGAGAAATGGGCCACTCGGCAGTTCTACAGAGTTTGGGTGTGTGTGCAAGCATGGAAGAGTGGCATGTGGTTTTCACTACTAATGGATTAGTAAAGTATAATAGGAAAAATATGATGCCCAAAAGAAAGCCAACTGCCACTGCTGCTCTGGAACTGGCCCAGATGCTCTGGAACTGGCTCAGAACTGAGAAAAGCTAAGAAATGATACCTGGAAACAGAAAGTTCATGGAAGAGAGCACATGCTAAGGTTTTATTCTTTTTTTTTTTTTTTTTCTGGGACAAGATCTCACTCTGTTGCTCAGGCTGGAGTGCAGTGGCTCAGTGGCTCCTCTCAGCTCACTGCAACCTCTGCCTCCCCAGCTCAAGCAATCCTCCAGCCGCAGCCTCCCAAGTAGCTGGGACTACAGGCACACACCACCATGCTTGGCTAATTTTTGTATTTTTTTTTTGTAGAGATGGGGTTTCACCATGTGGCCCAGGCTGGTCTCCAACCCCTAGCCTCAAGCAATCTGCCTGCCTCAGCCTTCCAAAGTGCTGGGATTACAGACATGAGCCACCACACTTGACCTTCTTCTTAAATGAGAGAATCTGCTAAGGTTTTATGTTAAGGGCCTATTGGCCTGCTTTACATTGTTAAATTTTTTCTTAACAGGTGAAGCTCTAGGCTCTCCAACTAGATTATAAGCTCATTAAGAACAGGGGGTTGTTTTGTGTCCTCCTTGAGTGCTAGGCACATCAATGTCATTTTTTTTTATTTCGTTATGGTTAAACGTATTTACAGAGACATCCTCAGTTTTAAAATCGGAGACGATGCATTCAAGGCTGAGGCAGAAGCTGCTGGTTGGATGGTGGTTGGATGGGGAGGGAGCTGAGAAATTGATCGCCTGAGTGTCTTTTGTCCTCTCAGGAGGAATGACTGACTGCAGAAATGGGAAAGGGAGACTATAGCCCCTGACTCCTGTTTGCAAGTATGAATCAAGGGATGATTGAGGGTTGAACAACACACGCCTGAGCCAATCTTGGAAGCCCATTGCAAAATTGTGCACCAAATTTGGTTCAAAACCTTAAACTTTCATCCTATCTGGAACCTCAGCTTTCCAGAGTTTATTTCATTTCCTAGTGTTATGGGTTGAATTACGTTCCTCACAAATTTACATATAAAGTCCTCACCCCTAGTACCTCAGAATGTGATGTTATTTGGAAATAGGTTTGTTGCAGATGTATTCGTTAAAATGAGGTCATACTTGTGTATGATGGGCCCCTAATCTAATATAATTGGTGTTCATATAAAAAGGGGAAATTTGAAAACACACACACACACACACACACACACACACACACACAGTACCACTGGGACCATGATTCTTCAAGCAATGAGCCTTCATTCCCTGCAAAACACTAGAAGACAGTCAGGAGGCATGGAACAGATCCTCTCTCATAGCCTTCAGAGGAAAGCAGCAGTACCAACACTGTGGTCTCAGACTTCTAGCCTCCAGAACTGGGAGAAAATAATTATCTGTGGCTTGAGCCGCCTAGTTCGCAGTACTTGTTGCAGCAGTCCTAGCAAAGTAATCAATACCAAGTGTTGAAATTTCATGATCGATTACAAAGCAGATGACTCTTCTTGTTTTTGGTTTTGATTTTTTGTTTGTTTGTTTTGAGACAAAGTCTCACTCTGTCACCCAGGCTGGAGCGCAGTGGCATGATCTCGGCTCACTGCAACCTCCACCTGTGGGATCAAGCGATTCTCTTGCCCCACCACGCCTGCTAATTTTTGTATTTTTAGTAGAGACAGGGTTTCACCATGTTGGCCAGACTGGTCTTGAACTCCTGACCTCAGCCTCCCAAAGTGCTGGGATTATAGGCAGAGCCAACGCGCCTGGTCAGACGTACTCTTCTTTAGTGATGCACCCTGGCCTGCTAACAGCATTTATAATGACATCGAGGGTCTGTGTGTCTGAATGTGGACATTTCAGAAAACATTTCTTCACCTTTGAAAATAAACAAAATATTTTGCCAGGTCTTTCACCAAAAAGTCTTCAAAGTGAATGGGACCTTAGAGATCGAAGGTTCAATCCCCTCATTTTAGAGATGAAGGCATTCAGGTTCAGAGGTGGGAAGTCACTTGTCCTAGGTCAGTAGGTTTGTTGGAGACAGAGCTAAGAGTCCCAGCTTCCAACTCTCAAGTTAGAGATTTTTCTGCTGGATTGCAGCCCATTCTGCTGAAAGTTTATGCAGACAAAGGAAATAAACACTCTTCCTTTGAGATATGGCTATACTCGAAGTGGCAGGAATCCTACCAAGGCCCTGGAGAAACTATTACATTGTAAATCTTAAAAGTAGTAAGATATTTTAATATTCCAAGTCCAATATAGTCCAAAGAAGAATCGAAGAGGCCAAAATCTAATTATGTCTCTGAATCTTTGCTTAATCCAACAGGCTATTTGGTATTCCTATTTCAACATTTTGGGGTGTTCCAATAGGAAACTAAACACATTGGGTACATTGACTTTCAGACTTGTAACAAATAAGTTGTGCCAAACCACACAATTCCACCTCAAGATAATTTTCCCCAGTGGGACAAAATATAAAACAACAGCAGCCAGCGAGTGTACATTAGTTGAAAACACCCACATTGCAATCCAAATCATGTGCCACTATTGTTCCTCTCTCTGTCTCTGTCTCTGTCTCTCTCTCCTCTCACCCTTCCTTGCTCTCTCAACCTTCCCAGCTCTTTGATTCTACCAGGAAAAGAAAAGAGCCTTTCACACCAAAACCTAGATGATGGATCAGTTGACCCTGAAACCAAGTTCAGCTATTTCATGACTGTGTGAGAGTGACCTTGAATAATAGAAATAGCTGCTGGAAAAAAAATGCTTTTCATACTGAAGGGTAGAAAAACAAGAATGACAGTAGGCTCTACATTTCAGTCTCTATGGTCTGAATGTGTTCCCCCAAATTCATATACTGAAACATAGTCTGCAGTGTGGTATTAAGAGATGAGGCTTAGGGGAGGTGATTAAGTCATGAGGGCAGAGACTTCATAAATGAGATTAGCACCCTTATAAAAGAAGCCTGAGGGAGCTTGTTAGCTCCTTTGCCTGTCCTTTGTGTGAGGACACATTGAAGGTGAATCTAGGAGGAATGAGGCCTCGCCAGACGCCAAATCTGCTGATGCTTTGATCTTGAAATCCCAGCCTCCAGAACTGTAAGCAATAAATTCTGTTGCTTATAAAACTCATTGTAAGGTATTTTGTTATAACCTCTCAAATGGACTAAGATGCAGTCTATAAACCTTGATGGGACTCTTAGTCTAGAAAATTGCATTTTAGATAATACATTCCACATTTTTAGCACTCTAATAGCTAATGTGCATGGCTCATTATTTTGCTGATAAATAATATAAGCCATTCTAGAGGTCAATGAGATGCTCAGAAAAAAAATGCTGTCTTGATACAGAAAGAAGGAAGACTAGTTTTTTTTTTTTCAGGTTTTTAAGCAAAGTTTTTAACTGAAGCATAACATGCAAAATGAAAAGTACACAAATCATAAATGTATGGATTAATGAAATTTTACAAAATATGCACATTTGTGTAATCACTACCCAGACAATGAATAGAATATCACCAGTTCTCCAGAAGCTGCCTATGGGCACCCTCTCACTCCCTCCCCTGTTCCTCCTCAAAGCTAACCACTATTCTGATATCTATCACCATCGATTGGTTTTTTTCTTCTTCTGAACTTTATATATATGTATATATTATATAATCTTTTGTGTCTGGTTTCATTCAACATTATGTTGGTGAATTTAATGCACACTTGTTGCACGTAAACAGTAGTCCATTTATTTCATTGCTGCATTGATTCCAATGTATACACACACCAATATTTATCCATTCTACTGTTGAGAGACTTTTGAGTTGTTTCCATTTTCTATTATGAATAGTGCTGCTATAAACATTCTCGTGCATGTTTATATTGGCTCTTTCTATTTCTCTTGGTATGCCTGGTAATTTCTTTTTAAAATTTATTTACTTTAAGTTCCGGGCAGGCTTGTTACATAGGTGTGCCATGGTGGTTTGCTGCATCTATCAACCCATCACCTAGGCATTAAACCCCGCATGCATTAGCTATTTGTCCTGATGCTCTCCCTCCCCTTGCCCCCCACCTCCCTATAGGAGCTAATAATAACATGTTAACATATGTCCCTGTGTTGTTTTTCAGAAACTCAGATCCTCCACCAAGTGGTTCTGCTGGCATGCAGACCTCAGATGTTGGGAAACTGAGAACTGAGCTCTGATTGAAGTTCTTTGCTCTAAGTTTCTTCCGGAGGGGCCGGGAGGAAGTCACAACTACGGGCCAGAGCTAACATTCCTTTCTGCTGACCCCAAGTCTTTAAACAAAGCTCCTCTTTCTAACCAATTGCAAATCAGAAAATTTTTTAGTCTACCTGTGATCTGTAAGCTGCTGCTTCAAGATATCCCGCCTTTTTAGGCCCAACCAGTGTGTAGCCTCCATGTGTTGATTTATGCTTTTGCCTATAACTTCTGCTTTCCTATTTTTTTTTTTTTGAGATGGAGTTTCACTTTGTCACCCAGGCTGGAGTGCAGTGTCATGATCTCGGCTCACTGCAACCTCCACCCGCCAAGTTCAAGTGATTCTCCTGCCTCAGCCTCCAGAGTAGCTGGGATTACAGGCATGTGCCACCACACCCAGCTAATTCAGTAGAGATGGGGTTTCGCCATTTTGGTCGGGTTGGTCTTGAAGTCCTGACCTCAGGTGATCCCCCCTCCTCGGCTTCCCAAAGTGCTAGGGTTACAGTCGTGAGCCACCACACACAGCATAAAATTTATGCTGTCTTTAAAAACCCCTACCTGTAAGGCACTGGGGAGGTCGAGTCTTAAGCATGAGCTGCCCAATTCTCCTTGATTGGCGCTCTGCACATTAATGCCCTCCTTTCTCCTGCTGCAAGCCTCAGTGTGGATGTTTGACTTTATCACTCCAGGCCAGAGGACCCCATTTGGGTTTTGTAACATTGGGAGTGAAGGAGAAGTTATATTGGTTTTATGCGAAATCAGTGTTGCTTGTTCTTGTGGGGTTCAGTGAATTGTTCCCAGGAGCAAAGGAGCTGAATGCAGGCATGGCCTGAAGCTACAAGCATCACCCCCATCCCTTCTCTTGGAAAAATGCCTGTGAAAATACACTGGTTTGGCTTGCTGATGTCCTCATGTCTCTGTGATTTAAGACTTAGCAACCTAGGATGGAATCAAGGTAGAATTCTATGTTCTTGAGAAATTGCCTTGTGAAGGCCTGAGAGAAGACAATCCCACCAGCGGCCACCCCACGGAGCCACCAATCCTGGCACAGGAAGTTGTGGTTTGGGAAGTGGGCTTTGAACATTGTTCTTCTCCCTGGGTCTGGCTCCCAAGGGGCCGGTGGGCTGTCAGCCCCCTTCCCCACCCCCAAGTGACTCTGAAATGAAGATGTATAGACTGGCGTTTTATTGAGATGGACTCTCAGATCAACAGCCATAAGTGTGTACAGGAAGCAGGACCCAGCAGAGGGAGAAGTAGACAAACTTGCAGTCATCACAAGGTAGACTCCGCGGATCTCATGCCATGCCCTGGAGCTGGAATGCCCTTCAGTGTCACTCCCAATTGTGGAGCAGGGACCAGGCCTTATACCCCTGCCTGAAGCAGTCTTTGGATGTGGGCTGCCCCAGGGAAGGGCAGAACCTTGGGAGAGTAGCTCTCTTGAGCTGAGGCCAGTCTGTGGTCACTGCACTGGTCTGAGTCTCTCAGGAACTTGTTAGAAATGTGCATTCTTGTGTGCCATTCCAGACCTTCTGAATCAGGAACTCTGAGGGTGGGTCAAAGAGTAACCTGTGATTTAACAAAGCCTCCAGGAAATGATACAAAATGAAGTTTGAGAGCCACTGCCCTAGGGCAAGGCCTACAGAACTTGCAGAGAGTTTTAATAGCCACTCTCCCAGCAGGAATGGAAAAGTCCTACGAAAAGGGTTCTATAGGTCAGCGGTGGTGGCTCACACCTGTAATCCTAGCACTTTGAGAGACCAAGGTGGGTAGATCACCTGAGGTCAGCAGTTCAAGACCACCCTGGCCAACACGGTGGAATCCTGTCTCTACTAAAAATACAAAAAATTAGCTCGGTGTGGTGTCAGGTGCCTGTAATCCCAGCAACTTGGGAGGCTGAGGCAGGAGAATCGCTTGAACCTGGGAGGCGGAGGTTGCAGTGAGCCGAGGTTGCACCATTGCACTCCAGCCTGAGTGACAGAGCGAGAATCCGTCAAAAGGAAAGAAAGAAAGGAGAGAAAGAGAGAAAGAAAGAGAGAGAGAGAGAGAAAGAGAGAGGGAAGGGAAGGGAAGAGAGGGAAGGGAAAGGAGAAAAAGGTTCCATAAACTAAAAATAAAATCCAAAGCCCCCCAACCAATTGAACGGACTCTCTCTTGGCCAAGGGAACCCCAGAGAAACCTTAAAAACTGAGTTCCTAGCCAGGATGGGAATCAAGTCAGACACACCTGGTTATACTCCTCCCTTGCAGTTTAGACGCAACTGGCCAGCATCCATGTTAAAGCAGAGATGATAAAAGACTGACGGAAGGAGCTCTTTGTGGCAATAAGATACCAAATTACAATCAGGAGCTAAGGCCAGGGCAGGCAGGGGTTAAGCTACCCCCTACTCTTAAAGAAGAAGCTCTGTTCTAACTGCCACAAGAGTTTTCTTTTCCTCTAGCAGATAAACAAGCACTGGCCTGGACATAAGCAATATTGAAACGACTTGCAGCTCGTCCACAGCCAGCAGCTGACTAGCTGACCCCCTGTTCTACCAGCCGTTATCGCAGCTTTGATTGAACAAGAGACTGATTTCAGTAACTTTCTCCTGATAAGAGCCCACAGACCATGCACTGGTTCTGGCCAGTTTACAAAGGCTGTGCACAGAATGCCTTCACGTCCCTGCTTCCCGCTTTGACGTATAGGGCCTAATTCTAGCGCATTTAAATGTTAAGTGTCCACCCCAAAGTGAACATGGGGCATATGTGACATGCATGTTCGGTACACGTGGGTCAAGACCACCTTCTTGAATATTCGTAGCTCCTGGTGTAACCTGTTAAATATGTATACTTGTCCAACCTGTTCAGCTTAAATTCCTGTCTTACCAGTTCCTCCCTCAAAGCTCTCGATAACAGTCTCTGCCTCCATTGGAGACCAGCTCCCCAACCTATCTGGAAGACCCCCTTGCAGGCTGTAACCCTTTATAAAAAATAGAGTCTCCTTTTCAAATTTATAAATGGTGTGATTTTTAAGTTAACTGTCACGGCATCAGTGACACAGGCTCAGAGATCTCTGGGAGGTGGGCACAGGATGGCCACTGCCTTACGGAAGAAGATTGGGAGCCAGGAAGTTTGGGGGGCAGGGGGTGAAGATGAAGACAGCCTAGATCTTGAGAGCAGAGAATGTAAAAGCAATTCTAACTTTCACTCTCCATTGTATTTCTCTTATGTCATCACCAAATTGTCAATAAAATGTCAAAAAATGCACAGTCATCTATAAGTTTTATGTGGAATTAGAAAATACCTGTCTTTTTTTATGCAAAGGAAAGATTAACCTCTCCACCACCACCAGGACCAGCATGGGTGGTGGCGGTGGACGCGAGCAGGTGTTGGCTGTGTGGGGTGGTCCCCTGATCTCCAGAGGGCCAGCGGCTTCAGGGGCAGCATAGTGCCTGCCAGCAGGAGGCCAAAGAAGGGTGATTGACTCATTCCAGAGCACATCCCACATAGCATCCCAAGCCACCTGCAAAAACCAGCCAAGGCTATTTAAGGAAGCTGCATTCCAGGGGCTCAAAGTCTATCGTGATTTGGATAGTTACAGGGTAGCTATGACATTTTTATAAATTAACAAGCTACTGTGCTATGCCCTAGGCATACCAATTACAACAGCGTCTTTGGAGCCATTAGTCCCATGGGGAAGCCTCACAAAGGCTGTTTTAATTGCACTGACGACTCTTTGGAATTACTGGCATTTATTTATTTATCTATCTATTATTTTTTCAGAGACAGGGAGGGTCTCACTCTGTGGCCCATGTTAGAATTCAGTGGCACAATCATAGCTCACTGTGGCCTGCAACTCCTGGGCTTAAGCCATCCTCCTGAGTCAGCCTCCCCAGTAGCCAGGACTACAGGCCTGGGCCACCACAACTGGCCAATTTTTTTTTTTTAGACAAGGTCTCACTCTGTCACCCAGGCTGGAGTGCAGTGGCATGAAGTCAGCTCACTGCAACCTCCGCCTCCTGAGTTCAAGAGATTCTCCTGCCTCAGCCTCCCCAGTAGCTGGGATTACAGGTGCCTGCCACCATGCCTGGCTAATTTTTGTATTTTCAGTAGAGACGGGGTTTCAATACTAGGCTGGTCTTGAACTCCTGACCTCAGGTGATCTGCCAGCCTTGGCCTCCCAAAGTGCTGGTATTACAGGCATGAGCCACCACACCTGGCCTAATTTTATTTTTATTTTTTATTTTTGTAGAGTCCGGGTCTCACTATGTTGCCTAGGCTAGTCTCAAATTTCTGACCTCAAGCAATCGTCCTACCTCTTCTTCCCAAATCTCTGGGATTACAAGCAAAAGCCACCATGCCCAGCCATTACTGGCATTTAATTCTATGTCCCAGGTCAAGCAGATGGCAAATATGGGAGTTGGGACTTCATGGGAAAGAAATGATCAAGCTGATGTGGTCACCTTAGGATGATGAAAATTCACCATTTTTAATAAGGTAAATGGTGTATAACGACTCCACCACGAGTCTTGTCAGGTCAATTTCATGACTGTCAATCAATCATTCTATCATTTAATTTCCATTTAAAAGTTTTTAATCTTTTTTCATTACCCTGCAAATCAACTCAAGTAAATCATTATACTTACAGTCATGTACCACATAAGGATGTTTAAGTCAATGAAGAACAATTTATGTGACCAAGTAGTCCCGTAAGATTATCATGACGCTGAAAAATCACCTAGTGATGTTGTAGCCATTATAACATCATAGTGCAATTACTTTTTTTTCTTTCTTTCTTTTTTTTTTTTTTTTGAGATGGAGTCTTGCTCTGTCGCCATGCTGGAGTGCAGTGGCACTGTAGCAGGACGAGCCGCAGACAAAACCTCTCAGTCACCGAGTAGTAGAAGGAACGGCTTTATTCAGCTGGGAGCATCGGCAAGCTACTGCCTTAAAATCCGAGCTCCCCGAGTGCACAATTTCCGTCCCTTTTAAGGGCTCACAACACTAAAGATTTCACATGAAAGGGTCATGATTGATTTGAGCAAGCAGGCGGTACGTGACAGGGGCTGCATGCACCAGTGGTCAGGGAGGAACAGAACAGGGCAGGGAGTTTCACAGTGTTCTTCTATACAGTGTTAGGAATCTATGAATAACATCGGCTTCTAAATCATAAGTTGATTTTTAACTACTGGGTTTAGGCCAGGCGGGCCCAGGCCTGGTTTCGGGCCTGGCGCCGGGCTGCCTGTCTTTGGTTTTACTTCCTTGTTGTTTTTTCTTAAAACAGGTACTGAATATAAAATAATATGAGAGGGTCTTTCTCTTCCTTCATTCCCCCCTTTTGAGATTCTCACTTTTTATTAGTGGGAGTTCTCACTCTTATTTTTACTTATGTCTTTTTGTGCAATAGATTAATAGTGATTCATATAGTACACTTGTGCTGAAGCATTTTGGTGAACTAAGGTAGCGATGAAGCTTTTTATCATTTGAAGAAGTACAGGTAGCAAACAAGGGACCAGTTAGCAGGTTTTTATTATTATAATTCCTATTATAAGAGTTTTAAATTTTTCTAGTGCTGGGAACCACCTTCTAAACATGGCTTCAGGGTTGAATCCATGCTGCACTTGCACGGAAACATGTGCCAGTTGTGTCATATTTTTAACTATGTCTTTAACTACTTGCCTTTGATTATCTATGTGTAGACAGTAATTAGTAAGGTTAAACTTTTCGCAAACTCCTCCTTCAGCTGCTAGCAAGTAGTCAAGAGCTAGTCTAGTTTGATAGATAGCATTTCTCATCTGAGTCTCTTGCCGGGTAAGAACAGTCAAGGCTTGACTGGTTTTATTAGTAATAATTTCTAAAACAGCTTGTAATTGTATGATTCAGTTGAGCATGTAGATGGGGGTCCGATATCTCCATGAGCCATCTTGTGTCCAAGTGGTAGGTCCATAGTATTATATGACTTTTTTCAAGGGGCCATTTATTATCTTTTTAATTACCTATGGCTATGCTTCGTTTTGGTATTTTTGTTTTTTTTTTTTTTTCTGGGAAGCATAGATTGGGAAGCCCAGAAGTTCACCTGTTTTCATGGGCAGTAAGAAGAAAGATGGCTTAATGGTGCCAATTACACAGCTACCTGTCCACTGATCAGGAAGCTTAGCATAAGCTTTCTGTCCACATATCCAGTATAACCCGGTGGGGCCATCCAGTCCCGGTGGAATTCTGGATGGGCCCAAACAGTCTGCAACTTTGAAAATTTACTGAATGGATTTATTTCTGTATAATTGGAACTCCATCAGGTAACTGTTTTTGTGGTACCATTATACAGCTTTTGCCCAAGACAACTAAGCCACCCTACAGGATGAGTGAATCTTTTTCCTTCTTTAGCTATGCAATACTGTCTAATAATTGAGACTTTTAGAACGTAGAGATGATCAGGGTGATTCTTTTGGGCTGGGAATTTATCAGGAACTGGGTCTGTAGGAACTAATTCTTGGGCTTCCCATGGCCATTGATTTCCTGTTAATGGTTTCTCCACAAACATAAAATGAGGTGACTTGCAGAGATTGGGTTACATGTTCGGCTAATTGCAAAAACAAATTTTTAGTTTTTCCTGGAATTTCAGGTACTGGCACATTTAGTTCCTCATAGAAAGTCTGAAATACTTGTTCTGGAGAACGTTTTTGAACGTCTCCTTTTATTAGGATGCTTACACCCTAGGATCTAGTCCCTTTCCATCAATGTCTAATGATACATATTTTTCTTTTATTTTACTTTGGGTCTGAGGGGTTTGTGATGATCAATTCTAAAAGGTTGCAGCTCCCATTCATGCAGGAGGGGCTGACTTTTCCTTTTTGGAGTCAAACAGGATCTTTTTTATTTTCCTTTTAAGTAGTCCAAATGACACAAGACCAGTATTGACACATCTCACATAAATATGATTTTTGACAGATATACTTATTTTTTTATGGTGTACCTTTTTTTTTCTAATCTAGAGAACTGCATCCTCTCCCATGCTGCTTACTATCAGTAGCAGCACAAGCATCAAATTTTAAGGTTACATTTTTGGGGACCCCTCTTTTTTTATGTTCTAGCTATTACCTTACTTGTGTCACCTAGAAAAGGACCACTCCTTAATTTCATTTTAAAAACTGTGATTATGGGATGCTTAAAATGGGTCATAACATGCATCAGGTTGGTTATTTCCTGGGCTACATACCTTGGTAGGATAGCATTATACAAACAAGTTTCTTTTAGAGTCCTGGTACACTTATAATAACCATAAAATAATAGGACTGTAGCAATCTTTTGTCCTACCTCAGTGACTTGATGAATATACTGGAAACAGTTCTCAGTCTGAGGAAGGTCAGTTGAAGTCCTTACTATACAAGTCCAAATTTTAAGGAAAATGAGTCCTGTGATGAGTTTCCTCATGTTTCGGCCGTGTGTGGACCAGTTAGCTTCCAGGTGTGACTGGAGCAGGGCTTGTCGTCTTCTTCAGAGTCACTTTGCAGGGGTTGGCGAAGCTGCTCCTATCCACGTGCAGCTCCCAGTCTACTGATGGTCTCGGTGGTTGGGCCCACTAGAATAAACTGAGTCCAATACTTTTACACAGTTATGTTTAACTGAGCTCTCTGATACCAGGAGTAAGGTGGCGGGGTTAGGGTGTTGCAAACTTTAATGGTTATGCGGGGATTTTCACAGAGCAAGCTTTGGTATCTAGTTAGTCTAGCATTTATTAGCTAATGATGTCCTTTGGTATTTATTAAAATCACCACAGCATGGGGAGACTTTATGTTTAGGTTTTGCCTAAGAGTTAGCTTATTTGCTTCTTGTGCTAACAGGGCCATTGCTGCCAGGGCCCTTGGACATGGGGGCCAGCCTTTGGAAACCCTGTCTAGTTGTTTTGAGAGATAGGCCACTGGCCTTGGCCAGGGCCCTGCAGTCTAGGTTAACTCTAACTGCCATTTGTTTTCTTTCTGACACATAGAGTGTAAAGAGTTTTGTCAGGTCAGGTAGCCTCAGGGCTGGGGCCGACATGAGTTTGTTTTTTTTTTTTAAACTCATGAAAAGCTTGTTGCTGTTGGTTGTAATAGATGTAGTTTATCTAATCTACATTTTTATTGACTGTCATCTACCAAAATATTGACTTAAATCTTCTAACTATTTGATTTTAAGCTTTAAATTGATCTGGTATTCCTTGCGGGGCTTCAATTGCATCTAAATAGATGTGAGAGTTGAAAGACCCATAAGGGGCTTCTCTCGCTTTACTATGTCTTATTATTTTTATTATTTTTTTCCTTCCTCTGATTGATGAAATGCCAGGGTGAAAGGGATAGCCAAATGGACTAAAGCACAAGTGCCACTCTAGTTATTCAGCAGAGTGCCCAGTAAAGGTCCACCACAATACCACCACACATCCACTCGGGGATGAACAAGGGCTGACTGATAAGCTCTTGAAAATTCTTAAGCTCACTGCATCCCTTCAGGTCTCCAAGGAATCTAAGTCTCCTCCCTACCGTGAGAGACACGAAGTGAACTTAGTGTTGGGAGACGGAAGCTGGACGGCCCTCGGGGGCTGACCCGCAGGGTGCCAGACTTCGGGATATAGCAGAGAGAGCTTGGCATGACTTGTTACTCCAGGCTGTAGAATCCTGCAAAAGAGCTACTATGCAGCCCACGCCTGGTGGACTGGAGGACCACCTTAGTGGAAGGGGGACAATAAGGGCCTCTGGCCTGCCATGTGCACAAGCATAACAATTGCTTTTGTTTAATGTGCAGATGGAATATTTGATCCATTTCAACTAGGCATTTGCATCTTGGTATGCTGTCTTAATTGCCAAAGTTTGTTTTAAGTCTTTAACTTTTATGATCCTCTAGTAAAATGAATGTTTTCTTTTGTACCAATTTTTATTAGTTTTTAGACCAAAGAAAGCTAAACACCATTTTATATTTAATAATGTTTCTTGTATGATTTTTATACCAGATAAGCTAAATTTTACCATTATATTAGTGTGTTATTAATATTAAACTTAATTTTAATAAAACCTTGTAGACATATTTATCCAATTTTTTATATTTGACCATAAGGTAAGATTTTATAGACTCTTTTTAACCTTTTATAATTTTTGTTAAAGAGCAGGTTGATGCTTTAAGAAAAAAAACCTGTTGCATTTTTACTTTCATGTCCAGTTCACAGAGAAACTGGATGATACCTTTTTAACTTTAGCTAATATGTTTACACACAGAATTTTCTTTACAATTAACCTTTTAAAACTTGCTTAAACTTTTAAAACAATAATTTTCTTAACCTTTTAATGTAGGTAAAAATCCACATTCTTATGCCTCCTTATAATCTTTTTATTAAAGGTATATTTTACTTTTTTATACACCTTGCACATAAACTGTTTCTTCAGTAGTACTCAGGAGGCCTTATTCTTTTAAATTATGCAACATTTTTTGCATAAAATTTTTTATAACTTTTTTTTTCACGAAGTGAAAAAGTGATATGGTTAGATAGACAGATACTTACCATTGTGTTCCAGTTGCCCGCAGTATTCAGTACAGTACATGCTGTGCAGGTTTATAGACTAAAAGCAATAGGCTACACCATAGAGCCTGAATGTGTAGGCGGCTGTGCCTCTAGGGTTTAGTTTAGCTTTGTTTTGTTTTGTTTTGTTTTTTGAGACGGAGTCTCTTTCTGTCGCCCAGGCTGGAGTGCAGCGGTGCGATCTCGGCTCACTGCAAGCTCCGCCTCCCAGGTTCACACCATTCTCCTGCCTCAGCCTCCCGAGTAGCTGGGACTTCAGGCGCCCGCCACCACGCCCTGCTAATTTTTTGTATTTTTAGTAAAGACTGAGTTTCACCATGTTAGCCAGGATGGTCTAGATCTTCTGACCTTGTGATCCACCCACCTCGGCCTCCCAAAGTGCTGGGATTACAGGCGTGAGCCACCGCGCCCGGCCACCTCTAGGTTTTTGTAGGTACATTGTAGGGTGTTTGCAAATGACAAAATCACCTAACGATGAATTTCCCCCTCCTTTAAGTGACACATGACCATTTCCTCGAAAAAAGGGGTCTTTCTTGGGTCTGCCCCTAGAAAGTGTTCTTGGATCTCGTGTAGGAAGGAATTCGAGGAGAGTCACAGAGAGCAGTGAAAAGAGATCGTTTATTGAAAGCTACTGTGATGCAGAGTAGGGCATCCTCAGAAGGCAAGCGGAGGCGCACCTCATCTTTTTTCTTATCTAGGGGTTTTGACTATGTAGAAGCTAAGCTAAGCTGTATCTATGTGTAGGTAGGTAGACAGCATGACAAAGTGTATTATTCTGTTGATTTAAAGAAAACTTTGACATTTTAGTGTGTGTGTACTCTAAAGCATCAAGTAATTAATCTTGAAAACATATTGTTATTAGTATTGGGACATCTGGACTTTCTACTGAGAGGTGACAACGTGCTGGCAGTCCTCACAGCCCTCTCTCACTCTCTGCGCCTCCTCTGCCTGGGCTCCCACTTTGGTGGCACTTGAGGAGCCCTTCGGCCCGCCGCTGCACTGTGGGAGCCCCTTTCTGGGCTGGCCAAGGCTGGAGCCCACTCCCTCAGCTTGCAGGGAGGTGTGGAGGGAGAGGCGCGAGCGGGAACCGGGGCTGCGTGCCGCGCTTGCGGGCCAGCTGGAGTTCCGGGTGGGCGTGCACTCGGAGCAGCCGGCCAGCCCTGCTGGCCCCGGGAAATGAGGGACTTAGCACCTGGGCCAGTGGCTGCGGAGGGTGTACTGGGTCCCCCAGCAGTGCCAGCCCACCGGTGCTGCGCTCGATTTCTGCCCGGGCCTTAGCTGCCTTCCCGCGGGGCAGGGCTGGGGACCTGCAGCCCGCCATGCCTGAGCCTCCCACCCACTCCATGGGCTCCTGTGCCGCCGGAGCCTCCCCAACAAGCACCACCCCCTACTCCACAGCGCCCAGTCCCATCGACCACCCAAGGGCTGAGGAATGCGAGCGCACGGCGCAGGCCTGGCAGGCAGCTCCACCTGCAGCCCTGGTGTGGGATCCGCTGGTGGGGACGTGGAGAGCCTTTATGTCTAGCTCAGGGATTGTAAATACACCAATCAGCACCCTGTGTTTAGCTCAAGGTTTGTGAGTGCACCAATCGACACTCTGTATCTAGCTGCTCTGGTGGGGCCTTGGAGAGCCTTTGTGTCTAGCTCAGGGATTGTAAATACACCGGTGGGCACTCTGTATCTAGCTCAAGGTTTGTAAACACAGCAATCAGCACCCTGTGTTTAGCTCAAGGTTTGTGAATGCACCAATCGACACTCTGCATCTAGCTGCTCTAGTGGGGCCTTGGAGAACCTTTATGTCTAGCTCAGGGATTGTAAATACACCAATCAGCACTCTGTATCTAGCTCAAGGTTTGTAAACACACCAATCAGCACCCTGTGTTTAGCTCAAGGTTTGTGAATGCACCAATCGACACTCTGTATCTAGCTGCTCTGGTGGGGCCTTGGAGAACGTGTGTGTCGAAACTCCGTATCTAACTAATCTGATGGGGACGTGGAGAACATTTGTATCTAGCTCAGGGATTGTAAATGCACCAATCAGCGCCCTGTCAAAACAGACCACTGGGCTCTACCAATCAGCAGGATGTGGGTGGGGCCAGATAAGAGAAGAAAAGCAGGCTGCCTGAGCCAGCATTGGCAACCCGCTGGGGTCCCCTTCCACACTGTGGAAGCTTTGTTTTTTCGCTCTTTGCAATGAATCTTGCTACTGCTCACTCTTTGGGTCCACGCTGCTTTTATGAGCTGTAACACTCACCACGAAGATCTGCAGCTTCACTCCTGAGCCCAGCAAGACCCCGAGCCCACCAGGAGGAACGAACAACGCCAGACGCGCTACCTTAAGAGGTGTAACACTCACCGCGAAGGTCTGCAGCTTCACTCCTGAGCCAGAGAGACCACGAACCCACCAGAAGGAAGAAACTCCCAACACATCTGAACATCAGAAGGGACAGACTCCAGACGCGCCACCTTAAGAGCTGTAACACTCACTGTGAGGGTCTGCGGCTTCATTCTTCAAGTCAGTGAGACCAAGAACCCACCAATTCCGGACACACTACTGTTGCAGAAGTGTGTCCTTGTACGTATGTTTAAGCTGTTTCCTTTTAACCGTAAGCATCTTAAGACTATGGGTAGTGGGTAACAATGAATGTGGTTACCTGTTGGTCTCAAGACAGAGCTGAACCTAAAATGGCGTTACCGTGGCTCTCCTAGACTTCGGCTTCCCTAACATGAGTGGAATAGAAATTACATTCCATGAATGGTTTCACTATGTTCTGCTTCTCTCCTCCAGCTCCTGTTACAATCACTTTGAAATTAGAAATTCAGTGAAATATTCCAAGGATATCATCACCGAAGGGGATTGTGAAAATCAGTGAAATAATGCATTCTTAATTTTAAAAGTTCTTGATACAGTATAACCCTGGACTTCAAAAAATTTCACGAAGTCTTAGAGATGTACATATAAGACAAAAAGTAAAGCACAGGAACAAATTGGTGCATGTAATTGAAAATCAGCTTGATTCAGATGCTTCGTTGACTGTGGTTGAAAACTGTTTATGAGGGCAGGTTTGCATATACACAGAAAATAAAGCTTGCATCTTTTTTTTCTTCCAACAGGTCAAGCATTTACAGACAAGAGTGGAGAAAAATGGAAACTCATCAAACAAGTGATATAAGTAGAGAAGTCTGGCACATTGATGTTATCACCAGATATGGCTTCATAGGAGGGAACAGTGCACATTGAAGTTGACAGCCACCGCAGCCACTGCAGGGCCCAGCCGTACCCTTAGGAAAGGTGTGAATCTCAGAACACCCCATACACGAGGATCCTGTCCCCATGATCCTCGTGGCTTAACTCTTTGTACCTTCTTGATTCAATTCGGTGCCTTTTCATTTAATATCTCTTTTAAACCTTTCTCCATACACATTTCCCTCTCCCCAAAAGAAAGAAATTTCTAAAAATATATATAACTGTAAGCAGCAGAACGTTTTCTGCAAATGTCACATCCTTGTTCTTTTTGTTTTTTGTTTTGTTTTGCTTTGCTTTTGAGACAGAGTCTCGCTCTGTTGCCCAGGCTGGAGGGCAGTGGCGCAATCTCGGCTCACTGCAACCTCCACCTCCTGGGTTCAGGCGATTCACCTGCCTCAGCCTCCCAAGTAGCTGGGATTACAGGCATGTGCCACCACGCCCAGCTAATTTTTGTATTTTTAGTGGAGATGGGATTTCACCAGGTTGGCCAGGCTGATGTCGAACTCCTGACCTCAGGTGATCCACCCGCCTCCACCTTCCAAAGTGCTAGGATTACAGGCATGAACCACTGCCCCCTGTTCCTTGTTCTTATTTCATATTCTGTTCCTCTCCTGGTCTATCTTCTTTTGCCATTTCACTTTTTATGTGTATCCTTTCCCCAGATGGCAAGCAAGAAAAAAAAAAAAAAACTCAATCCTGTCAATTGGGAATATTTATTAGCAGCTTTCATTAAAAGAAAGAAATACTAGAGATAAGCTTAAAACTCTTAGCCATTTTTATTTCCCTTGATGTTCGTATCTACCTACCACTTTCCATTTCTAATTCACAGTTAATATTATCTGTATTCTGCTTCAGATAGCGTGCCAGGTTAGTGACACACCCTGGCCTCAGTGATCTTACAACATGTTTCCCTCAACACAAACAATATGAAAAGACATATGATTAATTAGAGGGAGTAAAAAAAAAAAATAACCAGATCAATATTAACAAAGCCAAGGATAACAAGTCAGAATATTCGAAAAAGTCAGAGGACATTGTAAGAAATTATCTAGCAAAACTCTTCCACCAAGAGATGAGCGAAAAGAGGGAGAAGTTATGCCTGGCTGCTGTGTGCTACCCTTGACCTTGGGAAAGTGCTTTAACAAATCTACACTTCAGTTTTGTGATCTGTAAAACGAGTCTAGTACTAATATCTACTTCATGCAGCTGCTGTGTAAATGAATATGGTAATCCCTGCAATGTACTTAACAGTGCCTGGGACGTAGTAAGCCCTCAATTACTGTTAGCTGTAATAAAAATATCATGATTGTTATGGAGCCCACATCACTGAGTATGTTGGTGGTTAGCAAGTACTAGACGCTAAGGGTCTTCATTATTAATCATGTGTTTTAGGAATGGGATAGCTTTTCCTCTCATGAGTGGCTGGAGCAACGAGGGGTGCCCACATCGGATCTGTAGGACATTTGAGCTCATGGCTGGAGCCAGAATGATGCAGCCTCTTTTCAGCCCTGTGGCTTTGGTATTTTGCTTCTACAAGCCTCAGTTTCCCCACCTTTGATGAAGGAAATGAGGGCATGCCTTACAGATGGTGATGAGGCTTGAGATAGTGCATGGAAGTGGGAATGATCTGGGCATTGGGGGCATGGTGAGGAAAGAGAGTGTGGGCATCTCTCTGTTTCATAGCCTGCCAAGTCTGGACTCTCTCACTCTCCCAGGAACCCCTGACATGCATCCATTTATTTTTCGGAAATTGTTTTCGATTGCGGCAAGTAGATATGCAACTACTGTGTATGAAATGACTGGCTCAGTTACGAAGAGGGAGCTACCAGAAAGAAAACGTATGCAAGAGAACATTTCCCAGTGAAACCAGATCAGACCAAGGATTTACACCTCTTCTGCAGAAGCAAAAACATTTGCTTTCCACGTCATCCGAATGTTTGCAGCTTTGATGCCAAACCTAACGCGTTAAGCCCGGGCAGGCATGGCAGGCTCCGGAGAGGTTCTGTGGGCTGGGCAAGCCAAGGTTTAGGAGCCCCTTGTCCACATAAGTCACAGCAGTTCCCCACTTTGTGGAGGAAATTAGCTCAGAGAAATGCCAAGTGTGATAAAAAATGAAATAGATTGACATTCCAATAAAATAAGCTCGTCTACCCTCTGTACACCCCCTGGGTCCCTGGAGATGTATATATTCCAGAAATAGCATTACATTCACATTACAGCATATTCTTGGTTCAAAACTAACACATCAGGGCTCTGCCGCTCCCAAAGCTGCCAGGAGACAGCTCTGACTGATGTCCAGCTCACTTCCACACGATGTTACAAGTTATGATTACTGATGATGACAGATCGTTACCAGGGGAGTATTTTCACGGAATAGGCAGATTGGAAACCCAAAGGAAAACCAACATATTAAAGGGACATAAAAGCCTTAGCTTCATGCAGTGGAATGTGACATCACCCCCTATTCAGCACAGGGGTGGAAGGCAGGGAGGAGGAACAGGAGAGATTTTCACCCACCATTAGGAGGTCTGGGTTCCATCCCTTTTTCATGCCAACTCACTCCCCAGCCCCAGGGGTAATTGCTATGTGGCTCTACACAGGTCTCCTGCGAGCTTTAAGGGTGAATGAGCTAATGTTGTTGAGATTCATAGATAAAAGCTGGTAAAGTACACAGGGCACTCTCTGAGTTTCTGAAAGAAGACTTGTTAGTGTTTGGGAAATTGCAGAAAGTCTCTTGACAGGACCAAGGATGTCATGCTTTCTGTGTCCTGCCTGTGTTGCCCAGGGAAGAAGACACTGTTCCTTCCTTCCTTCCCCAGTGATTCATTGGCCAGGGTGAGGAGGTAGAAGAAGAAATACCAGGAACCACATATCCAAACAATTTTGCCCTCTTCTGTTTTGTAGATAAAGTATTTGAGGTGACGCTCACAATTCAAGGAGATATCTCAGGGTATAAGATTTATACCAATTTAAACTACAAGTCCAGAGAAAAGGAAGTTTGGGAAATTCCCTTTAACTGATTTTGGGAGAAAAAAGACAGGATTGAGAATCAGGGAAACATTTCTGATTTTATGTGTACTGGGACATTCTTGCTGATGTAAGATAACATATTTTGCAGTAGATCTTTAATTTATGCCTCTCACTGGAGCCCCCTCTTCATTCCCATGTAGCTGAACCCCACTCCTTCCTCTTGTAAGTTGTTCTTTTGCATTATTTTACAAAAGTAAGCCATGCTTATTTGAAAAGATTTATGCAATATAATATAGGAAATAAAACTGAAGATAAAACTGAAAAACCTTAATTTCTTTTCTTAACCCCTTGCCATTAGCCACAGTTAAATTATCACTGATGGTTTGCCAGTGCAATCAGAAATGTAGGTATGTTTATGTGCATGCCCATAGTGATAGGGTTTTTAAAAAAACTATTGCTGGGATCATACTATGGACATATTATTCTGTGACTTATCTCTCTAATGGTGTATAATGGTGTATAATAGACATCATCTCGCTATTTCTCTTTATTTCTTTAAAGTCCTGCTCAAACCCTGCCCCTTCCATGAAAGTTTTTCTGCCAATTTCAGCTCTCCTTCTTTTGAAACAAGACATGTAATAGTATTGAGGGTATTACATGCATCTGGGCTCTTGCAGCACAATTTATGTCTACTGTCTTGGATCTTCCCAACAACCTTACAATGTTGGCATTATGATCTTCCTTCTGTGGAGGAAATTGAGGCTAAACAAAATTCCTTGCATTGCCCAGGGTCAGGTAACTGTAATTCCATGGAAGAGCCAGACTTTGACCCAAATGTTTCTGGTTCCCAAGCCCATGTTCTTTCCATCATCCGCACTGGGCTTTCATTCTTTAATTATATCCACTCATTCATAAAATAGTTCCTGAGTTTCCACCGTGTTACTCTGCTTTATCTGGGTGCTAGAGATTCAGTGGGGAGCAAAGGCAGTTTTTCTCACCTTCTGTTACTTACTTATTTCCTGTCTTATAACATGCCCTGCCTTATTGATAGACTGCAGTTTGCCATTAGCACGGGTATGATGGAAGGTTTCTATCGAATCAAACTAAGACTTAGTAGAAATGCAAGACATTTTGCCTCATCATTAGAAGACAGTGGGCCGGGCGCGGTGGCTCACGCCTGTAATCCCAGCACTTTGGGAGGCCGAGGCGGGCGGATCACGAGGTCAGGAGATCGAGACCATCCTGGCTAACACGGTGAAACCCCGTCTCTACTAAAAATACAAAAAATTAGCCGGGCGAGGTGGCGGGCGCCTGTAGTCCCAGCTACTCGGGAGGCTGAGGCAGGAGAATGGCGTGAACCCCAGGGGGCGGAGGCTGCAGTGAGCCGAGATTGCGCCACTGCACTCCAGCCTGGGCGACAGCGAGACTCCGTCTCAAAAAAAAAAAAAAAAAAAAAAAAAGAAGACAGTGGGGGAAAAAATCTCATTATTTTTCAAAAAGCCAAAATGTTATTTTTATCTCACATGTTTAAAATCACAGAAAAAAGTAATTAATAACCCTCTTTTTAATCATATTTAATCTTAATCATATTTGTCTTCATCATTAGTCTGCTCAGGCTGCCATAACAAAACACCATAGACTGAGTGGGTTAAGCAACAGGCATTTATTTCCATAGTTCTGAAGGCTGCAAAGTCCCAGATCACAGTGGTGGCCGATTTGGTTCCTGATAAGGGCCCTCTTCCTGGCTTGTAGACAGTCGCTTTCCTGCTGTGTGCTTACATGGCGGAAAGGGACAGCGACCTCTCCCTCTTCCTCTTCTTATCAAGCCATTATCCCATCACGAGGGTTCCACCTTCATGACCTCATCCAACCCCAATTATCTCCCAAAGGCCTCATCTCCAAATAGCCACATTGGGGTGGGGCTTCAACCTATGGATTTTTGAAGGGATACAATTTAGTCCATAACAATGTTCTTCTCTTGACTAATTCTTACTGTAATGAATATTTAGGGACTGGGTGAGGTGGCTCACACCTGTAATCCCAGCACTTTGGGAGGCAAAGGTAGGAGGATCCCTTGAGCCCAGGAGTTGAAGACCAGCCTGTGCAATATAACAAGACCCCACTCTATAAAAAATCAAAAAATTAGCTGGGTGTGGTGGGGCACACTTGTAGTCCCGGGTTCTAGGGAGGCTGAGGTGGGAGGATGGCTTGAGCCCAGGAGGTCAAGACTGCAGTGGGCCGTGATTACACCACTGCACTCCAGCCTGGGTGACAGAGGAAGACCCTGTCTCTAAAATATATATATATATATATACATGTATGTGTGTGTGTATGTGTGTGTGTGTATATGTATATTTACTATATATAATAAATTTTATGTATTTCATATATATGTATTTACTATATATAGTAAATATACAGCAAATATATAAAAATTTACTGTATATAATAAATGCAATAGTATATTATAGTATAGTATTATAGCACATATAACAAATATATAGTAAATATATATATATTTACTATCAAAAACCAGAACGACATTGAGCTTTAAACTCCCATCCCTCTAAGTATTTCTGTTTTTATCATTCATACATTTTTTTGTGTTTGACAAAGTCTCACTCTGTCACCCAGGCTGGAGTGCAATGGCACCATCTTGGCTCACTACAACCTCCGCCTCCCAGGTTCAAGCAATTCTCCTGTCTCAGACTCCCAAGTAGCTGGGATTGCAGGTGCACCCCGCCACACCAGGCTAATTTTGGTATTTTTAGTAGAGATGGGGTTTTGCCATGTTGGCCAGGCTGGTCTCAAACTCCTGACCTCAAGTGGTCTGCCCACCTTGGCCTCCCAAAGTGCTGGGGTTACAGGCATAAGCCACCGTGCCCAGCCATTCATACATTTTTTAAAGATAATTACAAAAAAGAGATCTTTACCTGTCAGGGAAGTAAGAGATAAAAACATTTTTGGATCTTCTCAGGAGCTCTTTCTGATATAAACGCTATGCAAGGACACACATTCCAGAGACACGCCCCATCCATTCGGCTGCGCCGCTGCCATGGGAGGCCAAAGAAGCCTGCAGCTGTAAGCCTGGGAGAGTGACAGAAGAAGGTACGTGGGCCTCATTTAGAAAATGTAAATGAATCAAATGAGACACATTCAAATTATATCTAAGTATTGGCTCTGGAAATTGCATCTGTGGTGAGGGAAACTGGGGATAACTCCTAGGAAAAAAAATACAGAATATATATATATATATATATATATAAAGTATAAACCTCTTTGAGTTGCGGGTGGTAAGGTGGGAGGGAAATTCATAGGTTAGCCAATGTATGAGTGAAAGCATTCAAGTATATGCTTTAAAAATAATTTTTTAGCCTAAAAATTTAAAATTTGCACCCAAAGTTTTGTTTCACAGGTTGATCAACCAATTATCGGAGTCCCCTTCATATAAGTTATTTCACAATTGACCCTGTCATAAAGGAAAACTTTCACCAAAAATACCCTTTTTTTTCTTTTTGAGGTTTTCCCTTTATATGGAGTTGTGGAAAAGTAGAGTTTCTGACGGAAACTGTCTTGCTTTATAGCTAAATATAAGAGCAAATCCAAGTACAGCAGAAAACAATTATCCAGAAGTGGCCAGGGAAGCATTCCTGGCTTGTAGTCATGTGGTCTCAGGAGGCGGGCAAGCCCTTTGCACAAAACCCAAACCTTACAGTATGAATGGCAGGGGTGTCAAATCAGGGTTAATAATTCAACACAAGAACCAAGCCCAAAGGCCACCCAAAACTAAGTTCAGTGGCTGAAACAGAAGCCCAATAGGGGTGTGGCACTGTGCCCATATTCAACATAAAAATAAATAAATGGGCCACTGTGGGCAGATGTGAGGACATCCCAAGTTGTCCCCTGGGGACAGACCTCCCCACCCCCAGGTCCATCCAAGGTACAGAAGAGTGCTTTTCTCTAACACATCACCACCTTTAAATGAAGAAATTTTGTTTCCAGAAACTTCTTTTCTTTTCTTTTTCTTTTTCTTTGTGTGTGTGTGTGTGTGTGTGTGTGTGTGTGTGTGTGTGACAAAGTCTCACTTTAGCCCAGGCTAAAGTGCAGTGGTGTGATCACAGTTCACTGCAGCCTCAGCCTCCATGGGCTCAGGTGATCCTCCCACCTCAGCCCTCCTAGTAGCTGGGTCTACAGGTCACACTCCCATGCCTGGCTAATTTTTTATTTTTTGTACCTGCAGGGTTTCGCTAGTGTTGAACACCTGAGCTCAAGCAACCCACTCACTTTGGTCTTCCTGGGATTACAGGCATGAGCCACAGTGCCTGGCCTCCAGTAAGTTCTTAATAAAAAGGAAATAAGCTATATGCAATGATGGACACATTAAGCCATCATCATCCAATGTTCTCTTAATACAGATCATTCATTCAATAAGTGGACTCTGAAATTTTGCTTTTGGAAAGCCACCATACCTGGCACTGAAAAGGGTGCATTAGATGTAGACCAAATATTTAAATCTCTGTTATCATGGAAATCAAATGAGTGAACAAGTGTCAAGGTACGTTTGACCCTTCCAGTGTCTTCCCGATGCTGTTTGCTCTGATATGAGTTAAGATCTTGACTCTGGAGTCAGACTGCCTGGTTGTATTTAGGATCCACTACTAGCTGGTGTCCTTGGGAAAACAAAATAGGGATAATAAGAATATCTTATTCACGGAGTGGTCACGGGAATTAAGTGAGATGATATATAGGAAGCAAGGATTAAGTGAGATGATACCTAGGAAGCTGTAACAATGCCTGGAGGCAGCATGTGCTTTGTTTTTGTTGTTATTGTTGATACTGTTTCTATGTTTATATACATTTTTCTCTTAGAAAAAGAAAATTTTAGAATTTTCCTTTAGAAAAGAAAAATTTTTTCTAAAATATTATTAGAAAAAATATTTTGTCTAAAAAATAGTTTTCATATATAGTATATATATTGTATATATACTATATATACATTGCATATATATACACTATATATACACATTGTGTATACATATATGTATATATATATATATATATATATAGTAGAGATGGGGTCTCACTATGTTGCCCAGGCTGGTCTTGAACTCCTGAGCTCAAGCAATCCTCCTTCCTCGGCCTCCCAAAGTGCTGGGATTACAGGCATGGGACACTGCGCCTGGCCTAATGCTATATCTATAATGAATTTTTGCAACTCTGATATCTCATACATAGTCTAGGAGCCCTATAAACTAACTACTAGTGTTCTTTAAAAGATAACGTAAAATAGCAACAACGAAATAAAACAGTAGAATAAAAGTGCAAAGTTCTATGGCAGAATGGCGAAGGCTTAGTGTTGGAAACAATTATGAGAAAGGCAAGTTCCTCAACCTTCTAAAGTTTTGTTTTCTAACCTGTAAAATGGGGAGAATAATGAGTGCCTTGTTTTGGAGATGAGATGAGGTAATGTATGTAAAATTAGTAGGTTTGGTAGGTGCTATTACAGTGCAAATCGTTAATTGAGATATCATTTTTAATTAAAAGATGAAGATGGCCATGCACAGTGGCTCACACCTGTAATTCCAACACTTTGGGAGACTGAGGCAGGTGGACGGCTTGAGTCCAGGAGTTTGAGACCAGCCTGGGCAATATGGCGAAACCAAGTGTCTACAAAAAATACAAAAAAAAAAAATTAGCTCGGCATGGTGGCTCGCGACTGTGGTCCCAGTTACTAGGAAGGCTGAGGTGGGAGGATCGCTTGAGCCCAGAAGGCAGAGGTTGCGTTGAGCCAAGATGGCACCACTGTACTCCAGTCTGGGCAACACAGGGAGATCCTGTCTCAAAAAAAAAAAAAAAAAAAAAAAAGCCGGACTCGGTGGTTCACCCCTGTAATCCCAGCACTTTGGGAGGCTGTGGCCGGCGAATCACCTGAGGTCAGGAGTTCGAGACTAGCCTGGTTAACATGGTGAAACCCCGTGTCTACTAAAAATACAAAACTATAGCCGGGCGTCGTGGCGCGCGCCTGTAGTCTCAGCTACTCAAGAGACTGAGGCAGGAGAATTGCTTGAGCCTGGGAGGCAGAGTTTGCAGTGAGCCAAGATCACACAGCTGTACTCCAGCCTGGGAAACAGAGTGACAGTCTTTCTCAAAAAATAAAAAAATAATAATAAAAAAAGAAGGCACGCTGGCTGACTCAGGATATCCACTAGGTGGTGCTAGAAAACAATGGCCAATCATGAAGCATTCATTTTCAAAGACCTGGCATTTTAATCTTTTATTTGAGTGTATCAGGAAACAGTTTCTTTCTTTAAAAATTGTTTTTTATTTCAATAGTTTTTGGGGTGTCTTTTGTAACATGAATTATATAGTGGTGAACTCCAAGATTCTAGTGCACCCGAATAGTGTACATTGTACCTGATGTGTAGTTTTTTATCCCTAGCGCTCTTCCCCTTTCTGCATCTCTAAAGTCGATGATATCACACTGTATGCCTTTGCATACTTGTAGCTTAGCTCCCACTTATAAGTGAGAACATGTGGTTTTGGTTTTCCACTCCTGAAGAATAATGGCCTCCAGCTCCATCCAAGTTGCTGCAAAAGACATTATTTCCTCCATTTTAATGGCTGAGTAGTATTCCATGGTGTATATATACCACGTTTTCCTTACCCACTCATTGGTTGATGGGCACTTAGGTTGGTTCCACATCTCTGCAATTGTGAATTGTGCTGCGGTAAACATACGCGTGTGGTGTCCTTTTCATATAATGACTTCTAGGAAACGCAGTTTCGATGAACACTCCAACCTACATTCCTTGCATCACTTTGGGACTTTTACCTACTCCTATAATTCTCAAACATTTCCGCCCCTCTGCCTTCCAAGTAAGATGCTTACTCAGCCAACAATTCCTGAGTGCCTGCTGTCTGCTAGGTGCTGGATACACAAAAATGAAGAAAATGCAGTGCCTGGGCCGGTCATGAATTCCACTGTGGATGCGTTAAGTTTGAAGTTCCTGTAGTACTTCCGGGTGGAGATGTCCAACCAGCTGTTGACTATTTAGATTTGAAGCTCAGAATTGACATTCAGAATCAGGGAGACATCATACTTTGTCTGTAGTTGATCGTGAGCTTGAAAAGCATGGCCCAGGACAGAGCATAAAGTGGGAGGGGCTATGAGCGGGTACAGAATCCTGCAGAACGTGGGCATGCCAGCGAGGAGACAGGCTCGCGGAGGACAGAAGGAGGGTTCCGAGAGCCGCAGGCAGAAGCAGGGCAGGGTGGTGTCAAAGAAACCGGGGGGTATGAAGGGACAAAGGACGAGTGTCCCCTAGAAGAGAGAAGAAAGCCCATTGGATTTGGAGCAGGAAGAGGCCCACTGAGAGTGGCCTGGGGACAGAGTGCATGTGAAGACAGCCCAATATCGGCTGCTTTTTAAAAAATGTGGATGAGAAGAGGAGAGTCAGGATAGTTACTAGAGGAGCACTGAGGGTAGGGGGGAGTCGGTTGGGGGGCTTGGTTGGTGTTTGGCTGTTTACTTATTTACTTATTTGCATTGGGAGAAAGGGATCTGATGGCATTTACAGATGGAGGGAAGGAGCCAATAGTGAAGGACAGGCTGATGATTAGAACACATGAGAAGGGCTGACACCCCATCCCACCACTTTTCTCCTTGTCCCAAACAAGCTGTGTGCTCTTGGGTGGTTTCCTGCCCCCTCTCATCCTCAGGCACCTCACCTAGAAAAACATACAGAGTAAAATGGTGAATCGTGTGTAAGATCTCTCCTAGCTCTAAGAAAATTCCATTTCCAAATTTCAATCTTTCAGCTATCTAAACAGCAAAGGGAAGAATTATACAGGTTAAGTATGTTTAAATAACTGTCTTTGAAATGAAAGCCAACATTACAATATCTCACGTCACTAAATGCATGCATGTGGTAAAATGCAAAGCAACCCACTCAAAATAGTTGGTGTGTGGTTAACTGTGTAAATGGCATGTCTCCCTCTGCATGTGAATCTAGAGGCTGGCCCTTGAGATCCACCATCCATATATGCCACAGTTGAGTCTTCAGATCCAGCCTGTCGGTATTTCCATTCTCGAGCACTGGGTAATGTGGTCCTGGCATAGCTCTGTGCCAAACACGTGGTTAACACTTGGACTTATAAATTGTTTATAATCAGCCTCCCTGGCCAATTACAATAGAGAATTTGTATGCAAGTGAAGATATTCAGGCATGCAGAAAATTAAATAAACAGTCTATACACATGTTGAAATACATCTTGCAAATTGCAGGAAACATATTCACATTACTTTTTATGAAGGCCTCGGCTGTGTTTAAGAGGCCCTTTCTAATAAGGAATGTTTTGACTATGATCCTCCCAAGACACTATAGCACTCAACACAGAAAGATACAATTTTCTTATTCATGAATGTCATAAATGAGCTCAAGAAGGCCTTGGCACGCTTCTTCTGTGCCCTAGCAATGGAAGGTGAGTGCTAACCTCATTCATTTCCTTGATGAAAAGGTATCTTGATTGCTCTGCATCTAGAAGAATGGCTACTTTAAGTCCCAGGGGCACTTAATAAAACGTCTTCGGACTGAGTGACACTGATGAGCAGAGAGCAATTTCCATTTCCCTCCTATGATCTAACAAGTAGCCGGGGGCCGGTTCTTCCAGATGCATCCTCGGCTTGGTAGCACACAGAGGTCAGTCCATTAGGGAGGCCAGACCTCCAAAAGAAGAGGCTCTCAAAAAGACAAAACTTGGTGACCACATTCCCCCAACTCAAACATCATTAACACCTTCATTCTTGGGACAATGATAAAGTTTCTTGATGAGTGTTGATAATTACCTACTTTAAAGATTATTCAGACCCCCTGCTCTCTTTTCTGTTCTCTCTCTCTCCCTCTCTCAATCTCTCTCTACCTTTTGGTGCAGAAAGAGAACGAGCAAAAATCAAACCAGTCATCTGGGCTCCGCGATGAGCCTTTCAGGTTGAGAGATGAGTCGCCAGGAGAGTCAGGGAGGTTTGGCCGGAAGGAAAAGATGGCTTGTTGCTGTGTTTCTGTCTCTCCTGTTGCGTTTGCTCTCATTACTGATGAACTGGGGGACTGACTGAAGAGAGGGGCTTCCTGTATCTGTGCTCTCTGGGGGCCGACTTCTGCCTGCCTTTCTGGTACCCGTGCTCTGCCAACAATGTGCGGCTTGCATTCAATTTGCTCAAACACTCACCGACTTTAATTAACTGATTTCTGTTCCAAGAACCAACATCAAATACTCTTGTGATCTTCCATGGTGAAGCAGAAACCACTGGGTGAGGGGACAGGAAATCGACCCGCCCCCAACTCCTGCTGGTTACGCTGAGCTGGGGCCAGAAACACCCCATAAACCCTCGGGCAGTCATTTATTAGAAATAATGTCATTGAAATGGAAGTTGCCATGGTACAGTGGCCTCCAGCTGAGAGCCCAGACTCCTGGGGAGGAGGGAGGGAAGAGGCCTTCCAGCTCCTGCTGCTACTCGTTACCCTCACTCCCACTGCGCAGATAAAGCACCACAAAGGGTTAGCGACTCTTTCATTTAAAAGGTGATTCAGGTGAGGTTTATTTTTCATTCCATTAAATAAACGTTGCAAAAATGTTGGAGTCAAGAGAGTAAAATCAGAAGCTGAAACAAAATGACTTAATTGCTTTGCCATATAGAGGCATATTTAGAAATGAGAGGTGCAACAGGAAAGATTGCATCACTGAGATTTTAAATCCTTGGTTACTGCAAGCAAACACAGCCACAAACCTGGATCCCAACTCTGTCCAAGTTGAAATAAAAGCAAGATTGGCTTTATTACAAATGAGTAGAGGTATGGGTTTATTGGGATGGGCAGCTTTTGAATTCTTTTTGCCTGATGTCGTTTTACAGAGATGGATAGCTGGGCATTCCAAGCCCAAGGATAGGGACTCGGATTAAACCAAGTGTGTGGTTTGGTTTTTAAGCTGTGCTGGAGGTCCTTTTACCTAATGACCCGGCCTCTGCTCTCTGCAAATAAGCCTCATCTTTCTGATGAAATTAACGAACATAGGCTTTTCCTCCTCTCCCATGGCCTATCACCGTGGGTATACATGGAATGTAGAATTGCTCTTCAAGTGGCTTGGGGGACCTAGCGCGCTCCGGCCCCTCTGAGGTGTTCAACCCTGCCCTGCCTCCTCTTACCTGCGTGACCTCAGGCAGGTTAGTTTCTGTGAACTTCAGATTTGTCATTTCTAAAATTAAATGAATAGTAATAAGAATAATAGTACTAATAATAATGAATGTAATTTCTATGGCTGCCTGACAAATGACCCAAAACTTAGCAGTTTAAAACAATAAACACGTGCAGCCTCACACAGTTTTCTGCAGGGTAGGAATCTGGGAACAGCTTAGCTCCAGCCCAGGACCTCCATGAGGCAGCAGTGAAGGGGCAGGCTGAGTCCAGAGTTATTCGAAGGCATGACTGGGGCTGGAGGATCTGCTTACACGATGGTACATTCACAGGACTGCAGACAGGGAGCCCCCGATCCTCACCTCCTGGGCTTCTCCACAGCTCACTTGAATATCCTCATGGTGTGGAAACTGGCTTCCTTCCCCCAGAGTGAGTGATTCCAGAGAGAGCAAGGGATTAAGCCACAATAGCTTTTGCAGCATAACCTGGGCGGTGACAAACCTTCACTTCTGTGTTCTGACGGCCACACAGACCAATCCCAAGGACCGCGGGAGAGGCCCATGCAACGCTGCCGACCACATCTCCCTTGAGGGGTGTTAGGAAGATGAGTGTGTGTCCATGTGAAGTAAGCAAATGACACTCAGTAGAGGCTCGATAAAATAAACCAAAGTTATCACTATTTATCCCATCAGTACGAAGCATCCCAATTCAAAATGTGAGGCTGAGAAAGAACTGCTAGGTTAACATACAGAAGAGCCAAATGAGAACAACATCCATTCATCCAACAAATATTTACTCATAGAGTGTGTAGTATGCTCCAGACACTGTTCTGGTTACTTGGGCTATATTAATAAACAAAATCAAGATCCTTGCCTTTATGCAGCTAATGTGCCAGAGGTGAGACACAGACAATTAAAACAGACATAGTAAATGAGTAGATTGTATAGCACATTAGAAGGCAGGATGTGCTATAACAAGAAGAAGAAAGGAAGAGCCAGTCAAGGGGCATTAGGAATGCAGGGGCAGGAGGTGCAGATTGAAATATTCAGCATGGCGCTAGCACGGGTCTTATGGGAAAGGTTCGGCAGAGCACAGAGGGGCCATGAGGCAGGCCCTTTCCTGGGAGACACAGACTGCTCTGCAGAGATTACGTCCTAAGGCTTCACTGCAGCCTGGGACCGTCCCACCTGACTCTCCCTCTCTCTCCTGCATTGGAGATCTGACCTGCATCCCAACCTGATGCCTCCCTTAGCCTCCTCCCTCCTTCCTGATATCTTCTCATGGGAAGATGCTCTCAGAAAAGCCTCGCTCACTGAATCCCCCCCGGGCATCTGTATCTCAGGGGACCGGGTTGGCACACCAGGGAAGGATGCCAGCTTCTGCACTGAAGGAAAAGGGCAGCACTGCAGGGCTCAGAGAGAGAAGGAGTGCCATGGGAGCTGCTCTGAAAGGATTGTCCTGACGCAGTTTTGAAGAGAACCCTTAGGAGAAGCAGGAGTCACAGCAGGAGACCAGGTGGAATGTTCTAGGTTCTGCCACAGCCAGGAAATGATGACGCCACTGTGACCCGGGGCAGCAGGGAAGTGGTGAGAAGTGGTCTGACTCTGGGTGTATTTTAAAGATACAACCAACAGGATTTCCTGGTGGATTAAATGTGTGGTGTGAGAGAAAGAGGAGTCACGGATGTTCAGCCTAGGAAGCTAGACCAATGGAGCCACCAACACCTGGAATGGGGGAATCTGTGGGCAGAGCAGATCTGGGAGAAATTTGGACATGTCAGTATGACGTCTCCTAGACATTCAAGCCACCATCTCAAGGAGGGACTTGGACAAACGTGTGCAGTTTAGGAGAAAGTTCAGGGCTGGCGATGGACGTATAGGGGTTATTATGTGTAGATAAACAGATGTTTAAAGACAAGGGACAGGATGAGGCCTCCGGGGAGTGTGGGAGATAAGGAAGGGATGAGGCTGGAAACCAAAAAGTGACTGTTGCAAATCTCAATCCATTTAGAGGTTTATTTTGCACACTTGAGGATGCGCCCAGGAAAACACACACACACACACACACACACACACACACACACACAAAAGTTACAGGAGGATCTGTGGCCTGCGCTTTTTCCAAAGAGGGTTTTGACAACTTCAGTGTTTAAAGGGGAAAGAGCGGGCAGGAGGAGAAGGAGGAAAGAAAAAAAAGGAGGGTAGGCAATGAGGCAAGTGGTTACATTTTTATAAGGTTTTGATTAGCACATGCTGAATCCACATTTTATATGTGAAAAGGGGAGGTCAATTATGCATTCATCTGTGCTCAGTAAATCTACATTCTACATAAGATAAAGTAAGCATGTGAAATTACAGCTATTTTATATTTGTTTGTTGTTGTTGTTAAAAGTTGATTTTTTTTTTCATGACTCAGTTCCTAAGCTTCACTTTTCCCTTTGGCATAGTGAGTTTGGAGTCCCGGGATTTTATTTTCCTTTCACGAGGCTGAAGACATTTTGGCATTATGAGGTTAAGGTGCAACAGATGACCCAGCAGAGAAGGCAGGGTGATCAGAGAGCAGGAGGAAAACCAAGAGAAGGTGGCATCCAGAAGTTGAGGGGAGAAGGAGCATGAAAGAGGAGGGGCCATCAGCGTGCCTTAGCTGCTGAAGTCTGGCACGATGAGGATGGAGGAATGGCCATTGGATCTAGCAGTGCAGAGGTCATTAGTGACCATTAAGGAAAATGCTGGGCCTTGCTTTTCCTCTGGGAGGCCACCCCTTCCACGTGTGGGTGTCCTGCCCTCATCCCCAGGGATGCAGACTCCAGACCACCTCATCCCTGATGACCGAGACCCTCACCTTCTGAAGCAGCTCTGCCCACTCTACATTCTCCTTTGAGCCTGGTCTCTGCTCCTTGAGGGAGGGTACAGCCCGCCAGAGTGCTGAGCCACACTCCCTGCTGACGTGAGCGTGGGAGCAAAGTGCTTCACTTGCTCATTTTACCAGGTGGTTTCCAGAGACAGTGTTCCTCAACCAAAGGAAAGTGTCCTAGTGATTGGAACTGCACCCCAAAGAGTAGGTCTTGAGTCTCAGAAGGAGAATCACTGGGCCAAGTGTGATGGGAGTAGGGCCCTGGTCCCAGCTCTTCTAGTGACCAGTGTTGTGGGCGAGCCAGAACTATCTGGACCGGTGGCATGGGGGTAAAAGAATTTACCAAGACAGTTGTAGATAAAGAAAGGCAGATTTATTTGTTTAAAAAAGCATGAAAATATGTGATAAGAAGGCAACGGGCAGCCAGCAGAAGAGCAGCTGATAGCCAGCAGACAGAGGCTTGCTGGGGATTTTATAGGATGGTGCTTGTGCTGTGTGCTGGAGAGGGCTGTGTGCGATACTGACAACGCCAAGGTTGCAGTGAGCCAACTTGCAGGTGTCTGGTGATACCTGGGCACAGGAAGATTGTGAGTTATTTGCACAGGAGGGCTGTGTGTC